>NC_000021.9:22965808-23595730 GCF_000001405.40 Homo sapiens | reverse complement strand
ATGATGCTGTTGAGTTCAACTATGTTCTTATTGATTTTCTGCCTGCTGATTCTGCCCATTTCTGATACAGTGGTGTTGACGTTTACAACTAAAATAGTGAATTCATCGTTTCCTCCTTATAGTTTTTACCTCATATTTTGATGCTCTGTGGTTAGGTGCATCATTATCTATATGAAATATTTTGTCTTTTTGTATAATTGATCCTTTATTATGAAATGATGTCCCTCTTTATTCCTAACAACTTTCCATGCTCTGAAATCTGCTCTGTCTAAAATTAATTGCTTGATTTGATCAGTTTCAGAATGGTTTACCTTTATCACTTTAATTTAACCTTTATGTTTATATTTAAACACAGTTTCTTGTAGATAATATGTAGTTTCTGTTTTATTTAATCCATTATGTCAATTTCTAGCTTCTAATTGTATATTTGAACAAATTATATTTAGAGTGATCATTGATAAAGTCAGGTTAATATCTACCATATTTGTTACCGTTTTCTATTTTTTGCCCTTCTTCTTTCTTCCTATTTTTTGTTGCATTTTTTATGCGTTTTGTAGTTTCAATTAATCATTTAATGTGATTCTATTTTCTCTCTTTTCTTAGCATATCAGTTACAACCCCCCTTTTCTTTATTTGTTTTAGTGGTTGTCCTAGGGTTTGCAGTATACATTCATAACTAAAGTCACTTTTAAAATGAAATCTTACTGCTTTCTGAATAGTGTATTTAATAATTACAAAATAATTCTCATTCCTCCTTCCTGTCATTGGTTTTCTTACTGTCATTTATTTTACTTAAACTCAAGCATTCAAATATATATATCTCTCTCTATATATCTCTATGTATGTGAGCATATGTATACACACACAAATATATTTGTATATATGCATACATAATCAAATATATGGTTGCTATTATTTGAGCGATGGTTATCTGTTAGATCAGTTAGAATAAGAAAAATAAAACATTTTATTTTTTCTAAGTTACTCCTTCTCTAATGTTCTTCTTTTCTTGATATAGATCCAACCTTCTAAACTTTTCCATTTTTCCTCTCTCTGAAGGACTTCTAATATCTCCTGCAGAACAGGTTTACTGGCAACAAATTCTCTCAATTTTTGTCTGAGAAAGCCTTTATTTGTCCTTCCACTTTGATAGATAATTTTGCATAGTACAGAATTCTAGGCCAGTGGTTTTGTTCTATCAACACTTTTTTAAATAATGCACTAGTCTCTCTTTGCATACATACTTTTTGCGAATAAGTTTGATATTATTTTTATCTTTAATCCTCTATATATGAGATGTTTCTTCCCCCACCACCACTGGCTTCTGTGAAGATTTTATGTTTATCTTTGATTTGCTGCAGTTTGACTATGATATGCTTCAGTGTACTTTTATTTTAATTTTTGGGATTTATTTTGTTTGACATTCTCTGATTTTTCTTGATTTGTAGCTTGGTGTCTGATATGAATTTAGGAAAATTCTTCATCATTATTGCTTTAAATATTTCCTTCCTTCCTTTCTTCTCCTCTAGTATTCCATTACACATGTGTTACACCTTTTGTAGTTGTCTCACAGTTCTTGGACATCTGTCCCCTTTCTTTTTTTCTTTGGTAGTCTTTTTTCTCTTCACTTTTCAGTTTTTGAAATTTCTATTGAAAAATCTGTCAAAGGCATTCTTCATTTATGTTATGGTGAATTTTATCTCTATTATTTCTTTTTTATTCTTTCTTAGATTTTCCATCTCTCTACTTATATTATCCATCTGTTCTGGCCTATTGTATACTTTTTTCATTAGTGCCTTTATTATATTAATCACAACTGTTTTGCATTCATGGTTTGATAATTCTAACATCTCTGCCATACCTAAGACTTGTCCTAATGCTTACTCTGTCTCATCAAACTGTTTTATTTCCCCTTTACATGTCTTGTAATTTTGTTGTTTTTGTTGAAAGAGTGACGTAATCTATTGGGTAAAAGAATCTGTGGAAAATAAGCCTTTAGTAATGTGGTGGGAAGATGTGGAGAAGAAGTGTCCTATGGTCTTAGAATTAGTTCTCTATACTTCAGTATGCCTGAACCCCTGGGCTGTGAACCCCACAAATGCTTCTAGTCTTTGCTTTTGTGTTTTTGTTTTTTTTTTTTTTAACCCTCTTCGGTGATTCTTGATGCCTAGAAGGGTTTGGAGTTAGGTATTTCTCTTTCACCAAGTCAGTAAAACTTTGATAAGATATTGATAGATTAGGCTTTGGTAAAATAATTTCTCTCGAGGGCAGGCCTCAATGTAAGCAAGAGACAATGTTCTGGCATATTTCAAAGTGGTTACTTTTCCACTTCCCTCACCAGAATGCATCAAATACAGTTCAGGTTTTCCTCCCCTACTACTGCTTCCTCTTTTTCTGTTGGTGGATTTCTGATCTGATAAGTTGTGATTTCATCCACCTATCCACCTCCAATCCACCTCAAATTCTGGGGACGGTAGTTTCCCCTGTAACTTCATTTTTCGGATGAATCTAAGAAGAGTTGTTGATCTTTCAGTTTGTTCAGCTTTTTATTTGTTGTTACGATAGATAGGTGGGTTAAAGCTTCTTACATGCCAGACTGGAAACTAGAAGTCAAAATTATTATCATTAGTTTGTTATCCTAGTGATTGATGAATGTTTGTCTCATTCTCCTGATTCTACATAATCCTTCCTCACCTGAAAAATGTTAAATGTACATATACTATTTTCTATTTATTGATTTATTTAACTTTTGGAGAAAAGAATGTAGTCTAGAATAACTTACTTATCTGATAGCTTCAATAAAAATTGATTTAATTATTGTGTTACGAATTTCTGATTACTTAAAAGCCTTTCATTATGAGTCATGTATCTCTCTCAAGTGATGGCAAATATGGACATTAAATGGTATTATGCAGTTACCCTATTGCTATAATTTTAGTTCATATAATCAAACCATCAAGACAAAAATTACCTTGTTTTATGTTTTTGAATGGAACTGATTTGGTTTGGATTTGTTTCCCTGCCTAAATCTCATGTTGAATTGAACCCGCCAATGTTGGAGGTGGGGACTGGTGGGAGGTGATTCGATCGCGTGGGTGGATTTCTCCCTTTGGTGCTATTCTTATGATAAAGTTCTCACGAGACCTGATTGTTTAAAAGTGTTTGCCCCTCTCCTTTCTCTCTTTCTCCTGCTCCAGCCATGTAAGATACTTGCTCCCAGTTTGCCTTCTGCCATGAGCAAGTTTCCTGAGGCCGTCACAGAAGTCACTATGCTTCCTGTACAGCCTGCAGAATCATGAGTCAATCAAACCTATTTTCTTTATGAATTACCCAGTCTAGGTATTTCTTTATAGCAAGACAAGAACAGACTATTATAAGAACCAAGCTAAACTTTGAAAAGCTTTGCTTGTTAGTAGAGTTGATAATTAATGAATAGTTAGAGAATCCAGTCCCCACGGAATAGGGTAGAAAAAGAAAATGTTAAACTATAAAACTGGGGTTAAGTTGTAAAGTACACAGCTTATGAACTTATATATGGCAAACTGGATATCATTATCCTTCAGAGGTATCTCAGCTTTTTTCCTTATATGAATTACACATCTGGATATATTGGATAATATGTCCCACTACCCACATTTTTCTCTACAGTCTTTTAAAACTTGGTTTACTGAATCCTTTTAAAAAAATTATGCTTGACATATTATTATTCTTTTTAATTTATACATAGCTTCTTTGTTCTTGCCTCATTATTATTCTAACAAAAAATTGTTAATGAAAAATATTTTGTTGGTGTTATAATATTTTGCTTAGGGATGCTACTGAATATACAAGTAGAAATAAAAACCCAAGAATGAAAAATAATTACCACCTAAAACGCAACTATTAATTTCCTTGCAATAAATAACACTGAAATACAATAACACATGTGCACCTTAGATCCAATTCTAAAGTTACACAGTAAACTTATTTCATTGAAATTACCTTTTATTTAAGTTAAAAACATACTCTGAAGCATGGAGGGAAAGCTTCCTCCCTCCTGTGTTAAGGATGCTGATATCTGTTATGGCAAGTGCAATAAGACGGTATAAAGAGGACATTTCCACCGTAATGCCCTTATGTCTTTTCATCATTAGAAATGTTAAACTTAGGTCAAGATATATGCTTCTATGAATAAAAACCTCTTAACACAGCTTATCGTGTATGATTCTGTATTAGTCCATTCTCACATTGCTCTAAAGACCTAGCAATGGCCTACCTGAGATGGGTAATTTATAAAGAAAAGAGTTTTAATTGACTCAGTTCTGCAGTCTGTACAGGAAGCATGTCTGAGGAAGTTTCAGGAAACTTAAAATCATGGCAGAAGGCAAAAGGGAAGAAGGCACATCTTACATGGGCAGAGGAGGAAGAGAGTGAAGCTGAAGGTGCTACACACTTTCAAGCAACCAGATATCGTGATAACTCACTCACTATCATGAGAACAGCAAGAGGGAAATCTGCCCCGATGATCCGATCACCTCCCACTGGGCCCCTCTTCCTACACTGGGTATTACAATTTGACGTAAGATTTAGGTGGGGACACAAATCCAAAGCATATCACTCTGCCCCAGCCCCTCCCAAATCTCATGTCTTTCTTATATTGCAAAATAGAATTCTCCCTTCTCAACAGTCTCTCATGTCTTAACTCATTTCACCATTAACTCAAAAGTCCGTAGTCAGAAGTCTCATCTGAGACAAGGAAGTCCCTTCTGCCTCTGAGTCTGTAAAATCAAAAACAAGTTAGTTACTTCCAAGATACAATAGTGGGCCAGGCGTGGTGACTCACACCTGTAATCTCAGCACTCTGGGAAGCCGAGGCAGACAGATCACCTGAGGTCAGGAGTTCAAGACCAGCCTGGCCAACATGGTGAATCCCCTGTCTCTACTAAAAATACAAAAATTAGCCAAGCATAGTGGCAAGTGCTTGTAGTCCCAGCTACTCAGAAGGCTGAGGCAGGATAATTGCTTGAAGGACAATTGCTTGAACAATTGCTCTGGGATGTGAAGGTTGCACTGAGCCAGGATCGTGCCATTGCACTCTAGCCTGAGCGACAGAGTGAGATTCCATCTCAAAAAAAAAAAAAAAAAAAAAAAAGATAAAATAGGGGTACAGGCATTAGGTAAATACATTCATTCTGAAAGGGAGAAATCAGCCAAAACAAAGGACCCAAAGGCCCATGAAAGTCCAAAATCCAGGATGGTAGTCAATAAATCATAAAGCTCCAAAATAATCTTCTTTGACTCCATGTCCCATATCCAGGCCACACAGATGCAAAGGGTTATCTCTTCAGGCCTTGGGCATCTCTGTTTCTGTGGCTCTGCAGGGTACATTCCCTACAACTACTTTTACTGACTGGCATTGAGTGTCTGTGGCTTTTCCAGATGCACGATTTAAGGAGTCTGGAGGACAGTGGCCCTCCTCTCACAGCTCCACTAGGCAGTGCCCCAAATCTAAACTATATCAGATTCCATTCAAAAATAAAGAAATATATAACAGAAAAAATAGTAGTATATTAACTACTATTGACCAATACAACTTATAAATGATATTTATTTTTTTCTCAAAATTTTTTAGGTGTTCTAAGATTTCTAGATGTAATATTTACTACTAGAATTAGAAGCAAAAACTTTATTTATGCTAGATATATTTTCTCTGACATTTTATAATTGATAAGCAGCTAAATACTCATTAGAGCATATTTCCCTTTTTTTTTTTTTTACCCAGCTCACTCTAGAAGTATACAAATCTTATTGTACTATTCTTCACTAAAGGCCAGAATTTAGGATATTATTTTTTATATTAGGTTTAAACAAAAGAAATGTTAAAATGAAAAAAAACATAAAAATAATGCATTTTAAGATGAGACTCACCTAATCAAATGCACACTCGATTTATTCTTGAGACATGAGTTTAGTAGCTCTCTGTTACTTGTTTTACGTGTGTTTTTAAATCATGAGTTCCTAAATAAGCATTCCAATAACTTTAAGTTGCATAAAAATGTTACTATTATAAGTTTGAAGGGCAAGATTATAAAGTAGATAGAGTCAATGCCTGGCACCCTTTGCATATCTTATACTACATTATGATTAATTTAATACAATTGTCCTGGTATTTTGTACATTCTTTGCTTCAAGTAACTTTCTCCATAAGACTTGGATTTTGCTTTAAACCATACACACAGGCACACTCACAGAGCCTGTATTTCGAACAAAATATTTCTTAAATATCAGTTCATAAATCATATGAAAGCAGAACTACTCTTGTTGACTTAGCCCCTTAGCTCTCTTACCATAAGTTATGCATTCTGAGATACTTTTTGGATTAAAAGAATTATATCAAAAAAGAAAAAAATAACCTAAACTTTTACCTTAAGACACTATAAACAGAAAAGCAACCCGAGCATGTATCAAGTAGTAAAAAGGAAATAATAAAGAACAGAGTTAAAATTTTGAAATTGAAAACAGTAAAAGAAAAATAGAGAAATTTTACAAAACCAAATGATGCTTCTTTGTAAAGATAAACAAAATCTACTAACTCTACGGATAGCAATGGTTAATTGTTCCTCTATTATTGTTTCTCTATAATGATGCCAAGACAATGTCTTCCCTCAGAGCTTACATGGAAATTAACTCAAAATATAAAATAGCATAAATTTAAGATCTAAATCTATAAAACCTTAGAAGAATACATAGGCAATAGATTTTCAGCTATTACAGCAAAAATACATTTAACAGAAAAATGAAGAAATTTTACTTCATTACAATTAATTTTTATGGTGTGTATAATAATGTCAATGATAATATTAATAAGACAATCAATTAAGTTGCAGAAAATATTTAAGAATTATAAATCTACTACTTAACTTTTATCCAGAATTTATAATGAATTCTTAAAACAATAGAAAACAAATAAAAATACAAAACTCAGTTAAAAATGAACAATTAATATAAATAGATATTCACATACAGAAGACATAGAAATGCCCCAAAACACATAAAAGAATTTTCAACAACATTAGCCATCAGGGAATGCAAATCAAAACCACAGTGAAATATCACTTCATACTTATTAGGCTGACTATATCCAACATGCCAGACAATAACAAGTGTTGGTGAGGAAGTTAGAAAATGGAAATTCTCATACATTGCTGGTGAAAATGTAAAACAGTTTGGCTTATGTGGAAGAATTTGTCATTTCCTCAATAGGTTAAACATAGATCTGTAATATGACCTATCAATTCCATTTCTAGATATACATACAGTGTAATATTATTTAGCAATAAAAACAATCAAGTGCAATCAAGTGTGTAAACATGCTAGAGCATGGATGACTCTTACAAAATGATGAAATTATACAGAATGAAAAAAGTTAGTCATGAAAGACCACATATTATATCATTCTATTTGAATAAAGCATCCAGAATAGGCAAATCTGTAGAAACATTTTATTATGTTAAGTGAAGTAAACCAGCCATAGAAAGATAAATACTGCATATACTTACTCATATGTGGAAGCTATTAAAGTTGATCTCAAAGAAGGAAGGAGTAGAATAGTGGTTACTAAAAGACTGGAAAGGGTAACAGGAGGGGGAGATAGGGAAAGGTTGGTTCACATATACACAATTGCAACTAGATGGAAGGAAAAATTTTTAAGGTTCTGTGGCACTGTAAGGTGACTATATTACTAACAATTTATTGCATATTTGTAGATAGCTAGAAGAGAGGGTTTGGGATGTTCTCAACACAAAGAAGTGACAACTGTTTGAGGTGATGGATTTGCTAATTTCCCTAATCTGATCATTGTACATTGTACATATGTAATGAAATATCCTACCATATCTCATAAGTTTGGACAATGAGTATGTGGCAATGAAATTAATAACAATGAATAAAAGAGGAGCACATTGGCACATCGTTTGGATGTAAAAGGATGGAGAAACCTAGGTGCAATAAATGGACGCGAGAAGCCTGGAGTCCCATATTTCCAGAGAAGTATTCATTAAGCTGTGCAGGACTTGTCATGTGCAACTGCAGAGGCAAAACGTATTGGATACAGGAAATTAGTCATATTATCATCTTGCTTCAAGGTGTTAATCTATGAAGATTTGATGAGGATGTGCCTATCTCCCTCTTACACTTACTGGAGAGTTCATTTCTGGATTCCCATGAGAAAAGCTCTCACTGATATATATTTATTGATAGTAAAAGCAGGAAAAATAATGAGCACCTAACGATAACAACATTAAAATTGTTGTTCAAAGCAGCGTTAGTATAACCTCTTCTACTTTATGAAATTGCTGGTTAAAAAAAAAGCTACTTACATAAATTAGAAATGAACGATTCGAAAACAAGTCACAAGAACTGAGAACTTTCAACACTGCACATTTCACAATAAAAAATTTAGAAAATTATCAGTGATTAAGTATATGCTGTAACCTCTCAAACTAAGCTGTGAGATATATGGCAAAATCTCCATTAATCTAGAACATTTTGGAGTAAACTTTTATGATTAGTCAGGTAGTCTGCTTAAGTGAACATTATAACGTACAATTACAAACACAGTGAAAGTAATTTGATATGTTCCAGCAGGCATGCATTTATTTTGCACTGAATTGGAGATATAGTAATATGAACTTTAATATTGTATGGTGAAGTAAATATAAAAGGTTCAAAAAATAAACTCAAGCATGGCCCCTGATATTTTCCTTTTAAAATTAAATTTCTTTTATAATTTGGTTTAATTTTGATACACTTGGTATAACTGAATGAAGATGATGATGGCCCCAAATAAACAACAGCTTTCTATTTGAGTAGTTTTTTCAACAATAATTTTTGCATGTGTAATTTTAAGAGAACTGGCTATTTATTAAAATAACAGCATTTGATAATGAATACTATAGGAAGAAAATCTTTTTAATAATTATATACTTATATGTAAATAAATATACATGTGAATTTTCATATAATTTATGTAAGGCAATGAGTAAAGTATGATATACATGACATATTATTTAGTATTCACTACTATATATATGTTTATAATACATTGTGGATAACAATGAAACCCAAAGATGATAATTAACCAGAAAGTGGGCAAGTCGGAATTTAAATCTAATTTTATCTCTTCCAAAAATATAAGTTCTTAGCTACTATGGTATTCTATCTCCTCTTTGTTCATTTTCAATTCATTTCATTCTTTCAGTGTCATAATTGAGCTACTAAATAAAAGGTCTCAAAATTTCAGTGGATTTTATATTCGTAGAGACCAAAATGATACAGCACTGACAGATGCACAGCTAATAGGCAGCTGTCCCTCAATTTTACAGGTTATGGAGGAAAATTATAATGAATCCAATTTATGGCTTCTCATATAACTCTGCTGCTATAGGTATAATATTAAAAATCATGCAAGATATTATCATGATTATACTTGTCATTAAATTCTTCCTATTTTTATTATAGATTATCACAAACCTACTTTTATAATTCACTAAATATTGGTTAATCATAGCAATCCAATCAAGGCTGTGACAAATTGTCTTCATTGCTATATTGAAATTTATCCACCTCCACATGGCAGTAGGAAATCTGTAAGAACAACTTGAAAAATGAATTATTCAACCGTAACAAAAAATTACTAAACACATTAGTCTCCCCTTATTTGCAGGATACACATTCTAAGACCCCCAGAGGATGCCGAAAATTCTGAATAGTACTGGACAGTAGAGATACTTTTTTTCCTACACATACAAACAGACCTATGGTAAAGTTTCACCTTTTAACTTAAAGGAATCACTTTATGGATTATTGCACCACCATGACAGTCTGTGTGATAACCCAGGTGGCTACTAAAGGGCAGGGAGCGCCTACAGTGTGGCTACTCTGGAGAAAGGGATGATCCGTGTCCTAGGCAGGACAGAGTGGGGTAGCACAAAATTTCATCATGCTACCCAGAAGGCATACAATTTAAAACATGAATTGTTTATTTCTGGAATGTTCCATGTAATATTTTTGGACCATGGTTGACCACAGTTATCTGAAACCACACAAGGTGAAACTGCAGAGAATGGGGTGACTACTGCACTCTGGTGAACACACACTAGGGTTCCCAAAACCACAGTTTTTCATCACATGCACTTTCCAGAAAAGCTTTGTTCACATGTAAACGTATGCATTACCATCTGGTCTCAGATTTCAGTGAATTTTGAGTGAGAAATTAAGACCATATTTTGAAATTATGTTTTGTTTACATATTTTAAAAAATAATATTGAACATAAAGAAGGGATACAAAGAAACAGAACATTATTTTAGCCATGTGAACTTTAATTCATCCACTATTTTTAAGTGTTTTACCCTAGTATTACATCCATAGCATTCTGCATCTTTTAATGAGATGTTAGATTTTCCTGGACTTTTATGGAATATTGATAAGGGAGACTCAGATTATAGATGACAGCACATCCTATGTGGACAAACATCCTTAAAGCTGAGTTTGAGTCTCATTTAGATGATTTTTCTGGAAATTTTTTTTTCTTTTTTTTGAGACGGGTTCTCGCTCTGTTGCCCAGGCTGGAGTGCAGTGGCGCAATCTAGGCTTACTGCAAGCTCCACCTCTCAGGTTCACGCCGTTCTCCTGCCTCAGCCTCCTGAGCAGCTGGGACCACAGGCGCCCGCCACCACGCCCAGCTAATTTTTTTTTCTTTTTTTTTTTTTTGTATTTTTAGTAGCGACGGGGTTTCACCGTGTTAGCCAGGATGGTCTCGGTCTCCTGACCTCGTGATCCACTCCGCTTGGCCTCCCAAAGTGCTGGGATTACAAGTGTGAGCCACAGTTCCCGGCCGGGAATATATTTTTCACAGAACAAATTTATATATGTATGTTTATAATACATTGTGGATAACAATGAAGCCCAAAGATGATAATTACCAGCAAGTGGGCAAGTCGGAATTTACATTTAATTTTATCTCTTCCAAAAATATAAGCTCTAAGCTACTATGGTATTCTATCTCTTCTTTGTTCACTTTCAGTTTATTTCATTCTTTCAGTGTCATAATTGAGCTACTAAATAAAAGGCCTCAAAATTTCAGTGGATTTTATATTTGTTGAGATCAAAATGATATAGCACTGACAGATGCACAGCTAATAGGCAGCTGTCCCTCACTCATTTTTCACAATTTTTTATGCATGAAATCAGAAACAACAGAAATCATCTTTCTTTCTTTCCTCCTTTTTTTCTTTCTTTTCTTTCTTTTTTTTTTTTTTTTTTTTCTTTGAGATGGGATCTTACTCTGTCCCCCAGGCTGGATTGCAGTGGCAAGATCACAGCTCACTGCAACCTCAAACTCCTGGGCTCAAGCAACTCTTCCGCCTGAGCCTCCCCCATAGCTGAGACTACAGGTGATCACTACCATGCTAGGCTAAATTTAATTTTTATTTTTCAATTTTTTGTAGAAATAGGGTTTCACTTTGTTGCCCAATGGTGATCTCAAACTCCTGGCCTCAAGTGATCCTTCCCGCTCACCCTCCCAAAGTGCAAGGACTACAGTTGTGAACCACTGTGCCCAGCCCATCTTTGTTTTTTTTTTTTAAATAAAAGGTCTTAATATATAATTGATATTTACAGTCTAATGTTGTCTTTTTTCTGCATTTACATTTTAAGAAAAAACAAAACACTAAACTCTTGAATTTTCTTTGCGTGGATTAGTATGGAAACCAGACGAAAGTAACTTTCTGTGTTTTCCAAATAACTTCACTGTGATGATAAAGGATTTTGATCCCTTTGACACTATCATATGTCACTTAAAGACAGGGATACATTTTAAGAATTGCATCCTTAGGCAATGTATTCATTGTGCAGGCAGCATAGCATTTACTTACACAGACTTAGATGGTACAGTCTACTACACACTTAGACTATATGGTATAGCCTATTGTTTCTAGGTACAAACCTGTACAGCATTATGTACTGAAAACTGTAGGCAATTGTAATGGTAAGTATTTGTGTATCTAAACATAGAAAAGATACATTAAAATTCTGTATCAAGGATAAAAATGGTACATCTGTATAGGAAACTCATAATGAATGTAGCTTGCAGGAACAGAAGTGGCTCTGAATAAGTCAGAGAGTGAGTGGAGTGAACATAAAGACCCAAAACATTACTGTACACTCCTGTAGACTTCATAAATACTGTACACTTGGGCTACATTAAATGTACACAAAATATTTTTTCTTCAATAATAAATTAACATTAGCTTAGTGTAATTTTTTTACTTTACAAACTTTTTAAATTTTTTAACTATTTGACTTTTTGTAATAACAGCTTAAAATACATATTGCACAACTATACAGAAAAGATTTTCTTTTCTATGTCCTTATTCTAATAAGCTTTTTTCTATTTTTTTATTTTTTAAGCTTTTTGTTAAAAACTTAGATACAAACACACACCTTAGCTGAGGCTTACACAGGGTCAGGATGATCAATATCATTGTCTTCCACCCAGACATCTTGGCACCTTGGAAGGTTTTCAGGGGCAATAACAGGTGTAGAGTTTTCATCTCCTATAACAATGTCTTCTTATGAAACACCGCCTGAGAAATCTGCATGCGGCTGTTTACAGTTAACTATTTTCTTGTAAGTAGAAGTACACTCTAAAATAATAACAAAAAGTAGAGTAAACACATGAACCAGTAACATATTTGTTTATCATCATTATCAAATATTATGTACTGCACATAATTGTATGTGCTATACTTTTATATGCTGGTGGCCCAGCAGGCTTGTTTACACCGACATCACCACAAACACATGAATAGCACATTGTGTTGCGACATTATGACAACTACAATGTCATTAGGAAATAGGAATTTTTTAGCTCCATTATAATCTGCTAAATATGCTATTCATTATTAACTAAAACATCTTTATGTGGCATAAGATGTATTTAGATTGATAAAGTACATTGATAATTCTGAATTCACAATGTATTCACATGAAGTTTTATGCTCTGGTACAATGAATCATAGAAAAGAAAACTGGATAAATAAAATATATTCCAGAATTTTGTGGGTCAAACTTATTTTCATAACTGTAATTGTTTGCATATTTTCAGAATTTTCCTTAAGGTTCTCCAGGGGTTCAGAATCCTGAAATTGAAGTACTTATGCTTGCACTTGCTTGATGGAAAATCAAATATAATGATTTTTGAGGTGAAGGAATTGTTTTAGTTGAGAGTACTCCAATAAAAAGTATAGCTTAGTTTATAACTGCAACCTCAGTATTGCTTTGCAATAATGAATAATGCTAATATGAATATCAAGGTAAAGGTTTTTAAGTTAATATCATTTTAATTTCTAAGGAATAAATACTCAAGTATACAATTAATGGTTTGTGTGGAAATTGAACACTTCATGTTTTTAAGAAACTGCCAAATGATTTTCTAGGATGGCTGCACCATTTTACATTCTACCAACAATGTATATGGAATAGTTTCTCTGCATCCTCACCAGCATTCCATCACTATTTTGTTTTTCATTATTCTAACTATAATGATAGATATATGGTAATATCTTATTTTTGTTTGTCTTTTCTTGATACCTAATGAAGTTTAACATCTTTTGATTTGCTAATTTGCTGTTTTTTTTTAATCTTTGGTAAAATTTTTCTTCATGTCTTTTGCACACTTTCTAATTACGTGGTTTTTTTTGTTTTGTTTTATGCTTTGAATTTTGAGAACTCTTTATATGTTTCAGATACTAGTCCTTTGCTGGATATATAGATTGTAAACATTTTCACCCAGTAAGAACTTGTCTTTTCATCCTTTTAACATGATTTTGATATTGAAAAAGCTGTTCATTTTATGACATTTAATTAATCAATTAGTTTCTTTCTAGATTTCATTTTTGGTATCATGAAACCTTTGAATAGTCCTGTATGACAAATATTTCATACTTTTTCTTGCACTAAATTCATTTCATCAAACAATATTTTAGGTCACGTTCTGTCATAGAGTCAGAAAAGGGCAGCATTCAATAGTTTACTTAGATTTAGTAACTAGGAGAGCCCAAATAATGAATGGCTAAAAGCCGGTAATGAATGGTAAGATCTTCATAAAATGAATTTTGTAAACTACTTCCAAATATATCTACCTCTTGTTTTCGTGATTAACATGGATTATAATACAATCCTTTAATGAACGAACATTCAGTATATGTGTACATGTACATTATTTTTATGGGACATTGGATTCCATCTTTGGGTTATAAAGAAAACAATAAATCCAAGTGTAATTCATTTTAAAATATTTTGTCAATAATATGTAAAAGTGTTTTTTCTTCTTTTATTATATTGAAAGTAAAAGATTATACTACTCTATAAACAATCAATTAAATTTATATTCACAAGAACAAAATTCAGCACTATGATAACAAGGATTAAAACTAGTTATACTGGTTTATGCTAAATATTAATTAGCCATAATTAGTATTAAACATTTAAATAAAAGCAAGCCTTGCAATTACATATTCAATTCAAAAATTTCAGATTTTATTATAATAAAACACTTATTTTTATCTAAGCACACTATCAGGCTTGCATAAAACAACTTTATATTTTCAAAAATGTATATGTACATTGTTATGTTCTGGTTTTGATAAAAGCCATGTCTCCACCAAGGTCTGTTGGAAAAAATTATTTTTTAAAGAAAAATATTGCCCATATAACATTTATTTATCTGCATTCAAATGTATGAATCTTTATTAGTTTGCTATTGAATAAACATCATTAAGCAGGAGGAAAACATGGATACATATCAGAAAAATAAATCCTGCTAAAATAATGGATATGTTCATTAAAACCAGTCAGTACAATGGTCTCAAGTTCAATACTTGCACATATATAAAATGTCAATGGGGATTTAGGGTCAATTTGTTCTCGAGATTGGACTCTAAGGGCATTTAATCTTCTCACAACAAGCATCTATAGCTTTCAGCTTCAAAACAGTGTGACTGTAAATATTAGAAAATCCATGAGAAAATTTTAACTTTTTTCTCACTATCTCATGTAAACAGTAAGATCATTTTAAATTTAGGGACACTATAGTAGCTTACCGGTTATGCTGAATAAACGATAACATAACCTTGACACTGACACTATGAGGTCAAGAGAAATTCAAACCCTTTTTTTTTTTTTTTGCACCACAGTGGGGACAGTATTTGTAACATGAACCTGGGATCAGCTAAGTAATATCTTATTTTACATGTATTCTAGGCTTTGATTCTCTTGTAAACTCTGTTATCAGAACTGAAGCCCTACACATTTTTATTTCCAACTACCACCTGGAGCAAAGTTTGACAGTGATGGCCCTTGCACCAGGAACCCCAAATTCCAGGAATCCCTCATCCTTGGACTTCACGTTCTGTAGCACGCTAGCTGACAGACTTGCTTTCCCAGTAGATATCTCTGCGCTGCTTTAACCTCACCTCAACTGAGCCTGCTGCTGTCTCACTTCCTTCTCAGAGAAGGGTATTGTGCACTGAGAGCTCGTGGGCCAATGAATAAGAATCATGGTCTCACAATCTGGACAAGCCCAAGAACTTTTCTCCAAAGAGTGCTCTGCCTCTTTCCCTCTGTTCTTGGTTGTCCAGAACCTCTTACATTTCTATTAACCCAAATTTGCCTATTAGCAACTGGGGTATTGTCCTGAAACTCTGTTTGCAAGTCCTTATTTTAATTCAGTCTCTGTCTCTCTTAGTTTTTTTTCTTCCTTTTTTCTTCTATCTCTACCTTTATTTGTTTTCCTACCTCTATCACTCTTTAATTTTCAGTATCTATTATATATTAACTTATTTAGATTTTACCAAACAATCCT
Source organism: Homo sapiens (assembly GCF_000001405.40). NCBI lineage: Eukaryota > Metazoa > Chordata > Mammalia > Primates > Hominidae > Homo > Homo sapiens. The sequence goes on along the minus strand of NC_000021.9, from coordinate 23,579,827 downwards.
GTGATTTTATAGCATAAAAAACCAAAGATCAAAAAGTTTAATGCATTTTTGCAAGGTCATCATAATTGTGTCTAAATTAATCTAATTTTAAAACTCAGTGGGAAATTGTCTTTTGATATAATTTGTATATTTTCCTGAACATATGTTTTGCATTTATTTAAGTCTTCTAGAATTGTTATTTGGCTTTCCAAATATATACAATTATCTATAGTGATACCAATAGTGATGCATATCCTTCTATTAATCTATTTCACTAATTTGTGTCAAGTGAGAAGCACATTTGATGACAATTGTGGCTCCAAAGAATATCTATTTTTCTAAAATATATGTGATACAGAAATAGGAGAAATCAGACCAAAAATACCTTGTTCTCAGACATATATAAGTAACAAATCGTAGACACTTTAAAAAATTTATATGTAGTCTTCTGATGCTACAGATTATGATAGATAAAGATAATGATTTTATCTGGAAAACGTTTTTTCACTTCTTTCTATATGCTATGCTAACAATAAGAATCATTACTTAGAAATTGTTAAAACCACTGGATAATCTGTCACTTAGGGTTGCTATGTGCTTATCCTATTTTAGATTCCATCTCAGTAAAATTTTTATTTTGGTTACTATAATGTTAAAGTTTACTTTTCTATAGCTCACAGTTATTAATGTGGTATGTATTTTTCAAAGAAAATGTATAGTTATTTAAACTATAAAAGCTTAATTCATGTTTAAATTTATTAAATATAAAATTTTCAGCATGTCACAAGGTCAATTAATGTCAGGTTCTTTTCAATTTAGAGTATTGTGAGAAATAAAGATAATAGAATATTTTGACAGAGCCTCAAATATGTCTTCTAAATGCTTTCCCATTTGGTATTTTTCAATATTGTAGAATAAATATTCTCATGGGCAGTCACTTAAACAAGACTTTACTTTGCAGCCTGGTGTGGTGGGGAGGACCCGTTTCTAAAGAGGATTTGTTAAATTGGGGAACAGACAGAGAGCAAAGGATGGATTCCGTATTCCAGCAATACAATTCATATCAATATAAATCTTGTCTTTACTTTTCAGTTTTTTGTTTCTGACAAATATTCTACAGAATTTGTCTTTGTGTCGTCTCCATTAACTTAAATTCTTAAATTTAATATTTTTCTTTTTTAAAATGTAACTATATTCTTCTCTCCCAAATGAATGCATAATAATCAACAGCAGAAGTCCACCAGATAAGAGAAACTGGTTCAATGAATGACTACTGATGTAATGCACTATCATTCCATTGGAGGTAATGGACTGGAAGGGTTTAAAGGCAGAATGCCCTATAAAATACAGTCTGTTTATCCTTTTTAAAAATATTCATTTATTTAAAGAAGTACAGCTTGCTTTATTGTTAATATGGGAAAGGTCTTACAGGGCTTTATGGTTATAAACTTACATGGTTATAAACTCATCATTAGTAGCTAAACGTTACATGAATTTGTATAAATCAAGGGTAAACATATATAACAAATCACTAAGAAATAGTTTGAGGGAAGTTAATGTATTTAATAAAATTTTTTCAGTCATTTTACTTGGAGATATTTATCTGATACCATACATGACAGAAGATGGCAGTGTAGATCCTTTTGATTCAGTGTTTTATTCCAGACAGAGACCAACATTCAATTTATTTAGAAAGTATTTTTATCTACAAATACTTCTAACATTAAAAAAATTTGCAAGAAGGTCATTACTAAAATGCAATTCCTTAGAAGCCACATTTTACATTGCTAAATTAACAGGTGATTTGTATTTTATATATATATATCACTAATGATATCATTAAAAAGAGTCACTTTTCTTTAGTAAAAGTAGCAGTCGATAAACCATAGACAGTTTGAAAGAGTAAAAAGGTAGAAATTCAACATAAACAAATACTGCTTATTGTAATTATTTTACATTTGTAATAAAGTAAGTGCTTTCTGTACAATTTTAAGGTAAGTACACTAGAAAATTTTAATAATGGTACCAAATAATTAAAATTCAATATGAAAGTTAAAATTAATATTGAAAAGGTGAAGAAAGTCAAGATTAATTTTTCCTAATAATATTCTTCTTTATTGCATGCAACATTTTTATTAATTTTTTTCCAGTAAAAAGAATTCTAAGAGTCAATTTGAAGACGTACAGGAACTAACATAAACCAACAGAAAGGGGAAATTTAATTTAAAAAAAAAGGTGAAAGCAAAGCAGTTTTTGGATTTCAATATTTTGAAGTAACTAAGCACTTAAACTTTTTAATAAAATGTTGCCTATATTTAATTAATATGTGTTTTATATTTAAACATAATGTATACATTTATTTGTTCATCATAAAATGTTTTTAAATTCAATGCATTTAACTGAATATCATTTTTTTCAAATCCTCCATGAAATGATAAACATACAAGGAATTAGTGAATTTATTTTATAAATGCTAGCATTAAAGGTCATAGAACAGTGTAGTAAATCTTAGCCTTCTAGCCTCCAAAATATTGAACTTCTCGTTTCTATAACACTTTATTTGTACAATGCAACAGAATAATAAGTCATACATGGACTGATGGAGAAATATTTTAATTCTTCTTTGAAACATATAGAGTCATTTCAGTTAGAATCAATATTTTATATTGAATCTGATTGACTAATATTAAAATCTGTAAGAAAAACAAAAACAAAAAATCAAAAAAACCTAATGTTCCTCTGTCTATGTTACTCTGATCCGAGGTAATTCACACTTGAAAAGATGTAGAAAGATTTTCCAACAACTACGTTAAGTGGAGAAAAGTTTTTGAAATTATCAAACTGTTTCAGGAAAACATATTTTGACACGGTTCCTTTAGTTTACTGAGATATGTTTTAGAGATTACTGATGACCTATGTGTGTGCTCTGAGATTCTTAATCCAGTCTTAACATCTCTTAAGAGAATACAGAAATAATAATGCCATTGTAAAACACATCATTACAATAGCCCTCACTCTACTCTCGTCAATATGCATAAATACATCATCAAGGCAAGATTAAGCCAAAGGTAATAAGGAATTGTTAATTCAAATGTGTCATCTGTTTTTCCCTTTACAAATATCTTTTATTAAAGTACATCTCTAATGAAGGCAGACAGATAAAATATTATTAATAAGAAGTATTGCTTATAAGCATCGTGACATATGAAATGATTTTTAAGATATTGTGACATGTAAAATGTATGAAGTAGGAAGAATCCAATATATTTATTTGTGTATCTAAGCATTATGGATGTTAGGGTAATGAATTGGGTGTAATGAATAGTTTAGCTGAGTGATAGGAACCAATGAAAGAATACATTCAGTGCTGCTGTGGTGCCCAGAGGATTGTCCAGTGAAAAATATATACAAGATAGCTTTGGGGGATAGTTATATGGCATATGATAAAGGAGCATCTCTTTTGTTCAGAGTGCTACAAGGGAAGCTGTCTTTCTAGGGGTTGGCCATATTTTAATTAAGGCAAAGAAAGAGAGTTGAGTGAAGAGGCTAAAACTTAAAAGTACAGTTGACTTAAAGAAAAAATCCATAAGAGTTGGTATTGGTGAAATAAGTAGCAATGGAATGTTCAGATAAAAGAATGTATAAAACTCTCACATGGCAGAGAATATGCTTACCTGTTAGTTGATGATTACAATAATAGGCATGTTGGATTTAGTAGGTAAAATGTGATGCTAAAGAAATAGTTTCTGTATTTATCTAGCAGATAGTGAAAACAGCCTGCTCTCTTTGTGTTGAAAATATCATAGATAGAATCTCAAGAGTGAGAGCCAGGTGACTTGCAGTTTTGGGCTTTGAATTTCATATTCTGTGAAACTGAATATATTGTGTTATTATAATCTCCGAATACTATTAAAGGAATAATTTTTAAAGGATACATCAGATTGATAGATTGTCTTCTTTAGTTACAGTGGTCCCGATACCTCATTGGGGGCAAATGCTACTATGAAAGAGCTTAAAATGGGGTAGAGATAAAAATATTATTTTCAAATAAATAAAATTGTCATTGAGGACAATTCTATAATCTAACATTTTTAGTGTTACAGATTTCCATTGATTGGGAAAAACTTCTGTAATCTGGACAACTGCAAATATTAGATGACATGTCTGCTATCAGAATGGTTAGATATTCCTTAGATGTGGCTACAAAATTATACTAGAGGTTAAGGAAAGCAAACCATGCAGAGTCTAATATTCTACACATAACGTCCTCCCATCTCAACCTCCCCAGTAGCTGGGACTATAGGCACATACTACCATGCCCAGCTAATTTTTGTATTCTTTGTAGAGACAGGGCTTTGCCATGTTGCCCAAGTTGGTCTCAAACTCCTGGGCTCAAGTGATCCACCCCCCTTGACCTCCCAAAATGCTTGGATTGCAGGTATAAGCCCCATTACCCGACCCAGCCATCATTTTTTTTTTTTAAGAAAGCAAATAAAGATAGTCTTAGATATTTGGGTTCCGTGTTGCTCGTTCCATTCTAGGGCAGCACAGATGGTTTTGACAAGTCTAGAGCTCAGACTCTGTTGAAGGAATCTTGACATTTGAGGCTTAAGGCTTCTTAACATCACGGTTTGGGCGCTATTTCTTGGGTCATAAGGGTCGGAGCACGGTGGAAGTGTGATGCAACAGGCCCTTAGCTTCAGCTCTGACCTGCAGGAGGCAGAGTTTGCTGTGAAGGGAGATCACGCCACTGCACTTCATTTTGGGCGACAGAGGGAGACACCATCTCAAAACAACAAAAACAACAACAACAAACAACAACAACAAAAAATATATATAAAATACTGACATGGACGTGGAAAAATTGGAACTCTTATATACTGTTGGTGGGAATGTATGCTACTATGAAAAACAGTATGGAGATACCTCAAAAATTAAAAAAATTAAAAATAGAGCTCTCATCTGATCTAGCAATCCAAATTCTGTGTACGTATCCAATAAAGTTAAAATCAGGATCTTGAGATACCTGCAACCCCATGATCACTGCAGTATTGTTTCACAAAACAAACTGTAGAAACAAGAGAAATAAATACTGACAGATGAATGGGTAAAGAAAATGTGCTCTCTCGATAGATAGATAGATAGATAGATAGATAGATATAGATAGATAGATACTTAAAATCCTATCCTTTGTGACACCATTGAACTTGGAGAACCTTATACCAAGTGAAATAAACCACTACAAGCACTGCATGATTCCATTTTTATGAGCTATCAAAAATAGTCAAACTCGAAGAAGCAAAGAATAGAATAATGGTTGTCAGGAGCTTGTGGGAGGGAAAATGTAAAATTGTTGCTTAATGAGTATAGGGTTTCTGTTCTGCAAGGCAAATGAGTTCTAGAGATTTTCTGGGTTATGTAGCACCTGTAGTTAACACCAGAATGTTGCGTATTTAAAGCGTGTTAAAAGGATCCATCTCATATTAAGTGCTTTTACCACAAACAAACAAACAAAAACACAAGCAAAGGTTTGAAGGTAAGGGATATGGTTAGTATCTTGTTCCTTGATCATGGTGAGTGTACGCATATGTTCAAACTCATAAAACTTATACATTAACTATGTGCAATTTTAAAAATACCATCTATACCTCAAATGCCAAAAAATCATGAGAAAAACTCTGCACAACTTCATTCAAAATATTGTCTTAAGAATTCTTTGACAGGTGCACTTCTTCATTGATATAAAAAGTGACATATCCAACTGTTCACCTGAAATCAAATATTTGAAAATTAATGATTCTCAATGACCTTGTCATTGTTCTCCTGTAGCCAGCTACATTTGATATGAATTACTTTGAGCACATCATATTTTATTATATAATTGTCAAATTTTATTCTTTTATGGAAGATTATTTAAAAGTCAGTAAAACTAACTAGAGGTCTGAGGAAGTACTAGATTAAAACACTAAATAAGTCATGTAATTCATGTTATTTCTAATATTTAACTAATTTATACAGTTTTATAAGTTAATATTATAGACATTTGTTTTAATATCATCTATTAAAATATTAATGCCATTCAACAAAATTTTAATAAAATTAAAAATAACATATATATTTTGATGGGGGTGATATTTATTTTCCTTGAATGCTACACATAGGACACATAAATGTATATAACACATCCCCACATGCATCCTTCGACATCTAGATACATAGACAAAGACTGAACACTGTTCTTTGATTCCCAGCAAGAAAGACTAAAATCTATGTCTAATAATAATGATTATCTCCCTTTTTGTCTTTTAGAGTTAATTTTTAGTCTAACAAGATTGTAAGTTTGATTAGAGGTGTATACAAATAGGCGAAATAAAACTTTTTTAAGGCTTATGTGTGTTCAAACATATATGTAAAATTCAACCTTGCTTGTACTATGGAAGCACTTGGATAGAGAGCTTCTCTGAAACCTGTTTATATTGTAAAGACTAATCGGACTCCAGACTTAGCCATATTTATGCAAAGTTTAAACCCATAGAGCACTTGACTTACAAAACCCATATATTTTAATTATTATAAAATTATATGACATATTTTGAAAAAAATATTTCTTGTCCTACATTGGCAATGATAATTGCTGTTAGCAGGCAGCATAGAATAATTGCTTTTGGTTCATTTATACTATTAGTTAATTTTTAAAGTGTATTTTAATAAAGCAAAATCCACCTAATTTTAATTAAATCCATACCTAAAACATATATCTTTCTATTATAAAAAGATTTCTCATATATAAATATATTTGTATATCTCTATGCAATTCTTATGTGTGTATATACCTAGATAATGTTCTCCACATTACAAGACATTTAGAAATGATGATTAATAGCAATAAATGACTTCTGTCATTTGATTTCATTCTCCAATTGGCTAAATTAAATTTTAAAGGAGACAAATGAAAATAATCTCTTAAAAGACAGTAAATTTGGGCTTAAATGATAAAGATATTTTAATTCAGCTCATACCTTCTAATTGAGGTAATTCTATAATAGAGGGATATAGTGTCTTTGAATCTATGGAACTGTGAATACCATATAATTGGCAAATGAACAACCAGCACTTCAGAGCTGGTAGTTGAAAGCCTTTTTAAAGCAGATAGCTGATAATTTCATTGTTCAAGATCAGCAGGTGTTCTCACAAACTACCTGAAGTAATTTGCAGTAAAGAGGTGCAACAGAGAGCTTCACATTAAATATGAATATGGTGTATGCAGTTCTTTCTATAAAACTAAATCAATGGTAATTTTATCTCTTTTTCTTGTACTCACTATTTACCATATAATTATTACCTCGGCTTATAAGAAAATGTGTAAAATACACATTTTAATGTAAGGTGGCATTTTCAAGATCTTAAGTTGCCTAAGCAATTAGGATATAAATTTTATTTTTTAAGGGGAAAAATGAAACCTGTAAAACATATTTTGGGTTACTAGAGTGGTTATTAGTAGTTATTCACAGCTTTGCTTTCTATGTGTAGCCTATGCCATTGTATGTATTTAAATGTATACACTATTCTATTGAAATTTCATTGATACATATTAATCAGATGACATTTTACCTATAAACATTTGTGAAGTCACTTAAACATTTTTATAAAATTTATTACATTTTGCATATGTGCCTAGTTTCTGATAAACCTCGTGTGAGAGTTACATCAATTTTTGTGCCCTCAAAATTTTTTTTTTACTTCATCCCAGAATGGACTTTGATAGTAACATAATATAGTTTACTTTGTTTTATGAAAATTTAAGGTACAACAGCTTAGAGTTTTTGTTAGTTCAAATAATTATAATAAACAGCTCTTGTTAATGTGTATCTAAATATTCGTTTTTAATCATCGAATTTTAGGTATCTATTAATTTAAAAAGCAGTAATATCTGGACAGTGCCAAATTTCTAATGGATAGAAAGCGTTGTTATTGTGTATTTCCTTTAAACTGCATGTAATCTGTCATAACGATATTTTAGTGTTTGACAGTGTAGTTTTGTGATTAATTTTCTAAATTTGGAGAAGAAAGAGTTTATTTCTAATTCAAACACCAAATAAATTATTTACTTCTGACTCCAACTTCTTTGCTTCGAACTTCTATCTCTAAGAGAGGCACTTCAGCTATAATGATTTTGAATTAGAAAAATTTAGTCAAAGCAAGTTAATAAGTTAAAAGACATAAGAGTGATCTACATGATTTGTGACAAGAGCAAAATTAAACTACCAGAGGATAAATATACAGTTTCACTATTTTTACTACAAATTCAAATATCCCAACATAGTTAAAATTTAAAATCCATAGTATCAGTACAGCCCGATGCATGTCCTGTAGGTTTGATAAAATTTGATATTGAAAAATGGAAGCTGCTCCTTATGCTATTCCAAAAAATGTAATTATAAAAAAGAATCATTGCATTTTACTCACTAGTTTTATTTAAATTTAGTCACATTGTGTTTCTTATTAAGTTAAATATTTCTTATCAAAATACATTACTCTTTAAGAAGAAACAAAATTCGAAAAAAATTTATGTAAGATTACAAAAACATTTTTTGCCAAAATGTTTCAGTTCTCTAGGATGAATAAAATGTACATTTCTCTGTGATGTAGGTCTCTATTAGATAAAGAATAAAGAAAGGAAGATAGGAAGAAAAAAATAATAAAGCATGCCACCTAATTTTACAGCTGTTATTGGCAGGCAATATAACCATGAGATTAATGAAACGTTCAGGGCTTCACTTTTATTTATTTGTTTAATTTTTATTTACTTATTTATTTTGTTTAACTTATCTTTTCCTTGTTAGAAAATAGTAGTAAAAACAATATGTAAGACAGACTGGGAGGGTTTTTATTATTGTAAATTATTAATTTAAAAAATAAGAAAAAAATGAAAGCTATTATAAGAATTTCATGCCTAATGTGATTTTAAAAATAAGCAATGTTGCTGTCTTTCTTCCCAAAATCAACTCTGTAAAAGCAAAGAGAGAGGGACATATGACCAACTAACATTTAAAACAAATGATGAGAAAACTCCTGGCCATCGGAAATGTGTCTTAAATTGTAGATAGACTGCAAAAGCTTGGACATGTAGGGGCAGGTACAGCGTTGACAGACACACAGGGGCTGGGGGTGGGGGCTCCCGGGGAAGCTGTGTCCTTCTTCAAACATTTCACTGGCAGAGTCAATGCCAATCTACTCATCTCACTACCACCCTGAAGTAGGTTCGACACCACCGATGTTACAAAAATATATATGTATCTGGACAGCACCGAAGTCCTATAAAAGATACTGGAAATTGACAACCTGTCTGCACGGGGTAATCCTTTCCAGGGCTATTGCTATCCAGGGTCCCAAAGACAAATCTTAGCACAGAATCGCTTGCTGCATAATTAAGCTTCTGCATAAGGCTGGAGATCAACTGTGGCTCTCTAACCTGAGCTTTATTTTCTCCTGTCCGCTTAATGCCACATGATCAGATGAAAACTGTGGTCTGGGCTTTAACCCCTCCAAAAGCAAATTTTACCAGTAGGGCAGAAGCTATTTCCAGGGGAACAGGAAACGAAATAACTAGATATCAGAGCAGTAAAATGGCTTGCAGATGAAGTAAAATTGCAAATTATATGCCACACGAAGAAGACTAATTAGAACAGATAGGCCATTGCCTTTTAATTTAGATAAAAACATCTTTGAGAGATAAGGGAGGATTTGGGTAACTCACGCTTTTACAAATTAGCATACCATATTTCTAAAGAGATGGGTAAATACTTTGCTTAAAAATAATTGTAGGATAGAAATAGATGTACAATCAGGTAGATAACCGAAGTCCCAGAAAGACAGAAGGAAAGAGGAGAAAGATATTTAAAATAACAATAGAAACACATTTCCCAGAGTTGAAAACAAAAGAACCAAGAGTAAGATCCATTTGATCCTAAAGAGGATAATTAAGGAACAACTGTTATGAAAACACATCCTAGCAAAATTAAAGTTTAAAATGTAAAAATAATAATTAAAATGTTTAAAAACAATTAGATTTCATGCAAAAAAATTCACATTTTGTAACATAAATTTAAATAAGAATACTGTAAGCAATATACTTCAGTGGTATTTTTGATAATTCAATAAAAATAATTTTGACAAATATTAGTCCTTATAAAATTTGCCACACATTGAATACCCTGAATACAGGAGGGAAAGATTCATTAGATAATCCCAAAAATGTACGAAGATAATACACCACGTCAAGTTAGAGTATATCTGGTACACATGGATGGTTCAATTTATTTAAAATAATCCATGAATAAAATTTATAGTATTTTCTGATTCAATGACTAATAAATATGATGACTTAATACATACAAAAATAAAATGCAGGAAATAAAACTCATTACCCATTCTTGTAAAGACTCTTGAAAAATTAAGTATAAAAACAAAGTAGAAAAGATGACATGTATTTTTTTAAGACAGTGACAATTTTCTAAAATTGATTGATTTTAGAAAATGTCAGAAAAATTCCTTTTTAAATAAAAAATGAGCCCAAGATTTTTACAGTCTTTATTCTATTTATTAATCCATTGACGTTCTTTGACTGACAGTTTTATTTTCAAAAATAAAAAATACAAAGTTGAAATAAACTTTATTTTTATGTAATGTGATAGAAAACTATCATTTGATAGATAATATAGGAAAGTTTATTTTGGTGAGTAGTTACCAGATATATTTTATAAGTCATTTCTATGTATATATACCATTACCAAACAACTTGAGAACATAAAGTGAAAATATCACTCACGCCTGTAATCCCAGCACTTTGGGAGGCCGAGGTGGACGGATCACGAGGTCGGGAGATCCAGACCATCCTGGCTAACACGGTGAAACCCGGTCTCTAATAAAAATACAAAAAAAATTAGCCGGGCGTGGTGGCGGGCGCCTGTAGTCCCAGCTACTCGGGAGGCTGAGGCAGGAGAATGGCGTGGACCCGGAAGGCGGAGCTTGCAGTGAGCCGAGATCGCGCCACTGCACTCCAGTCTGGGCTACAGAACGAGACTCCGTCTCAAAAAAAAAAAAAAAAGAAAAAAAGAAAAAAGAGAAAATATCAAAAGATATCAAGTTCAAGTATCTAAGACAAATCCTACAGAAGATATTCAAGATCTCTCCAGAGAAAATTGTAAAATATTTTTAGAAATATGACACAAGACTTACTTAAAAACAGTAACAGGTTAAATGTCCTCAAATTGGTATACATACATATTTAAAATAAAATCCAACTCCTGACATTTTATTCTGTACAACTTAATAAGGTCATTACAAAATTTTCAAGAAGAATAAAGGGCCAAGTTTGGCCTGTAATTTTCTGAACAAGAGACCAGAGAAGGAGTATTTGAACTATGATAAACGTCATTCTGAAGCTCTATGGATTTGAAGATACTGGCACAGGGATAGCTATAAGCCAAAAATAAAATTCTAAGGCCCCAAACCATCTGAATAGACCCCTCTCCTAGGCCTAGGGAATTCCAAAGTTAACCTGAAAAACTAGTTCAGTCCACGATGGGAAGGGGAGTTAAACATGTGTCATTACTCTTAAGATAAAAACAGACCTTTAGACTGATAGAACAGACTTTGTAAGTCTAATAAGAAACATTTACAATCTATTCTCTTTGAAGCCTATTCCCTGGAAGCTTCATCTGCATGATCAATCTCTGGTCTCCTCAACCCCCTATTTTAACTCAGGCATTCCTTTCTATTAATCCCAGGCCTTTAGTTAGAAGAAGAAAAGAAAGGAGAAAAATACTTGATATACACAATAGGAGACATGTATGACAAAGTTAATCATAGTATCCATGAAAACAAGTTGAAAACCACCCAAATATTTATTAATGGAAGAGAGAATGATAAAAGTGTGGTAAAGTGACATACAAAGTATTGTATAGAAGTTGAAAATGAATATATAACAAATGTATCTTAGTAGTAGACTGTTGAGACAAAAAGTAGATACTTAAATATTAGATACAGTATAATCCATATTTCATAAAGATAAAATCACCCCAAATGGTATTTTAGAAATAATTTTAGATAGGTTTGCCATGATAAACACAGAATTTAGAATGAGATTTATATAATTTGGACAAATGGTGGCACCTGGAAAACAAAGTAGAGGCAATCTAGGGTTAATTATAGGTTATTACTGAGATTTAAGCCTTTTTTAAGACAGCAAATTTATAGTTGTTTTTGAAAGTATTTTAAGTTGCTAATTAAAATTTTCAATTTTAGCTTCATATACAAAAAATTGAAATCATCACTTCTTACTCTCACAGAAAAAAAAATTCTGAACCAAGTGAAAATCGATGGACTCTCTTGTGAAAATCCCAGAATTGAGGTCACAGAACAAACTATTATCCTAAAATTTGGGGAGTCATATGAATGCAGATTTTTATTTATTTATTTACCTCTTTATTTATTCATTGCATTCCTTGGCTCCTGGCTTAGTCTTCCATCTTCAAAAGCAGCAGTGTAGCATCTTGTTTCAGTGGCCCCACTGCATTCTGCTATGGCATCCAGTTCTCTCTGCCTCTCTGTACCAAACATACTTTTGAATGCATTTAGGGCCCCACTGGATAATTCAAGACAATCCCCTTATCTCAAGATGCTAAACTTCGTTCCATTTGCAAAGGATCTTTTGCCATCTAAAGAAACAGTCACAGTTTCAGGGATTAGGACCTGCATCTATTTTAACGGCCATCATTTAGTCTACCACAGTAATTTTGAAAAACTATTGGATAGTTTCTTGAAAAGATAAGAATGGTCTTAGCATAGATTGCTCAGTCATGCTCATAAATATTTAGCAAACTGTATTAGTCCCTTCTCATGTTGCCATGAAGAAACCCCTGACACTGGGTAATTTATAAAGAAAAGAGGTTTAATTCACTCATGGTTCCACATGGCTGCGGAGTCCTCAGGAAACTTACAATCATGGTGGAAGGCACCTCTTCACAAGCAGCAGGAGAGACAATGCATGCCAGCAGGGCAAATGCCAGGCATAAAATCATCAGATCTCATGAGAACTCACTCACTATCACGAGAACACTATGGGGGAAACTGTCCCCATGATTAAATGACCTCCCACCCATTCCCTCCCATGACATGTGGGGATCATGGGAATCACAATTCAAGATGAGATTTAGGTGGAGACAGCCAAACCATATCACAAACTAATTGGAAAATATAACCACAGAAAAACATGCGCACAAATATTTATAGCAACTTTATTTATTATACAATCATCAAAATGTAAAGCAACCAATATTTTCTTTAACATGTGCATGCATAAACACATTGGCATACATTTATAAAATAGAATATTATTTTTTTTAATAATGAGCTATGAAACCACAAAAAGACATAGTTGCATCTAATATATATATATTGCTAAATGAACAAAGTTCGTCTGAAAAATTGACATACAGTAAAATTCTAATTTTATGATACTGTGGAAAGTAAAGATATGCAAAGGGTAAACACAACATAGTAACTAGGACAGGGTAGGGTTAAATAGATAAAGCACAGAGGATGTTTTTTGTGATAGTGAAGTTTATCTGGATAATACTGTAACTGTGGATACATGTTATCATACATTTGTCAAAACCCATTGAACTTTACAGCACACACAAAAAAGAACCTTAATGTATGAAAATTTAAGCACATCATTTAAGTGGTCTAGGGAATTCTGGTGTAGAATACAGAATGTGACAAAACATTCTAACTGTACTACAAGTATATAAAACAATGTCACTGAAGGTCATCGGGGAAATGGTGCCGACCTAAAGTACTGAAAATTAATGAAGTCTGTAAAACTGAAGTCCAACTGAAAAATACACACACCCTGTATTTTAGAGCAAGGGAAGAAGGCTTAAATGATTCATGTGGGAATAGATTAGCATTGGAGAGATTAGTATGATCTTGTTTTAGCTTATTATATACAGATGTTTACATATAGACATATTTATAGATATGTATACACATATAAGTTAGAATACATGTATATATTCCTTTGTTCTACCAACTGAAAGAGACCAGAAGCAACAGTTCTGCAGTAGCAAGAAGCATATCCAGTATCCAGATATTGCTTCTAAAAGTATTCTGCAATAAAATGAACCAGGACTCCTTGGAGAAAGGATAATTCTAGAACTGAAGCATGAAATGTGGAAGATAGGCCCAGAGCACCTTGTAATGCCAGATATCAAGGAAGTGGAGATATATATATATATATATATATATATATATATATATATACACACACACACACATACACACACACACACATATATACCTGCAGTGATGGGATTTATTTCTCACTAAAATATTGTATCAGGTGTAATTTGGCCATGGTGCTGCTACATGAATCTTTATTCCAGTACCCAGACTGTAAGTTCCCATGCTCCTATAGGAAACACAGGAAACTCAGGGCAGAGTGATATAAATTATTGGTTGAACCACATGAAGGCTTTTAAAGTTTGTACTGAGATGTAGTACTTATATGCCACTTATATTCTAATACCAAAGTAAATCATATGGCCACATCTGATTGTATTAGTCAATTTTCACACTGCTGATGAAGACATACCCAAGACTTGGTAATTTATTAAAAAAAAAAAAAAGGTTTAATGGACTCACAGTTCTGTGTGGTTGGGGAGGCTTCACAATCATGGTGGAAGATGAAAGGCACATCTTAAATGGCGATGGGCAAGAGAAACAATGGCAGCTAAGCAACAGGGGAAACCCCTTATAAAACCATCAGATCTCGTGAGACTTACTACCACAAGAACAGTATGGGGGAAACTGCCCTTATGATTCAATTATCTCCCATTAGTTTCCCTTCACAACACATGTGATTTATGGGAGCTAAATTTCAAGATGAGATTTGGATGGGGAAACAGCCAAACCATATCAGTGATATAAAAGTGGCAGGGTAGATTTGATTTTATTATCATGCTTTATATATGCATGATATATAATAACACAGGCATGATAAAATAATGTGTACAATATATACTTGTGATATGCATGTTATTTTATAGGTATTGTATCATACAATCAATAAAATAAAAATAAAATTAATAATAGCTGTCAATGAGTAGCAAATTTTGAAAATGTAGAGCAACATCAGGATAATGTGCACTTTCAGAAAGATATAGTAATGAAAACAAGATAGTATGACCTTGAAGAGGAATTGCAAATAGAATAGAATAGCAAGGTCTGACAATGTATATATGAGAACATTATGTAGAACAACTTCTAACAAAAGTTTATGGGCAAAAATCATGGCAGAAATTAACAGTACATATCTGTATCTGTATGTTCGTTTGGTAAATGCACTTTTCCTAATAAGATAAATGTTTTGGTAAACTATTGGTAAATTAGAAGGCAGACAACATGTCTTCTCAGCCCCTAGGTCTAAAGAAAGTGTAAAATGAAATATTAGAATGTTAGCCACTACTATCTGTGTTAGAGAGGGCATTATAAGAAAGATACAATCTCAAAAAAGAATTGCATGTTTTACAGTAGAAAAAAAAGAAAATAGTGTCCTATAATCCAAGGTTTTTCAAGATTGGGAAAGATGATTGATTAGGCTCCAAAGACAAAATTATGAGATTCATAAAAGACTTTGAACGATAATGGTTCAATCCATATGTGTAGTTAAATAAACTTAGAGCAAATATAAGTTTAAAGGTGCAGCTTTCCTATTTAATTCCAAGGTTCTCAAGGAAGCTTCTTTGTTTTAAGGAGAGAGACAGAGATAGAGAGAAAGAGAGAGAGAGAGAGAGAAAAATAGGATCAAGGAAGCACTTAATAAAAAGGAGCTTTGTGAAAAATGTTCATTAAAAAATATTCAGTGTGTTTTCTGGCAGACGAAACTGGCAGCAAACAAATGATTTTTCTTTGCAAACATTGTTGGTTTTGAGGAACTCCTACCACCAAAAATTTGGACTAAATAGTCTTTGAATTTTCTGGACCCTTAAAATTCTCAAAGCTGGAGACAGTTTTCAGAAGTCATATAGCTCTAAATAGGGCCAAGGAGAGTAATGATTAAGAATAAGCTTCCTTAAGTGTGGCACAACTAGCTATGATAATGATGGCAGAAGCAGGTTGCACTTAGTTTATAGATCAGAAGCCTTAAAAGACAAATATTTTGAAGACAATACATAAAGAATATTCCAGACTTTGTGTCCCATAGAAAGGGTGTGAATGATCTGTGTGTGGGAAGTGGAGACAAAACTATTTGAAGACCACAAGGCTTTGAATGTAAAAGTTTCAAATAGAATATTGTACTCATACTTGCTTGAATTAAACACATTGTGACCCAGAAAGGTCACTCCCACTGTCAGATAAATCTTTTTTTATTTTAATTTTAATTTTTACATTTAACTGGAGTAAATACATTTATGAGTTACCATTAGAACCATCCTTCAAATGTACAAATATGTAGTTTTAAGTACATTTACATTGTTTTGCAATGAATCTCCAGAGCTCTTCATTTTGAAAAGCCGGAACTCTACACCCATTAAAACATAACTTGGGTGTGGGGTCAAGGTGGCCCACAAGAAGCAGCTAGGGTGCATGGGCTCATGGAGAGGAACAAAAGACATGAGTAAATAGAGCACTTTCAACTAAAACATCCAAGTACTCACATTGGGACTGATCAGGGGGACAGTTTGACCCATGGAGAATGGAGAAAAGCAGGGCAGGGTGATGCCCCAACCTGGGAGCAGCAGAGAGCCAAGAGAAACTCCGTCTTCACAAGGAGGCAGTGAGTTAATGTGTGACCCCGGGAAACAATGCTTCTCCCACAGATCTTTGCAACTCTCGGGTTAGGAGATCCCCTCATGAGCCCACTCCACCAGGGCCTTCAGTCTGACACACAGAGCTGACTGAAGTTTTGGCCGAGCAGCTACTCAGGCAAACACAGAGACACAGGAGCTTCACATACTCCGGCTCTGGGATCTCATTCAATGAGGCCAGCATCAGCCTGATACCAAAACCTGGGAGAGATACAACAAAAACAGAAAACTTGAACGTGGATGCAAAAATCCTGAACAAAATACTGGCAAATCAAATCTGGCAGCACATCAAAAAGCTTATCCACCCAGTCAAGGAGGCTTTAATCCTGTGTTGCAGGTTGGTTCAACATATACAAATCAATAAATGAGATTCATCACATAAACAAAACTAAAGACAAAAAATACATAATTATCTAAATAGACCCAGAAAAAGCTTTTGATAAAATTTAACATACCTTCATGTTAAACACTCTCAATAAACTAGGTATTGAAGGAACATACCTCAAAATAGTAAGAGCCATATATGACAAACCCACAGTCAATATCATATTCAATGGGCAAAAGCTGGAATTATTCACCTTGAAAACCAGCACGAGACAAAGATTCACTCTCTCACTACTCCTATTCAACATAGTATTAGAATTTCTGGCCAGAGCATTCAGGCAAGAGAAATAAAGGGCATTAAAATAGGAAGAGAAGATGTCAAAATATCCCTATTTGAAGATGGCATGATCCTGTATCTGGAAAACCCCGTTGTCTTAGCCCAGAAGCTTCTTAAACTGATAAGCAACTTCAGCAAAGTTTCAGGATGCAAAAATCAAAAATTGCAGGCATGCCTACACAGCAACAACAGTCAAGCTGAAAGCCAAATCACAAATGAACTCCCATTCATAATCACCACACACACAAAAAAATACCTAGGAATACAGCTAACAAGGAATGTGAAAGATCTCTACAAGGAGAATGGCAAACCACTGCTCCAAGAAAACAGAGATGACATAAACAAATGGAAAAACATTCTACAATTATGGATAGAAAGAATCAATATTATTAAAATGGCCATACTGCCCAAAGCAATTTATAGATTCAATGCTATTCTCATTAAACTGCCACTGACATTCTTCACAGAAATAGAAAAAAACTACTTTAAAATTCATATGGAACCAAAAAAGAGCCTGAATAGTCAAGAAAATCCTAAGCATAAAAAACAAAGCTGGAGGCATCACCTACCTGATTTCAAACTATATTATAGGGCTACAATAAACAAAATAGCATGGTACTGGTATAAGAACAGACACATAAACCAGTAGAAAAGAACAGAGAACTCAGAAATAAGACCACACACCTACAAATATCTGATCTTTGACAATCCTGATAAAAGCAACCAATGTGGAAAGGATTCCCTGTTCAATAAATGGTGCTGGTAGAACAGGCTAGCCATATGCAGAAAATTGAAACTGGACCCCATTCTTACACCATATACAAAAATCAACCCAAGATGGATTAAAAGCTTAAATGTAAAATGCAAAACTATAAACATCTTGGAAGATAACCTAGGCAACATCATTCACTACATAGGCACGGGCAAAGATTTCATGATGAAGATGCCAGAAATAATTGCAACAAAAGCAAGAATTGAGAAATGGGATCTAATTAAACTAAAGAGCTTCTGCACAGCAAAATTAACTATCAACAGCATAAACAGACAACTTACAGAATGGGAGAAAATTTTTGCAATCTATCCATCTGACAAAGGTCTAATACCCAGCATCTGTAAGGAACTTAAATTTACAAGAGGAAAAAAAAAAACATTAAAAATGGGCAAAGGGGACAGGTGCAGTGGCTCACACCTGTAATCCCAGCACTTTGGGAGGCTGAGGCGGGCAGATCACGAGGTCAGGAGATCAAGACCATCCTAGCTAACACGGTGAAACCCCGTCTCTACTAAAAATACAAAAAATTAGCCTGGCGTGGTGGTGGGAGCCTGTAGTGCCAGCTACTCGGGGGGCTGAGGCAGGAGAATGGCGTGAACATGGGAGGCGGAGCTTGCAGTGTGCCTCTCGAGATTCCTCCAATGCACTGCAGCCTGGGTGACAGAGCAAGACTCTGCCTCAAAAAAAAAAAAAAAAAAAAAAAAAAAATTGACAAAGGACATGAACAGACACTTCTCAAAAGAATACATATATGCAGCCAACAAACATATGAAAGAAAGTACAATATCACTGATCATTAGAGAAATGACAATCAAAAGCACAACGAGATACCATCTCTCACCAGTCAGAATGGCTACTATTAAGTTAAAAAATAACAAATGCTGGTATGGTTTTGGAGAAAATGGAACACTTTTACACTGTTGGTGGGAGTGTAAATTAGTTCAACCATTGTGGGAGACAGTGTGGTGATTCCTCAAAGACCTAAAGTCAGAAATATCATTTGAACCAGCAATCCCATTACTAGGTATATACCCGAAGGAATATAAATTATTCTATTAACATTTTAGACACATGCACGCATATATTCTTTGCACAACTATTCACAATAGCAAAGACATGGAATCAGCCCAAATGCCCATAAGTGATACACTTGATAAGGAACATGTGGTACATATACACCATGGAATACTGTGCAGCCATAAAAAAGGACAAGATCATATCCTTTGCAGGGACATAGATGGAGCCAGAGGTCATTATCCTTAGCAAACTAACATAGGAACAAAAAACCAAATACTGTATGTTCTCACTTATAAGTGGGAGCTAAATGATGAGAACACATGGACACATAGAGGAGAACAAGGCACACTGGGGCCTATAGGAGTGTGGGGAGTGGGAGGAGAAAGAGGATCAGGAAAAATAACTAATAGATACTAGGCTTAACACCTGAGTGATGAAATAATCTGTATAACAAACCCCCATGACACAAGTTTACCTGTGTAACAAACCTGCACATCCTGGATGTGTACTCCTAATTTTAAAATAAAAGTTAAATAATAATAATGATTTGGAAAAAAAAAAAACAAATAAAAACCTTTCCATTATTTTTACCCTTCGGGCACCTGGCAACCACCATTCTACTCTCTGTTTCTCTGAATTTGATGACTCAAGGAACATTGTATGAGTAATTGTCTTTTTTGTGACTGGCTTACCTCACTGAGCACACTATCCTTAAGGTTCATCCATTTTGTATATGTCAGATTTCCTTCCTTTTAATATCCCATTGTAAGTGTTATACCATATTTTGTGCATGCATTCATCTGTCAATTAACAATTGGTGGGTTGCTTCTACATTTTGGCTATTATTAATAATGCTACATTAATGTGGATGTACAAATACCCATTTGAGTCCCTGCTTTCAATTCTTTGGGTTTTATTTCAGAAGTGGAATTGGTGAACCATAAGATAATTCTACATTTAGGTTTTTGAGGAGCCACCATATTGTTTTTCATAGTGGCTGCCCTATTTTTTATATCTACCAACAATGAGCAAGGGTTCTAAATTTTCCACATCCTTACCAATACTTATTTCGGGGTTTTGGTTAGAGGTTTTTTGTTTGTTTGTTTGTTTGTTTGTTTGTTTTTAATAGTAGCATTCTAGTGGATATGAGGTAAATCTCATGGTGTTTTTGATTTGCATTTCCCAGATGATTAGGGAGGTTAAACATCTTTTTATGTGTTCAGAGAAAACTTTACATACATTCAGAGTGAAAGCATATGAAATTATTAAGTACTAAATGCGATCTATGCTTCCATTACTGTGAACTGAATATATACAATATGGTTGATGCACATTATGGCATAATCCCAGAATTGCTACTAACAGTGTAGTAGCAGTGCACATCCAGCAACGTGGATTGATTTTTGCAAGGATACTGAGTAAAAGCTGTGAAATATAAAATTAAAACTATTGCATACTATCATTCATAGAAATAAAAGAGCTGTATATTTGATTCAAAAATAAATATATGAATTAAATATTCTATCAAACACATTAAAATTCTGCCTATTGAATGAGAAGAGAATGAGACTCATGAATTGTCAAATAAAAGCAACAAAGAAAAAGAATAAATGAAGAAAGGAGCGAGTGGAGAGAGGGAGGGAAGGAGAAGTAAGACGGGAAGAAAGAAGAAAAGAAGAGAGGAAATAAAAAACAGAGGAAGGAATTAAGTAATAAATAACGGAAAAGGTGAAAAACAGGTAAGAACTTTAGAACTTAACAAACAAATACATATTAAGGCATAAATACATTATTAGTATTATAATATTCTGTTTTTATTACAAAGCAATCATTCATTAGAGTAAGATTTATGCCAGTACTGTTAAGAACAGGTTAAATTAAGCAAATTGTGTTTTTTTTTGAAAAATATGTGATTCAATTCAACTATTTATTCAGGAATTTTATCAATTTAGAATGTTTCTGGTTAAAATTTATATGTACAAATAGAATGCTGTTACTAACTTTTTATTGGTCCTCCCCAATTTAAAGTTATTAATAAAGTGTACTAGTGGGTAAACACTGCTCCACAGTGACATATTTTAAACAGCAACAATTTACACATACGTAGATAAGTGGAGAAGGAATACCCATGCAGAGAAGTTGTAGGAATACACAGATATAAGAAACCTGTAGAGCCAAAAATATTTATTCACTTATTTATTTATTTTTATTTATTTATTTTTTTTTTTGAGACGGAGTCTTGCTCTGTCGCCCAGGCTGGAGTGCAGTGGCGCGATCTCGGCTCACTGCAAGCTCCGCCTCCCAGGTTCACGCCATTCTCCTGCCTCAACCTCCCGAGTAGCTGGGACTACAGGCGCCTGCCACCTCGCCCGGCTATTTTTTTGTATTTTTAGTAGAGACGGGGATTCACCGTGTTAGCCAGGATGGTCTCGATCTCCTGACCTCGTGATCCACCTGCCTCCGCCTCCCAAAGTGCTGGGATTACAGGCGTGAGCCACCGCGCCCAGCCCCAGAATATTTAAAATCTGCACGCATCCTATTCTTTAGCTAAGCTGTCTTCCCACTACTCATGATGTTCCTTTGGCAGCAGCAGACATGCTCAGACAAGGAATGAATCTCTATAACCAAACTTCTCTCCCTCAACCTCCTCCCACTCACATATACATGACACTACCTATTTATGTGCATCAGCTTTCCTCCATTCCAGTGAACACAGACTATTGCTTTCCATTATTTCTGTCAAGAAGACAATTCCAAATGTTGATTAGTGTTTAGACTTACTGATTATCAGTCAAGCTAATTGATCCACAAAATCTATCTTGCAGAGTTTCAAGGATCTCTTTGATTTGTATTAATTCTCACTGAATGAGGCACCACATAACAGCACTAATTCAACATTCTGAAGAATTGACTCTTGGCAAGGAATTATGTAATTCCATTAATAACATCTGCTTAAAGAAAATTTGAGAAATACAATGGGAAATGAGTTCAGCAACTTCACTAAGATTTAGCAAGCAGAGTATCTCAGCCAGTGGCAGGGCCAAGGCTGATTTACACACGCATATTATTGTGTTCTGAAAGGGGAAGTAATATATTCCTAATACACTCTGAATAGTATAACATCAGCAGTGCTGTACTAGTAGCTCAGGCAAAGGACAGGTATACTCATTTCCGATCATTTCCTTTTGGATGACTTCTCCTTTCAGATAGGAAAAATATATCTCTTGATCCATGGAGGTCACCATAAATTTAACCACATCCTTAACCTGTCTAATAATGTACATTATTTGAAGAAAAAAGTTCTTTATTAATTCAATCAATGGAGACTGAGCTAATTGTCTTACCTCTCCATGTTATGCAGCTTGCACAAAAACGGCGTTTATCATGACTCTATGACAATAGTGTAGTGTCAGAGTCCATTTTGTGCTGCTATAATAAAATACCACAGACTATGTAATTTTTGAATGATAGTAAGTTTATTAGCTCATAATTCTGGAGGTTGAAAATTCCAAAACTGAGGAGCTGACATTGTCTAATGGCCTTCTTGCTGTAGTATGTAGTGGTGGAATGTGGAAGGACAACAGAGGGACAGACTTGTCCTTATATGACAGCAGCAATGCCACCCGTAAGTTGGAGCCCTTATGGCCTAATCGTGTCTTAAAGGTCCCACTTCTTAAAACTGCTACAATGACAAACTTCAAGATTAGTTTTGAAGGGGACAACATTGAAATCATAGCTTTCTGCCTCTGACCCCTAAAACTCATGCAGTATTAGCATAAAGACTACATTTATTCTATCCAATAACTTCTAAATTCTTCTTCTTCTCCTTCTTCTTCTTCTTCCTCTTTTTCTTCTTCTTCTTCCTCCTCTTCTTCTTCTCCTTCTTTTCTTCTTCCTCTTCTTTTTTTCGTCTTCTCCTTCTTCTTCTTTTTCTTCTTCCCCTTTTTCTTCTTCTTCCTCTTCCTCCTCCTCCTCCTGCTCCTCCCCCTCCTCCTCCTCCTCTTCTTCCTCTTCTTCTTCTTCTTCATCTTCTTCTTCCTGTTTTTTTTTTGACGGAGTTTCGCTCTTATTGTCCAGGCTGGAGTGCAATGGTGTGATCTCGGCTCACTGCAAACTCCACCTTCCGGATTCATGCGATTCTCCTGCCTCAGCCTCATGAGTAGCTGGGGTTACAGGCGACTGCCACCACACCCGGCTAATTTTGTGTTTTTAGTAGAGATGGGATTTCTCCATGTAGGTCAAGCTGGTCTTGAACTCCCAACCTCAGGTGATCCATCGGCCTTGGCCTCCCAAATTGCTGGGATTACAGGTGTGAGCCACCATGCCCCGCCAATCTCTAAATTCTTAACCGAATCCAGTATCAACTAAAATATCCAAAGTCCAGAGTTTCATCTAAACTGGATTCAGGTGAAACGCAAGGCACAATTCACCTTGAGGCAGATTTCTCTCCGACTGTGAGCTTGTGAAATCAAACAAATTATATATTTCCAAAATAGAATAGGAAAACAGATATAAGATAGACATTACTATTCCAAAAGGAGAAAATGGACAAGAAAAAAACCCAATAACTTGTTCCAAGTAATTACAAAGCCCAACAGGGAGAACAAGATTAAATCTTAAGGCTGGAGGACAATCTTCTTTGACTCCGTGTCCCACCCTCTGAACACAGTGGCACAGAATTGGGGGCCACAAGATTTAAGGAAGCCCCATCACTATAGTTTTGCCAGGCAGAGCTCATGCCTGCACCTCTCATACACTGAGAGCAGGTGCCTGTAGCTCTCTCAGGCTGGAATTGAACACTGGTGACTCTCCATTTCTGGGGTCTCAAAGGAAGCCCCATTCCAACAGCTTTCCTCAGCCCACTGGGGATTCGCTGTACAGATCCAACCCCAAAATTTTGCTAGGTATTTCTCCAATGGGAGCTTTTTGCAGTGGCTCTGCCCTTATAACAAGTCTTTTCCCGGGACACCAGGCTGTTAGCAACATGCTTTCAAATTCAGGTGAAGGAAACCATGCCCCTCACAGCTTGTTTATTTTGCATGCCTGCAGACAACACCACTTAGGTGCCACCAAGATTTGCTGCTCATACCTTCTGGAGAAGTGGGTGGGATTGATTCTCAGCTGCGTGTAGCTGATCCTGGCAGTCCTGAGATGTGGCTGGGGCAGCTGACGAGCCCTGCACTAGAATGTAGGGAACTGAGACTTGAGTTGGCCCTGGACAGTAAGTTCCAAGTTCCTGAGAGCACTGAAACCTCTCCTTTGACATATTTCCTTCAGTCAGGCCTTGACACTCTGGGCCTGTGATGGGAGCGGTCACACTTGTAAGCTCCACAGTGCCTTTATGGCCATTTTCCCATTGTCCTGATGAATAGCTTTGGGCTTTGTTCTATTCCTACTAATCTCCTTATCAAATAGGTCACTTGGCCGCAACCTTGGATTCCTCGCCTGAAAATGGTCTTTTATTTTCGACCACACCACCAGGCTCAGAATATTTCAATTCCCTAAATTCTGTTCTCCTTGTAAGTATTTATTTTCCCATTTTCTATATGCAGTTAAAAGTAGCCACACATCATCCTGAATGCTTTTCTGCTCAGATATTTCTTCCAGCAGACATCTTAATTCATTGCACTTAAATTCTGCCTTCCAGAAAGCCCTCTGGCATGGACACAATTCAGCCAAGTTCTTCGCCACTGTATAACAAGAATGGTCTTTACTCCAGTTTCCAATATCTTGTTTTTATTTCTATCTGAGACCTCATCAGAATTGCCTTGACTGCCTATAGTTCTTCCAACATTCTGATCACAACAACTTAAGTAATCCTTAAGAAGTTCCACTTACCCTAAAGTTCTCTTCTGAACCCTCACCGGAATTGCCCTTAATGCTCTGTTTAGGGCTGTATAGGCTTTTTCTAGCCTACTCCTCCAAATTCTTTCAACCTCCACCCACTATCCATTTCAAAGTTGCTTTCACATTTTTAGGTATTTGTTATACCAACAGCCCCACTTCTCAGTACCAATTCATTATCTTAGTCTGTTTTGTCTTCCTATAATGGAATACCACAGACTGACTTATTATTAAGAATAGAACTTTATCGGCTTATAGTTCTGGAAGTGTGAAGTTCAAATCAAGGGGTCGTCATCTGGCAAGGCCTTTTGCTGCATCATCCCATAGGAGAAGGGTAAAGACATAGTAAGATAGAAAGAACGAGAGCAAGAGGGGGATGAACTGAAGTCACCCTTTTATAACAGCACCAATTCCACCCAAAAATGTGAAGTCTTCATGGCCTAATCACGCCTTAAAGGTCCTACCTCTTAATACTGTTACAATGGCAATTAAATTTCAACAAGAGTTCAGAAGGGGACAACATTCAAACCATAGCATGTAGTAACCTGGGATTGAGAAATTAATGAAGCTAAGAACATGTTGAAACTTATGTGATGGTGAATGAAAGTGTACTAAGCAAGTGCATGAAAATCAATGTGGTAAACAAAATAGCAAAATACATAATGAATATAAGATTTAAAAATTCATCTGAGTGATGGAAAAGGGCCTGTGGCATGAATTAAGCCAGGTGATATTTGAAAAGTATTATAAATTATAACACGAAAAATAACTTACCCATCATAGGCCTCTTGTCTATACTTATCATAAGGAAAGTTGAAAGATATACAAAGGTTAAAAGAGATAATCTAAGCCCAAAGCAACAAACAGCCCACAAGTATATTAAATGCAGAATAAATAAATGTTGATTTATTTATTCAATAAATTTTATTATCTGTACAATTGGAGAAAACTACCAATACATGTTTTTGCATCTATGAGTGAAAAGGTGTGATACTCTAAAAAATACACATTGTATAATTTCATTTATCTAAATTCCAAGAAAAACCAAAATGAATCTATGCTGACAGATTATTTACTGCTGGGTAATTGAAGAGAAAGTTTACAGAATTATTCTAAATCTTGTTTAAGGTGGTAGTGACATGGTTTTCTACAATTAACAAACTTATCAAAATGAAAAATTATAACCTATGCATTTTGTTCCATGAATATTATATCTTACTAAAATCATTTAATTCATTAACTATACATGTCTTTACCTAACTTCAATGTAAAAAATTAGGCATTATGTGTACTTTTAAAAATTAATAGACCCCTGATACTTATGTAATTTTTTGCTTTAGAAATGCATAACAAATGTATTATTTTACTTCATAACAAAATAAGAAATTAGATTTGTTTGATGATAGTATGTATTTTATACTAGGGCCTTCTCTTTCATATTGATAATTGTTATTTCTAGTGTTGACATTAAAAGGTAAATATTTTCACTGATGCAACTGTTGGCTTAGCCATGCAGAACCAATACATATGCATGCATTATTCAAATGAGATTTCGAAGCATTTTTGGCTTCTGTTTGTTTGTGTGTAAAATTGGTATTTTACAGTAATTATGCAAATACAGATTTCCAGTGAGAGTTTTTTTCATTTTTATCCTACCCTTTAAAGAATTTTATGACAAATTTTTAACCCATGATAATCTTTTTAATTGAGAAAAAAAGATGCATAACTTTCTAGAATGTGAAAATATGGATAAGATTAACTTCTATGTTTCTATTGTAGTTAGTTTAACCTACATTAGTTTATCTCTTCTAAAATGTACTTAATTAAACATTGTATGTACCTTTTATTCTAGTTCTAAATCACATACCCACAAATTAAATTCTATTTACTGAAAGGCAAGATATGTTCAGCCATATTGCTTCCAGCAAGATGTAAACAAATACTGTTAGAGGAATAAAAACTGGAGAAAGGAGGTGTTCAGGAATGGTCAATAAACACTATTATTTTTCTAGGCATAATTAAAGAGGAAGAGTTTTAACTTTAAATTTATATTTATATTCTGAAATGAACAAAATATAATCCAAGTTTGGATTATTTTGAAGTGCAACAATAAAGGTCTTTCCCTTTTGTCTTTTGCACAAAAACATTCTGAGAATCTATATTATTAAAAATGAATTATAAATTTAAAATACATTTAGAAAAAAGAGTGATAAATACATAAATATTGTGCAAATAATATGAAAAAACAGAATTTAAACATGCCAGCCATCACAAAAATGCACAAGAATAAAACTTGTCAATTAATTAAAAATACTTTTTGTTTGCATTTTTAAAAGTCATGATTATGTAATTTACAAAAGAAGTGCCTAAAATGTAAAACCCGGAGTTTTTAAATAAGTTAAAAATTAATTTACATCATGCAAACATTAACACAGGTAAGCTGATTCAAATTAATACCAGAAAAATTGATGCTAAGGCCAAATATATCAGTAGATATAAAGAGGTTGCACACTACAAGGCCTAATTTATCAATTAAAAAATTAAAAAATTCTAAATGTAAATAATAAATTTGTATAGCTCCAATTACATAAAACATATAACTCAAATGTGAAGTACAGATTGAATTATCCAAAATCACTCTAGTAGTTTTAAGCAATCTCCTTAGGTAGTTTCTAGATCACGTGGACAAAACTATGATGATGATGTAAAGTGATAATTTCAATGTCACAATTAAAAATTGCTGTCTAAACTATATACATGTATGGTTCTAGTACTATTAATTCCCAGTCTTCTTAAATGAATAAATTCTTTACTAATGTTGACCAAATTCCAGAAGATAAAAAATATGTACAAGACCTACTGAAGAAAAAATAAAATTAAGTAAAAAGACACAGACTTAAATAAAATTAAATATCAAAATATACGAAAATGTTCACTGGATTCATTCATAGAGGGCTCAATATAATATTTCTTCCAAAACTAACCATAAGTTAATAGAATATTATTCACAAATGCATTAGGGCTGTGTATGAAATTTGACTGCATTGATTATTTTTTAATTGTAAAATGTTATTTGCCACAAAATATTTAGCAAACTTTTGAAATGGAAAGAGAAAGAAGTAGTAGAAAGAGCTTTGGAAGAAAGAGGAGAAGAATGAGTGAGAAGAAGAGGAAGAATTGACAAGGTGAAGAACATCAGGACAGCAACAACGTGTCTTAGAGACATGTCTAAGAATATTTTAATATTCACTGTTTGTCATAGCCAAAAATTCAGAACAACTCAAATGTCCAAAAGGAAGAGACTGAACATGTATATTGTGGAGCATGCAGGATGCACAAATGAGCATTAATGAAAGCAGGAAAGAGAGCAGAGGAGAGGAGGAAGAAAAATAACAAGAGGTCAGGGATAATGGTGTACCAGATACCTCTATAAATCTTAGTTAATTAAGTTAAGCCATGTAGTATAGGTACAGAATGAAAAATAGAATATTGGAACAAAGCAGCTGAGAAACAGAATTGTAATTATTTACAAAACATCAATTTATGACAAACATAAGGGTAAAGATTTATCCATCAATATTGCTTAGACAATTATCTAGGAAAAAATAAAGCTATCTCATAATTTCTATAAAAGCAATATCAATTCCCTACTATTAAAGAAAACCACATTTTTGCTATTTGAAGTAATAAAAAACCCCATGATGCACACACACAAATACACACCCTCTTATAGATCAACTAGACAAAGACAAAAATTCTCAAATCCCTCCTGTGGAGTTCCTCTCCAACAGAGGAAATAGTTTTGAAAAGACAATTAACAAAATAGGAAACTTAGTTACAAATGAATATATAAAATAATGATCAACTGCCAAATAGGAAAATGCAAAATAAAACTACAAATGGATATCATTTTACAAACTTCAGATGAGCAAAGATTTTAGAATCTGACAATATCAAATAGCATAAAGATTGAGAATATTAGAATGTCTTATTTATTCTTGTTATTAATATGTATTGATATTATTTTGCAACACTCATTCAATTATGAAGACATGCCTAAAATATGATATAGCAATTCTGCTACCAAATATATACTCTAGTGAAAGGTTCATGCATGCTCATGGATACCAGTTCAGGAGTATTATCAGATGTAATGCTTGTAATAGCCAAAAATTAGAAGTAATTTAAATATCTAATAGCAAAAGATTGAATGTGTACATTGTGGAAACTGAGGACACAATGTGCACAGTATTATTGAGAACAGGTATGTTACCTGATTTGCATATTGCTATAAAGAAAGAAAGAAAGGAAGAGAGAAAGAAAGAAGGAAAGAAGGAAGGAAGGAAGGAAGGAAGGAAGGAAAGAAAGAAGGAAAGAAAGAAAGAAGGAAAGAAAGAAAGAAAGAAAGAAAGAAGAAAGAAAGAAAGAAAGAAAGAAAGAAAGAAAGAAGAAAGAAAGAAAGAAAAAGAAAGAACTGCCTGAGACTGGATAATTTATAAAGGAAAGAGGTTTAATTGACCCACAGTTCAGCGTGGCTGGGGAGGCCTCAGGAAACTGATAATCATGGCAGAAGGCCAAGGGGAAGCAATGCACCTGCTTCACAAGAAGGCAGAAAGGAGAAGTGCCAAGTGAAGGATGAAGATCTCCTTGTAAAACCATCAAATTCCCTGATAACTCACTCATTATCACAAGATCAGCATGGGGGAGACCGCAGCCACGATTCTATCACCTCCACCTGGTCTCTCCCTTGAAGGTAGGGGTTATGGGGATTATGGAGATTACTATTCAAGACGAGATTTGGGTGGGGACACAAAACCTAACCATAATAACAGGATAGTAGCATTTATATATATATATATACACACACATATATATATATATATACATATGGTGTTAAAACATCTAGTGAGACCCTACAGTTTGTTGATAGATATATAAATATGAAATTAGAATTTAAATTAATACATGAGAATCATTAATAAAAATCTAGGATAGTGATACCTTCTGGAGAAAATCCCATTATAAAAGGAAGCATATTTTTTAATGCTTTATTTTTTAAGATTGGTGGTGTTAGATACATCAATCATTGTAACTTCATTATATTGAAAATAATATCATAAATTTTTAAGTTGTTGAGCCTTGACTGTTTTCTTACTTGTAGCCTCTTCAGTGTTTTTAGTAAAAATTATCTACACCTTTTTTACAGCTCATATTTTGATAAAAGTAATTTCACTGGATCAAACCAGATCAGCATACTTATTGAACACTTATTATGCTTCTAAGAAACAATAAAATAACCAAAGGAAATTCACAGCGTGGTTTGGTGGATAACATATACATATTTCTAAAGTTAAACAAAAATATTCACTGTACTGAAAACAGTAACATTTTAAAAACGGGCCAGGCCACCTGGTGGCTTACTCTTGGTGGCTCATGCCTGATGGCTCACGCTTGTAATCCCAGCACTTTGGTAGGCCAAGGCAGGTGGATCACTTGAGCCCAGGAGTTGGAGACAGGCCTGGGCAACATGGCAAAACCCCGTCTCTGCAAAAATACAAAAATTATCTGGGCATGGTGGCATGTGCCTGTAGTCCCAGCTACTTGAAAGGCTGAGGTGGGAGGATCACTTGGGCCTGGGAGGTGGA
This sequence comes from Homo sapiens, assembly GCF_000001405.40. Lineage (NCBI taxonomy): Eukaryota > Metazoa > Chordata > Mammalia > Primates > Hominidae > Homo > Homo sapiens. Next base: position 23,549,038 of record NC_000021.9, on the reverse strand, counting down.
GGCTCCAGTGAGCGGAGATGGCGCCACTGCACTCTAGCCTGGGCAATAGAGTGAGAACCTGTCTCAAAAAACTGAACTAAACTCTAAACTAAAATAAACTACATTAAGATAAAATAAAATTTAAAAACTTTTTAAAACACAATTTTTTTTCTGAATTTCATTTCAGAGTTTAATGACTCAAACTTTATTGTCAATCTTCAAAAGGAAATATAATGTAGGGCACCTCACAAATTACCTGAAAAGAGAATATTTGGGTGGAGAGACAGGGTGTCAATTTCGAACACAACCTTGGAAGTAGTGCTGTGGAATTGCAAAAGAGGAAGTGTTTTTTGGGAAGCTTCATGAAAACATGATTTTTTTTATGAGCACTTTGGAGAAGAGAGGATAAATATAATAACAATTTCTGACCATTATTGGTAGACTAATAAAACGTTACATAAATGTCAGAGAAATTAAACATATGCAGCAACTTTTCTGTAGTAAATTAAGCATAAAATATGTGACTTCTTGTAATTATATTCTCCAAAACTTATTTAAAATTTAACATCTTTAGATTATTACATTTTATCATGGCAAAAAGAGTTTTCTGTGCAATTTTGACTAAAACATTAATATTTGACTGGAATATTACATTAAAAAGGAATAATATAGAGACAAAAATATTTAGTTTGTTTTCTGATAAATATCCTTTGGGATTCATGGGTATATCTGTTATCTATTTTTTTTCCACTTAATTGAACATCTGTTAGCTTAGGCCTCTTTTTTTTTTTCTTTTTCTAATAAAGATTCTGAACTTGGAAAGTAAACTCAAAATGAAGCACCAACTGTTCATAAGACACTCAAGCCTGTTTTGGAGACCCTCTGGGACACCAGGGCATGTGTTGTTGCTTTCAGGCTACAGACAGCAGAAAAGCTGACAGATGTTAGTGTTAGTCCTTAGATTACTCCTAACGATCACACACCTCCAAAGATGCCAGTGCATGTTTTCTGTAATGGATTAAGTGGAGAGACAAGAAAAATAAAATGAGAATATTCAGCATCTTATATAAACTGCCTGGAATGTATATAAAGCTAAGATATGAACCATAGATTGTCTTCTTAAAATGTAAAATACATCAAGAACTGCATTATACATCATCTTGGTATTATTTTGTGATCATTTATTCAAGAGCTTTTGGATTTACTGAGATTTATGGGCATATGAAAGAAAGAAAATATACACATCACTCTACTATTTACTCTCCTAAGGTCGATTCCGTCACCTGTTTAATCAGATAATATAGTTTTAACAAACTTAAATAATGTAATTTAAGAAAGAAGTGCTAAGGAATAATCCATTTTTCTAACACACAATTGACATTTAAGTTTAAATTATTTTAAAATAAATTCTGTATATATTAATATTCATGATCCAGACAATTATTACTATTATCATACCCTGGGAAATATAGCAGACACATTTCAAAACTATAAGTCAAAACTTCACTAATTAATTCAGTGGGCTCTCATATATAGCAACATCTTTTGTAAGAACTTCTTTTAAGAGAAGATTTTTGTAGTTAAGTGAGAAATGAAACTTTATTTTATGAAAATATGCCTGGGTGACATTTTCAATTATTTGTAATTTTAAATGTTTATCTTTGATGAGGGCACAGAATGTAATATTACATCGCTGTAACATTTTTAAACTTCAAAGTTCTTTCAGAATTTAAGTTTTATTTAAAATTTATAATACCCCATGGTAGATGTTATTCTTCTCCATTGTAATTATGAAAAATATTAGGTCTAGCACTATGAGTAATAAGTCAAGTTTGCATAGTTGTTTAAAAAATGAAAAATTCATCTTCTAACTGCATCATTTTTTTACAGGATTAAGATTTAATATCTTCCTATATTCTTAATTTGTCAAAAGGCACTTGGCCCTTTCTAGTAGCTAACTTTTAGAGGCAAATTAAAAAAAAAAATTTAGTGGTCAAGAAGAGAATATCGAGAAAGTTCCAATAAAAGCTACTTTTTCTTTCATAAGCTAACACAAGGGAACTCATCATTGCCAGCAAAGTAAAAAGCGTTCAGTTGAATTGTAGGCTATACCTGACAGATGATAATTCTTATTTTTGAAACTTTAAAAAAGTGTTTTGAATATTATATTTATATTAAATACCACAGTAGTTTCCAAATGTTAGAAGAATTAGTTAAATTAAATAGAAAACAGAAAATATAATTCTTGCATTGGCAATGCTGCCATGTCATTAATGATTAGAGAGAATCATTCATTTTTTTTAAAGGGAGGTTTTCTCCTCCATACATTTTATAAATTATAGATTTATGCTTTAAGCTCTTTTTTCAGTATTGAACTTCTACATACATTTACAGTTCAGAATGTTGACAGATTCCAGACAGCTCATTAGAATGAAAAAGAAATTTGGACATTTTTAAATTTACTTATCTTTGGACTTCATTAAAATAACCTTATTTAAATGTTATACAACCAAGATTTCCACTAACAGACTGTTTATACCACTAAAATATAATTTATTAATGTAGCACATTAATATTTTGTAAACAGAAGTTATATAGGCAAATTCAAACATTTAAATATATTTTATTTTTTAATGTCCTCTTTCTTTTCTATTTTTATTTTAGATTCCAGGGATACATATGCAGGTTTGTTATGTGAGTAAATTTTTTTTTTTTCTTTTTTGAGACAAAGTCTCACTCTTGCCCCTCAGGCTGGAGTGCAATGGTGCATTGCAATCTCCGCTCACTGCAAGCTCCGCCTCCCAGGTTCAAGCGATTCTCTTGCCTCAGCCTCCCGAGTAGCTGGAATTACAGGCGCACGCCACCACGCCCTGCTAATTTTTGTATTTTTAGTAGAGACGGGGTTTCACCATGTTGGCCACGCTGGTCTCCAACTCCTGATCTCAGGTGATCTGCTCGGCTCGGCCTCCCAATGTGCTGGGATTACAGGCATGAGCCACCACGCCCGGCCATAAATTGTGTTTTGTTGAGGCTTGAGGTACAATGCTTACCCAGATAATGAGCATAGTACTCCATATATAGCCTTCCAACCCATGCCCCCTTCCTACCCTCCCCTCTAAAGCAGTCCCCAGTCTCTATTGTTCCTATCAGATTCTAAGAATTTTAAACATCTCAGCAAGCAAATAAAATACAAACCTTCATAATTGGATAAATTATGACCTCTCGTTAAACCTGATTAAAAGCCCTAACACACCTATTTCTGGTTTGTTTTTCATTGCCTCTGTCCTGTGCTCATCCTTGTTTTGGACATAGAGGTAATAATTCCCCCCAGCTACTAAAGCTGGTAGATATTTTATGTGATATTACCTTTATATCTGTGTATAGTGCAGTGCTTTATCTTACACAAAAGGAAAACAGAAAAATAAATAAATAAACAAAACAACCCAAAACACCATTGCAGACCAGCCAGTCCAAGGTTGCAGGATCTGAGATGTTGACCAACTGGTGCTTGGTTAGAGAAGAAAACGGTTCTACTTGGTAAATTTATTCAACTCTATGCATAAAGTCATTATTTTGTTGTTTCTATTGTGATGTCAAAAGAAAATTGAAATCCCTGTTCTCACAGAATTTTAGTTTTGAAGATTCAGATGTGTAGTATTTAAACAATGTAAACTGAATTCATCTTTAGCAGGACTGTGCCCTGCTAGAATAAGATTACGATATCCTACATATCCACTAATGTTAACCACATAGTGTTATATATGAATAAATAACACAGAATTTTAGAAGTAAAAAAAAATCTGATGAATCAATGCAAGATTTAAATTTGCTTGACTGAAAATACCAACTCATATTGGTATTCATTTATATAACCTTATTATATTATTTTAGTAAAATGCATGCACATTCATTTATAAATATGATTTAAGTGACATATATTTTATCACATTTACATAATTAAAGATTCATTACATTTTATATGTGAAGCCTATATTCTATATTACAGGTTGGCAATGTACATTCATTTACATATTGTCCCTGGCTGCTTTTGTGCTACTTTGGCAGGGTTGAGTAGAGATGACAAAGACCATTTGGTATGCAAAGCCTAAATGTTTACTTTCTTTAACTTTGTAGATTAAATTTGCTGACCTCTCTCCTATGTTACACAGATTTATATAATATTCATGTATATTATGTATGCACATATTCTCTCTCTATCTCTTTCTTTCTCTGTCTCTATCTTTCTCTCAAGGTAAATTGAAATGGAGACCAGGCCTGAAAAATCCTTGAGCAGACAAAGCCAATTAGGTCTTGAAATTAACCTTAATCTTACTTGAACTGCAAAGCTCAACTAATCAAAAACACTCACTTTATAAAAGCCTGTCCAATGAGCTTCCTCATCAGAATCCAAAACCCCTTTTGGTTGGTGTTTACCAACTCATGAAATTCTGTTTGCTCAAATAAACTCTTTAAAATGTTCCTTTGTTTTATTCAATCGACTTATCTATTTATCTTTGTATCTATGTATCAATCTGTCTGTCACTTATCCAACTAGCTATCTTTTTTGGAATACTTTGAGAAATGAAATACCAGATTTCTTGAGTCATGACATTATATTACCTGTACTACGGTCCTTTTTAATAGAAATACTGAGATATACCTATGTAGTGAAAAACTCAGTCATGAAGTAAATGGCTCTTACAGGCTTCAGAGCAGAGAAATAGAGCTCAAATGTTATTCTATTATTTTATTCAAAACACAAAAACAACTTTCAGAAAACTCTTGATTTTAAAACAAATACTAATTAGAGAAAATAATGTATCTACCATACTTGACTATTCCTTGGTCACTTATTCATGTGCTCTTCCAGTTATTTTATATAGACTTGTATTAATAGTTAAAAAATTATAATCACCACAAAACCCCACTTCTTACCATTAAGTGAGAAAAGAATAAATTGGGGAATACAACCACAAAAAGTCTGCATTCAAATGAGAAAACAACACTAACAACCAAAAACCACAAGACCACGCCTAAAAAATAGTATACAAGGCTACTATTTCAATATTTAAAATTACCAACATGAATTAAGTTTATATTTGCATATATGTGCAAAAATTTTTATTGATTCTTAGATTGTATGGCTATACACAAATGAAAAATGATTCTGAGGATGCTATTCTCTTTAATACATAAACAAACAGATCAGAATGGGGTTCTTTATTGTGACTTGATTGGCTTCCATTGCTTTACAATCTTTGTTAACTCTGGAGACACTCTAAGAAAACTAGTTTGCCTGAAATGAATGTTGAGAGTGAATCTACAATTGTGTTGATACAATGAGTCTGATACAACAGAGATGAGTCTGATAAAATAAGATGATACAACATCATCTGAGAAACATTTGTGGGGGGGGAATATTTTATTCCAAATCTGGTATCACTTCTGCAACAATATTTGTGGCACTCCTTTTGGCTCCACTGCCAAATCATCCTGGCCAAGGTCCTTCTGGATCAACTGTTGTGCAACCAGCCATTATCAGCAGGTCGCAGTGGCATTACTCCAGAGTGAATTACAGCAGACCAGATATTTCTGTGTAGCAGACATAGAGAAAGCAAAGAAAGCAACACAATGATTTCCGGATTAAAATCATTTAAACTTACAAAGCACTTAATATCATCAATTGGTAAGAATGCTGCTAAAGTTTAAGTCAAAGATTCACCCAGAGACTAAGATTTATCTCTTATTAAGTTTAATGTGCCTATCTTTTTGAATTTAATGACTTTTACTGTATAGAAATACTATAGAGAGCAGGTGTTGGCTTGTAAATAGGGCTTTGGAATTTTTTATTTTAGTCATTAAGAATATTATTCAAATTGTTGAGATCCCCTCAAATAGCTTTAAGGCTTTGATAACAAATCTTAAACATAATTTTATGACTACTGATGGAAGCACATGTATAGTAAACAATATAAGAGAGAGTTGGATTTCTCTGCAGAGGCACTGAAAGGTTATAGAAAAGATGGATAATCTTCAAAAATACAGAGATTTTTGCAAGGGGCTATTATTCCAATAGAACTAGTCGTGGCTGAGCTAAAGGCTAGGAGACTTGTGAATAGCTAGTGAATGGCAAGATTCTCCTTCTTCATTTTTTTCTAGTCACAGCCTATTTTCTTTCTAGGTTTTGCCTCATAGTCTGTGTTTCTTCTATCCTTCCTACCCAAACCTTCCTAGGACCATATTACTCACCTAAGCCCCTGTAAGAACCATTGGCTGTCTAGTATTTTATCTTCCCCTTTACCTCACCTCCAACATTGGAGATTAAAGGTAGATATCCATATTTTTAACTCCTATTCACACATTTATATTGTGTAACATGGCTGGTGGCCATTGAGAAAAGAACAAAGATACTCGAATGTTCTCCAGGTAACTTGGAAGTCAGCAATGGTAGAAGCATCTGCACTTTTAACAACTTAATCAAGCTTCATGTGAATTATAAAATATCTCAAATTCCAAAGTAAACAAATAAAACACATAAATTACCCTTCTGTATATCTAGGTAATATTTTTTGTTATTTTGGGATCAATTAAGTTGCCAATATGAGATATAGTTTGGAAAGCTTCAACAAAGGTGAAAATTCATGTTGGGTAGAGAAGACATAATTATGGATAAAGTTTACTGTGTGGTCTTTGTTACAAATTTCACATGTGAGTCATCATCTAAACCACAAATTATAGAACAGAATCAACATCTGAGTAAAGGTCGGATAATATATCATTGGAGACATGGAGTAATTAATCCTGCTTGGCATGTAAATGCCTTCACAAACTATGCTATTTTGGGGTTAACTCTACTTTGAAAGAATAGCCTAACTGAAGATTAAATTGTTAAATTATATTTTCTCCTTAGGGAATACACTCATTACACTATTATTAAGATGAACTAAATGGAACAAAATGCCAATAATAATAATAGCAGTTGTAATCATCTTTTCAGGTAACCTCCTTTATATATACAAAATAAAGGACATCCAGAGGCTTCTACTAAGTCTGAGAAACTGTTCTTTGCACTTTCATATATTATATTTTCTAATTCTTATAAATATCTTATAGCATAATTATTATTAATTCTGTTACATATTAAGAGACCAAACCTGCCAGGGACTGATCAAGTAGTTAAAATCCAGACACATGTATGAATGAAATGGCTAGAATTTAAATCTACAACTTCTGATTCTTAAGCCCTTGATGGGTTTCCTGAGTAAGCTGAATGACTGGATGAATCAGGGTCATTGTTCTTTGTGGGAAATGCAGACTGTGAAAGATCATGTGCTTGCACATTGGCTCATACCTGTAATCTCAGCACTGTGGGAGGCCAAGGGGGGGTGGATCACCTGAGGCCAGGAGTTCAAGACCAGCCTACGCAACACGGTGAAACCCCATCTCTACAAAAAATACAAAAATTAGCTGGGCATGGTGGTGTGGCCCTGTAATCCCAGCTACTCAGGAGGCTGAGGCACGAGAATCGCTTGAACCCAGGAGGCAGAGGAGGCAGTGAGCCAAGATAGTGCCACTGCACTCCAGCTTGGGTGACAGAGTGAGACTCCATCTCAAAAATAGTAATAATAATAAATAAATTTGACTAGCAAATAAGATAATTCGGGTGGATAGAGCAGTAAAAAGCAAAGAACATGCATCTCAGGCCAATCAAGAACATCTGATAACAGGTAAGATACAGGCTTATAAAATGCTATAAAATATGAATGGTGTTGGCAGACACTAGATTTGAAAGTTGTAGCAAAAGTGATTGATCAGGCATAAAAGTGTAACCAGATAGAATCACAAAAGCCAGAGGGGGGAAAAAAAAAACTTTAAGAAGAAGATAATGGTAAATAGTCTTAAATATTGCAAAGGGACTGAGCTGCATGTGAATGTGAAAGAGGCTGTTATATTTTTCAGATAGAAGGTAGGTTATTATGTCTGAAAAAGCAATATTGTAGTCAGAGTGACATTTTGGGAGTGAATGAGTGACTGTGATGAGAGAGCAGTAAAGATAGAATCACCAAAATACAAGCAAATATTAAACAATCATTTTTCAAAATTTCCAAATATATTGCTCTATGACTTTTATAGCATTTCAGACAAAATATTTGCAAAAATACTAAATTTTCTTACATGATATTCTTAATGTATTAGTTTTGAATGTCATCCTACATTATTTGACCTTTTGATGTATTTGGCCATATAATTTTTACTACCTACTTTTTCTCTAAGAGTGAATGTTTTCTTTTAATCCTAACATAATGTTACATGCATAACATTGTTTAAGTAAAATGTCAAATTGTGTTAGAAATACTTGCTCTTACCAAATCTACATCTACCTGCACAGGTGAAAATATTGGGAGCAAAAGAGACCAAAAAATTGAAGTGTAACTAGAAAAAAAAAAATAGGACTCAGCTTCACTGCTTTCAAGGCGAAGCTGAGGACAAATGATGTACTGGGCCATTGGGCTTAAGAGAATCCAGGTTTGAAAGGGAAATTAGAGTTCATTAATCTAATTAGTTAATTTCCTCTCTTGCATTACTACCTAGACATTCTCTGACTTGTGTTTGTACCTCACATTAGACACCGGCTCAGGATCTAATGAATAAAATTGAGTTATTTTATGTTAACCAGAAGCTGAATAAAAATAAGATACTGAGAGAGAAAAAGTTGCCGTGCTAGGAACAAAGTGAATTTCTAAAAATAGTTTAGATGTTACGTTATAGACACGTAACGGCAGATGTAGTGCAGACCTAAGCTTTAACTGGCCCCTGAGTAGAAGAAGCCAACTTTAATGGACACCGTTTTTTGTTTGTTTGTTTGTTTTCCCCAGACTATGAGGACATGGAAATGAATCCAGCCTCCCATGGATGAAAAAGACAGCAAACATAATCCCTTTATGAGGAAGATTTGGCAAACGATGTGCAGAGGGAAGGAGTGGAGGAATTTCCATGGGCAATGGATTTTAGCCCGTGTATTTCTAAACATTAAACTTTATAAAAGTTCATTTTCTGAGTTTTTCTTTTCCTAAACAGCTACATGCCTTAATTTTCTTTCATCTGCAAAGCAGCTCAGCCACGGAATACAGGGACAGCTGTGGCTCCCCTAGGCTAGCCCAGTGTGGGTACTCTAGCTGCAATTGGCAAGACAGAGTCAACACTCTTCAATGATCAAGAACTCTATGCTCTAAAGCTCCCCACTCTATCTTTGAGGAGCTCTTTTAATAAAATACATATTTTAGCCAAGTCTGTCCTTCTGCCACTTCTAATAATTGGACCTAAACTATATAGGTAGCAAGTACAATATGGCTAATCCATGTTCCAAATTTTTATGTTAGATGACAGCACTCAGACACCTTGAATCATTCTTGTCTCAATCAAAAATAAGACTATTTTTCTCTTCCCTTCTCATATTTAGTGCCTTTGAGGTTTTTTTTTTATCATTCTGGATTCCCTTCTCTACATGCATGTGTGTCTGTGCATGACTATTTAAGGTCTTTTTTAAAGGTTGACACGAAGACAGGTATAGTGGAATACTCTATATCCTGCATGTCTTAATGAGAACCCACAGTGCCAGAGGAAAGATTTCCATGCAATCTAGAAGAGGAAGGTTTGAGGTCTCTAAGAATAGTAAGCTATTTCTGCTGCAAAAGCAGCAGAGCTGTATAACCCTGACATGCATTTCAGATATTAATTGCAGTCATACACGTCAGAGTTTAGATGCTTAACTTATATTAAATGGCTTCTTTAGACTATCATCTCATTAGTGAATTTTATTCTACTCGAAGTGTCTGAGAAATGCTGCTCAGATCAAAGGCAGATGTGTTGAGTACAAATATGTCTCAATGTTTTATTTACTGGCCATAATAATACAGGGCTCTTCAGAAACATTGTGAGCTCTCACAATATGAAATATCAGACCTGAGCTTTTCCCGTTCCATCACCGGTACCTTCCTTTTCATGGTCTGAACTTATTTTCTATTTATAATAATATACCCACAATCTCTATGTAATTATTTTATTTATCTCCTTAATACAGTCTTGGACCAGATAATATGAAGCCATTTTGTGCTACATAATTGAATATATTACTTGACTATAAAATAATTGATTTACTTTTGGGATGTCAGAATGTTTATTTTTGTTTTAAAACGTTTATCTTAAAATGTAACTGCATCTTAATTGTGTATCTATTATAGTATTGCTCCTCTCATGTTCTTGATACTTCTTAGCATGATAGCACGTCTTAAATCTTTACTGTCCAGAACTTGTGTTGTTTTTCCCCCAAAAATATGGGTCGCTGCTTACCACAATCTTAAGTATCACCCTCAATAACTACTTATCCAACTTGATTGAGTAGAGTCAAATTGCATGTAACATATTTCAATGTAAGCCAGGTGAGAACGGATATCTTCCTTCTTATAATCCTTGTGCTACCAATACTTAATATGTGTCACATAGTAGGCATGCACCAAGTTTTTTTAAATTTATTTATTTTATTTATTTTTTTTGAGAGACCGTCTCTCTCTGTCACCCATGCTGGAGCGCAGTGGCACAATCTCAGCTCACTGCAGCCTCCACCTCCCAGGCTCAAGTAATACTCCTGCCTTAGCCTCTCAAGTAGCTGGAATTACAGGCACGAGCCACCACACCCAGTTAATTTTTGTATTTTTAGTAGAGACGGGGTTTCACCATGTTGGCCAGGTTGGTCTCGAATTCCTGAACTCCTGCCTCAGCCTCCCAAAGTGCTGGGATTACAGATGTAAGCCACCGCATCTGGCCCCAAATATTTGTTGAGTAGTCAATGATCAGATTCTTAGATACTTCATGTTTATTATTCTGACAAAAAATGTTTATGATTGAGTCAGAATGTGTGTCAATCCTATGTTTAAAGTCTAACTTTATGTACAGAATAGACCAAGATATTATTTAAACAACCTCATTCAAAATATATTCATACATATATATGTGTACACACAGATCTATGTATATTTTTCTTATCTCAGTCAAGGAAAATACCAGCAAACCTGTATCAAACAAAATTGGAAATTCTGCTGTTTTCTACTCATTTCTCACAACCTTCATCCCAATTAAGGTTATTCACGGCTATAGCTTTGGATGTTTGCCAAATATCAGGCTATATGTAGGACACTCAAAATACTTAGGCCCCTACATGTGCTGCAGAGTGTTTGGGTTGAAGTACCAGAGCCTGCGGTTCACAAACAGCAGGCATCTGGACCAGGTGCTTATAGACTTGGTCTTTTTGGAAACTTAGACTCAGACTTCAGTGCATGGATTAGCCAGTCCTCATTTACCCAAAGAGGGTGACAGAAAACTCAATATATGGTTTGCTAAGGGGAGATTCCTCTATACCCAGATGGAAGCACAAAGCAGGGTGGGTTGGCTAAAGAAAACATGAGTGCTTGAGTGGGAATGGGACATGAAAAAAGCCGGGAGAGGTGTGGAAATAAAATTGTCTGAAACATCTCTCAAGACAAACATGCCACAATTAAGAATTAACCCACAGTATGTCTCTCTTGGGTATAGACCTGCCAAAGTTCGCTGCCAGTCCTGGAACTATCATTTAGCATGGCAGGGCGGGAAGTCTACGGGTACAATGTTATGATGTCAAAGAATCATAAAGGAGTTGAGAAGTGAGATGGCACAAATGTCAACTGAACCCAGTCTGCCCTCTCTTCTTATTCAGTCCATGTAGCTGTATCTCCTTCTGTTCAATACAATGTGCCTGGGCAACCAACTAGCAATGTGTTTCAGTATCTTACAGTAGTTTTTCAATTTATCTGACAAATATAAAATCACTACTCTCAGATGCCCATCAGAGTAAGCCTAGAGGGTTATAAGGATGAAATATATCAAATATTTTTGCAATATTTATTAGATGATCTCATTCTGTTGTTTTCTTCTGTTTGTTTGCCAGTGTGCATAAAATTCTGCATGTTTGGGGAAAATGGCAGCTTTTTCTCTTTTATTTCTCTTCTAGGAATGCCCCAGTGACCCTACCTCCTGACACCCTAGAGGTACCCCCCTCCCCTTGAGAGTGGGCCTATGTGCCAGATTCTCTGTTAAGTCCAATTCTCTTACACATTACAAACACCTAAAAAAAAAAAAAAAAAGCATGTGCATTGCCAGAAGTGAATTAAAAACGCCATATGAGTTAGTTTGAAAGCAATCAAGAGATAAAACAAGGAAGCAAGGATTTGTAGGGTACATGGCTCACAGAGAATGTGATGGTGCTACTTTCCTCCAGATAGAACAAGCACCTTCTCCAGGGCTTATAACAATTCCAGGTCACATTGATCCCTAATAGATCAAAGGAGAGTTGCAGAGTCATAGAGTACACATATTTTGCTACAGTGGGTTATACCAATTTTTACTCCCACCAGCAATGTAAGAGAATTCCTACTGCTTTATCCTTTCAACAACACTTGATATTATCAGTCTTATTTAAATTCTTGCCAATATGGTTATGTTAGTATCTCATTGTGTGGTTAGTTTGAATTTATCTTATGAACAGTTGTCAATATTTGCATGCAATTTAATTATCCTCTTTGTAAAGTGTCCATTCAAGAATCTTGCCCATTATTAAATTATAGTCTTTTCTCATTCATGTGTAGCTATACTTTATATATTCTGTATATAAGCCTTTGTCAGTTACACAAATTGCATATGTTTCTTTGGCTCTGTGATTTTCCTTTTCATTCCTTTAATGTAGCTCACAGATGAAAAATGATTTTTAATTTTAATGACATTCATTTTATCCATCTTTTATTTTGGGGCATTTTATCTGTTTTTTGTTTGTTTGTTTTGAGATGGAGTTTCACTCTTGTTGCCCAGGCTAGAGGGCAATGTCACGATCTGGGCTCACTGCAACCTCCGCCTCCCGGGTTCAAGAGACTCTCCTGCCTTGGCCTCCCGAGTAGCTGAGAATACAGGCATGTGCCACCATGCCTGGCTAATTAGGACATTTTATCTTTCTTCGAAAATATCTTCTTCATGGCTAAACCAATATAATTATTATTATTTCAAGGAGGGTGATTTCTTTTCTTTTGTTACATTTAGCTTTCATGTTTAGGTCTATGATCCCTTTCAAATTAAATTTTGTCTATGGTGTGGAGTAGGGCTTACAGCTAACTCATTTATTTTTGAGTGTAGATATCTAATTGGTGCAGCACTGTTTATTAAAAATAAATCTCTTGCCCACAAAACTGCAGTAGAGTTTCTTCTCTATTATCAGTGAGGTAGTTGTTTATGATCAGTTATGTTTCTTGACCATATATTGAATTCATTTTACCAACTCATTAATTGATATCTAATACCACAATAACTTAATTTACTGTCTGTAAGTTAGTTATGCTATTAGTTGCATGTAAGTTTTCATTGATTTTTTTTTCACTTGATACTTAATGTTTTTGAAATGGCTCTCTCCAGCTCTCTTAATGTTACTTTCCTTAAATCTCCATTGTCTGATCTTAATATAAGAATATGAGCTTTATTTTGCTTCTATTTTTCCTGGCATTCTTTTCCTATTCTATTATTTTGAAACATTGTGTTTTTAAATGTAAATTATTTTTCAAACTCTGTGTAGTTTTTCTTTCAATCAGTTTTCCATTTGTCCTTTACTTGTCCTTGGGATACTTAGGCAGGAGTCATTAATCCTTGGGGCCAAATCTCTTCAGCTACTTATTTTTGTAAATAAAGCTATATTGGAATACATCCATGACCATCATTTTATGTATTTTCTATGGCTGTTTTTACACTACAGGGACTGTGTAGAGTAGTTGAGACAGAGACCATATGGCCCACAAGCATAAAATATTTACTATCTGGACTTTTACAGAAAAAAAAATTGCTGGCCTCTGGATTAAAACATTTACATTCAATATAATACTGGTATGGTTTGGTTTAAATCTGTCTTCCTGCTGTTCATTATCTCAGTCTTCCATCTGTTAGGTGCCTCAGGCTCTGTTCCCTAAATTAATCTGCAGGGATATTGACTGGCTCACTATCTCATATAAACGTTGACTACATTGTTGATATTATACAGCTGTGAATGTAGACAGCAGATGTAGAAGCTACCTGTGCTATATTTAGATGAATATGTCCCAGAGACTGTTGGATCAATCAATCCTATAGAAATTTAGGATCTGACATTCAATGACTTTTCTGGAGTGAAACAGTCTGGCAAATTTTAGAATTCCCCCTTCGAAGATAAAAAGCAAAAACCTGTAATTTAAATTCCTACCCATAAGAAAGCTAATGGATCATATTCTAAAATTAAAATATTTCACATTTGAGCATATGGCATTCATAGCAAAGCAATGATCTCAAAGCAGGTCCAGCCAGCAGTAGAACAGTTCTATCACTTGACCTGGATAACCCAATGAATCCAATGCTTATTTAAAGTATCTCTAGATCTCTATATATTCAAAGATCATCTCTAGATTATCAAGAAGCTGATTCTGCAATTTCAGTATCAGACTCCAGTAACAAAATTACAGAGGAGAAAGGGACAATTAGAACATTATAGCTCAGGAGTGATATTGAAGAAAAGCGGAAGAGGGAAATCTCCCCACTAGGCACAATTTAAATAGTACTCTTGATTAGTCAATTTACCAGTAAGACAGATGACCATTGGCATGGCTGTATAGTAAATCGAGATTAAAGCTAAGGGTTTACTTACCTGTTTAGGATACGAAAAGAACAAGCATGAGAGATTCTTGACAAAGCATTAATTTCAAGGGGTGTGTATGGACACTTGGAATTGGGTCATAAAAATTCATTGTAAAAGGTGACTTTAGTAGTGGCTGTCAATCTCTTTCTTTTCCAGTTACGACTATTCTTTCCAATAGTTACAGATGCACTCAATCAAGACTAATGTTAACATCATAGGCTAAGTTAATATGTCAGCAATACAGACTACAGCTTACTCTCTACATTTGCTTACCTCTAACAGTGTGACAGACTCAGAAATCTCAAATGACTTAAAGACTGCAAGCAGCATACTCATGAAAAGCTTTGAATAAAAGGAAATGATGTTGTTTAGCAGGAGAAAGAGTACGACATGAGGGACCCGAGTGAGTTCCAGGCACAGCTCTTTAGATCACCATCTTATTTCACTGGATTCTCTTTGCCTACAGAGTAGGAAAAACACATATTTTTGCAATGGACTTGGTTTCCAGAGAGCTTTGGCAAAATTTACAGCAAGATATTGTGTGCTATACTGGTCAAGTGGCCAATAAGGCTGTTTATTAGATTATTTAACCTGTTAGCCATAAATTAAAAAAACAAACAAAAAGCCCCTGGATCCCAACAAAGAAGTTTTAAAGATTATACACCTGTATCAGTTAGCTCAGGCTACCACAACAAAATACTGCAGACTGGATGGCTTAAACAACAGAAATTTACTTCCCATATAGTTCTGGAGACTGCAAAGTCCAAAATCAAGATGCTGTTTAATTAGGTTTCCAGTAATGGCTCTCTTCCTGGCTTGTCTTTACCTGGTGGAGAGTTATATGATGTCTCCTCCTTTTCCTGTAAGTGTGCCAGCTCCATCAGATTAGGGCCCCATTCTTATGACCTCATTTAACCTTTATCACTTCCTCACAGGTCCTATCTCTGAAAATTGTTACATTGGGGGTTAAGGCTTCAACATAAAAATTTTGGGAAAACACAAACATTTAGCCCGCAACACCACCATATTGTAAAGTATTACTTAGTTTAGTAGCATTTACCTTAAATGAGACTCAGTAGCAGTCTCCAGATGTCCCCAGAGATATGGCTTTCTCTGTCCAGTGATAAAATAACAGTCATAATAACTAAGAGGACAAGTCAAATATATTAAACCAACTCCAGCAATTTTATTTGCTGAATATACAGTTTATTCTGATTACTTACTTGTGTTTTCTTTCTGTATTGCTTCTGTCAACTACCCTATTGGTGAATATCTAAACCTGAATGCATAATTTTCCATTATTCACTATATTACTGAGGCGATATGCTGATCCATCAATGTGCTGATGATATTCACACGTCTTATCATTTACCCTATCATAAAAGAGCATCTAGTCTTATAAAAGAGCAGATATCAAATGGAGAATGTTTCTACCAGAAAAACAATGTTAACTCAGAAAGCTAGAATTTAACTCTTCTTCCTGATCATGTTCAAATATTCATTTCACCAGTCCAGTAGGAAGAAAAAAGGAGGACATCTTGTTAAATGGCAAAATTTACTTTATTTATCAAGGGGATATAATTTTATCACAATTTGATGGAGGCAGGGAGAAGTATTCTGAATCCCCATGATTCCATGGGACACATCCAAATATTCTGTATTTTCAAAAATAAAAGTTAATAGACTCATCCTGACATAAGTGTAAACACCAAAGGACACAGCTAGAAAAGTTCCACTATCTGATGTGATATGCAGATGCTAAGTCGATGTGGTATGGTTACCGGAATAAGACATTCTAAATGTAAACTATGAATTCATGACTAGTACATCATAAGTACACTAGGATGTCCCACAGTTTCTTCTTCATGCTGATATGTGGTTAAATGTTCATGTTCCCTCTATAGATTCCCCTAAAATATATTATGATTAGATTCCTCTCATTTTAATTGTAACATTTCACCACTTCATTATGAAATTCAAGATGAGATTGGGATTTAACTAGAAAATACACTGACAATTTATGAAAATTGGGGCATCACTTTATAGAACTATCGTGCTTGTGTGTGGGGGGGGAAGTTTGTGCGCATCTGTGTGTTTTTAGCAGGAATAGTTGCATTAGGCAGATAATGTTACTGTTGCTATTGATTTAAAGTGTGGATATTGAGCACTTAAGATGTAGGTTGCTGCAGATGCTCTAGTTAAGTTTGCTAAACATCCATTGCATATCCTTTCTAAACTGGATCTGTATGAAAAAGTGGACATACTAATAATTACCTTTTCTACAGTCCCTTGTAGGCCAGCAGATGGGGTTCAGATCACACCACATGAATGGGCACGAGATTAATTTGGTATTTTTTTGGCAAAATTGTCAGGCATCTATTTTGTTGGCATATATTTTCAAGAAATGTCCTGTTTTGGACACTATCAGCTATTGGGATGGCTCCTCAGTTAGTAACAGGTATTCGGATTGAACAAGTTATTGACTATGAAAGAGGTGGCATGAATGTGAGTCTAACAACTGAGGTTAGTGATGGGAGAGACTGGTTCTCTTAGTGAATGTGGCTGCATATGTAGGATTTGTTTCTCTAGGATTGCCTGAGCTCTCCAATTGATTTCACATATCTGAGTAATTTAATCTATATTTTAATAGTGATTAAAATAGAAATTAATGTATTAAATTGCTATTTAATTTAGTAATTAAATAGTAAATATTTAGGATTAAATAGTAATTTAATCTATATTTTAATTTAATAGTGAAATCTGATGTTTATAATTGAAAGCATTTTGCAATACATAACCTTACACAATTCACTGATAACTTCTTTCTATTTTTGTCACCCAGTTTGGGCAAAAAAATAAATTTAATTCCTTACCCACTCACATTGCCTAATTGAACTATCAGATTCTCCATAGTCATCTTATTCTATAGACTACAATTTCTACCTATATTCAAATGGCATTTAGTTGCGTATTGCATATATTTTATCTGATTTGTAGCTACATGTCTGAAGCTAGGACAATGATATTAGTAAATAGTACAGTAAAGATGATTGGCGTATGTTGCAAGAAACTGTCAATGAAATGGATTTATAAAGTAAAATACACAGTCCCTTTCAAATTCTTCAGTTAAACGTAAATTTGATTCATACTATTTTTTCTTTTAAATTTTATTTTTACAGACATTTCAAAACTAGGAATGAACTTTGTAACATTATTGAAACCTATTGTGACATTAACTTAAATTCTATTCTAAACATTTCTTCACCTCTTGAATACTAGATTTTTAAAAATTTTGTCTGACATTTAGACTGGCTTTTAGAATATCTTTTAGAAATGTCTTCATAATGTCTCTCGTTATTATAAATATGTAGCTAACGGGACCATGAAATAAGTCTCTGTGCTCTCATCTTTGCCTCTGAGGCATTTTATTACTCACCAGATATGTGAGGAAGCTATAACTGCACTTAATATGTTATTGGGCTCTTTTCCTGTTGAGTATTTTAAATGAATGAAAGCAAATTTTTAAAAGATAAATATGGTGAAAGTCTTCAAAATTAAGCTTTTCATTAAGGCATTTAATAAAGAATGTTGAGCCCCCTCTCTGTTTTGTTAGTTAGGTGGTCCAAATGGAAGAATAAAATTTATGTTTCTTGCCCAAAATATCTTTCACATTTTTCTACTGTCTTAAGTGAGAGCAAAAAACCAGACAATTATACTACAATATATGATTATGTGAAAGATGAGTCTGTCTATAATAAATACATACTCAAATCCAGAAACCAGGCCAGAGACACTTCTCCTGTTGTAACTGTGGTTCCTGGAATCTTAGTGCTAACATCACCTGCAAATTCTCAGGCCTAATCACAGATATACTAAATTAAGCAGTATGGGGATTTTGGTCGAACTGTCTGTGTTTAAACAAACCTTTCAAGTAATTCTGAGGCAGGTTCAAGTTTGAAAACCACTGGCATAGAATATTATCTTGAAAGATTATCTAAGTCTATAAATTACGTTAGTTTAAATATATTAATTATACCAAATTATCTTAATTGGAATCTATAAATTATCTTATGTTCAGTGTTAAGATATTAAAGACAAACTGGAATAAACCTACACATCATAATGATTCTAAGAAGTTGTGACTAATTCAAGACTTTGGGACCATACAAGGAAGCAGAGTTGCAAGAGATGATGCCGAATCTTTGTTCCAATGCTTGTTTATGAAGGGTCTTTACGTTGTGGTAGAAAGCTTTAATGGTATCATTTAGGTCACTGGGATTTATACTTTTGAATGCAATCCACATTGAACAGCGGTTTTTACACTTCTATACAGTACAGATGTGTATGCGTGTATATTCACAAAATTATTTTTACCGTTCTTTTTTCTTTTTTTTTTCAATTTTATTAGTTTCTATTTCATTTTAAAAACTGCTGGTCTAGACACAGCATAATTCCATGCAGGTATTTTGTAATGGCTACCAACAATGTACGAGGGTTGCCTTTTTCCCACATCTTCACCAAAACTTCGTACCCTTTGTCTTTTTTATAAAGCCATTCTTACAGGTATGTGATTATATTGCATTGTGGTTTAAATTTGTATTTCCCTAATGCTTGGTGATATCAAGACTTTTTCCATGAACTTGGCAGTTTGTATGTCTTTTTTAAAGAAATGTCTGTTTAAATTATTTGCCCGTGTTTTAATTGGTTTATATGTTATTTTTTGATATTGAGTTGCTTGTATTCCTTGTACATTTTGGATAATAACCTTTTGTTGAATGTGTGGTTTACAAATATTTTCTCCCACTCTGAGTTGTGTCTTCAGTCTGTTGATTGCTTCTTTTGCTGTTTGGAAGCTTTTTAATTTGATGTATTCACATTTGTCTACTTTTGCATTTGTTGCATGAGCTTCTTGAGTCAAACCCAAAATATTATTTCCCAGACCAATATTGTGAAACTTTCTCCCTTTGTTTTATCCTGGAAGTTTTAGAGTTTTGTGTCTTATATTTGTCTTTAATTAATTTTGAGTTTATTTTTGGATGTGATAAGGGATAAAGATCCAATCAATTCTCCTACATGTGTATATATAGTTTTCCCAACACCATTTTTATGCCTGTCCTTTCTCCATTGAATATTTTTGGGACTTTTATTGAAAATTAGTATGAGCATATCAATAGACGCAGAAAAATAAATTGACAAAAGTCAATATCTTTTCACGATAAAAAACTCTTAACAGATTATGTATAGAATGAATGTACCGAAGCACAATAAAGTCCATATACGGCAAGCCCAGAGTCAACATCATGTTCAAATGAGAACAGCTGAAAGAGTTTTCTCTAAGATCAGGAATAAAACATGGTTGCCCATTCTCTCTACTTGTTTTCAACATAGTTCTGGAAACCTTAGAGCAATTGAGCAAGAGAAAGAAATGAAAGGCATCCTAAGAGAAAAAGGAAAAATTGATTTTTTTTTCTGTTTTTTGACAATATGGTCTAGCATAAAAATTCTAAGTACTCAACCAATAAAACTATTTTTTGACATTTTTTATTTATTTATTTATGTATTTATTTTATTATTATACTTTAAGTTCCAGGATACATGTGCACAATGTGCAGGTTTGTTACATATGTCTACATGTGCCATGTTGGTGTGCTGCACCCATTAACTTGTCATTTACATTAGGCATTTCTCTTAATGCTGTCCCTCCCCACTCCCCCCACCCCACAACAGGCCCCAGTGTATAATGTTCCCCGCCCTGTGTCCAAGTGTTCTCATTGTTCAATTCCCACCTATGAGTGAGAACATGCGGTGTTTGGTTTTCTGTCCTTGTGATAGTTTGCTCAGAATATGGTTTCCAGCTTCATCCATGTCCCTACGAAGGACATAAATTCATCCTTTTTTATGGCTGCATAGTATTCCATGGTGTATATGTGCCACATTTTCTTAACCCAGTCTATCATTGATGGACATCTGGGTTGGTTCCAAGTCTTTGCTATTGTGAATAGTGCCATAATAAACATATGTGTGCATGTGTCTTTATAGCAGCATGCTTTATAATCCTTTGGGTACATACCCAGTAATGGGATCACTGGGCCAAATGGTATTTAGAACTTATAAACAAAGGCACTAAAGTGATAGTATATAAAATCAGCATATAAAATCAGTAGCACTTCTATACACTAAACACAAATTACTGGAAAAAATAATTAAGAAAGCATTCCCAAATAAAAAATAAATAAAATACTCAGGGTCAAATTTAATCAAGGAAGTGGAGGATGTGTATAATAAAAACTACAAAACAATAATGAAAGAAATTAAGGAAAACACAGAGAAAGGTATCTTATGTTCACGGATTGGAAGAATTAATATTGTAAAAATGTACAAACTACCCAAAACAATCTATAGATTCAATGCAATGCCTATCAATATTCCATTGTCATTTTTCACAAAAATAAGAAAAACAATGTTCAAATTTGCTTGGAACCATTAAAGACCCCAAACAGCCAAACCAATTTTGAGCTATAGAGCAGAGCTGGAGGCATCATACTACCTGATATCAAAATCAAAATTATAGTAGTCAAAACGGCATGATACTGGCATGCAAACATATGCATCAACAAATGGACCTGGATATAGAGTTCATAAATAAATCCACAAACTTATAGAAAATCAATTTCTAATAAAGCTGTCGAGATTTACCTTATCTTCATCTCATTCTCTTTCCAGTCCCATTTTTTCAAAATTATCTAATAAGAAGCTAAACTGTATATCGAAGTCCTAGTTGCTAAGTTTAATATCAAGGGTTGCGGGACTATCTCACATCAGATGTAGTATTGGCAACAAAGGGATGTAAATTCTAGCATTAGATTAATAATTATTTCTATTATTATATTTTCAAAGTTTTGAAACCTTAGTTTAATCACTGGAAAATATCTGTCTAATAGGTTTATTGCATAGCTTACATTTAGAAAATATGTGTACATGAGTCTGCTTTTTAGTTATATTAATATATATAATAATCAGGAAGTAATTACCTGATACTGGTATCATTTAAATTATCCATATTATACCATAATTTCTCATTTTTATCATTTTGATGTAAGACAGAATCACACTTTTAAGATTTTACTAGGTTAACATTGATAATCTAAAAATTATATATTTGTTTCCTCAGATATTAATATTATGTGCATTTTATTCAAATTATTTTATTTTTACTTATGTTCAGTTTGTCATTTCATGTAATTATAATTACTTACATAATGGTTGTATAAATAAATGTATATGTATAAATAAACGTATGCATAATTTATACATAAATGTACATTGATACATAAATGTAATTTATACAGAAGTGTACAAATTATGTATAAGCAGACACATCTACCAATGAAATAAGATAAAGGGTGTGGAAACAAATTCATACATTTACAAAAAAATTGATTTTCATATGTTTTATAAATGTATATATTATACGGCCACC
The DNA here is from genome assembly GCF_000001405.40 of Homo sapiens. Lineage (NCBI taxonomy): Eukaryota > Metazoa > Chordata > Mammalia > Primates > Hominidae > Homo > Homo sapiens. The sequence continues at coordinate 23,526,845 of NC_000021.9, read as the reverse complement.
AAGTGGTAAGCAGATTAATGCCTTCCAAATATGTCCACGTCTTAATTACCAAACCCTGTGAATGTTACCTTCTGTGGCAAAAGGAAGTTTACATATAGGATTGAGTTAAGGATCTCAAGATTGGAAGATTTTTGTGAATTATCAACATTGGTCCCAAGCATCACAATGGTACTTATAAGAGGGGCACATGAGGAATCAGTGGGGAAGGTGATGTGATGACTGAAGCCAAGATTGAAGTGATGCCCTTTCATGGAGGGTTGACAAACCAAACACTGCAGATGCCACTAGAAGCTGAAAAAGCTTGGAAACATACTGTCTCCTCAGCACCTTCAGAAGCAAACAGCCCCGCCGGCATCTTGAAGTTAGCCCGGTAATTTTGGACTTTTGACCTCCAGCACTTTAAGATAATAAATTGTTAATTGATGTATGTTACTAAATTTGTGAGCACGTATTATAGCAACAAAAGGAAACCAATGTTTATCATAAACACATTCTTCTTAGGTTATTTGTAAACAATAAATCTGGAAAAATACTTTTCAAATAACAGATTAAATGCTGATTTTAAAGTCATTTTATAGTATCTCCTGAATTTACAGATCGTATATATTAAAGCTCATTTATTCCATTTACCAAGAAGTTTACTTTCACAAATACACCATTTTAAGGCTGAAGAGGTAACTTTTCTAATTTGCTTTTGTGTGGTTGTTTATATACCTGTATATATTTCTAAGCTATACCATATGTAAAAATATAACTCAGGGATACCTGCTGCTGAAATCTGTTAGTACGAAGGTAGGCCTGGCGAAATGTCCTTAGGTTTATTCATTCTTATAGAGATTATAGTAGGGCTAACCTCTACCTGGTGGGCTGACACACAAAGGGCTATAGATTGAACAGTTTGAAAGGCCAAACGGATATCGATACCTCCTAAGAATGTGAAGTGGAGTTTCTAGGACTTCCATGTCTTCACAATGAAAGTAGTGTTAGCTGCAGCAGTGGTGTCTTATGGAGGACTTGAGGAGATGGAAGACTGGTCTCTCCCCCTCACCCTCAACCTTTGTACAGAAAGTTATCTCCTGGTATCAATAAAATTGATATTGTTTGTCAGTATCCGATTTGTACAGAAGAATGTCATGATGATCTCCATGAATTTATTTAAATATGTTTTTGAAAGAAACAATAAATTAATGCATATAGATTTTCTCTTAATATTAGGGAACTTTTATAGGTCACTTTATTTTGGTTATTCCTCATGAACATCAAATGTTACCTAAAATCAGTATTTTATATCTAATATGATATAAATAATTTTATTTCCAGAGATTTAATGAGAGGATATATTTGTGTATGTGTATAAAAGTGTATATATGTCTATATAGAGAGGAATATATTACTTTGAGTATGAACACAGAAATGTGTGTGTCTGTATGGATGTGGTCTTTTGTGCATGACCACATCCATAGTTTTGGAAAGCTAAGCTAAGAACCTGTCAAAGAATTGTTCTCTGCTCTTTCAAATAAGTAAAATCATATTTGTATATATTGCAAATATGAGAATTCTGAAATGCTAAATATATTTAATGAGACTTCACATGTTTTCATTAAATATTTTATGGCAATAATATGACATTCAATTATTAACTTATTTATTCATTAATCTCTAGATACTTTTAAAATCAAGTGATCTTGCATTGCTCTAAAACATCACATTATATTACTGGATCCTTTTTTTAATAAAAACATTCTTTTTTTATAAATTAAGCAACTAGATACTGCAGGTTACCTCAGCTAAAATAGGTACCAAAATGAGGCATGAGAGGCAATGAGGAGAGCTTTATCAACTACAAGAGGCAGTTGACCGCATCTAGCTGGAAACCAAATAAAGAATACTAACAGTCTGAAGCTTGCATCATTGTTCTTATCACTGCCAGAAAGAGGAACCTCTGAGGCCTGAGATGATTTAGCAACAGATACCAACATGTAGGCAGGAAACAACATTCGGGGATGCATGCTGAAGCCCATATTCTGATATCTACGCAGAATGGCATTGAGGGTTATGAGTCTTATTTACGAACAACAGGAATCCATCGACAGGCTGCCACTGAAGGACAATATCCAATATTCCAGCAACTTGGGGATAAGCATAGCACAATATACATAAACTAGAAAGACACTGAGTACTAAGCAGGTAAACAAAAAAGAACAAAATCAATAGAGAAAAGCAGACACTGTAAAAACTGTTTCTTTCTTTTCTTTTCTTTTCTTTTTTAGATGGAGTCTCACTCTGTTGCCCAGGCTGGAGTGCAAGGGCACAATCTCGGCTCACTGCAACCTCCACTCCCCAGGTTTAAGCAATTCTCTGCTTCAGCCTCCTGATTAGCTGAGATAACAGGCACGTGCCACCACATCTGGCTATTTTTTTGTATTTTTAGTACAGACAGGGTTTCACCATTTGGCCAGGCTGGTCTTGAACTCCTGACCTCGTGATCCACCCACCTCGGCCTCCCAAAATGCTGGGATTACAGGCATGAGCCACTGTGCCCAGCCTGTAAAACCTGTTTCTTAAATTAAGATCCACAGAAGTTCTTTGGCACAGAAATTTAGTGCAGGAAAGTGTGGAATGGTAGCAGTTCAATGAAAATAACCTCAGTGATCACAGTTATACAAAATATTAAGCACTGATTTTGATTAAAGGTGAATTATTAGCTCAGTGATTAAGGCTCAAGCATCACTTCTCCATCAATTTCAAAGGCAAGGTTAATAATGATCTTTCACCAAGCACTTCATTTACAACTCCAACCTGCTTAGTCTTTTAAAAACTGCATCCCTTTGGAAATAGCTCAGAAGACAACAAGACCATTTTTTATAAATGGTCTTGAATCCACTTTGGATAAATATAATAAAACATCACACTTTCAAATCTTCTTAAAATAGTTCCATACCAAGAGAATGTTTAAACCCACTGTAGAAGCTTCAAAATGGGCCATAAAAACTGAAATCTCTTCTTCCATAATTTCTGCTCAGACTAGTCTATAGCTCTTTTCTGTGCTTCTTTGTCAAGCAATTCATGAGTATTATATTCTCACTGATCATCATTTATTACTAACACACATGGCTTTTTATAGATACTTCATTAAGAAGTTGTTGATGATGACTTGAATATTTTACATATTTCTAAATATGTTGTCATCAAAACAACTACTACTGTGCTGACTCTTTAGTAATATTCAAACAGTTTCCACAAGTGGTAACTTAACAGTACTAATTTAGAGTTACAGATACACAGCCTTGAAATAATTTAGTGTTTTCATGTTGTGTGAGTTTTCACCACCTAAAGTCTTCCTTTCTTCTGAAGTCCTTGTTTTATAATGTGAACTTGAAATGCTGCCAACTTCAAAAGGACAGAAGAACACTTTCTATAATGATATAAATTTTGTCATTGTAAGAACATTTCAGACAAAAAAATCACTTTTCCTTTGGATAAACTCAGATTCACTGCCCTCAGTGTTTTCCCTACAGTATGACTGAGTGAAAATTGAAGAGTTTAATGTATAACGAGAGCTTTTCTATCGCCTCTTTTATGAAAAAAAAAAAACAGTTTATAATCATTACTTGGATTCCTCAGACAAAAGACATTTAAACTGAAAAGATGGATATTTGCAAAGAGATTGAATGCAACTAAAGAGACAGAAATCAACCAATATGGAAAATTATAAGGTTAAAGGACAATTTATTAAACTGCATTTGCAGTTTATAAATTGAACTCCCATATTTCTGTAGTTATAGAATCAGGTGAAGCATAGATAGTATTAGATTTGTTATACGTCATTTTTCATTGCATTTCTCTATTCTCTTTGATGTTACCCCACAAGGCAATGAAATATTGTGCTGCTCTCCAGGGTACTGAATATCATAGATCATACTGTAAGCCCTAAGAGACAAGGGAATATTTAGTTTGTAAAAATAATCCAGAGACAAAAAGAAAGTCATGGTGAAAGAGATAGATTCTAATATATCTTTTCATATTAAAACACATTCAGACATATGCACTTACACACATGCCCCAAATAATATTGTCTGAAACTATATTAAAGCACATAAATATGTAAAGCAAATATTCATAGATCTGAAGGAAGAGATAGACTGCAACACAGTTATATTAGGAAGCCCCAATATCCTACTTTAAACAATCAACCAGAACATCAAGTCAGAAAATCAATAAGGAAACATCGAACTACACTTTAGACTAAATAAATTTAACAAAAATATATGGAGCATTCCATTCAAATGGAATTCTTCTCAAGCACACTGGACATCTCCAGGATAGATCATATGTTAAGTGACAAAGTAAGTCTTAACAAATTTAAGAAGACTTTAATCACACCAAGTATATTTTCTGATAAAAATGGTATAAAACTTAAAATCAGTGATGGGAGAAAAAATCACAAGTATGTGAAAATTAAACAACATGCTCCTGAGCAAGCAATGAAGTAAAGAAAACATTAAAAGAAACCTTACAAATATCTTGAGACAAATGAAGATAGAAACACAGCATAGAAAAAATGTATGGCATACAATAAAAGGAGTTGTAAGAGGGAAGTTAATTGCAATAAAAAGTACCACCAAAAAAGAAGAAAGAGCTCAAACGACCTACTGTTACACATCATAGAATTACAGAAAAAAGAACAAACTAAGCCCAACATTGGTATAAGGAGGAAAATAATAAAGAAGCGAATAAATAAATAAAATAGAAACTAGGAAAACAATAGAAAATATAAATAAATCTAAGCGTTATTGTTTTGAAAGGATAAAATAAATCTCTAGGCTAGCTAAGAAAAAAATGAGAGAAGATTTAAATAAATCATGAAAGATAAGGCATTATAACTGATATTATAGACATACAAAGGATCATGAGAGACTGCTGTAAACAATTATATGCCAACAAATTGGAGAACCTAAAACATCGATACATTTTGAAAACATAAAACTTACCAAGAATGAATCATGAAGAAAAGAACATTTGAACAAATTATTCAGTAAGACTGAATAACGGCTAAAGAAATTGAATCAGTAACAACAATTATTCCATCAAAGAAAAGCCTAGAACCTTACAGCTTCACTGCTGTATTCTACCAAATATTTCAGGAACCGATACAAATCCTCAGAAACTTCCAAAAAATCTAAATGAAAGTAATACTTCCAAATGCATTTTCAACACCAGAATTATTATTATTATTATTATTATTATTATTATTATTATTATTATCATTGAGACGGAGTTTCACTCTGTTGTCCAGGCTGGAGTGCAGTGGCGTGATCTTGGCTCACTGCAAGCTCTGCCTCCCGGGTTCACGCCATTCTCCTGCCTCAGCCTCCCAAGTAGCTGGGACTACAGGCGCCCGCCACCACGCCTGGCTAATTTTTTGTATTTTTAGTAGAGACGGGGTTTCACCGTGTTAGCCAGAATGGTCTGGATCTCCTGAACCTCAGGATCCGCCCGCCTCGGCCTCCCAAAGTGCTGGGATTACAGGTGTGAGCCACCACGCCCAGCCCACCAGCATTATTATCTTGTTACCAAAGTTTGTCAAATACACTAAAAGAAAAGAAAATTGCAGTCCAATATCCCTGATGAATATAGATGCAAAAATACCCAGCAGCTATACATTAAAAGTGATCTATCATAAAAAAATCAAAAATAAATCCTATCTGCAATAGCTACAAAAATAAAATAAGAACAAACTTAAAAAAGGAGATAAAACATCAGCACTGAAAATTATAAAACATTAATGAAAGTAATTGAATAAGACACAAATCAATGGAAAGATATCCAATATTCGTGTTTTGTAAAAATTAATTTTAAATTTTCCATACTATTCAAAGTGATTTACAGATTCAATTTAATTTCTATCAAAATTCCAATTATATTTTTCATAGAAATAGAAAAAAGATAAAATTAATATGGAAGTACAAAAGACCATAAATAGCTAAATAATTTTGAGCAAAAGAACAAACCTGGAGGCATCACACTAATTCAGTTTAAATTATGTGATACAGCTGTAGAAATCAAGACAGTATGGTACTGACATAAAAGCAGGATACATTGACCAAGGGAACAGAATAAGGGGCTGAAAATCAAACCCATGCATACACAGTCAATTGATTTTCACCAAAGTTGCCAAGAACACACAATGGAGAAAGGATAGTCTCTTCAATAAATGGTGTTGGAAAAACTTGACATACACATGTAGACAAATGGACCTTTCAGCAATACCTTACATTCAAAAAAATTCAAACTAAGTAAAGACTTCAACATAAGATCTTACATTATAAAAATACTAGAAGAAAACATAGGGGAAAGCTCCAGGACATTGGTTTCGGCAGCGATATTTTGAATTTCACCCCAAAAGTTCAGGCAACAATTGCAAAATAGACAAATGGGATTGCATCAAACTAAAATGTTTCTTCACAGCAAAGGAAACGATGAGCAGAGTTAAGAGAAAACGTTTGGATTAGGAGAAAAAAATTTCAAACCATACATTCAATAAGGGGTTAATATCCAAAATATATAATGTATGCAAACAACTCAATAGTGAGAAAACAAATAACCCAATTAAAAATGGGCAAAGCATCTCAATAGACATTTCTCAGTAGGAGACATACAAATGATCAACAGGTAAATAAAAAATTATCTACAGCACTAATCATCAGGGAAATTTAAATCACAATGTGCTATCACTTCACACCTGTTAGAATAGCTACTATCAAAACTATGAAAAATAAAGTGTTGGAAAATTTATGGAGAAAAGGGAACCCTTGTACCCTATGGTGGGTAGGTAAATCAGTACAGCTATTATGAAAAAAGATTATATGGAGATTCCTAAAAAAACTGGAAATTAAACTCTCATATGATCCAGCAGTCCCACTTCTAGATATATATCCAAATGAAATAAAATCAGTATTTCAGAGATATCCGCATTCCCATGTTCATGGCAGCATTATTACAATAGCCAATACATGGAATCAACTGAAGCATCCATCAGTGAATGAATGGATCAACAAAATATGCCATATATACTCAATGGAACAGTATTCAGTCAAAAAAAGACAAATTCTGCCATTTGTGACAACATGAATTAGATATAATAATAATGTAGATATTTTAATTTTTTATGATATATTTTCTAAGTTGGTTTTATTTTTGTTTATTTTTTAAATAAACATTGCATTTGTATGATCTAGAAATGAAAATAATATATTATTAAATTATAATAAAACATTAAATAATCTAGAAATGAAAATAACATATTACATAATTAATATAATATAGCTTATAATATAATATAGATTCTGTCAGTGACCCTCTTTGATATCATCTCCCACTGCCCTTGCTTTGCTTTCTTGGCTCCAAGCAATCCAGCCTTCACAATGTTCCTTGTATACACCAAGCATATGGCACCTCTAGCCACTGCCTCAATCAATCACTAAGCCTAGTTAATTCATACTTTGCAACTTTTGTCTGCAGTCATTACTTTGATCATTTTATCACTGCTACAAATATAGATTTGATTAGTTGCTAGGTTCACCTGTGCTTTCTTCGTTTTTAAATTTGTATGTTTCATTTAAAATTTATTAATTGTGGTAAGAACATTTAACATAAGGTGAACTCCCTTAACACATTTTTAAATATACAATACAGTGCTGTTGTCTAGACTACGAGAAAAGAGAAGATTCAAAGAAACAAAATCAGAAATGAAAGAGGAGACGTTACAACTCATGCCACGGAGATAACAAGCACCATAAGACACTGCTGTAGATAATTGCACACCAACAAATTGGATAAAGAGAACCTAGAAGAAACGGATAAATTCCTAAAAATAGAAAATATATGACTTCTATCTCATGAAGAAATAGAAAACCTGAACCAACTCCTAACTAGTAAGGTATTTTAATCAGAAATAAATGATAATCATAAAATAAATAAGAAAACTTTCTAACAAAGAAAACCCGGGACCAGGTGGCTTGATTGTTCATTCTTAATTCCTACCAAACAACTTGGCACCTAGAAAGTACTAAATTATGATTTTAGAATAAAGGAAAGGATTACTGAACAAATAAGTGGCCTCGCTTTATCTCTCATAATTCTGCTTTCTTATCAGATTTTACCCTCCCAAAATTTTTTGGTATCCCAGAAAGTTCCAAACTTTTCTGTAGTTTTGTTTCACTGAGTCTTTAGTATGTGGTGCTATCCCTCTTCTTTTTACAAATCCTACATAGTTTTCAATTCCTAATAACTGCCTTATCCTTTATGATAATTTTACTGATAATGGAGCAAAATGTCACTGCTTCATATACTTTATTCCAAAAATAATTTGTTGCAATTCTGATAAATATTTTTTCTGATGATAAATGTTTACTTATAAGCATGAATTATAAAACTCATATATCAGACTATATGAGTACTTAGAAAAGATATTTATTTTATTTTATTATTGATTATTATTAAAATTAATTATTAATAATTGTTTTGTTTTATTTATTTTAATAAAATAATGTATTGCTTTTAAAGTAGACCTATTAGACATACTAAGAATAATGTGACATGAAAAGCTATATCCATATTTTCAAAGTGGACAAGCTTTGTGTTTTGTTTTTTGGGTTTTTTTGTTTTTTTTTTAAATAGGGTCAGAGCTCCGTGGGTTTTGTTCGTTTGTTATCATTTAAAACAGTGTTAGGCAATATATTTCTTTGACTTGTTTTATTTTCTAAACGATGTGATAGAACTACTGAACATATGTTAAATAAGATATGATTCAGACCCAAAATAGAAAGTGCATCCCATGAGATAATATCCACCTTAAATATAATAATTTTAATTTTTAGCAAGCCTGGAGTCCTTAATTTCTTTCTAAAAAATGCTGTTGCATAATACTATTTTTTTAGCCTGGGCAAGAGAGCAAGACCTTGTCTAAAATAAAATAAAATAGAATGTCATTATGAGTAAATAATGAAGTGGATATATAAATAAAGGCAAGCTGGATTTTTAAAAAAATAACTAAAAGGCAAATGGGAGAACTATTATTTTCAATTTAATTACAATTTTAACCAAGGTAGAAAACAAAGGAACATTTAACCAAGATAGAAAACAAAGGAAATATTTTAAATTTGAGAAGGTGCGTGCCAAAATAATGAAACAGACTACCTTGCTTACATAAGGTGATTTATACTGTGAATAATGAGGTTAACTTTGGGTAAATGAATCCTGAATATGGAAGATCTTGAAATAGAGAATTAGAAGGATGGAATATTATTCAAGTTTCTGGGAGGAAAGGATGAAATTAAGGATTTAAGATTGTTAATTTGGTGACAGGTAAAAAAACGCATTGAATTCAGTGGCAACTGGAGATTACCTAGTCTGCTAACTTGCAGGCAGTTGCAAATTTGAAGACATTTGTGCCATTAAATGGATATTATAAATTGCTTATATCTAAACATAGCATTTCTTTTAATTTTCCTTCTAAATATACTTTAAATTACAAAGTTTCTGATAAAAACTACAGTAGCAAACAATTGGGGAAAGTGCTACTTTAAATGAAATGTCAGCTAATTAAATCCTACAAGTACTCTAATTAACAAAAAGATACTTTAATACGGTACCAAATTCTTGACCACCAGGAAATGTAAATAGACTATCTTCTTAATTCTGAAGATGAGATTAGTTAAAATATGGTGATAAGAGGTGCAATGATTCAACAAAACTCAAAATCACAACTCAGTTAAGGTTATCATTAGAATCACCTAAGGAATTTATTAAAAATCCAGATTTCTAGGCCTCAAACCCTCTGAAATCCCAATTCATTAGGTCTGAGAGAAGATACAAAAATTGGTAAGTTAATTTATGTTCCTAAATTCTGATGCCATCAATTTACTGAATACATTTTGGGCAATATTGTCCCTGAGTTAAGAGTCAAGCCATTTCCCTAATAAAGTATCAGTCCATTGAAGTTAGTTTGTGAATTTATTTAATTCTCTAATGGTCTCACAGCTCTTACTACTTTACAGAAATATAACACATAAATTTGGGGAAAAAATGTGATATAGTAAGCCAGAAATCGGAGGTATTTTACTATATTTCAGATTCAGATATTAGGTTTTTTGAAATAGAAATAATGGCGTCTTTACTTTGCAAAACTTGGTATTTATTGTTTTGTTGAAAACAGTTTACATAATAATTTAATAATTGGCTGTTTTACAATGTTCATGTTGCCCTTTGTACATTCATGTTTACTGCTTGTGTATATATAGTTCCTTAAATATACTTCACATGCCTTTGTTATAGATGATTGATTCACTCATCAATGTGTTTGGAGCCTATTTAAAATGATTTTCACCACTTGGAAATAAAGGTAGGGAATCAAGGAAGGTGACTTTCAACAGACTCTCGCCAGTTACATTCTGTAAAAGCCAACTCAGTGGGGACTTGGTTTTTCAATCTTAGTCCTGTCAGTACCAATGACTTTTCCATGTATTTGTAACAAGGAATAATATATAAAAAACCTCCAGCAATAATAATCCTTTGCAGTTCAGTGTTTTTTTCTAATCATATTATTTTTAAATAAATATAATAGTTTACCTTATTTTGCAGAGTGAGATTTAAATGAAATGAAATTAAAGTGTTTTAAAATCTATTGAAAGTACTGAATCTTTCAACAATATTCTCATAATAAAAGCCAAATTTATGTTTAAGAGATTGCATATTTTTATTTTTATTTTTATTTTTGAGGTGGAGTCTCGCTCTGTCGCCCAGGCTGGAGTGCAGTGGCGCTATCTCGGCTCACTGCAAGCTCCGCCTCCCGGGTTCACGCCATTCTCCTGCCTCAGTCTCCTGAGCAGCTGGGACTACAGGCGCCCACCACCACGCCCAGCTAATTTTTTTTTTTTTTTTTTTTTTTTTTTTTTTTTAGTAGAGACGGGGTTTCACTGTGTTAGCCAGGGTGGTCTCGATCTCCTGACCTCGTTATCCGCCCACCTCTGCCTCCTAAAGTGCTGGGATTACAGGTGTGAGCCACCGCGCCCGGCCGAGATTGCATATTTTTAATTACAAAAGCATTATACTAGTCCTAAAATGTTAGGCAATAACTCTACAATAAAAGAAAGAGCAAACCAACCAACAAAATATTACCTAGAAGTATCCAGTGTTTACTACTGGGAAACATTCTTCCCAACAATTTTTGCTGGTTTTTTGAAGGAAATATTAGAATTTACAATTTTTAAGCTGTTTTTAAAACAATATTAAGTATCATTAATATTCAGAGCATGAATTGACACTGTCACACTCACTATTTGTACTTTAGGTTATCACGTGTTAGATGTTAAGGAGTTATCGAAGGGTAAAATGAAAGAGCTGCAGTTAGTAAAACAAGATTCACTCCCTATCAGGTGTCTGAAACGCATTACTTTCAGACTACTATAAGTCATTGCTCTTTTTTGTATGTTTAAAAAAAAAGACATAAAAATTGTGGTTTTGTTTCAAAAATATTTAAATAGTAGACTATTTTAATGACTAAATAATAACATGGACATTTAGATTAAATTAACTTAAAATACACAGACATTTACTGGCTGACCACAAAAAGAAAACTGTAAAACTTAGAAAGTCAGTCAACTATAAATTTATTCATGTCTCAACATTTACAATATTGTAAAATAGCACTTTCTAATTTGATAAATAAAATATATGAAATAAGACTTTGAGTAATATTTGACTAGTTGACACTGGAGAAATGGAAATGTACGAACTTCGATTTTAAAATTGTTTTCATAGCTCGAAGTTGAAAATGGAGAATGAATGAGACCATTTAAGCAAGCACCACCAAAGAGGCTTTTGTTTGATTTATATTCAAATGTCCTTGGAATATATTTTTTAATTGTAATCAGAACAAAATTTTGAAATCCACTGAAATGAAAATCGTGTTCACAAATAATTATATTATCATCTTAAACTAAGTGTTTTAAAGATGAATTTGAATACATGATATTTTATTTGTGAAAATAAAACATTTAAAATTGTACATTTATCTCAGTATTTTTAAACTTTAATATTTGTGTCTTTTTTATATTGTTAAAATAGTGTTGAGAAATGACATGTACAAGTAAACATATGTTAGTGGTAAAATTCAATATTTTTATATTTATTTATTTGAGACCGAGTCTCACTGTTGCTTAGACTTGAGTGCAGTGGCACTATCTCGGCTCACTGCAGCCTCCACCTGCTGGGTTCAAGCAATTCTCCTGCCTCACCCTCCCTAGTAGCTGGGATTACAGGTGTGAGCCACCAAGCCCAGCTAATTTTTGTATTTTTAGTAGAGGTGTGTTTTCATCACATTGGCCAGGCTGGTCTCAAACTTCTGATCGCAAGTGGTCTGCCCACCACGGCCTCCCAAAGTGCTGGGATTACAGGTGTGAGCCACCACGCCCAACCAAACTCAATATTTTAAAATTGATAGTAATGTTTTATCAGAACCACTTGGAGATGAAAACCACATTTTATATAATCCATTGCTCAAACATTCATTATTTTTATACATTTTTGAAATTCTGCAAGAAGTTATGATGAAATATCTCATGTAGCTAAAATTAGATATGTATATTCTGCTAAGAAATTTACATTATATTTTTCCACATAGGTTAAAAAACAAATTTTCGTTAGGCAAATTAAAATGTACACAGTTTTTACTGTGTATTTAACATTCATTACATTAACAGTAAAAAGATGAGTACCTTAAAGTCTAGTCAAATTTAAGATTATAAGTGAAAGTTTCATTGTTATTACCATAAAATAATGGAAAATAATTATTTGTTCCTTCCAAGTTAATACTTTCATAAGATCCCGACTTCAGCAGAACAAGGACTGTGGGGATCATAACTGCTACTATTTATGTAAGGTTTTCCAGTATGTTCTGAGCACACTAAAGCTGAGAAGGAATCACAAATAAATGATGCATCCAAAACCTTTCTAAATTGCTGTGAATTTTGAATCCATCTTGCCTATTATGTAAGTAATTATTTTGCTCTTTGACTTTATTTCATGGTTTAATATTTGGATTTTATGTTTTCCGGATTGCACTATTTATGAATTCAAGTTGTCCTAGAACTTTTCTCTCAATATTTAACTTCTGTGTTGATGTATCAATGACTTATGAGCTAAAAAAAAAAGAAAATATGAGTCTGTGTAGATTAACCCATGAAGTTTAGGTAGACAGCAAGATTTTGTGATTATAAAAGAACGTATGCAAATATTGACTCATTCTTAGTATGTATGTATTCTGTTTTCCAGAATTATCAGTTTCTGCTTGTTAGTGCCATTTATCAAGAACCGCAGTCTACCAATGTATTCCTATGAAACCTCCAGCATATAAAAAATAATCCTGGCCACATACAGATTGCTCACTAGCAAGCAGTGTCTGAAACTAGTTAACTGTGTTCACTAGTTCAGTTTCCAGCACCTGCCTGAAACTGGGGCTATCACACCTATAAATGGGCTTAACCTCACCTAATTAATTAATGAGTTGTCTTATTTACATATGTTTTCATAGTAAAGCATCTTTTCATTCCTGGAATATATACGATTTGCCAGATAGATTATTCTATAAATATATATTTACCTAGGTTTGATTACATGTTTTGCATATACTTTGATAAAAGGAATAATGTATTCATTTTATTATATTATTCTTAAAATTTTACCTATTGATATTAGCTTTCAGAAGTAATTTATATCTTCTTGTATACTTAATATCTGTTTAGAGAGCATAATTTTTTTTATTTAAATATTTAAATTAACCTGGCTATAAAAGTATCTGTAATTGAAGGCTTGGAGGTAAAGAGTTGATGGGTCGGTTGCTTTTTCTTCTATTTTGTTTTACTTGACTAGAGTTTCATTCATATTTTTTTCTTGTTTTAAGGTTAATTAGACTTCAATTTTTTTACTACGTTTGAAATTTTGTTTTTATAAAACATGTCATTAATTCAGTCAAAATTATCTTCATAGATATATAAAGACTTTTTCTTATGACATTAAATAATGTCATAAGAAAGTGAATGCTTTACCTTATATATTAGAGGCATTTTAATTATTTAAATTATAAATGCAATTATATATATAATATATATATATATATATATATATATATATATGTTTTGTGTGTTTGTTTGTTTGTTTTGAGGCAGGGTCTTGCTGTGTTGCCCAGGTTAGAGTACAGTGGTGCGATCTCGGCTCACTGCAACCTCTGCCTCCTGGGTTCAAGTTCTCGTGCCTCAGCCTCCCAAGTAGCTGGGATTATAGGCATCCACCACCACACCCAGATAATTTTTGTGTATTTAGTAGAGACAGGTTTCATCATGTTGGCCAGACTGATCTCAATCTCCCCACCTCTGATAATCCACCCGCCTAAGCCTCCCAAAGTAATTACAGGCATGAGCCACTGCACTTGGCCTGGTAATACGTATTTTTATTTTTAAAGCTTACATAAGTGAAAATAATGTTCCTTTAAAATTTTTCCCAGTCCAGTATGCTTCCCAGAGATAGCTATTATTACAGTACTGTTTGGTTTCTTACCAGAATTTTTTCTGACTACACAATTACATATATATGCATATGTGACTTGAGATATGTCAATGCTTGGCGACAGGATGTTTTCAATACGTTTATTATTTTAACATGTAATAAATAGCTTTTTCATTCACACTACATCTAGGTAATTCTTAGTATCAGTGCATATGAATGATATACTTCATCCTATTCCATTGAAGTCTAATGGATAATAAAATCATGGTGTTGAGAATTCTCAAATTATGTATTCCCCTTTGCTAATGATTTTTATCATCCTTTTTGGGGGTCATTACAAATAATTTGTAATTTGTAGTTAACCTCCTCCTCATGTCTATATTTGACTTGTTCTCTAATTAATATAAAAGAAGTAGAATTGCTAAGTTATGGGATTTGTGTCGCTGATATTTACTAGATTCTCTCAATCTGTTCCACCAAGGTGCCTTTTCGTTATGAATTTTACGACTTTGAGCAACAAAAAAACTCTTTTTCTGATGTATATGATTTTAGCAAGGGTGAAGAAGGGCTGTGCAAAGAATATAAAACAGTGCATTTTACAAAATGAACTCACAATAATTGTTAGCTATTATGGCATCCCACAGAACACTTTTTTCCCCCACATATCCTGCTAGATGTAATTTAGTACCATTTAAAATAATTTTCTTAATTGTTTTTATTTCCTTTATAGAATAATACAGGCACATAAGATAGGTCTTAAGTTGTTAAATAAATCCTATATTGATCTTGCTAAACTGTCTATGAGTACCTTCAATTTGTCAGCTGATTCTTTAGATTCTTTAGACAATAATATCGTCTGAAAACATCAAGGATTTGTTACTTCCTAACCAATTTGTCCTCCTAATTTACCTATTTTTTTTCCTTTTACTTGCATGTTGGCTCAGAGTTTCAGAATGATAATGCATAATGTAGTTTATAATGGATGTTTTGCTTGTTTCTGACTTTAATAAGAATGTTTATCCTATTAACCCTTAATTTGATGTTTAATTTAGACTTTTGCTAATATATTTTCTAGCTTATAAAAAGGAAGGTTTTTTCCATTACAATTTAATATTTTTATTATTTTAAGTGTGCATTAAATTTTAGTGAATGTTCATTTTTTAATCTACTGAGATTACTAGGTGGCTCTTTTCATTCCTTTAATATATTAATGTAGAGAATTATTAAATTTTCTAATGTAGGTGTATACTTGCAGTACTACGAGGTCCTAAGTGACAGATCTCATTCTCTTCCCCTGAACCCATTAATAGCCATTCCAAGGGACATTCATTTGCAAAGGGAGGAGAATAAATGGTCAGACATATAGATTGGTGGTTTTTGGAGTTAATATGTATTAACTCTAGGTTTACAAATTCATTAACATTATGTTATTGCATTAAATGAGATTATGTATATGTGTATATACATACACATGTATATGGGATATTCATGTATACAGACATAGGTATCTATAAGTACATGTATGTACATGTGCATACATAAATTAATACACACACACACACAAATACATACACAGAGAATGACAGGGATATGCACAAGTAAACTATTTGATCCCAGTGTTTGACATGGTATTGTTGTTCAATAAATATTAGCTATTATTCTTGGAACGTTTGAGGATAATAGCAATAAATACATCAATTACATAATTACATAAGTAATGCATAAGCTTTGATAAATGATTGTAAAGAAAACTACTGAGGGATAAGAGATCTTACAAAATTACAAGGGAATGATCTTGTCTCTGAAGTTGTAAGAGGGACCTTTGAGAAACTGGGTCTCAAAAGATGAGTAGAGTTAACTAAACTATGGAATTGGAAAGACGTTACAAACAGGCAGAATAAACAACACTAGCAAAGTCCTTGGGGCCAGAGGAACCCACACATTGTAATTACATCGCATACTATAATTTTGACACCAGTAGTGAGAGTACTGCTAGTTTCTATTGTATATAAACTAGGCTACTGCTAATCAAAGTGTGGTTCTCATTGAGATTAGGAGAATAAGTACACTGCTTATTTCTGATTATGTTGCTTTTTAATAGTAAGTCTTTTCAAGTGAAAGAAGCAATGATTAATTTACATTTTGCTGAAAGCTACTTACTCATCCCAGGCTTATATTATTAATAGCACTTACCTGCAGTAAGAGAAAGAAGCTCATTTGCTTGGTGCACTATTATCAACTTCCACATTAGTGAAAGTTCTGGAATAAATTAAGCGCACGATTAATACTGTTTTTGGCAGAAATGTATAACATAAGCACCCAATAAGTTATTTAAATTGTCCCAATAACTATTAGTTTAAGATACTATTTTAAACAATCTCTTCTTGGTCAAATGTATGAAAAATAACATGGTTAAAATCTTTCAATTAGAAAAATCTGAGGTACAAAATTAAAAAAGAAGTTCTAAGGAAATATTATTTAAAAATGAAATGGAGTGTGCATTTCAAAATGCTCATTATATTCTAATTCATTTTTATAAATTATGCATGTGTGTGTTGACACACAAATTATTGATATACTGTGATTTGAGAGCATGAACTCATTGAACTAAACATGCTAATATACTACATACTGGCTCTTAGCTTAAATAAAATCCTATAGATGCAAAATACCACTATGGTCCACCTGCTACACACACACACACACACACACACACACACACACACACACTACAGAAAACTTTTATCACCTCATCTTTGCAGATAGGACATTTATATTAAGAAAAGTAAAGTGGATGTCCCCGGAAGTACTCCTGCCTACTAAAATATTAAGCCAAAAACAATAGCTTATGCTTGGATGGATTGCAAATGTTGGTGTCCATCAGGACTTGAAGGATGGCTGGGCGCAGTGGCTCATACCTGTAATCCCAGCACTTTGGGAGGCTGAGGCTGAGGTGGGAGGATCACCTGAGGTCAGGAGTTTGAGACCAGTCTGGCCAACATGGCAAAACCCCATCTCTACTAAAAATACAAAAATTAGCTGGGCATGGTGGTGTGTGCCTGTTATCCCAGCTACTAGGGAGGCTGAGGCAGGAGAATCACTTGAACCCAGGGGGTGGAGATTGCAGTGAGCTGAGACCGCGCCACTGCTCACCAGCCTGGACGACAGAGTGAGACTTCATCTTAAAAAAAAAAAAGACTTGGAAGACGCAAGACTAATTATTACTATCTCATGCACATTTGTCCATTTAACTCACCTACTTGGCCTGTCCAGACACTAGAATAATTTTGGAGAATAAAGACAGAATGTCATTAATTAAATTAACTGGTGATTTATATCACACTTGCCTGTCCCAATGTATCTTTACTAAAGCATACGTATCATGCAAGTTTGTTTGTTTGTTTGTTTTTTAGACAGGATCTCCCTCTGTCATCCAGGGTAGAGTGCAGTGGCGCAATCATAACTCACTAGAGCCTTGACCTTGGGGCTCAGTTGATCCTCTCATCTCAGCCTCCCAGGTAACTGGGACTACAGGCCCACACCACAATGCCTGGCTAATTTTTTGTATGTTTTGTAGAGACAAAGTCTTGCTATGTTGCCCAGGCTGATCTTGAACTCCTGGGGTCAAGAAATCTGCCCACCTCAGCCTCCCAAAGTGCTGGAATTACAGGAGTGAGCCACTGCACCTGGCCTCATACAACTTTTAACACCTAGTATGTGGCTGTTGATCTGGAGAATGCTTTTGTCTCTATGTTCATAAAAATCATAAGAAGTAGTTTGTTTCAGCTTTCAATAGGAGCAACACACCTTACTTGCCCAAACTTAGGGATAGATCAACTATCCTCCCCACTTTCCCCATCTGTTCTCCATGGACTTTGAACATCTCTCCATTACCTGGAAAATCATGCTGGCCTATCATATTAATGATACCATGCTCCTCTGATCTTTTGAGACACCTGCATTCTGGAGGATAGAAAGTAAATCATACAAAAAATCCAGAAACTGTCAAGTTCAGTAACATTTCTAGAGGTTCAGAAATATGGTTCAAGACATTCCTTCTAAGATAAAGAATAAATTTTCTCTATCTGGTATCTCCCAATAACAAGAAACACAATGACAATTGGACCTCTGAATTTGAGAGGCAACATACACTTCATATGGGCATGCTAGTCCATATCATTTACTGATTATTCTCAAAGCTACCAGTTGTGAGTGTTGCTGAAAGTAAAATATCTGGTCTGCTGTACAAGCTGCTCTGCCCCTGGGTTTCTAGGAAAAGATAAAATAGTTGGTGAGGTATCTATAGCAAATAACAATACTCTATGGAGGCTTTGGCAAACTGTCATGATAAAATACAGTGCAAATGCTTATGTTTGGGAGAAAAGCTATGCCATTGTTTGAAGATAAGTATCTCATTTTTAGAAAAAGCATCTACCTTATTACTGAATCATATAGAGGCTACATGCTTAACCATTCCCCACCAAGTTACCATGTGACCTGAGCTCCCCATCAGGTCCTGGGTGTATCCGGATCCATCACTCTACAAAGTCATGTGCACAGTGGCAGTAACACTGGGTCACCACATGGTAGTGGTACATACAAGAGTCATTCTTGAAGGCATAAGTAAGTTCCATGATTGAGAGTCTTAGATTATATTGGTTCTTACTCTTATTACACTGAGTCCTCTTCCTCACCTTACATTTATAGCCTTTTGGAAAGTACTCTATGACTGAATGACTGATAAAGCAAACCTTTAGTCCTGATTTACAGATAGTTCTGCATACCACACATAAAATGCTGGTACTACCAGAAAGTGGACAATTGCCATTCTACAGTCCCACTCAAACACTGCCCTAAAAGAAAGCTGCTAGTGAAAAAAGAAAAATCTTTTCAAAGGGCCGAAGCAGTAAACCTGATCATATGTCTTCCTTAGAAAGAGAGACAGGTACACAATCATGGTTTGTGAACAATGGATTGGGTGAGTTCATTATATTGGAAAATATAAAAATTAATATTTGAGTATTAAGATATTTTAAATTTAGCCAGGTTTATGAATATTAGGTGTTATTTTTAAAGACAAATAGCACATCACAATGAAATTAAACATCAGGTGACATTGCAAGGCTTTCCAATAAACATTTTTTAAATAAAAGTATACGAAAATGAAATGTATGTTTTAGCTACAAGGAAGTCAAATTAGTGGTTCAATGTAGGGATTTTTAAGAAACGTCATAAACTTCTGAGAAGGTGAATTGAATCATTCAAGAAATATTAATTGAACATTTTTATACTGTTCTTTGTAGTTATGTGTGCATAGTACTTTTGGAGTAAATAAAGCAGATTAGATCTCACTCAGGTACTCTGGAAATCTTTTAATAATGAGGCTTAGTAAAGTCTAGACGTTTCTAAAATTTTTACTCTTTTAGGATTGAAACTATATCTACTTTTAAGTATCATAAGATTCTTTATTTTTTTCTCTTGCTTGGAGAGCTGTAGCAAAATAAAATGAATTTGAATGAGAAGTATTTTCCCCTAAGCCACAAAATCACTCATATATATTGGTTCAATAAAGCGTTTCAGAAGAAATGAAGAATATCCATGAAAATAAAGTTCCCTGTAAGTTAAATAAAAGAAAATGCATTTTGTTTTGTAAAGAGGTAGAAAATAACTTTAAAATATTCATCTAACAGGCCCTCAGTGAAAATACTGTTCTTTATCTGGCTTAGGTGATGCCATTGTGTTGATTGAAAAAAACATTGGTAAAATATAGCTTGAGTATTCCAATTTGAACTTATATATTCCAGAGATATGTGTTGTTTAAGTTCTATTGTAGCAGATGCTATAGAAATGCAAATTTCAATAATTGTATATGGAATATGTAAAATCAAGAATTTTTTACATATCTGGTTACATTTTCTTAAATAAGAAAAGCAAGTATCCCTGATTTTTTATTTATTCTGCAATTACTATAGTACTCTATATACCTCTTCAGTTGTAAATGTCACCATATATTCATGTAGTTTGCCTAAACTTCAGATATACTAATCTTGCTAAGGGTATTTCCAAATAATGTATGGAATGATAAACCAAACTGAATATTTTATCTTTATTAAAATTTTCTTGCATTTATTATTATAAATTATTTATTTATTATAATCGCTGCTCTAAAACTTTCTTTCTTTTGTGTAGGGAGTGATTAGGGATGGTGACTGGAAGAAAGAGCAGCATGGGAGAAGCGACAAGAACAAAGTAGCTAATAGTAGAGTGAGACTATGTCCACTGAATGAATTAAACAGGAACTAATACCTGCAACAAAGTGAAAAGCTAAGATGGATAGTTCCACAAAAAGATTTTAATGACGGAATTATTATGACAATATCCTAAACTCAGTAGGCTACAGTCAGAAGTCAGAATGTAGCTCAGAATAAAGGAATAAGTAAGGCTCAAAGTGTTTATAAACTAGAAACTGAGACAGAGTTTATAGACAGTAATGTTTTTCATAGCTCTAGGCTATCACTTTCTTATCTTTGCAATGTTCATCTCAAAATAGCTGTACTAATTGGTAGTTATCTACAACCCACCACCCAGATACCTTGCCAAAATGGCATATTTCTGCTGCTTTTATTCCCTTCTCCCATTTCATCTTGATGCCGTGCGTATTGAGACTCCAGAGTTCTTTACATCTAACATCTTTGTACTGTAATTTGTCAGACGCCCAATTCCTATGCTGCTCTTGTCTGAGCCTTCATTGGTTCCAAATCCTTGAAGTGATTTTGGGTTGATTTCGTTTATTGCTCATCCTCCACCCTGCACTCTGCTGGGTTCCATATCTCCAACAGCCAGCATGCAGTCCATGCTGCCGCTTTCTAAAGACACCAAATATTTGCTTAGGAAAATGTTTCAGTGTAGATAAAGGAAAGCATTTGAGGACTGTATTCAAACATATTGAGAGAGAGTCCAGGAGTTTACAGATTGTAAACTTAGATTGACTGGTATACGAAATCTCTAATCTTTAGTTTGTACATCTCTAAAAACTCAGAGTTAATACTCTGGTTTTTCCAAACACTCAACTGTTTTTGTTTTTGTTTTTGTTTTTTCTGGGCGGGGGTGGGGATTCATTGTCATCCCCACCTGTGGAGGCATGGACTACTGTCTACACTTAGCAGTGTGCTGTGTCAGACTAAGAGATAGTTAGGATAAATTGGATTCTTGTATATGATAAAAACTTAGCAGTTTACAAGGCTGAGGAGAAGAATTTACATCATACTGAAATGAGAGCAATGAATTACAAATGGCGTTTTCCATCTGAGCTAATGTCTATCCTCCCCAGGGGCTGAATGTCTAAAGCAGATTGTGAGGGAACTTCTCTGATCAAGATGGAGCTATGAATGAAATGGACCATGACTGTACCTTCCATTCATGGAGAGAAATGCAGCATGTTTACAGAGTGAATTCTATTCATTGGCCAACCCTTCTTATAAGGCACCATAAAATTGTTTCAATTGTGCAAATTGTACTTTGTAAGTGCTCTCAGTTTTTTGAAATGTTATTTGACATGATGCATGTCTGGGAATTATTTTTAAATGGCCCATTAATGTGGTTTGAAGAAAACACATGAAACAAAACTGGCAATGGGTCAATAAGTAGAAACTTGGTGATTTGTTATATAAGTGTTTCTTCCATAATTTGTTGAACATTTTGTATATATGAAAAATCTTTCATAACAAAAAATTCCCAGGTGATGCAGTTGATTTAGGTTGAGAGGCATTGCCTTAAACTACAATCATTTAAAAATGTTCACTGCCTGTCCCTTGATGGTCACTTTTCTCAGAATAAAATAGATTTTATTATTAAAGGTAAAATTACAAATTAACTTGTACAATGTGCTATTTGTAAATGAAACTGAGAATTTACATTTGCAAAAGGTGAGGATCTATTCTTTTTAACTTAGTGCTTTGTCTGTGTTTTTATTTTCAGGTTCATTTTCACTCAGCTATATATTAAAACTAAGTGTCATCATCATCATTATCATCATCATCCTCATGATTTCATGAATTCAAGATAACAACCATTTGTCCATCCCATTGCTGCCATTTTCCTTTCCCCTCCAGATTCACTGATAAACCCAGCAACAGGGCTTACTTCCCCAGTTGGACTCAGCAGCCAAGTAGAAGTTTGAATTTCCCGCAGATCTCGGGGTGGAAAAGCTATTCTGTGTGTTTTTAGCAGCTTGTGAACATTAACAAGAATGCTTTTTACAGATCTAATTTGTGAAAGGTTTTTATTGAGTGGCTTGTGTTAATCATGTGACACCTGTCTCCCACCTGCTCCCAACTCCCACTACACAGTGAAGAACCAATTGGTGAAGAGACTGTCCCCCTTTCCCATATAGGTCTATTTTGAAGAAGAGCTGCCCTGGAGGGTTTGGCAGATAAATAGCAACTCAGATCAACCTCAGGCTCCTAGAGACTAAGATTTATTCCAGGTAAATTGGCCAGGCAGTGTACATTGCCACATGATTTTGTCATCCTTGGCTCTGGGCTACACAATATTTATATAGGACAGTGGCAGCAGCCATAACTCAAAACCTGTTCCCACTCCATTCTCTCAGAACACACACAGATATAACCATAGAAAAGAAATTGTTAGGGCTGCTGATGAAAAACTAGCTCCTCTTCTTCCCCTAGCTCCTGCTTCATGGTTCAGGTTTTTTGTCAAGTGAAAGGCCCAGCAAACCACAAATACTGGTGAACTTCTGGCTTCCGCCAATAAACTTACCTCATTGAATAAGACTTTAGCACAATTTATACACCAGGGTGCTACTGAAAAGCAATAGGCCAACCAGATAATAATAAGTGAAAATTAACAGCTGATATAATAGAAAGCCTGCCTAAGCAAATATAGTAAGGAGACATAAGAAGACAATTCGAAAGAACACAGCTAAAATATGGTTGTCCTGGTGGTTAGAAAGGCTGTGTCCCTCTAAGGAGCAGAAATCTGGGGCTGAAAACTGTGTGAAGATTGACAATTAAACAAGCACCCGAGCAAACAATGCTAATCATAAGCCCTTGAATATTAAGAAGGGGAGTGCTTAGGATTCACAACTGTTACACTATACTATTTAAAACATCCAGTTGACAACAAAAATACATAAGACATAAAAAGAAACAGTAAACAGTGACCCATACACAAGGAAAAAAAAAACAGCAAGAGAAAATATCTATATGGGTTGAAATGTTGGAATTAATAGGAGAAGTATAGGAAAAGTAGCTATTATAGCTACTAATATAGCTATGACAAATACGAATCAAGAACTAAAACCTAAGATCTGAAACTATAAAAATTTAGAAGATAACATCAGCGAAAACTTTCTAGACATTGAATCAGGCAAAGAATTCATGACTAAGAACCCAAAAGCAATGTAAGAAAAACAAAGATAAATAAGTGGGACTTAATTAAACTAAAGAGTTTCTGCACAGCAAAAAGAAGTCAGCAAAGTAAACAGACAACTCACAGATGGAGAAAATCACACTCTATACATCCAACAAAGGACTAATATTCAGAATCTACAAGGAGCTCAAACAAATTAACAAGAAAAAAACAAACAATCTCATCAAAAAGTGGGCTAAGGGCATGAATATACAATTCTCAAAAGAAGATATACAAATGGCCAACCAACATAAGGAAAAATGTTCAACATCACTCATGATCAGGGAAATGCAAATCGAAACCACAATATGAAACCACCTTACTACTGCAAGAATGGCCATAATCAAAAAATTTAAAAAAAAATAGATGTTGGTGTGGATGCAGTGAAAAGGGAACACTCTATACTGCTGGTGGGAATGTAAACAAGTAGAACCACTATGGAAAACAGTATGGAGATTCCTTAAAGAACGAAAAGTAGAACTACTATATGATCCAGCAGTCCCACTACTAAGTATCTACCCACAGAAGAGGTCATTATATGAAAAGGATACTTACACATACATGTTTATAGCAGCACAATTTACAAATCCAAAACTGTGTAACCAGCCCAAATACCAATCAATCAATGAGCAGATAAAGAAAATGTAATACGTATATATATACACACACACACACACACACACACACATATATATACACACACACCACACATATAAATATAATGGAATACTACTCAGCCATAAAAAGGAATGAAATAATGGCATTCACAGCAACCTGGATGGAATTTGAGACTATTATTCTAAGTGAAGTAACTCAGGAATGAAAAAGCAAATATGGTATGTTCTCACTCATAAGTTATGAGGATTCAAAGGCACAAGAATGATACAATGGAGCTTTGGGACCCAGGGTAAATGATGGGAGGGCATGAAAAATTAAAGAATACAAATTGGGTTCAGTGTATACTGCTCAGGTGATAGGTTCACCAAAATCTCACGAGTCATCACTAAGGAACTTACTCATGTAACCAAACACCAACTATCCTTCAAAAACCTATGGAAATAAAAAACTTTTAAAAACACAGAACAGTTTTGCTTATGAATATCAAGGAAATAATACTAAATACAACATTAACTATTTGACTTTTTAAAAAAACTATATTTAATGATTTAAAAGAAAATAATTAAGGAAATAAAAAAGACCAAAAAAAAAAATAGAAAATAGCAATGGAAATAAAGAAATTATTAAGAAGAACCAAGTGAAAACTCTGGAGTTGAAAATCCTAAGAACCAACTGAAAAATTTACCAGAAGGGCTCAGCAGAAGATTTGAGCTGGCCAAAGAATCAGTAGATTTATGGATTAATTGAGGTTATACACTCTGAAAAACAGTGAAAAAACAATGAAAAAAAAAAAAAAAACAACAGAGCCTCAGAGAAATGTGGGCATTATTTATTTATTTATTTATTTTTGAGATGGAGTCTCGCTCTGTCACCCAGGCTGGAGGGCAGTAGCGCAGTAGTGCAATCTCCGCTCACTGCAAGCTCCATCTCCCGGGTTCATGCCATTCTCCTGCCTCAGCCTCCTGAGTAGCTGGGACTAGAGGCACCCGCCACCACGCCCGGCTAATTTTTTTTTTATTTTTTAGTCCTCAGCCTGGACTTCATTGCCCATATCACTACCAGCATTTTGGTCACAACAATTTAACAAGTCTCTAGGAAGTTCCAAACTTTCCCCCATCTTTCTGTCTTTTTCTGACCCCTCTACACTCTTCCAACCTCTGCCTGTTACCTAGTTCCTAAGTCACTTCCACATTTTCAGGTGTCTTCATAACAATGCCGAACTCTTATGTATCAATTTTCTGTATTAGTTCATTCTTACATTGCTATAAAGAAATACCTGAGACTGGGTAATTTATAAAGAAAATAGGTTTAATTGGCTCACAGTTCCACAGGCTGCACAGGAAGGATGGCTGTAGAGGTCTCAAGAAACTTACAATCACAGTGAAAAGTGAAAGGGAAGAAGGCACATCTTCACATGACCAGAGCAGGAGGAAGAGAGGTCTGGGGGAGGTACCACACACTTTCAACCAGATCTTTTGAGAACTCTATCATGAGAACAGCACCAAAAGGGGAAATATGCTTCCATAATCCAATCACCTCCCAACAGGCCCCACCACCAATATTTGGAATTACAATTTGACATGACATTTGGGCGAGGATACAAATCCAAACCATTTCAAATCCTATTCCTGTTTGCCTTCATGTTGATAATATTTCAACAATCAAGGCATACTGAAACAAAGTGTCTGCCTTTTTAAATCAATTTCTTCATTCAAACCAGAATGGAATGAACTGGAGATATAGTATCATTATACCAATAGCCCAAATATTAAGTTGAAGCCCAGTTTTTGTTTTATTCATTGCTGTCTCCATATGGCAAAATCTCTAAGTATAAAAAGTTCAGGCATAAAATAGGAAAGAGAAAGATCTTCACTTAAATTTATCCAAATGATATAGTTTGGCTGTGTCCCCACCCAAATCTTATCTTGAATTGTAACTCCCACAATTTCCATGTGCCATGGGAGGAACCCGGTGGGAGATGATTGAATTATGGGGGCAGGTCTTTCCTGCACTGTTCTTGTGATAGTAAATGAGTCTCCTGAGATCTCATGGTTTTGAAAATGGGAGTTTCTCTGCACAAGCTTTCTCTTTGGCTGCCGCCATACATATAAGATGTGACTTGCTCCTTGTTGCCTTCCACCATGATTGTGGGGCCTCCCCAGCCATGT
The DNA here is from genome assembly GCF_000001405.40 of Homo sapiens. NCBI lineage: Eukaryota > Metazoa > Chordata > Mammalia > Primates > Hominidae > Homo > Homo sapiens. The sequence goes on along the minus strand of NC_000021.9, from coordinate 23,500,068 downwards.
GGAACTGTAAGTCCATTAAACCTCTTTTTCCTTTCCAGTCTCAGGTATGTCTTTATTAGCAGCATGAAAAAGGACTAATACAATAAAGTAGTACATATAGAGTGTGGTGCTGCTATAGATACATGAAAATGTGGAAGCGACTTTGGAACTGGGTAACAGGCAAGGGTTGAATAAGAGGGCTCAGAATAAGACAGGAAAATGTGGGAAAGTTTGGGACTTTCTAGAGACTTGTTGAATGGCTTTGCCCAAAATGCTAATGGCAATATGGACAATAAAGTCCAGGCTGAGGTGGTCTCAGATGGAAATGAGGAACTTGTTTGCAACTGGAGCAAAGGTGGCTCTTGTTATATTTTAGCTGAGAGACTGACAGCATTTTGCCCCTGCCCTAGAGATTTGTGGAACTTTGAACTTGAGAGAGATGATTTAGGGTCTATGGTATAAGAAATTTCTAAGCAGCAAAGCATTCAGGATGTGACTTGGGTGCTGTTAAAGGTATTCAGTTTTATAAGGGAAGCAGAGCATAAAAGTTCAGAAAATTTACAGCCTGACAATGCAATAGAAAAGAAAATCCCATTTTCTGAGGAGAAATTCAAGCCGGCTGCAGAAATTTGGATGAGTAACAAGGAGCCAAATGTTAATCCCCAAGACAATGGCGAAAAAGTCTCTAGGGCATGTCAGACATCTTCATGGCATCCCCTCTCATCACAGGCCCACAGGTCTAGGAGGAAAAAGTGGTTTCATGGGCTTGACCCAAGGTCACTGTGCTTTGTGCAGCCTAGGGACTTGGTGCCCTTCATCCCAGCCACTCCAGCCATGGCAGAAGGTAGCCAATGTAGAGTTTGGGCTGTGGCTTTAGAGGGTGTAAGCTTCAACCCTTGGCAGATTCCATGTGATGTTGAGACTGCGAGTGCACAGAGGTCAAGAATTGAGGTTTGTGAACCCCCACCTAGATTTTGGAGGATGTATGGAAACCCCTAGATATCAAGGTAGATTTTTGCTGCAGGGACAGGGCTCTCATGGAGAACCTCTGCTAGGCAGTGTAGAAGGGAAATGGGGAGTCGAAGCCCCCACAAAGACAGCCTACTGGGGCACCACCTAGTGGAGCTGTGAGAGGAGGGCCACGGTATTCCAGACCCCAGAATTGTAGATCCACTGGCAGCTTGCAACATGCACCTGGAATAGCGGCAGACAGTCAATGCCATCCATGAGAGCAGCCAGGAGGAAGACTTTACCCTGCAAAGCCACAAGGGCAGAGCTGCCCAGGACCATGGAAACCCACCTCTTGCCTCAGCATGACTTGGATGTGAGACATGGAGTCAAAGGAGATCATTTTGGAGCTTTAAGATTTGATTGCCCTGCTGGATTTCAAACTTGCATGGGGCCTGTAGCCCCTTTGTTTTGGGCAATTTCTCCCATTTGGAATGGCTGTATTTACCCAATGCTTGCATCTCCATTGTATCTAGGAAGTAACTTTTGATTTTACATGCTCATAGGCAAAAGAAACTTGCCTTGTCTCAGATGAGATATTGGACTGTGGACTTTTGAGTTAATGCTGAAATTAATTAAGACTTTGGGGGACTGTCAGGAAGGTATGATTGGTTTTGAAATGTGAGGACGTGAGATTTGGGAGGGGCCAGGAGTGGACTGATATGATTGGCTGTGTCCGCACCCAAATCTCATCTTGAATTGAAACTCCCACAATTCCCATATGTTGTGGGAGGAACTCAGTGGGAGGTGATTGAATTACGGTGGCAGGTCTTTTCTGAACTGTTCTCATGATAGTGAATGAGTCTTAAAGGATCTGATGGTTTTAAAAATAGTAGTTACCCTGCACAAGCTCTCTCTTTGCTTGCTTCCATCCGTGTAAGGCGTGACTTGCTCCTCTTTGCCTTCCTCCATGATTTTGAGGCCTCCCCATGCATGTAGAACTGCAAGTTAATTAAACCTCTTTTTCTTCCCAGTCTCGGGTATGTTTTTATCAGCATCATGAAAACAGAATAACACACCAAATTAAGGGCAAAATGGAAATATTGAGCATAATTCAATATAATTATTATATCTACAGAGCCTTGAAACTTATCAGAAGAAGTGTTCTTTTTTTATATAGTAGAATGTTTGTGTCAGCATAAAGGATCAAACACTTTTTTAGTCTTACAGAAAAAAAAAAATGTGAAGCATGTATAGATTAACTAACCTGCCCGAAGACAAATCAATTTAACAAGTAAGAAATGCAGAAATTAAAATTGTTTCAGCTTGATCCAAGAAAAGACTATCTTCAACCCTCACAAAATGCCACTGCTTTCACACATACACACATATTAAAAATATTATATAATGAAATCAAGATATATTTTAAGACATGTAATAAGTCATATCTGATAAAATAAGTCAAATTAGCTTATAGTTTTAAGTCAAATCAGTCTTATGAGTTAATAACTCAAAAAGTGAATTTTAAATAACTTCAGCATATATTAAAAGAACAAAATTTCTAAAAGTCACTATTAAATCACCTAAGCATTAATACCTCACATTTATTTAATAAATAAAGCATAATTATTTATTTTTACTTAAAATAGCTGTGAGATATTAAGCTTATCTGAAGAATTGCTAGAAAGACAATATGAAATATTAATGAACACCCCAATCTATACTTGGGTACCAACTCATTATTTGAATTAGGTCAAGTAGTTATACCCTAGTTTTCAGATTTTGTTATCTAATCTGGAAAGAAATGTAACTGAATAAATTCACTGCTTTTACTGTTAAGATAATTCCCTGCTAAACATATTCTATTATGTCAACCTCAGAGACTTACAAACGGTGACTTGTAGTCCCTAGCTCTAGTCTCTATATCAACCAATTAGTCAAAAGCCTTGATTTACAGGCTAAAATTGAAAAAAAAAAAGCTGTGATAAAATTTATTTGTTATATTTGAATTGCTTTTACTAAATATCATTTATTTTATTTGAAAATAGTAATTTGTTTTTGTTTGATTGCTATTTGAATTTTATTTCCAACTTAAGCCTGAAGAGATTTGAAGTCTCTAGTGGCAAAGATTTTAGAACTCTCAATTTTAAAGCTAGGTTTGTTTCATCTTTCAAAAATAAGTAACTACAAAACCACAAAAGCTGTTTAAAGCAGAGAATGAAACTAATATAACCCTGATGCCACTTCCTAAGGAGTTAAACGAAACAGAAAATGATAGATCATTATTATGTTTGTATGAAATTGTTACATATAAATATATTCTTATATATTTTTAAAATGCAAATAGATAAATGAAAACACTCATTTCTAAGACTGTAATTAACAAGTAAACTTCATTTGGTTTAATAGAAAAAGTCATCCTGTTGACCTTGATTTTGGCCCAACGACAGGCTTTGGGGATTTATGTACAACTGGAAGTTAATACATTTGTGTTGTTTTAAGCCACTAAGTTTGCAGTAGTTTGTACGGCAGCAAGAGAAAATAAGTACAGATACAGAAATAATTCTTGAAACATTCAGAGAAAAAAAGACAGCTTTCTACAAGAAAAAAATGAGTCAACTGACATTTTACTTCTGAAAAAACATCAATAGAGTTCAAAAGTATGTGGAATAAAATGTACAAAGGTCCAAAAAACATGTCTAAATCTAGAATTGGGAATAATACAGTGAAAGCATCATTAAAGGATGAAAGCAAGCAGAGATATTTTCACATAAACCAGGGGCAAGAAAGTTCACCACTCGGAAAACATCTTAACTGAAGTAAATCTTCATTAAAAATCTTAACTGATGTCTAAGCAGTGGCTCTCAAACTATCATCTGTGGACTTTGGCATTATCTGTGAGCCTCCTTGAGATTACAAGAAAATGATTAAGTAATAAAAAATAAAATAATTATCAAGCTAGATACAGGAAAAAGTAATAGAATTGAACTGTTCATTCATGATAACAACTTCTAGCAAACAAGGAATAGCAATGAACTCCACAGCTAGTCAAAAATAATCCATACGAAAACTGTAGCAAATACTGTATTTAATGGTAAAACTTTCCCATTCCTGTTTAAGACTAGGGACCAAGTTTGCCTACTATTATCACTTACATAAAACAAACTAGAGGACTTAGTACAACAATGTAACATACGATACCAGTAAATAAAATAATTAAAATTCAAAACAAAAGGTGACATATGTTGATAGATGATGTGATTATATTCATAATCACTGCCCAAAGGAAACTGCTTCTTACTTTGGTGCATATTTCCAAAGTAATTTCTGATTGTAACAAGTGCTTACACTGTATTCAAAGAAGTATTCCCTATTCTCTTTGTATCTGTGAAATGAAGAGACATGTAGAAGAGAATAATTTTCCTCTAACTAACCTAAGTATCCCCTTGAGAGTGTAACTGTTCGACACTGTATATTCTAGTTGCTTTAATACTGATAATAGACCCTTTTCCACAGGGTAACTAAATGAAAAGGCATGAAAAATGCAAAACAAAATTAAGTTACACTCAAACTTGGTTAGGCAACAACACTGTGAATGCAGAACAGGGAATCTTCACCTCCTTTGACTAAGAAAAGCAAGACCTGGATGTTGTGAATGGTAAATGTGAATATTCAGTTGGATTGTTTTTTGGTAAAACAATACTGTGTGGAATTCTAAGGAATGATTTTTATCCTTTAAAACTGTGTGCTTGTGTGTGTGTCAAGTAATCAGTTACGCAATTATTTAAACAAAACAAGCACAACTATTTCATTATGAAACTTTTTCTTCCAGATTGAAAAATCTATTCTCTTCTTGTTTAAAAATATATTTCTATTCTTGTGTAGATTCTGCTTACAATTTAATGAAAATTAAATACATATAATTGTGCTTCATAAAAGTATAATAAATATTTAATATGGGATATATATCACATGAAAGTGTAGATACAATTTAGTGTACAAAATAATATTTGCAGATATACATTGCCTGTATTAAACATATAAATACAAAGGGCTATCCTCTGTTGTAGCAAAAGCTGCAGGATTTGGGGCATTAATAAAATCTTAAAGAAAGCAAAAGCTTAAGGCTCAAATGCAATTGCGGGAATAAACATCATACAAATTCTTTCTCTGAGCAATTCTCTAATCTGGAACCCAGGAACAAAATCTATTAATTTTTTCTCTCTGGCATAAATATTTTAAAACTAGCATTAAAATTTTATAATTTTACAAAGACATCAGATATAGCTCTATTGTATAGATGGTTCACGTAGTTATAATGTGATTGGGTTTGCCTTATTGGCACTGGTTAATTTGAGAGAGGTCAAGTTAATCTCCCAGTAATGCAATATATATGTGGTAATAGGAATCCATAGATCTAGTTCAGTAATTTGAATAATAAATGCTGAAAGTCAAATTCCCTAGTGGAGGCAATTATTTAAAGTATTTTGTAGTAAAAAGCTTTAGCTCTATTATGTTACTAAGATAAAATTCAGTCTTGCCAAGTGTGTCTAATATCCTTTGTTCAGTTGTTTTCTTTTATGGTAAAATATGTATGCTATTTCCAAGTAATATCTATTTAAATTTGGTATCTTCCATATAACAATATCTGTCTTCATAAAATTTTTAATAATGTATTGCACACTTTTTTGAAGCATGAATTACTGATAAAAGATTATATATATTTTATCTGGGTTGCTGTTTATTTGGAATTACACCAGTGGAAGGAGAACAGTTTCATTAGAAGTGTTTATTTTTGAAAATGTTTCCTCTTGGTACATGAAGGTGAAAATATAATAAAGCTGCCTTCTGAGAAACATTTCTGTATTCATCTGCTGAGTGAACTAATTACCCACTTGCAGACATCTCACCTAATTAAATCCAACAGAGGAATTTTCAAACGAATCACTTTTGGAAGATAAAGTGCTTGTTCCGTTTATTGAACTTCATTTCAGAAATGAAGAAAGTTAGAATTAACGAACACTTTAAAAATGGTTCTAAAAGATGAATGAAGTAGTCGAATTTAGATTGCATTGTTTTTTTTTTACATTCTGACCTGAGAGAATGTCACATTTGTGTGGACCTCTTCTAAGAGAAAGACGCAATAGTCATAAATCCTCTAAATCTCACAAATACAAGTGATCGTTCCAAAACAGTTCTTACAATTTATGTGTTATTATAAATGCATTTTTATCTCATGCAAATGCATAAAATTCAGTATCAAAGTATATAATGTAAGATGTTGTCACTAGAGAGGTGAGAGTTCTCCTATAAGTTCTGTTTTTCATAGCAATTCACCCTCATAGATCTGCTATTAGTCACAAACAGCAAGTTATTTTATAAAGAGAAATTATACAGAACACTGAAACTAGTAAACATCTTAAGAAACACATCAGTGTATTAAAAATAGGTAAAAATAAATTTATGCAGTTTTTTTATTTAGCATATAAAAGAAGGGAATTAACTAAGTGTTCTTGAAGAAAGAATTTTCCAGAAGGAAAAAAATTCAGCTTTAGAGATTGCTGGCATTCTTTGTTGAAAGTCCCTGGAAAAAGAACTGTCATTTTTGGGCAAGACAAGACAAATCTGTATCTATCTATCTCTCTCTATATATATATGATATATACACACACACACACTCATATATACACACATACATACATCCATATACCTTGGAATATATAAGCATATATTAAATATATATAAGTACTTAATATATACTTAAATATTCCAAGGTATATGGAAAAAATATATACATATATTCCTTCTCCTCATAAGTAGATACTTAGCAAACAAAAAGATTCTTGCGTAAGTAGGATTGGTAGATTAAACAAAATGAACTGAACATAAAGAATATGATTTATTGGGCCAGGCACAGTGGCTCACCCCTGTAATCCCAGCACTTTGGGAGGCCAAGGTGGGCGGATCACAAGGTGAGGAGATCTAGACCATCCTGGCTAACACGATGAAACCCCATCTCTACTAAAAAATAAAAAAAATTAGCCGGGCGTGGTGGCGGGCGCCTGTAGTCCCAGCTACTCGGGAGGCTGAGGCAGGAGAATGGCGTGAACCCGGGAGGCGGAGCTTGCAGACAGCTGAGATTGCGCCACTGCACTCCAGCCTGGGGGACAGGGCGAGACTCCGTCTCAAAAAAAAAAAAAAGAATATGATTTCTTATTTTAACAGAGAACCATTTTTAACTCAATCAAAATCCTGAAGACATGTTTCATACTTGCTTTTCAGACTGAGATTATGCAGTGCCATGGCAGATTCTGCGATGGTGACAGTCACCTGCTAAAATAAAAGCACTAAAATTTGCCGTTCAATGGCTGCCACTTTATAATGAACTACTTGTTTTTTCATTAGCAGTTAACAAAGCATTTTAGTAGTGAAGTATTGATGAAGATACACAGAACATCTTCATATTGTTTGTATGATAATTAGCTTATGAAGAACTGTTCGAATATATTAAATGTCATGATAATATTAGCATTTTTATCCTTTTTTTTTTTTCATTTCTGCTATTATGTTCTAGCACCATGGATTACAAAACGAAAACAGACTTGATACTGGAAATCAGTTTAAAGCGAAGACCTGGCCATTATAACAATTCATTATGAGCATGCTTTAAACAGGATTGGCTCTAGTGGTTTGCTTGGTTGACTGACAAAAATTAAGCTCAAGCTCAACTAGGCCCACATTCAAGGAGGATGAGATGCCATCACTCTCTTGGTAGCATATAAGGGAAGGTATCCAAAAATATAGAAATATGACAGTGGATTAATCAGGAGAGGACTTGTTCCCTCCCCACATGAGAGTCCGAAGGGTAGGTCCTTGCAAAACCACTGATACCTACGCTATAATAACAGAGAGTTTTGGTGGCTGTCGTAATGGTGGAGGATGCTGTCGAGCTCCCAGGCATTACTGTATATGATAGGACCCTGGAGTTACAGAGGCCAGTGAACCGCAAGAGACAAGTTAGACACAATGACTACAAGGCACAGCAGAACAAAATGGAACCCAGAATGTTCGACATATTCGAGTCTGTGGAACAGGATCTTTTTTCTGAAATCTTAGGCATGAAAGAGATGGGAAACCTCCTATTGTACTAGTGAGTTTATTGGTGTTTCTGGACTATTTCTTCTATTCCATTATCTGTTTGTCTTTCCACAAATTTTACACTTTCTTAATTGATTTATCTCTATATTAAGTCAGAATACTTAGTAGAATATGCCCTCTTACCGTGTTCTTATTCTTTAATGCTTTTTGGCTATCACTGAGCTCATGCATACCCCTACTTCCAAACAAAAAATTTCCGGGGTTTCAAGGAGAGAATGGCATTGAATCTGTATATATATTTGGAGAGAAATAGAATTTTTATTTTATTAAGTCTTCTAATCTAAAATTAGAATGTCTCTCCAGAGATCTATGTCTGTGTAATTTCTCTTGATTTTTTTTTGTATTTTATTTGAAACTGCTTTTATTTTGTTAAATGTATCAATAATTTATTTGAATAAAATGTTAAAGTCAGCACAATTAACTTGAGTCCCACTCAAGATTCTGGCACCTATAGGTAGTGAAAGTTTCACTGAAATAAAATTGTTTGTTCATGATATTTTAGTGAAAATCAAGCATATCTACATGTCTACTCACATTTTGCTTCTGATTTTATATAGACAATATGGTATGATGTCCACATCTGTTATGAGTTTCTCACATTTGCAATGACAAATAACAGAAGACATATCTAAGAATTAAAATATATTTATTCTGACACGGTCTGTTGTTTGGGAGTGTAGCAACTCTTACCAATGATTTCTTGAAGCTTTTTTAAGTCTACTTACAATATCTTGTACTGTCTGCTTCAAAGAGTTGTGCTTTGTTCCTTTCTTTGCATTTCTTGTAATTTTTTATACAGTGCTTGGAGCAGTAGCAAACTCCTCCCCAAAGTTTCTACAAAGTCCTTGGTGTATTACACATTGTATTAGTTCATTCTTGCATTGCTATAAAGAACTACCTGAGACTGGGTAATTTATAAAGAGAAGAGGTTTAACTGACTCACATTTCCAAAGGCTATACAGGAAGCACACCTGGGAGGCCCCAGGTAACCTACAATCATGGTGGAAGGTGAAGGGAAGCAGGCACATCTTACATGGAGGGAGAAGGAAGGAGAGAATGAAGGGAGACGTGCTAAATAATTTTTTTTTTTTTTTTTTTTTTTTGAGACGCAATCTCGCCCTGTCTCCCAGGCTGGAGTGCAGTGGCGGATTCTCAGCTCACTGCAAGCTCCGCCTCCCGGGTTCATGCCATTCTCCGTCCTCAGCCTCCAGAGTAGCTGGGACTACAGGCGCCTGCCACCAAGCCCGGCTAATTTTTTTGTAGTTTTAGTAGAGACAGGTTTTCACCGTGTTAGCCAGGATGTCTCGATCTCCTGACCTCGTGATCTGCCCGCCTCAGCTTCCCAAAGTGCTGGGATGATGCTACACACTTTTAAACAACCAGATCTCATGAGAACTCACTCACTATCATGAGATTAGCAAGGGGAAGTTGGCCCCCATGATCCAATCACCTCCCACCAGGTCCCTCCTCCAATGGGGATTACAATTTAACATGAGATTTGAGCGGGAACACAAATCCAAACCATACCACACATCCTCAGATAATATTCATGAATGCAAACCTTAAGATTTCAGGATGATTCATAGAGCTTTAGCCCTCATACACTCTTGAATACTTTAAAAATGTGTTTGAAGGCAAAAACATACACAAAAAGTAAACATAAACTGAATTTAACAGAGGTATTTATTTCCTCAAACACCAAGAAATCAAGAGATAGCAGCCCAGGACTTCAATGGTTTAACAATACGGTCTCCTCCTTTCTTTTGTGATCATTTTACTTAGCAGATTGTCTATCATTTCATGGTTGAAAAATTTCCCACTGAATCTTCAGGCTTTATTTTCTATTTCAAAGCAGTAAAATGTGATAAGAATCATCACCTACTTCAGGCTCTTACTTTTATAAGAAAACAGAAGATTTCCTAAGAACTCTGCATCCTACCCCAGGAAATTTCTGTTGAAATTTCATTGCTTGTATCCGTTGCACGAAACCTAAAGGGCAAAAAAAGAGAAGGAGATGTATTTTAGCTTTTTCAGATTCCATTGTGTGGCCCATTAAGGAAGGATTTTGGAATTGGTATAGGATCAGCCAAACTATGCTATTAGCTTAAAGCCTTATGACAATTCATATAATAACACTTGATTTTTTCCTGTGGTCAACTTTTTTAAGTAGCATTTCCTCTGTGTGGCAGTGCTGGGTGTCACATTTCTACAAATTATCTTAATCCTTTCACTGTGTCTTTAGTTCTGGAAATGGTTAAAGATCAATTAACAGTCACTGGGTAAGGAACTTTTTGTTCTTTTTTTGGAGACAAGGTGGTACTCTGTCACTCAGGCTGGAGTGCAGTGACACGACCTAGGCTCACTGCAGCCTGAACCTCAGGGGCTCAAGCAAACCTTCCATCTCAGCCTCCCGAGTAGCTGGGACTAGAGGTATGAGCCATCATGCCTGGCTAACATTTTTTTTTAAGTTTTTGTAAAGACTGGCTCTCCCTGTGGTGCCCAGGCTGGCCTCTAACTTCTGGGGTCAAACAATCCTCCCACCTGAGCGTCCTAAAGTGCTGAGATTAAAGGCATGAGCCGCTATGCCCAGACAAGGAATATTTTTATACTTAATATGCATTTTTTCCAGAGTGTATGCAAACCACCACCATCCACATTTTTCTCCCAGCAAAATTTATACTTGGAGTTGGAAATAACTATAAATTGTCTTTTTAAAAAAACCTTTTCTTAATTTGCTATAGAAAATACTACAACAGTAGACGGTTACATAATTCTAACAAGAATGTGCCATATACTGTCTAATAACTTTATAACTACTCATTGAATCCTTATATTAACTGTATGACTGCAGCGGCACAGAACTTAAGTGACCTGCCTAAGGTCATTTGGGTAGCACTTGGCAGGACCAGAGTTCAAACCCAGGTGACTTTGCTCCCAAGTCCACACTCTTCAGCACATTTAACTGCATTATATCTGCATTATATATAGCAGGGGTTCTATAATTCTTCAAAAGATATTGCAGAGAATTCCCCAGAGTCCTATACTTCCTCAGTGAACCTAAAGCAATTAAAAGGAACTTATGTCATACATACGTCTTGAGGAAATATGAAGAGAAATTTGAAGTCATCAAATGAAAACTACATTTTAAACATCTTTCCCATTCTATTTTGAAGGGCATTAATGCAATACAAACACTCAGCTGTCTTTTCATGGCAGTGTGAATTAATTAAACAAAGGTTTCTAAATCCATCAGGGGCAGATATGGTGAGAGTCTGTTATTAATACATAAACCAAGACAATAGGTGTAAAACTGAATTATCTCCCAGGAAACCAGGACTTTTCATCACCTTAAAGTCCTCAATATATTCAGTAGAATTGTCTTATTTTCTTTCAACAAACTGAAAATTCTAAATGAAATGATTCATCCAGGTTTTTCTGAAGCATAAGCTCAATTTTAGAAATACACCTTTCATTTCATGTAGGTAAATAACCGTCACTGTATTCAACTAATATCCATAATTGTCAGCTTGTTTCTGATTGTCTTGTCAGATTCCCTACTGCTATAATTGTATTCATTATTCAATCTCTGGGATGAGAATACAAGCAAACTCCTGGAACAGCACACTATGCGATGAAATAATGAATCTCCAGCTTTGAAAATCATGGTTTCAAGATCTCCTTAATATTTGTTTTCTGAAACTACCTCCACTTTGTACTGATGTGTATATTACAGTGGGGAACTATTAGCATGGGTTTGTGGCTGCCGGTAATATTTCTTGGATAAGTAAATACCTGAATAGTAATTGGGTACACTAATGTAGATTACTTAAATTGACATGTTTATGTTTCCCTTAGCAATATGCTCCCCAAACCCAGCCAGGCAGGCTTTTGTACTCTTCCATTCCTGGGAGAAGGTGGATGTTGCAATACATAAAGCTCATCTCTGATCACATTGCTCCCCTGCTCAGAAATAGAGAATTGCAACCATCCACAAATCAAACTTAACTTGTTAGCCAGGCTTTCAAATCTTTCACAGTCAGGCCCTATTTAACCTTCTTTCATAAACTGTAAGACACACTTGTTTTCTACATTTTAACATTTATGAACAGGAGAAGAGTCTCTCAGTCACCATTGTTCAGCGTGAGTTTTTCTTTGTAGTTTAGAGTCTGATATGTTTCTATAATAAGTTCATTGATTTTTCTTCTGCTTTGTGTAATCTGCTGTTAAGAATATCCAATGTTAACTGTATATATTTATGGAGTACATGAGATGTTTTGATACAGACATGCAATGTGTTATAATCACATCATGGAGAATGGGGTTTTCATTCCCCTCAAGCATTTATCCTTTATGTTACAAACAATCCAATTACACTTTTTTAGTTATTTTTAAATGTGCAATTAAGTTATTATTGACTATAGTCACCCTGTAGTGCTATCAGATAGTATGTCTTATCCATCCACAAAAATTATAAATTAAAAAATTTAAAAAACATTAAAAAATCCAATGTTATTTTTACTTGAGGATTGTTTTCAATTCAAGAAGTTTCACCTGCTTCCTTTTCATAGCTACCTTGTCTCTCCTACTACATTAATATTTTTATTTAAATCCCTTATCATGTATATAATGGCTATTTTAAAGTTCTTATGTTCTAACTACAACATTTCTATCATTTCTGGTTTTGTTTCTAAGGAATGATTTTCCTGTTTATTAAGGATACCATTTTTCTTATTCTTTTCATTTACAATAATTGTTATTTGATGTCAGTTAGTTTGCTTGCTGTATTTTTGAATGTCTACTAGATTTTATCTTTTTTTGAAAGGTTTATGTTTTGTTTTATTTTATTTTGTTTTGTTTCTGACATGTGCTTGAGTTGTTTGAAGATCAGATTGACCTTTCCGGACCTCTTTTCAAAGCTTTACTTTGCAGGTCTAGAACAGCTTTTACTCTAGGACTACTTTATCCTTTACTGTTAAAGCAGGATACTTGTGGAGTATCTGCTGAATGTCTTAGGTGTTTACCAAGTCCTCTCTGTTCACTCCTACTGGAACTCAAATATATTCCTCTACCATACATGATTGCTGGGGAAAGATACACTACAGCACCCAAGAAGTGGTTATCGCCTAGCCTCATGGAGTTCTCACGTGCTTGTGCAGCTTAGCATTCTGCAAAAACTTCAATGTCCTATACAGTCTTGTATCTCCTTATCTGCATATTTCTCTTCTCTTTGGAACTATGTCCCACAAGTTCTAGCCATCTCAGCCTCATTCCCATCTCTTTCTCCTCAGTGAGACTGTGTATTAGACTTTTTAGGTTTCTCCTTACTGTTCTTCATCCTGGAAAGTCCTTTTAGGTTGAAAGCCAGGATAATCTTAGGACTCAACTCATTTGTTTCAGTCTTCTTAGAGAGCACTCTCCAAAACTATCTGAAAATAGTTGATTCATAGGTTTTTCAGATTTCTTGTGTAAGGTGTAAGGACAACTACAGCATGTTTGTCGGTCATACACAAAAGCAGAAGCCCTAAATATGGTTTTAATGGAAAAGAATTTCTGTCTTCAAGGTAATTCCCTTTAAGCATTTTAACATTACTGTTTACTTGTCTGCTTGTATCCAGTGTTATTGATGACATCCCGAATTTTCTTTGTAAATATTTTTTATTTTAAATATTGTATTTCATAATTTTTAAATTATTATTTTCAATGTTCTAACATTATTCCTAAATGTTAGGTTTTAATTCTTTGTATTATTACTTCTATTATAATAATCATTTGTGTGTGTTTCTGTTTTTGTGTTTTGGTTTTTTTTTGTTTTTTTTGTTTTGTTTTGTTTTGTTTTGTTTTGCTTTCTAATATTTTCCATTTTCTCTCCTATGCTGCTTTGTGTCTTTTTCCTCTATCCAGGAGACATCTGATTAGATTTGGCCCTAGGGAGGTCCTACTGGGAGGTCAAATAGAAAGGGTGAGATAAGAAATAAGCAAGTATATTCACCTTCTTGTCACTGTTTCAGGTGTTGTGAGACACTGATGACATCTTTTTTGCTCCAGGTCTTACAGAAAAGCCCCCACTTCTGTGTTTCTTGCTCCTGTCTATCACTATAATTTCTTCAATCTGCTGTCTTGAAACCAGCTGTGGTACTCAGGTTCCTCACCCACGTCAATCAAAGATGCATTTATATTTATATTTATCTTGTCAGATAAACTGATATGGCATAGAGCATTTAATTAGGTATCAGAATAATTTCATATTAGTATGACAAAGTAATTGATGATTTTTAAAAGTAGCTATTTTCTTTTAATTCTTGCCTGTATTGTAAGCATGAGAAAGTTACATACTATTTTTAAATCAGATTGGGCCCCTTTCACAGTTCTTGAGAGAACAAATTCCTCCATAACATCTTTAAATCAAAAGGTGTAAGTTATTTTGCAACACCTCAATCCATTATTTTCTGAAGTGATCCATCTCAATAACAAAGTACCGGTAATTCCTTCCACTTTTACTAAAAAAGGTTATCAATTCCACATTCAACGTGGAAACTCAATAAATTGAATATTTGTCTTATTATTTAATATAATTTAACAAGACACGCAAAGTTTTTCCTAATAATCATGAGATTTGTGGAAAACTGAACAAAATTAATATTTGAATCTTATTACAATCTATTCATAAAGTATTTTCAGAAATCTACTAAAGTTTACAATTATATGGGTCATTTATTTCCTGAGGAATATAACAAATAAATAGTGCAAATAAACCAAAAAGCAATTACTTAATTAGCTGTAATCTGCAACAAGTTATTGTTACTCTGTCATATTTACATGTGGCTTTTTCTGAAATAAAATATTTATAGCATTATATATAGAGTTAAATCCCCTTTGAAATCAAATCAAATTGCCATTTATCTTGATGAGTCTCTCAAATCAACAACTGTCATGAAGTTGGTACATGTGGTTTTGTACAAAGCACTTTGTATCTTTTCATAAACACTTATACTACACATGAGCACTATAAAATATTTTTGCATTTTTGATGTTTTAATAAATCACCTCAGAACATGCATATAGTTTTGCAATTTGTTTTTATATTTAATATTATGATTTAATAATATAAATATATTTATACAATAGATCTAAATCAATATTTTAATTAGGTATATATTTTATAAATATTTTATTTATGTCCATATTAATGAGTGGATATGCTGGACCTTGCCCCTGAAGGATACTGAGAGTCTATTACGCATGTCTCGTCTGAAATCCACGTTCAATGATCTTACGTTTGTTGACTGAAGTTGACCATTTCATGTACTTGTTGATCGTTTTTATATACTGTTTGGGCAGATATCTATTCAGGTCTTTTGCACATTTTTAATTGGGTTATTTATTTTTCTGCTATTGTGTTGTATGAGTTCTTATAAATCTTGGATATTAACTCATTATTAGATATATGGTTTGCAAATATTGTTTCCTACTTGATAGGTCACAGTTTCATTGGGATGATTTTTTCCTGTGCTGTGCAGAAGCTTTGTAGTTTTCTGTGGCACTATTTATTTATTTTTGTTTTGTAGCTAGAGGTTTTGATACCATACTAAAAAATTATTGCCAAGGCCAATGGCCAAGAACTTTCTCTAATATTCATATCTAGGAATTTTAGAGTTTCTGGCCTTAAAGTTTGGTCTTTTATTCATTTTTAGTTGATTTTTGTGCATGATATAAAGGTCCAATTTTGTTTTTTTCATGTGCAAATTCAGTTTTTCCAGCGCCATTTATTGAAGAGACTATCCTTTCCCCAATGTGTTTTGTTTGTAACCTTGTCAAAAATTAGTTGACCATATGAGTTTGGATTTATTTCTGGGCTCTCTGTTCTGTTCCCTGGGTGTATGTGCCTGCTTTATGTCAGTAGTATACTGTTTAGATTACTATAGATTTATAATATAATTTTAAATTTAAAAGTGCGCTTCCTCCAACTTTGTTTTTCTTTTGCAGAATGTTTTTTACTATTTAGAATCTTTCATGGTTCCATCCAAATTTTAGTACTTTTTTTTGTTTTTTTTTCTATTTCTGTGAATAATACCATTGGGGTCTTGGTAGAGATTTCATCGAATTTGTTTGTTGCTTTGAGTAGTATGGACATTTCAACAATATTAATTATTCCAATTCATGAGCATGAGATGCCATTCCATTTATTTGTGTCCTCTTCAATTTCCTTTATCAAAGTTTTGTAGCTTTTAGTGTATATATATTCAAGTTCAACAACCTTGGTTAAAGTTATTACTTAATATCATTTTATTTGTTTTTTAATGCCGTTGTAAATGGGATGGTATTTTTAATTTTTTTAATTAGGTCAAAATATTTGCATTGAAATGCTACTAAATTTCATATGTTGATTTTTTTGACCTTCGGTATTACTGAATTCATTTATTAGCTCTCATAGTTTTTTGTGGAATCCTTGGGGGGGGTTTAATATGGGATTATGTCATCTGTAAATAAAGATAATTTCATTTTTTTCCTTCCAATGTGGATGCTTTTTTTTTTCTTGTCTGAATGCTGGAGTGGCAGAGCTGAAAGATAATTTACATATAAGTGAACCCACATAGCTCAAATCTGTGTTGTTCAAGGGTCAACTGTAAATGTAAAATTAGCAAGAGTAAGAAAATAATGAAAATAACAGATTCTTATTCTTTTATTAAAAATAAATAAAATTAAGATTTTTTTGATACAATAAACAAAATTGGCAAACTCTTAGCTAGTCTAAAAAAAGGAGATAAGGCTTATAAAATCAAATACCACCCCTCCTCCTAAGCCTTCTCAACCTGAAGATGGTGCAGATGCAGTTTGTTAAGATGATTTACTACCACATAATACATAGTAACTGTATTTTCTCCCTCTGATTCTCTTAATACTATTTTCATTCTCTAGGTTAGTGTATTGTATGAATACAGAATATAATTACATAAAGTGTGAAATATATTCTAATTGACTGTTTATATTATCAGTAAGGCTTCTGGTCAACAGTAGACTAGTAGAAGGTAAGTTTTGGGGGAGTCAAAAGGTTTATGTGGATTTTTGCCTGTGCAGGGTGTCAGCACTTCAAACCTCCATGTTGTTTAAGGGTCAGCTAGTTTTATGGATTTTTTTTTTTTTCCCTTGAGATGGAGTCTCGCTCTGTCACTCATGCTGGAATGCAGTGGCATAATCTCGGCTCACTGCAACCTCTGCTTCTCGAGTTCATGAGATTCTTGTGCCTCAGCCTCCTGAGTAGCTGGGATTACAGGCATGACCCACCATGCCGGGCTAATTTTTGGTATTTTTAGTAGAGACAGGGTTTCTCTATGTTGGCCAGACTGCTCTCAAACTCCTGACCTCAAGTGATCCACATGCCTCAGCCTCCTAAAGTACTGGGATTACAGGCGTGAACCACTGCACTGGGCTTAAGTACTTTGGTTTTTTTTCCTAGTTTGTTGAGGCAAAACATTAAGCTATTTCTTAGAGATCGTTCTTTTTTTTTAATGTAAGAATATTTTTCTGTAATCTTCCCCTTTGAATTGCTTTTGTTGCATTCCATAAGTTTTGACATCTTGTATTTTTATTGTTGGCTGTCTCTTTTTTTAAAATATCCTTTTGTTTTCCTCTTTTATCCATTGGTTATTCAGAAGCATGATGTTTAATTTCCACATATTTGTGAATTTTCTAAGATTCTTTTTTAACTGAGTTCTAATTTCATATTATTATGGTCTAAAATAATACTAGATATGATTTCAACTTTATTAAACTTATTAAGACTTTTCCTGGGCCTACTATATGTTCTATCCTGGAGAAGGTTCCATGTGTGCTAGAGAAAAATATATATTTGCTGCTGTTGGATAGAAGCTATGTTAGATTCATTTTATCAAAGGTGAAATTCAATTCCAGTATTTTGTTAATTTTCTGTCTGGTTGATTTATTTGTTGCTTATTCATTGTTGAAAGTAGGGTATATGAGTCTCCTACTTGTATTGTTATCTATTAATCACTTTGTGGTCATTAGTATTTGCTTTATATATTTAGGTGCTCCGATATTGATTGCATATATATTTACAATTCGTGTGTCCTCTTGATGAATTAACCACTTTATCATTGAACAACAACAATTTGTTTCCTGGACAATTTTTGACTTGAAGTACATTTTATTAGATATAAGTATAACCAACCACGCTTACTCTATTATGGTTACCATTTGTGTGGATTATCTTCTTCTATCTTGTTGCTTTCATTGTATGTGTATCCTTAAATCTTAGTGGATCTCTTGTAGGCAGCATATACTAGAATATTTTTAATTTATTTTCTCAATCCACTTAACCACTTTATATCCTTTGATGGGAGAATTTATTTTATTTACATCCAAAGTTTTTATATATAGAAAGTGTTTACTACTACCTTTTTGTATTTGTTTTCTAGCTGTTTTGCAGCTCCCTTATTCCTTTTTCTTCTGCTGTCCATCATAGTGATTTAATAATTTTTGTAGTGCTAAGCTTTGATTAATTTTTCTTTGTCCTTTGTATAACTGCTATTTTCGTCTGGTTTTGGAGTTATAAGACTTACATAAATAATCTTATATTTAAATCGACTGGAGCTCCCCCAGAGTTATTTTGGTCAAAATGTGCTATATCCATTTTTGTTTGTTTATTTGTTTTTTGTTTGTTTTATGGGAAGGAAGAGCACAAGAAGCTTCTAGTCAATCATCTTGTTGGCATCACCCCACCAAAAACTAATTTTCTTTATTTTTCAATAATAATTAGTTCTAAGGGTCATTACTTACTAAACAAGCCTATTTTCCCCACAGATTTTAAATCAAGCTCTATCAAATGCCAAGTTCCTAATTCAGCTACTGAACTATTTATCTTTCTCTATATATGTACACTGTTTCTATCTGTGGTTACTCTGTAACAAGCCTGATATCAAGGAATATAATAACCCTTTCATTTACTACTTTTTATTACCTTTTAAAATTATATGAGTCTCATTATTCTTTACTCTGTCAGACAAATATTAGAATAATATTTTTGGGTTACATGAAAAATTCTAGATATTATCTTAAATAAAATGTATTAGAATTGTATTAAAGTTACTAGCTAATTTTGAGAACATTTACCACTGTGGTATTGACTCTTAATATTTGGATATGGTATTTTATATTTGCTCAGATCTTATCTTATGGCTATTCATAATTGTAAAAGTTATATTCACATTACTCATGAACAGTTCTTGGTATGATAGTAGGCACATTATGAGTTTTGTTGATATTAGTGATTTTGTTGTTCCATTGTTTATTGCGGATATATGGAAACAATGCTGATTTTTTAATATTGGTATTTTGCCAAGAATCTGGCTGAAATCTATTATCTTTATTAGTTTGCTATTTTATTGATTTTCTTGGACTTCTAGCTAATTAAAATTACCTAATAAATTGACGTAACTGTAGATTTATTTCTTCTGCTCAACTCATTTTATTTGTAGTTTTGTTTTGTTTTCTATCTGCTGCTTTTCTTAGAGCATCCAATTAAAATCAAATGTTGAACTTCATAGAACATATTCACTAATTTTTGAAAATGTCAATGCTTTATTATTTTGGTTTTTGTAAAGTGTATTTGGTAAATACCTTTTAAAATTTAAGAAACTTATTGAAACCTTAGTTTTTATGTCTTAAAATTATTATTTTATGATTATATATGTTATTTAATTAGTCATACGTTGATTATAACTGTCATGTAGTTTTCCTCCTTTAATCATATTAGTGGGTTTGGATGTACTTTATCTTATGTAAAGAAACGTATTTTGTTGACACTATTTTACTCATGTCTCTTGGGTTGGCTGTCTCTCCTTGTTGGTTAATAAGGGAAATGAGCGTGATCTCTGCAGTAGAGTGTCTGGATGCTTTAGTTTTAAGTCAACATTAAGGTGATTACTTGGAGTTATCAATCGGTAGATTGTACCTCTAAGTAATTCCCTAGTAAGAAATGTAATGCCAACTAAAAACACATTTTTAAAATAACATAATTTATGACCTAATATGCCTTGATTGGAGTTCATAGAAGTAAAAGGTGGTGTATTGTTTCCAAGAAGTTCCCCCCAAAAGCAGTTTGCTTTCTCATATGTATACATAATCCAAAAATTATCTTATTTTCATTTTAATTTTGCTGTTCACTCAGATTTCCCCAGGTTGCCTACCTTAGGATGGTCCTATAGTACCATCTACCAAAGAACCATTTTAGATGGAAACGTTGAGGTCCCTTATCATGTCTTTCTTTTAAAAAAATTACTGCTGAATGTTATAGTAATAGAGAACAGTCTGCTTTCACTAGCCTTGTATTATTATATTTTGTTAGCAGCCTATTTTATTTTGCTTTCTAAATAAAAAAACTTTAAAACCTACATTGTATTTTGTTTCCCCGTCCATCATACTTGATAATGTTTTATTATTTTCATAGTCTACTAGGATATTTAGTATTTAGTTTTGTGTTTCTGTGATATTGATTGTTGGCTATATTACAGAACTGTACTATCTTCATAAAATGAGCAGATTATTCTGTCCTGTTTTTATACTCTCTATTATCAAAAAAAGTTTTTATAAGATATATTTCTTCATTATTTGCCAAAACTTTCTATGACATTGAGACTATTTTATTTTGAATAGAAAGATTTTTGTTACCAAATAACATTCCTTAGTGGATATTACATTTCAGATAGTGTATTCCTTTGTCTTATTTATTTAATTTCCTCAGATAATTTACATTTATTTAAAAATATTTGAATGTATTTATTATTTAATAAATTATTTAATAATGATGTTTTTGATATTCCTCTTTAGTTTATTAAAATACTTTGTTTCACTATTCCTACACAAAATGTTTTATGCTTTATTATTTTTGAAAAAATGAAAAATTATTTGTTTTGTTTTCTCTTTTATGAATTTTTGCCTCATGTCTCTTGCCCATGACATACTCTAGCTAAGTTACTCTTGTGCTTTTTAACAAAATGATTTAATGTTGTTTTTTTTATACATTTTGCTCACTTTTTTTTTTGTTTTCTGGTGTTTCTTTAAAGATTCAAATGATTTCCTAATTATGAATCTCTTAAGTTTCGTTATGTAGTTCTCATATTAGTGTTATTTTTTTCCCACTGAGACAGAAGTAGTAGCAGGGGTACAGTTTTTCTGTTAAGAATGCCATTTTGGGGACAGAATACAGGTATAAAGTAAATGCCTCAATGACAGGGACATCCATACTATAAGCACTTTACAAACTGTGTGATTGGAGAAACACATGGCCTCTGCTGCAGTGATCAAGAGTTGTACTCCAAGTCTTGGAAGCAACATGATGTTGTAGAAACTTAGCTTCCAGCCTACTTCTACCTAATCAGCATTCATGGCTGGAAAAGAATCACCACTTTCATGGCCACAATAGCTGAAGGAATTTCAGCCAGGGTTACCTTCAGCAACTGTTTATAGCTGATTTCCATAGAGCTCTGTAGAAGGTCAACTCTCTGTGTGAGATGAATTATCCCTTATTATCATAAATACTTCATAATTTCAGAGTAATTGCTCTTTAACCTGTCAGCTAATATTGAGAGAGTTATATGATTACAAACTTGGAGTTAGGAGATATTTTACATTTACAATTGTATTGTTTATATATGCCACAAAAATAAAGCAAGGTAAATGGAATTGGAAGTGTGAGTGTGATGTGTTTTCTTGTTTCTTTATTTTTACTCTGTCAACTAAGAATTTATACCGCTTATTTCAACTTTCTATTGCTTATCTTAAAAATTTTGAAATATACCTTCACAGTTGTATTGTGACTATTTTATCACAGTTTTAGACTAACTACTCTGTATCACTAGCATTTTAAAGAGAAGCTAATTTTTTGTGCCTAATATGAGACACTATTACTGTATTTGTAATAGGATATATATAAAAATAGGATACATATACTTATATATAACTATATTTACTAGTATATTTATATGAATTTATTTATTTATTTATATATCCTACTGCAAATACAAATATAACTATATATACTAGCATATGTAGTTATATATATAATTATAGTATATATATAGATAAGTACATATAGTTATATATACTAGTATATACATGAATATATATCCTATTAGTGTGTGAATACACACACACACACACACACACATGCAGGGGAGCTTGTTAACTATTAACTTACACGATCACAAGGTCCCACAATAGGCTGTCTGCAAGCTGAGGAGCAAGAAGAGCCAGTGTGAGTCCCAAAACTGAAGAACTTGGAGTCCAATATTCCAGGGCAGGAAGGATCCAGCACATGAGAAAGTTGTAGGCTGGGAGCCTAGGCCCATATCTCCTTTTCACGTTTTTCTGCCTGCTTTATATTCGCTGGAAGCTGATTAGATTGTGCCCAACAGATGAAGGGTGGATCTGCCTTCCCCACCCCACTGACTCAAATGTTAATCTCTTTTGGCAACACTCACACAGACACACCGAGGATTAATACCTTGTATTCCTCAATCCAATCAAGCTGACTTTCAATATTAGCCATCACAATTATTAATAAATAATGAAGTCAATTAACCTCCATATGCTTAATCAAATGCATAAGAAATAAAGAAAGATTGGTAACCCCTTTCAAAGATAAGCCATCTTATGAGAAAACATACAAATGTAACTCATAGTGATTTTGTTTGCATAGACGATGACTCTAGGTTTATCTTTCATAATTGAAGGAAGATTGTCTTGATTTTAAAATTTAAAGGACATATCTATAAAGATATTGAGGATGCTAAATACTGCAAATTGGTTAAATTAACAGCAGGTTTCTATTGATCTACTCAATTTTATTTTAATGAGTTCAAGTGTTTAAGTTTAAATTATATATGTCAAAATGAGGAGAATTTTAGTTAGTAATTCTGATCAATAATTATGATATGTAGCAGTAACATTTCATGTATAGATAAATTTTCTTGATATATAATTTTATTGTAGCAAAACATAAATATTTCAGAATAAATAATATATTTAATATATTATTGTCAATATTTGAGACAATACTATAAGATTTTGAATTGCTCTCTATGCATACGTAGATAGATATAATAGATAATTACTAGAGTAAATGATTTTATATTGTGTGATTAAGTAGGATAGAATAAAGATGTCACACTTTTCTTCACAGGATTAAAAAATAATTGTATCTCTTTTAGCAACAATTCCCCATAGCCACCATAAACAAAATAAAAGGTTATATACTACTGGAATTAATTGCATTTAAACCTCAGTGCTACAGATACCTCATTAAAGAAACCTTTGAACCATCATTTTTAATTGACTACAGGCTTTGTGTTAGCTGGATGTTCAAAACCATTAAAAAACATAAAATTGTATAGGAATCTTCTTATTCACTCACTAATATACAACAAATACTCAAATGCATTCAATGGGGTATTGTAATTGTTTCTTGAGGTATATGAGTATATGGAATAGATGAAAAATGTTTTCTGATTTTAAGCCTGCATTTTATCAGGGCATGTGGGCTGTGAACAGAAAAGTTACATTAGTAGATTATATTATGGTTAGGAGGTTATATGTACTGTAGAAGAATAAAGCCAAGTAAATGAATTTGGAAATGTCAAGTGCAGAGGGATTGCAGGTTGCAATATCAAATAGTGCGGTCAGGTAAGCCACACTGAGAAATGACTTAAGTATAGATACAAAGGAGAGAAAAGAGTTTGCTATGAACATATCTGAGGGAAAGATATTTTGGCAGAGGGAATAGCCAGTGTAAACACCCTATGGCAGGAGCATATGTGAAATAGCAAAAAAAGAGAACATGCCTGGAATAGATAAGCAAAGGGAATAATGGTTAGTCAGATCAGGGATGTAACTGGAATTTCTATTATGCAGAGCGTGTAAGCTTTCGTTTTCACTAGGATTGCAATAGGAAGTCATTGGATGGTTTCCAGCAAAGGGATGACATAATTTGACTTATGTTCAAATGGATCACTCTGGTTGCTATGTAGAGAATTTACTATAAAGGGCAATAATGGAAGTATTGCATTCAGATAGAATGTAAAATAGGTAAAAGATAATGTCATTTTGAATCAAGATGTTTACAAGTACTTGAGAAATGATCATATTTTAGATCCCACAAATTATATATAGAGTGTGAGTGACAAATTGTAGTCAAAGATGAACTCAAGTTTGGCTGCCAATGAAAAGATAAGCCACAAACTGGGAAAGATCCTTGCAAACCATGTATTTGATAATGGATTGATAAAAGAAAGACCGCAGAAAAATTAAATTTAGCGGAGTTTATCTGAGCAAACATCAGGCAGTACTCAGCGTCAGGAGAGCTTCAGAGAGCTCCACTCAGCAATGCAGGCAGCCAGTATTTCTAGAGAGAAAAAGAAATTCACTTACAAAAAATCTTGATTGGCTAAACTTGCTCATTTGCTATATTTGGGTATGATGTGTTGAAGAAGTTTTTTTTCCTTAAATGAACCATGTTGTATCAGTTGGCAGCCTGTGATTGGCTGAAGCTCAGCTGCTAAGATTTGCGGAGACTCAGCTATCTGTTAGAAGAATATATATATATATATATATATATATATATATTCTCTCCATACATATATATATAGAGAGAGAGAGACTGAGAGAGAGAGAGATGGAGTCTTGCTCTGTCGCCCAGGCTGGAGTGCAGTGGCACAGTCTCTGCTCACTGCAAACTCCACCTCCCGGGTTCAAGTGATTCTCCTGACTTAGCCTCCTCCGTAGCTGGGATTACAGGCACACAGCATCACGCCCAGCTAATTTTTGTTTTTAGTAGAGACAGGGTTTCACCATTTTTTGTTTTTAGTGGAGACGGGGTTTCACCATGTTGGTCAGGCTGGTCTGGAACTCCTGACCTCGTGATCCACCCGCCTCGGCCTCCCAAAGTGCTGGGATTACAGGCGTAAGCCACCGCACCTGGCCAGAAGAATATAGTTTTAAGTTAGCTTGCAGTTTGTTTTACATACTAAGTTAGGTTGCAATTTGCCACATATGGAGGCAGCTTTAGGCCGAATTTAATTTAATTTAACAGGGCATATATTCAGATTTTAAATAAAACAACAAACACCTCAAAATTTAGCAAAAAGACAATAAATAACGCAATTTAAAAATATGCAATATTTGAATGCCACTTCACCAGAGAAGGTTATGGATATCAAATAAGCCTGTGAAATGATATTCAATATCATTTGTCATTAGGCAAATGGTAATTAAAACAAGTTTACATTGGACATATATTGACTACAACAGTAGCACAATTCTCAATTGAAAAACTATGAAACCAGCCTAAATGCCGGTCAACCAATGAGTGGATAAAGAAAATGTGGTATATATACATCATGGAATAGTACTCATACATAAAAAGGAATGAAATAATGGCATTCACAGAAACCTAGATGGAGTTGGAGACCATTGTTCTACGTGAAATAACTCAGGAATGAAAAACCAAATATCACATATTGTCATTTATAAGTGGGAGCTAAACTATGAGGACGCAAAGGCATAAGAATCATGCAGTGGACTTTGGGGACTTGGGAAAGTGTGGAAGGGGGGTGAGGTATAAAAGACTACACACTGGATACAGCGTACACTGTTTATGTGACGGGTGCACCAAAATCTCAGAAATTACAACTAAATAAATTATTCATGTAATCAAAACCATCTGTTCCCCAAAAAAACTATTGAAATTTTTTTTTAAAAATGAAAAGAAGACTGGTTTATTAATTATTAGTGGTTGTATGAAAAATAAAAACTGAAATTCTTACTGCTCATAGAAGTGTAAAAATGTGCAACTACTATGAAAACTAGAAGGACCATTTCCTTAACACACACTTCCCACATGACCTAGATAGACCCGTCCACTCCAAGGTATTTATCTCAGAAAGTCATATGTTAGTGTTGATATTTATATTTGAATGTTAATGGTAACTTATGCATAGGTAAAAATAAGAAACAACCAAAACTTTTTCATCCAGGCAGTTGGACAAACTGTGGAATATTACATCATACAATAAATACTACTTAGCAAGATAAATAACAGATTATTTATACGTGCATAAATCTCAAAAATATCTTGACCCATGCAAGAAGAAATAAATGGCTTCACATTGTATCATTCAACTTATAGGACATTCGTGAAAAGACAAAACTATATGAACTTAACAGAGATCAGTTTTTTCCAGGAGCCAACAGCCAGAGTTGGAGGTGAGTTCAGGGTGAGCTGACTGAAAAGGGCTCTGTGGGAAGTCTATGGGGTAATAGGTGTATTCTGAATCTTGTTTGTAGAAGAAGCTCTGGAGCTGTACCTATTCATCAAAGTACATTAAAGTGTACAATTGGAAATTGTGATTATTATATGTGAACTATGCCACAATTTAAAATAAATATGCCCAGGTTTTTGAGCAAACTGTTCTTTCTCACTGAACTGTTCTTTGTTATATTGTGTCCTTACACTTTATTCTTCCTTCCTTTACATTATTATTAAAAATATACTTCCTTTTAAAATCTGCCCTCTTCAAACAGAAAATGTAAGAATTATTTTAATAAAAAGCTATCTTAAATGTCAATATTCTTTTATTACATGCCAATTTATCTGCAAACTCTAGCTTTTGTTAGTACATGTCAGATACTGCAGTCAGTACAATGAGGTATTTCTCATTGTCTTAATTCTCTGTAAAACATATTTTATGATAATTCGTGTAAACCTTCAATATAAAAATAAATTGAATTGAGCTTGTTATAGTTCTATCAAAGAAGCACCCATTTGGCAAGAATTTCAGCTGAGAAGATAATGAGCAGGTACTTAGTTAGCATCACCATTTTCAGAATGACGCAGAGAGTGTTTTCTTTGATAAATATGAAAATAAAACATAGTTACATTGCTGTCCCACGTGGGAAGTATGATAGTTTAGATTCCTCATTATAATTTTTTCTCACACTATCTTTTTCCTTGAGATTAATATAGAAACCTAATTTCTAAATTAAAGTTTTATATAAACAATCTTCCAGTCATTTTTCCATACAAAAAGGTAACTTTGGACTAGAGATTTTAAAAAATGTATAAAGCAGCCAAACATTACTTCTATCACATTATACTCATTTAGTCAGTGTCTTTCATTCTGAGATTATACTTCTATCTCTTGTGATAGGTAGTATGTCCTTCACACTATGATTTCCAAAAGAAAGGGGAAATGTAAGTCTGGTATAGATCAAAAACAAATTGTATGTAATTTACTTTCAAGGAGCTTGCTTGTGTATCAGAATTAGAGTGACACCATTATACTTGGTGTCTGTATGTTTAGAGTAAAGTTATTTGTAGAAGTTATTTTTGGCAAATACCTACATGATGCTTAAGGGACTTGAAGTGTTCTTAACACTAAGCTTTATATTTGAGAAAATTGTACATTCTCATTCAGCTGTAAGAAACAATACAGAGGCGCACTATATATCCTCCATTTAGTTCAGAGGTACAGCCCTTTAAAATCAAGGTTGTCTTATGTTATTTTTGTTTATGTCTCTTAAGTCATTTGATCACTTATCGTGATGTAAGACTATTTTCTTCTGCTTCATGAGGTCTTTTGATAGTTGAAACATAGTTATACAATTACATACCTCTATGGAGCACCTCTTGCCTTTTTCAGGAAAATAGATATTAGAGAATCTCTCAGTTACAGGTGATTACAAACCCAACTAAATCTGACTTAAATAAATTTGTTTTTAGTGATACACATAAAACTAAGGGTAAACTGACTTCTGATTCATCTAATGTTGCTGATACTTCTGTCCTTTACATCACTCAGTTTTCACTGTGCTGAGTTAATTATTAGTCAGACTTAGATTTTCATATTTACTCCTTAAATAACTACTGTGAAATGAATAGATTCACTTCTGCAAAAGGCACTGACCTCCAGGTGGAAACTCATCTGAGTTATTTATTTTTTGAGTATTTTTGTGATATAAAGGCTGCACCAGCATATACATGTTTGAAGAAATTTGACAATTAAGTTTAATAATAACTAACATTTATTTCTATTTAACATGTAACCCATAAAATTGTAGACATTTTTCCTCATCGAATAGGTATAACAACTCAGCCATTTTTTACAAGAGTTTAGGATTATAGAGTTTCTAAGTAAAAAACAAAAATCCACTATTGTTCACATAGGTAATTTATGTTATTATTTGTTAAAGTTTTTCATATGCCTTTTCTGGGACTGTTGGTTCAAGTTACATTTTCACATATTTAACTGGCCAGGCACGGCGGCTCACGCCTGTAATCCCAGCACTTCAGGAGGCTGAGGCAGGTTGATCACAAGGTCAGGAGATCGATACCAGCCTGGCCAACATGGTGAAAACCCCACTCTACTAAAAATAAAAAAAAAATAATTAGCTGGGCATAGTGGCATGCGCCTGTAGTCTCAGCTACACAGGAGGCTGAGGCAGGACAATAGCTTGAACCCAGGAGGCAGAGGTTGCAGTGAGCCGAGATCATGCTATTGCACTCCAACCTGGGCAAGAGAGCGAGACTCTGTCTCAAATATATATATATATTATATAAATGTAACTAATCATTTGTTATGTGTAATGCTATCTGTGTTTTATGGGAAAAAATACATAAATTCTTGTTTTCTTCACTAAATAAATGCTTGAACTGATCCAAAATTTTAATAGAAGTTAATTTAAAGAAGCATCATATTTTTGGTCTGCTGTGGGAGTCCAATTCCTCTGACCAAGCATGAGACAACTCCTTAAAGACAGGCAGTTCCTAATTGGGTTATCGACCTTTTCCAGTGATCTTAATTTCTCTGCCTTTCCTTTCTGCTGAAAACCATGATTTTTTAAAAAGGAGAGGAATTTCTGCTATAATTATTTTTTACTTCTTTCTATTCAATCTATGTTTATCAGTTTCATTTTTATCTCTGCCATTCTCCTTCATATTTGTCACCTAGTTTATTTCTTTCTTATCAGAACTCCTCACCACTATGCAGTATCTACCGTCTTGCTGTCAGTGCTTGAAAATCCTGATTGTTTTAATCAAGAATGCTGACAAAAACATTTTTTAAAATGTACTTGCCATGTAAACTTCTGATTAAGTCAATACTGTGATTTCGCAGTTGCAAATGCCAACTGTTAATCCTCAAATCGTGCTAAACAAAATGTGAAATTTTACATTTTAATAGAAGAGGCTAACTACACTTAACAACCAGGTGTGAATTAGCATGAGAGATCAAGAGGTAATTGAAACTGGTTTAGAAGCAGCTGTTCTGCCGGGCTTCTGTGTAAATATAAGAAGACCAAATAAGTAATTGAAATGATTTTATCTGAAGCCATCTCTGCTGGTATCTTCCCTGGACCTGCACTTTAGTATAAATCTTTAATATTAAATAATTTAGACTCAAAAACCATGCCTACTGATAGGATTGAGGCATCCAGGTGCTTCTGCCTATAAAACTGGAGAGAGTTTAAGGGCCAGGCTACCTGCTACTTAAAAGATGGACATGCAAAATTATCAGACAACCATCCTCAGGCCTGTATCATGAGCTAGCTCTGAAATAAGGAGACTAGAGGTGTGGGTGTGGGTAGAGGTAGCCTTATAGAGACAGGGGATTATATTAACAATAAAATGTAAACTCCTATACATATCTACTAACCTCTCCACATACATGAAAACATATAAAACATATCCATAGATAACACTATTCTTTATAGTATTGTGATATTGTAATTTATTTTCTTTTTTCTCAAATTTAGACATTACCTTATCATTATACATGTGAAAGTATTATAATGAAAAACTGAAATTTGCTTATGTTGTTTGGGAATACCATAGAGATATAAGGTATGAGTTTAGACAAATTAAATAGATTGACGAAAAATATTCTTATTTGAGCAATTTTTTTTTTTTTTTTGAGATGAGTCTCGTTTTGTTGCCAGACTGGAGTGCAATGACTTGATCTCGGCTCACTGCAACCTCAGCCTCCCAGGTTCAAGCGATTCTTCTGCCTCAGCCTCCTGAGTAGCTGGGACTACAGGCGTCCGCCACCACACCCAGCTAATTTTTAGACCACCATGCTGACCAGGATGGTCTCGATCTCTTGACCTCGTGATCTGCCTGCCTCGGCCTCCCAAAGTGCTGGGATTACAGGCATGAGCCATCAGGGTTAAGGCTCATTTTTCACTGATTTTCTTGATCTGGCATTTAATTATGAAATAGTAAAAGATTCATGGATATTGTTCTTGCCTTGCTGAAATGGTATTAGCTAAGATTTTAATTTATTATTACTGCTATATAAAATGTAAATTGTATCACAAATAAATATATATTAGTTCTATACTTGTGAAATATCAATCTCTAGAGAAATCACTCGAATAAAAATGTCCTCATGTCAAACATCCTTGCCTTTATATTATTTTCACACAGTTACACAGTATAAGCAGTTATGAGTAATATACTGCAGTCTTTTCAAATATTAGCTCAAACTCAAAAATATATATTTATTTATGAATTTATGACATCAGCTTGTATTTTTTTTCAGAGTTTTATTGACTGCTCACTTTTAATGTAGCTTTTCTTTTTTTTTTTTTTTGATACTGAGTCCCATTCTGTCACCCAGGCTGGAGTGCAATGGCACGATCTTGGCTCGCTGCAACCTCCACCTCCTGAGTTCAAGCAATTCTCCTGCCTCAGCCTCCCGAGTAGCTGGGATTACCATGCCTGGCTAAGTTTTTTGTATTTTTAGTGGAGAGAGGGTTTCACCATGTTGGCCAGGCTGGTCTCGAACTCCTGACCTCAGGTGATCCACCCGCCTTGGCCTCCCAAAGTGCTGGAATTACAGGCATGAGTCACCGCACCTGGGCTTAATGTAGCTTATTTTGATAGGCTCCACTTGCATTTGTTCTTGTCTATAATAATAATAAAACTTACTATAAATGATGTCTCCTTTCGAGCAAACTCATTTAACACGTATATCTAGAAATATATCTTGGTGATTTGCCTATAATTTTGAAATGTATAATGCATTACAATTAAGTGTAAATAATTTAACAATAAATGCTTGTTTGTCCAGTCCACCTCAAAACAGCAAACGAAAGTTTTTCCTTTAAGAATAATTTGGTACTTCCTATTCTATTTTTAGGCTCGTGTTACTCTCTGTGAAATGAATTACCATTGACACATCTTTAAATAGTAGTTAAGAAAAAATCGCACTGTTAGCATTATATATACCTACACACACATTAACAGGCAGGTAATCATTGACAGCAATAAGCTTCCATTTTAGCTTTTGTCCTTATTAAGCTCTTGAGAAAATATAGTGGACTATACAGGGAAATTTGAAGTGAAAAATGAAAGCCATCAGTCTATAATATAGCTAAAACAGCTCTGAACATCAGGCACAAAAACAGATTCTGCTGGTTTGACTCAAATAGGCTTTAGTGTCACTTCAGCTCCAATTACAACCATTTGAAATAATTTGAAGACATTCCAGAAGCTGTTTTTATTTTTGTTTACTTTATTTATTTATTGAGATGGAGTCTCGCTCTGTCACCAGGCTTGAGTGCAGTGGTGAGATATTGGCTTACTGCAATCTCTGCCTCCCAGGTTCAAGCAATTCCCCTGCCTCAGCCTCCCGAGTAGCTGGTACCACAGGTGTGCACCACCACGCCCAGCTAATTTCTTTTTTTATTTTTATTTTCTTACTTTTTAAAAATTTTTCCACAAGTTATTGGGGTACAGGTGGTATTTGGTTACACAAGTAATTTCTTTAGTGGTGATTTGTGAGGTTTTGTTGCACCCATCACCCAAGGAGTATACACTGCACCATATTGGTAGTCTTTTATCCTTCGCCTCCCTACCGCCCTTCCCCACAAGTCCCCAAAGTCCATTGTATCATTCTTATACCTTTGTTTGCTCATAGCTTAGTTCTATGCTCTACATGCATGCCATCAGAGTCATAAGTTTTCTTGGCCTGTATATGGCAACTCTGGATTGTATTGTCGCTTCTAGTTTTTTATTTGTGCTGAAGTAACATCTAAAATGCTGATTCTTGCCAAAGGCATTGCCTCTGCTGTGATGCTGCCAGAGCCACTTTCTATGCCAGCATCCCAGATAACTGGACTACTAGGATAATGTCTGTGCTGAGGCACTTTCTTCAGAAGCCCGAAAAATACTGACATGGTGAGTGTCCCCCATTCCACCAAAGTCCCCTTACAAGAGTGCTTGTCAATTGTACCCTGAAACTTGCAATTTTTGTTGAAACATTGTTTTAAGTTGTTTTTTTTCATGCTAAAAAAAGTTTTAAACTTTTTAACTTAAATTTTTACTATGACTGAGGCATGAATCCACTTAGGACAAAAACTAAAAGGCAAAAAGAATAGACATTATATTTTAAAAACAAAAACATAAACCTCTTCTGCAATGCCATTACATTAACCTTTGTCAAAATGTCAGTATCCATCTGTTTTCTATCGAAATAGGTTGTTTCCAGGATGAACGTATTCATTTATATAAATAAGGCCCAAACGAACAAAAACAATCTAAATTCTAGACTTGCATACCCATGGCTAGACCTCAGAGTAGCAAAGTTTAGGTCAAATGTGTATTTTAGGTGTATATATAGTTATAATGAAATGTATTTTGTTAGACTTTAGCAAAATTACTTCTTTTGTATTGATTTTGGAATGTGTAAATATGTTTTTGTTTGTTCATTGGGGAGAGAGGACTCTGATATCCTTTATTATTAGGTTATCAGGCAGCTGCACACTTTTTTCTTCAGCCGCAGGGAGAAAGGATTTCTGAAACAACAAGCATCACAAGTGAGTATTTAGTACAGAAAACAAATGCAAGACCCACAAATCTTCAAAGTTCCTATTAATTCAGTGGAATTCTAAGTATGAAGAAGAAACAGCTCCTTTTATTGCAAGAAATTATCCTCTTTAGAAATGCAATTTGGCAGAAACCCGCTAAAATAACTGTCTTTTATAGACAAAGAAAACAAATTTGCATTCTATTAAAAATACATTTTAGGAGTGTATTAGCCCCATTTTCTGCTGCTTAGAATAGAACACCTGAAACTAGGTAATTTATAAAGGCAAACAATTATTTCTTACAGGTTTCAAAGGTTGAGAAGGCCAAGGTGAAGGGGTTGTGTCCGGTGTCTTCTTGCTGGTGGGGCCTGTTTTCAGAATCTAGAGACAGTACAGGGTAGCACACAATGATGAGGTGAGCACATTAATATGCCAGCTTAGGTCTATTTTCCTCTTCTTATAAAGGCACTAGTTTTCTTCTCATGAAAACCCATTGATTTATTAATCCATGTATAGCTTAATCCATTCATAAGGACAGAGCCTTCATGATTCAACCACTTCTTAGAGGACTCACCTCTCCTTACTGCCACATATGAAATTAAATGTTAACATGTGTTTTGGAGAGGACATGGAAACCATAGCACAGGGCATATCCACTCAAATGGAAAGTATCTGTCATTGGTATTATATAAAGGACATCAATAAGATAAGTCTCCCTGGACAGCATGACTAGAAATGAAGTTTTGCTGTCTCCAAGGAAAAGCATTTTGGGTGCATGTTCACTCAAATAATGACCATACTCTTTTAGTGATTTTATTTTTATTTTATTTTATTTTTTTTAGATGGAGTCTCACTCTGTCACACAGGCTGGAGTGCAATGGTGTGATCTCGGCTCACTGCAACCTCTGCCTCTCAGGTTCAAACGATTCTTCTCACCTTCTGCCTCCCAAGTAGCCTGGAACTACAGGCACACACCACTACGCCAGCGCCAGGCTAATTTTTGTATTTTTAATAGAAACAGGGTTTCACTATGTTGGCCAGGCTGGTCTCGAACTCCTGACCTCAGGTGATCTGCCTTCCTCCACCTCCCAAATTACTGGGATTACAGGCATGAGCCACTGCACCTGGTCTTTTAGTGATTTTAAAAGGACTTCTATAAAAGCCAGCATCCCTCTGGACATTATGACTGTATATCAATTTTTCTACTTGAGTGGGCTCAATCACAGTTTTGGAAGATCCACTGAGTCCTCCATCACTATGAGTATCAGATTAGATAATTATTAATGTTTGAAAACTACAAAGAGTGGAGCAAATAGCAAGATCAAAACATATATATGTATTTATGTTTATGATGTATATACACATATGCATATACACACAAACCACTCAAACACATACATAGGACTAAGAGAAGTTCACTGTGAAGACACGTGAGCATCGGTTCTGTAGGAACTATAACAGAATTTGTTGCTTTACAGAGTATTTATTGGCTTTTATACCTCAGAAATTGGAGGAAAAAAATACACCAATAGCAAAAACAAGAGAAGCAACAATAAGAAAAAGTTAAAAGACTTTTTTTTTGTTTACCAAAGATGTTTGAAGGTAAATTTATCTCATATATTTGTCATATATTTCACCTCTCTACTACACATTAAATACTTTACAACATTGAGTTTTTACAACATTGATATATTCCATGTGAAATTTAATTACTTAGGATATGTAGCTAATATTATGCAGGCATAGCTGTCATAATGGTACTGGGCACTAGATCAGCTAATACGTTAATATTTTCTGCAACTTGACCTATAATATTGCTCCTATTTCTAAAAGTCTTCTCTCTTGAACAGCTATGGTAGAATGGTTTCAGACTATGGTAAGGTGATTTCAGAGAGCACAGGGCCAAGGTAGCTGCTTCGCACCTGCTAAATCTTACTAATAAAACTCATGGGACACTTAGAAATGTGAATTATAACAGTCAAAGTCTTTTCTTAATTCTGCCCCAAGCTGATGAAGTGATTTTGACCCTGGCTCTGTTTTAAAAATTTCTTCGTGGCTAAAAATATAAATATTGTACTCAGTAAGCATGCAGTAATTTTTTTTTGTTGTTGTTGCAGCCTTAAAATTTCTGCTTTAATGGCAATCAAGTTTAAAAAATGTACAGTTCCACTTACCCATACTATTCCTTTATAAAAGGTAGATTTCAGGTAAGCTTCTAAATGCATGCATAATGTAGAGGCTAATATTTTCTGGCAGTCCTTGGTTCCTGAAAGTTGAACTTCATATGTGTTTTAAGCTTTTGTCAAAATAGTCATGAAAGATATGTTATTTTTGCATAATGAGGTAATATATCAGGAGTGGGCACTCATAAGACAGTATAAATCCACTTGTCTAAACTTGCATGAGGCTGTATGCATTGTAAAATGTCACAAAGAGTTTTAGCTCAGTGAATATTTTGCTGAAGGAATAACACTTACAATTAACTCAGCACTTTTCTGTAATGAATACCAAAGTAGGTTTTTGTAGCTGTAAACTGTGCACACAGATAACTACAGGCTGGTCTGTCATGGAGCTAAAAGTTTCACCTGGAAAACAGAACCCACCTCTTTGTTAATGTTTTTTACTTCTCAATCTGTTTGTCATTGGTGATTATTCAACAGGCTTCCCAAAATTTCAAAATATTTTTATAACTCAGAGTAAGGTAAATATTCTCTTATGTTTGCATATAGATTCAACTACTTAACATTTAAAAAATTGTTTTTTAATTATATATAATTAATTCTGTTGCATATATGAAGTTTAAAATTATTATATTTGTCTTGCATAGTCAACAGATGATTCTTTACAACAGTGCAGCATCACTACACACAAGATCTCACACTCCTCTTGCTATTCTGCCTAGATAAAATAGCACATTATCCAAGACCTCAAGTAATTTTTTTAAAGTATAATTATATTGTTTAACCTTAGGCGCATGGCAGAGATCAGGCATGCCACTTTTCTGTTTCTGCAGTGCTAAAATAAAAGTCAAGAAAATTTGAGAATGCAATTAATCACCTATAGTAAAAAGTCTTTTATAGGAATTCATTTGAATGAGTTGAATTGTTTAAAATTCAACTAGATATTAGATATCAACATAAATCTATTTACAGAAATTTCAGCACATTCTAGGAACATTAGATAGTTGGGAAGAAATTATTATTTAAGCTTTCATTGAAATTATCCAATCTCAGAAAAAAAGATAAAAATAGATACAAGTAAACGGAGTTTCAATGACCAAAGGGAAATATCAAGAGCACTACTATACATGTAACTGGAGTTTGCATTGGAGAGAAAAAAGGATGTGTGGAAAAAAATATATATATAGTGAAATAAATAATAGAGTTTTTTCTATCATCTTACAGATTCAAAAATCGCTGACTAAAAACCTCCTACAATAATGACAAAGGCACCACACTCAAACTAAGTCAGTGAGGAAAACCCTGTCCTGCTCTTCCTTACCATGTAATAACAAGGTGGCTGCTCCTGCCAACTTCAAGCCAGGGCTGAAGAGACTATAGGGTGGAACTTTGTCATCTGAGTGACTCACAAGGTTTTATAAACTTAACTGAAATGTAAAGAACAACTTCCTTAACAGGTTGACAATACTGAAAGAGAGGATTTAAATAAGAAATTGAGACTTAAAACCTAATACTCAAAACATCCAAGAGATATGCAAAAAAATTTTTTTCCTACAAAAATTAAATAATAGTAATTTGAATAAGAACAGAGATGAAAGACATAGAAAGACAGAGAAAAAGGATTCTGAAGCAGCTGGCATAACCATGTTCTAGAAAGCATTTTTAAACACTCTTGAAACAGGTAAAAAAAAGAAAATCTCAGCAGAAGTATCTGAGGTACAAAAAAGATATAAAGAGAAACCAAAGAATAATTTGAGAACTAGAAATAATAATAATAAATTTGTAAAACTTACTGGAGAGGCTCAGCAACAAACTGGAAATAAAAGAGGAAAGACTCAGTGAATCAAACATAGATCAATAAAAAATATCTAATCTAACCAACAGAGGGAAAACAGACAAAACTAAAACTGTGCAGCTAAGCTTTATGAGTTAGACATTAGTAGAACATCAAACATATGTTTTATTAGAGTTCTAGAAAAAGAAGAGAACAAATGGGTGACTGAAGAAAAATGTTTGAAGATAATAAGCTAAATATTTCTCCACTTTGGCAAAGACACAAACATGGATGTAAGAACTTGAGCAATTCTAAACAAGATAAACACAAAGAAAATCATGCAGAGATATTTTGCTGGCAAACTTCTTTCTAAAAACAAGAGAATCATCTTGATGCAGGCTTAGTGAAAGAAAACTACTTATAGGAGAAAAACAACTTGAAAAACAACACGTTTCTCATTAGAAACCATGGAAGCAAGAATGAACTGACATAACATTTTTCAGTACTGAAATAAAGTGTTATCAACATGAAATACTATATCCAAAAAGAATAATATTCAGGAATTATGATTAAAGATAGTCTCCTGTGATTGAAAGCTAAAAAGATTTGCCACAATCCCATATGCTGAAACTTGGCTAAAGGGAGTTCTAGGGAAATAAAAAATATATATTAAGGGAAGAAAAAATATACATATTAAAGGAAAATATATTAAAATATATATTGGAGGATTATAAATGGAGAACAGAAAGAGTAACCATATGGGTAAATATAATACATTATTATTCTCCTATTTAGATTTTAAGATTGTGTTTGACTGTCAAAAGCAAAAATTTTAACATTGAGATGGTTGCCAATATCTGTTAGAGTTAACATTTAATAATATTTTTAATATTGATAATTTTGATATTATATTGAATTCAATTATGAGATTTCTAGAGAAAAGATCAGAAGGATTATTTTAGAAATGATCACATCAGTTTATCACACACAGTTATTCTCTCCTTGGGGGCAATGTGGTGAGAGCTGGAGAGTTACACTTCATGTACAAAGGGGATTTATTTTATGACATAAGAACTCTGAAATTATAAGTCTGAGATTTATGTAGAAATGATACAGGTGACACCATCCTGAGCAGAGTGAAAGAACAGAAACTTTCTTTAGCATCTCAGTTTATTTTGGCCAAAAAGCCAAATTGCAGAAATGTGTAAATTTAATGGAACAGTATTTTCTGACAGTTTTAAGACAGCTATCTAACAATTGTGGTTGGAGGTGAATTTGTATGTCTCTCAAAGAGATAAAATGTTGATAATAGTAGATTCTAATGTATTCTATAAGTGTATTGCTTTTCCTGGAGCTATCAATGAAAAATATACAGAGTCATTTTCAATATAATAAACTATAGATTAACAAAATTAGAATATCAAAAATGTTTATATAATCCATAGGAAGACAAAAAGGAGGAAGCAAAAACAGAAGGAACAAATACTTATCGATAATGATACACTATGTTAGCATAAGTTAATATAAATTAATTATTACATTAAATATAGTCTAAACTCCTTAAATAAAAGATGGAGAAATATTATGTATACCAGAACTCACATAAAATATAATTATGTATGTTGGTTAAGGGTAAAAAGATGAAAAACATTGTCATAAAAAACTAATCAAAAGACATCTGGAGTGGCTATTTTAATATCTGGCAATGTAGATTAAAAACCCAAACAAAATTACCAGAGGCAAAGAGGAACATCATATAAAAATAAAAATATCAACTCATCAAGAAGGTATAAAAAAATTACATGTGCATGCACCAAACAATGGCTGTAAAACACATGAAGAAAAAGCTGATTGAACTGAAAGAAGTACACAAACTTACTGTTATGTTTTGAAGCTTCAAAACCTCTCTGTCAGTTCACTGGAAAAAATTAGCAAGATTGTGGAAGAACTGAATACCAGAAGCAAAATTATGTGATGGACATTTATTCCACCTACCAACAGTAGGAACAAATATTTTCAAGTGTGCATGGATATTCATCAATACAGACTATCTTAATTCATAAAGCAAACCCTAACAAATATAAAATAATGGAAATTATATTTAAAATATGCTCTCTGAAAATAATTTAATTGAATTAGTAGTCAATAAGAAGAACATACCCAAAAAATATACGAGCACTAAGATATTAAATAACACATACCTAAGTAATGCATAGGTCAGATGGAAAGTCTTGAGGGAAAAAAAGTATTAAACTAACTCAAAATGAAAATATAATTATCAAAATGTGTAATATATAACACAAGCAGTGCTTAGAGTATAGAACAGTAAATGCAATATTAGAAAAAAAGTACTAAAATCAATAAACCAAGCCACCACCATAGAAAGCATATAAAGAAGAGCAATTTAAGCCTAAACAAGTCAAGACAAAGAAATAAGAAAAAGTAGAAGACACATCAATGATATGGTTTTGCTCTATGTCTCCACCCAAATCTCATGTCACATTATAATCCCCAATGTTGGCAAACGGACCTGGTGGGAGGTGATGGGATCATGGGGGTGCATTTCCCTCCTGGTGTTCTCATGATAGTGAGTGAGTTCTTATGAGATTTGATTTTTAAAAGTGTGTAGCACTTCCCCCTTCTCTAACTCTCCTGCCACCATGTGAAGATATGCCACGTGACCTTCTGCCACGATTGTAAGTCTCCTGAGGCCTCAGCAACCATACATCCTGTACAGCATGTGGAACTGTGAGTCAATTAAACCTCATTTCTTCATAAATTACCCAGCCTCAGTTATTTTTCTGTAGCAGTATAATAACAGACTAATACAATCAACAAATTTAAAAACGAAAATGATATAGAAAATAAACTAAACCAAAAACTGTTCATTAAAAACATCTAAAAGATTGATCAAACTCTAACATGGCAAAAGGAAAAAAAAAACAAGAACAAAAACACAAATTACCAAGATGAGAAATGGAAAAAGGGGTCATTACGGTTGATACCATAAATATAATCACAATTGACTATTAAAAATAACTTTGTGTCCACAGTTTGACAAAGCTGATGAAATTTTAAAATTGCTGGAAAGGCAAAAAAACACCAAAGCTTATACAAAAAGAAATAGATAATCTGCGTAGTATTCTTCTATAAAGGAATGTAATAACTAATTAGTAACCTTCCAAAAAGAACATCCTTAATTACAAGTTACTTACTAATAAATTCAACCAAGCATTTAAGAAAGAAGTAATACCAATTCTCTATATTCTCTTCCCCAAAATAGAAGCATTAGAAGTACTTTCTAACTCATTCTATGAGCCCAGCATTATCTCATTATCCAAATTTAGTAAACAATTAAAAGAAAAAAATTCTTAAAATATCAAAAACTGGAGACCTTATCTCTCTTATCTACATACATCTCCTGAACACAAACAGAAACATCCTTAAAAAGTAACATCATCCTGTAAAATTAGCAAGATGGCAAAACAGGAAACTCAAGTTTTGGTTCCCCACAGAAATATTTTTTAAAAGCTTGCAAATGAATAAAATAACTATATAGAAGCAGTGGAAAACAGTCAAAAGTTTACAGCTTCAAGTAAATGAACAAACGAGGAAAACTCAACTTTTGTGGCATTTTTGCTTCCTCTTCCCCCACTTTCTCTCCATTTCTGGGTTATCTTAGTCTTGGTCTGAAGACGGTGGCATGTAGGCCCAATTGTCACTTCTCTCCCTTGAACCGAACTGGAGGGAGAAGAGCAGACGGTATTTACAATGTTCTAAAGGGTCTGGAGCTGCCTGAAGGACTGTTTCTGTCCCAACTAACTTGGAGCTCAGGTTGGGAGAAGTTGGGTAACTGGGATCTCAGGCTGGGTAAAGCTGCTGAAAGCATCAGGCATTCCTCATAAATCGAGCTAAATACAGTGTTTTCGACAAATACTAGTCTTTCAGATACTACATTAAAATTGTCATTTTAGTGACACAAATCTGTTCTATTAAAAGATAAAATTTGATATCAAATCTCTATATTGTGCTTTATCTCAAAGCAAGAGTAAAGCAAGAAAAAAGAACTATGTGTGTGTAATACTTTTTACCTAAATAAAATGGCCAATAACTATAAGATAAATATAATTAATTGTCTTTTAACAGAAGGTTTTAGTTCTTTTTTCTGGCATCTTGAGATCTAGTCATGGATGTATCTCTTTATTATTTTATTGTACACTTGTAAACAAAAGAAATCCACTTTAATTTCAGCGGTATATGGCCAAGAAACTAGAAAACTACATTAAAACATCCAAGTAGCTCATTGTAGAATAGTTCAGGTGCTTGTGCTATTTATACATGTAAAATATGATTCAGCAAATCATTAATTATACCTTTAGCCAGTCAGGAATAAAATATTGCAAATTAGCCCCGAGGAAGAATTTTAATAGAAAGTAAACACCACGCAAAACTGTGTCATCTAAGTTTGTTTTTTTCTTTACAGATCACAGCATATGCTGTTAGCATCAGAAATATTTGGGTCATAATTCTTCAACTCTTAATTATTAGCATATTTTTGTCAGTTCTTGAACATCAATAAAATGATGGTTATGTTATCTTACATTTCTTATGATATTAACTGCTCATACAGAGCAACTCAGCATCGACAGCAAACATATTCTTCAGGCACTGGCCCTTAATTAATCAAAATACACTTTCCTACTTAGAAGCATGAATGTTTTAATGATTATCAATTTGCAAAGTAAATTAAAACAACTGAAATCATCACAAAAATGTCATTTATAAAGAATTAAAAGTTGATAAATATAATCCTATTATCCTTATGGGAAATATTTAAAAAGCTACTTTTTACCAAATAAGCCAATATTAAGGATTAAGATTTAGCTATTCTTCCATGCAAGTTGCCATGATGTTATCAAATATATAATTTAGAGTGATTATAGATATAAATAATTAACAAAGTTAATTGTT
This sequence comes from Homo sapiens, assembly GCF_000001405.40. Classification (NCBI taxonomy): domain Eukaryota; kingdom Metazoa; phylum Chordata; class Mammalia; order Primates; family Hominidae; genus Homo; species Homo sapiens. The sequence continues at coordinate 23,458,185 of NC_000021.9, read as the reverse complement.
TTACTTTCATTTTGCTTTTATTCGTCTCCTGCAATTCAAATAACAGAGTGAATTTCTAGTTTTTAACAATTATAGTAGGTAATAAAAGTGGTATTCTTTATAAACTTTCATAAAAAAAATCCCAAACCAATTTATGACCATTGCTGTCATATGCTTAGTAGAATTTAGGCGACTTCCACAACATATCTTGTAGTTTAACCAGTCACTCTGAGAATAAAAAGGCATAGTCAAGTTAAAATCATTTCTCTACTTCCACAAAAAAGTTTTATTTTAGTAATTTATAAGAATTGGTTAGGAAAAGTAAAAAGACACTTTGAAATCTGTGAAATCTTTTCAATTCAGGCATGTATTCTGTTACTTTGATTCATATTTGAAAGAAAGAATATCAATTAATAGATATGTAAATAGAATATAGTGTTTTTTCCTTGCGTGCCCTGAAATTAACTTGTAATCTAATGAAAATGGGCAAGATACAGGAAGTCCTCATTTACTGTCTTTGATAGGTTCTTGGAAACTTTGACTTTTAAGTGAAATGACGTGTGAGAAAACAAATGTTACCATAGGCTAATTGATAAAAACAAGAGGTAAATTCCTACAGCATATGCCTTGTCAAAAAAAAAAAAAATAGTAAAATTACCAACCTTTGAAATAAAGACCCCAAACACTTCTAAAATTAAATATTAAAATAAATGTGAGCTATACACATTTAAGAAAGATTAATAAAAACCAAGCAGGATAATTATTGTGAGGCAGAGTAGCAAACGTAAGAAGCCACGTTTGCTGATTTGTGCTTGTTAACATACTTTCACAATCCTTCACTTTCTGACAATGTGCAGCTTTCCAAAAAGATGCTTTGAAGATAAAACTGGATAGAAGACATACTCTCCCACATCCCTTACTTGAGTCACTATATTTCTTTTCCTTTTTTTTTTTTTTTTTTTTTTGACTGAGTCTCGTTCTGTCGCCCAGGCTGGAGTGCAGTGGCGCAATCTCGGCTCACTGCAAGCTCCGCCTCCCGGGTTCTCACCATTCTCCTGCCTCAGCCTCCCGAATAGCTGCGACTACAGGCGCCCGCCACCACGCCCGGCTAATTTTTTGTATTTTTAGTAGAGATAGGGTTTCACTGTGTTAGCCAGGCTGGTCTCGATCTCCTGACCTCGTGATCTGCCCGCCTCGACCTCCCAAAGTGCTGGGATTACAGGCGTGAGCCACCGCACCCGGCCGAGTCACTATATTTCTTTTTTTTTTTTTTTTTTTTTTTTTGAGACGGAGTCTCGCTCTGTCGCCCAGGCTGGAGTGCAGTGGCGCGATCTCGGCTCACTGCAAGCTCCGCCTCCCAGGTTCACGCCATTCTCCTGCCTCAGCCTCCTGAGTAGCTGGGACTACAGGCGCCCGCTACCACGCCCGGCTAATTTTTTGTATTTTTAGTAGAGACGGGGTTTCACCGTGTTAGCCAGGATGGTCTCGATCTCCTGACCTCATGATCCGCCCGCCTCGGCCTCCCAAAGTGCTGGGATTACAGGCGTGAGCCACCGCGCCCGGCTGTCACTATATTTCTTGAACAGTAAATGATGTAGTCTTTGCTTTTTCCTATACAGGAGATAACATCTGTTGATGTTAGTGATTATGCTTCTGTAATCGATAACCAGATCTACTCCTACTCCTACACCAAAACTTTGATGTTATTTACTTTAATGGAATGTCTGAGAAAGTTGAATGTGGTTTTGCACAAAGTATCTGTTTACTTTTCCTAACCAATTCTAATAAAATTTTTAAAATTTCTACCACCTGTCCATAAACAGGGCTAAAATACTGTGCTAGAACTAATAGAACCTTTCTAAATGGCTGCTCTTTTAGAGGCTGGTTCAGTCTATAGTCCTGAGTAAGACTTCAGAATAAAACTAACTTTAATTCTTTAAAAGCGTAATTTTTTTCGTTTAATCAACAGTCATAACAACCACAAAGGGACTCAGAGCTGACTATTCAGGGTCGTCGGAAACATTGCAGGGACCTGGCATCTTGGTACCAGCACTTGGTCCCTGCCCTTTAATTCCTTCTGGCTCCTCCAGTTACAGACAACTGGATGTGTCTCTCCTGAGTCTCAGAATTCCCATTTAGTTAACAAACTTGAGTTTTATTCAGCTAGTTGCTCTCACTCCTTGACAAGAGATAAGGTCTTTCTCGAGATTTTTTTCTTTCTCAAGAAGGAAAAGTCTCCTAGTTGATAGATAGTAGGAAGGAATAAACGTGAGAAGCTGTAAGATTGGCTAGGCTGTATTGGTGCTTTCCCTTTCGATTTGACTCTGTAAATAAGGCTCAGGAAGACAGAAATTATTAATAATTTATGAGGGTTTGACCTGTGTTAACTCTGCAGACTAGAGACACTCAGAATCCTTTCAGCCAGATTCTGATTTGGCATTTCTGGTGATCAGAGGTCTTGTGGAAGTGTCAGAGGTACAATCTTTATGATGTGTAGTGGTCTTGTAGAAAATTCCTTGTCATACGTAATTAAGAATTGGTTCTTCCAGGGACAGACACGTCAGGGTCAGTCACTCAGTGCTTTGAGTCCCCATAATTGCTTTAGACGACCAGGTGGAGGAGCTGAAACATGTAATGGGAGTGATAGCCATTGGCAACACTCAAAAGAGGACATTTGATCTGCTACATTTCTCACTAGTATTCTCGCTTTGCTGACATTTCACCATGGGAAATAAATCATCCCAAACTGAAATAATAGGGGTACCGAAAAACTAATTTCTAGTCAACATTCCTGCAGGCTTCATGTATAACTCACACACAGCCTATTCTTGCAAGTACCTCCCTAGATGGAAGGGTTTAACTAAAAGAGATTTAATACTAAATTTACAAAAAATTGAATTCTTAAACATTAAAACATGCTGGGTTGGCTAGGCTTCCAGAAGCCTACATATTGTGGTCTGTTCTTATGCATATTTTAAATTGATGGTCAAATTACATCAAGAAAAACTTAGAGCTCCAATGATCAACCTGCAACTATAGAGCTAATATGTAGAGTCAGCCAGGTTCTCTGTCTAGCTATGTTTTCCCACTTCCTTTGATCTATTCACGTTTCTAATGGTGTTGAGTTAAAACTCATTGTTTACAGTATCACTAATTCAAGGCTCCTTGGAGATTTTTTGTTTTTCATACAATTCAGCCAGTTCTAGCTACAATGTAAACATTAAAAATTTAAACATAAGCTCATTTAAAATTGAATAAAAAAAGTAAAAGGGGTTTTAAAAATCAAATTTTTGTAGGAACAGTTTTAGCCAAAATTTTGATTCATGGCATTCAATAAATTTTCCATATGAGCAAGAAGAGTTTAGCCACATGAACAGTTCTCAATTTTATCAGACATAATTTGGATCCAACTGTTATTTATAAACAAATGAATTTATATTACTATTTTATGTCTGAAGCTCTAAAGTGAAAACTATTAGATCTTTGAGTGTGAGGGCATATGTGTTTACATGTTTACATACATGTACATATTTTGTGTTACATGCTGTTTTTACATGGTATCAAATTGACTTATACATTGTATTAGTCCATTTTCACACTGCTGATAAAAACATACCTGAGACTGGGCAATTTACCAACAAAGAGGTTTAATGGATTTACAGTTCCACAGAGCTAGGAATGCCTCATAATGATGGTGGAAGGTTAAAGGCACGTCTTACATGGCAGCAGACAAGAGAAGAGAGCTTGTTTGGGGCAACTCCCCTTTTTAAAACTATCAGATCTTATGAGACTTTTTTACTATCATGAGAACAGCACAGGAAAGACCTGTCCCCGTGATTCAGTTACCTCCCACTGAACCCATCCTATAACATATGAGAATTCAAGATGAGATTTGGGTGGGAACACAGCCAAACTGTATCTTACATAATGAGTATCTTACATAAATGAGTACTCATAAATAAGCGCAAATATTTCCTAGTTCTCATGACTTAAGTAAATTACTAATAAGTAATTTGGTTATAAAATTACTGGTAAAATAAAATAGAAGTGTCTTCAAACTTGTCAGCATGCATTTTTGCCTGTGTTTACTGTGTTTACTGGTCAGACAGTTTTATATGTCTGACACCTCAAAATATTTTGAGGTGTCAGGATTTGGCGCAAAATACCTAAAACTATAAGCCCAGCCCCAAACAAAATAAATTTTGTTAGTGTAATTTTTGATAAACATGACTAATTTATTATTGTTGATTTAATAAAAACAACAGTTGTATTTCTGAGTTACTGGCAAAATACCCATATATTTTACTTTAATTTTCTCATGTATGTAAACACCTGATATTCACCAGTTATAAAAACTGTTAAGGAAAATTTGAAATGATGACTAGGTTTGTCTAATATCACAGTTTTCATAACTAATGTAAGGAAATTGTTTAAAATAAAGTAGGGAAGTGTAAATGGAATAAATGCTTATAAATATAATTTTTATAGAATTTTAAATCTTAAGTTATGATAAATTAAATAATAGATAATAAATGTCCAAGTCATCGTCAATTTAGAAAAAGTTATGTTATAAGGAAAAGTGTTTTTAAAAATTATGAAATGGTTCTCGTCTGTAAAACATTGATATATGACAAATAATTCAATATCTTGCTTTTTAGGCTTTCACTAAAATTTAAGGTTACTAAGAGTTAAAATGTTTTAATTAATATATGTAATTCTATGTATAATGTGTACCCAAATTGATGTGTTTTTAGTGTAAAAAATTGTAATCATGATATAAAAATTTGTTCTTTATTGAGAAAATAATATTTTTGTCTAATTCAGAGGTTATTTAAGGGGTGTTTATTAAATAACAGAAATAATTCAGTAAGTAGGAGAAAGAGACGTAAAGAAAATTATGAATATGAAGATGCATTATTTATAAGATGTAAGCCACCCAGGTGCCGAGGCAGGAGATTGAAGGCACAAGCTGTTCCAGTATAATAAAGAAAATAATAAGAATGAGAATAGTTATACTAGAAATAGAATATATATGATTATATATGAATATCTCCAATCATTAGTTTGTAGCATAATTGTTTATTATATTAATCTTTGTTCTACATTTATTACCTGTTCCATAATTATTACCTAGGAAAAACCAGGCCGTACAGAGTTAGGAGCTGAAAGGACACAGTGAGAAGTGACCAGAAGGCAAGAGTATGAGCCCTCTGTTACGCCCGGGTAAGGACCACTAGAGGGCTCCTTGGTCTAGCGGTAATGCCAGTGCCTGGGAAGGCACCCGTTGCTTAGCAGACCGGAAAGGTAATCTCCCTTTCCCCGGGGGAGTTAGAGAACTCTCTGCTCCACCACCTCTTGTGGGAGGCCTGCCATCAGTCAGGCCTGCCCGCAGCCATCGGAGGCTTAATCGTCTCCCTGTGATGCTGTGCTTCAGCAGTCACGCTCCTGGTCCACTTTCGTGTTCCACTCTGCACACCTGGCTCCGCCTTCTAGATAGCAGTAGCAGAGTTAGTGAAAGTATTAAAGTCTTTGATCTATCTGATAACTGCATAGAAGAAATAGTGACGTAAGCTGTCCTGCCTCTCTCCAGCTTTGCCACCTCAAAGGGGAAGGACCCCTGTCCGGTGGCCCGGTGACTTGTGTGACTCTGTCGCTCATTGGAGATGACTCATATTCCTTACCCTGCCCCCCTGCCTTGTATACAATGAATAGCAGCGCTATTATATATATAATCTATATAATCTATATAATTATATATATCTAATTCATCTATATATTATACGATATATAATATATAATCTATCTCTATATTATATATGTTATATAGATTATATATAGTATATATATTATATAGATTATATAGATATATGTAGATTATCTAAAAGGGCTTCGAGAAAGTAGAAAAATTACACTTCAGGTTTTTCTTTTCCTCTTGGTAACTGGCCTAAAAACAAAGATTTCATGTTTTATCAAAATAATTTCCTCTGTTGTCTTTATTAGGTTTTTGATTAATTAGAAAACTGAGCTTTAAAGGGCTTGAGGTTTTCACATCTTTTACATCTATGTAACTTTCTCAATTGCTTTTGAAGTATTTTGATTACCACTCTGGACTCTGTTTAAATAATTGACTTTTTTTTTATACTGTGACATGTGATTGTGTTGGATCAAACATTTTAAACCTTTTGGCATCTTTTGAAGGTTTCCCCAGCATCAAAATTCTAAAGTATGTCTTTTTGGATTAAATGATTAGACTAACTTCGTAAATTGTATGAGAAATATTATCAAATAATAAATTATACTAGGTCTTTCAGTTAGATTTATGGGTATGTTATTGATATAAATGTCCCAAAATTATATAAATTCATAAAAATCAAATGTTAATTATAATTTTAATGGCTATGCTAAACTGTTTCTAAAATTATAGTTATATAGATATGCTATTAATGTAAATATTCTAAAAATTTTATAAAACATAAACATGTGTTGGTCTTAATGTGATGCTCTCAGTCATGATTCTGGTTATCTTAAAATGCTGCATGTGATAGAAATAACCAATTTCCTTGTCAATTGAAAACTTTCATCAAATTTTAACTGTGGCTATTGTAAGGTTTTGTCATCCAGAGTTTTGGTTAGAATTTTTCTCTAAAAATATTTACAATTTGTTTTAGCCCAAATCTATTTTTATGGGGAAGTCTCTCATAAGTATGGATATAAAAAGGGGTAAACAGTACAACTAATAAAAAATACAAATATATGTTCCAGTTATCATGTATTTTTTCCAATATGTAATTTTGATGATATTAAATATGTACTTCTATGTATAATCTATAGTATCGTTGCAATAGTCCTGTTGAGGTGTCATTTTGGGTGCAGAAATGACAACATCGGGGGGAAGAAAAGGTCATTCTAATAAAAATGGATGTGTAATTCAATGCATGTTTTCCAATGAATAGGCAAATATGCACCTGGTCCTCCTTCCTTACATCCGCAACTGAAGACTATGAACCTTCCTAGAAAACATCCTTCCTAGCTAATCAATGTTGGCTTTGTAAATATAACTGGGGGATTAATTCATGAGCAAAAGGAGAAACTTGTGAGACAAAGTAAGAAATGTAAAAAGCCATATTTGCTTATTGCTGCTTGCGAACAAAATTTTGTAGATCTCCTGAATTTGAGACAATGTGCAGCTCTCTGAAAATATGCTTTGAAGACAAAACAGGATTCAACACACAGTTCCGTGCATCTCTTGCCTTAATCAATATATTCCATATAACATAAGTAACCCTAGTCCTTGCCTTTTCCTACACATAACATAATGTCTGATTTGGTGAGTGGTTATGTCTCTGTAATCTATAACAGACCCAAACCTTGCTGTGATTCTGCTATATTGTAACTTCAGAGCAAGTTCTGTATCATATTGCATTTACTGAGCAAGTTCTGTATCATATTGCATTTACTGAGCAAGTTCTGTATTATATTGCATTTACTGAACTTCCACCACCTGCATATATGCAGGAGGCTGAAACACTGTGGCAGAACAGTCTGGAAGAACCTCTTGAAAGGGCTGTTGCCAGGCTAGAAACTTCAGTCTACAGTCCTCAGTAACACTTCCAATAAAACTTATTTTAATTACTTACAAATTTGATTTTTTCTTTAGTTGGTATTATTTACCAAATTTTTGGTGAATAAGTGAGTGATGGAGGTTGTAGTGGCTATCAGTTAGATCAAGGAATAAATATTTGCTAAGGAAAATTATAAGGAATACCTCCTATCACTGGGCAGTTCAAAAACAACAAGGACAAATATGGTGGGCTTGTGGAGAGCTTTTATACCACATTGTTTATTATGCATTTGTATAAGTATTGTGTATTAGTCAGGGTTCTCTAGAAGAACAGAACTAATAGGATATACATATATATATATATATATATGGGTTTATTAAGTGTTTATTAAGGAGTATTAACTCACACGATCACAAAGTCCCATAATGGGCCAACTGCAAGAAGCCAGTCCAAGTCCCAAAGCTGAAGAACTTGGAGTCTGATGTTTGAAGGCAGGAAACATCCAGCACAGGAGAAAGATGTAGGTTGGGAAGCTAAGCCAGTCTAGTCTTTTCACATTCTTCGTTTTATTCTTCTTTTTATTCTGCCTGCATGGGCAGCTGATTAGATTTTGCCCACCCAGATTAAGGGTGGATCTGCCTTCCCCAGCCTGCGGACTCAAATGTTAATCTCCTTTGGCAACACCCTGAAGATACACCCAGGATCAATACTTTGCATCCTTCAATCCAATCAAGTTGACACTCATATTAACCATCACATATTGTATGCCTTAAAAATACTTATTTGGAAATAAATTGTATTCGTCCATTCTATTCTTTTTTTCATATGATTATTCCAGTTTAGGGTGGCAAATTGCTGGAGCCTATCATGACTGCTCTGGGAAAAAGGCAGGAACCAACGCTGGCCATTCCATTTCCGGGCACACTCACACACCCACTCACACACTCAGAGGGGGAAAATTTAAACAAATTAATTTGCCTAAAAAGCACATCTTTTTGATGTATGAGGAAACTGGAAAATCCAGAGAAAACTTACACAGACATAAAGAAAACATGCAAACTCCACACAGATAGTAACCTTAGCCATCAGGAATCAAGTTGTTTCTTATCAATGTTATAATTAAACAATGTTGAATGAAACCACATTATTGGAAGATCTTATATATGTAAGTAATGGGGTTAAAAATTCAAATAAAATTCTCAGTGGGTATCTAATCAAAATATTTCGTGTGCCCCATAAATATGTACAACCATTATGTATCCATAATAATTAAAAATAAAAACTGTTTAAAAAGAAAATAAATAAATACGTTATATTTTATGAAATAAATGTATAAATAATTGATTCAAGAAAACTGGACAGGCTACTACAATGTGGTGTTTCTCTAACATGTTTTCAGCTTTATAATATGTGTGTTAAGATTCTATGGGTATTAAAGTTAGCCTCTCTTATGTCATTATGATACTAAGGTGTGAGACTGAGAAAAAGTTCCCACAGAGAAGATTTGAATTTCCAGGAAGTGCAAGCTCATGTGCCTTCTTATCTGCCTGTCTATATGTGGAGCCACAGGAGAACAGAGGTGAGGCCCAAAAAGAAGTCAGTGATATACATCAAAATAGAGGTCAGACTTTATTTTCTGGCATAAATAACTAAATGGGTATTGATATGGTTTGGCAGTGTCCCCACCCAAATCTCACCTTAAATTGTAATAATCTCCAAGTGTCAAGGGTGGGGCCAGGTGGAGATAATTGAATCATGGGGCCAGTTTCCCCCATATTGTTCTTGTAGCAGTAAATAACTCTCACAAGATCTGATGGTTTTATAAATGGGAGCTCCCATACACAAGCTCTCTCTTGCCTGCCACCATGTAAGGCATTTCTTGCTTTTCCATGATTGTGAGGCCTCCCAAGCCATGTGGAACTGTGAGTCAATGAAGCCTCTTTTCTTTATAAATCACCCAGTCTCGGGTATGTCTTTATTAGCAGCATGAGAATAGAAAAAATATAGGTATAAAGAAGGTTTTTTTGTCTTTGTTTGTTTGTTTTACAGAATAATTTCAGCTAATCAATGTAGAAGAGATGAGGGAAAAATAGAATCACCACTAGGTGAACATCAATAGTAGTAATAGTTATAAGGCAAAATGTAGCAATAGATCTAAAATCAGTGGGTAAAACTTTAAGAAGGAATAGAATATTGCATTCTTTCAAAGTACAAAAGCCAGAATAATATATTTAGGATGAAGAAATCTAGCAGTCACTATCAACCAAGCAATATGGGTTACCACAGATAAGGCATATCGAAATCAGGTACCATCTGATATGATACGCTAAGAGGAGAAGAATAAACATTATTTGCCAAAAATGAATAACCTCAAACTAATGATAATAAAATATCACACAAATAAAAAATGAGAGATATTCCAAACTTACCTGAACAGTATTTTTTAAATGTGTCAAAGTAATAAAAAAAAACTATCACAAGTTGAAGAAAATGAGAGACATTACCATTAAATGTATTGTGTGATCCTGGATTAAATTCTGGGTCAGAAAATCATATTAGTGAAAATCGTAATGGAATCCAAATATAAGTTTGTGGTTTAGAGGATAGTATTTTACCATTGCTCATTTCTTAGGTTTACAATTCTTACATGTGATATTAACATGAGAGGAAGAGGGATGAATGCCATTCAAGCACTTTCTGTAAAATTACTATAACTTTGCTATAAGTCTAAAATCCTTTCAAAATAAAATGGTAAAATATTTTTTAAAAAGCTGTACTAGCAATGTGTCCTTAAGTTAGTGCATAAACTTTATGTAGTAATAATGGTTAGGTTAGTAATAACTGATGATCAGGTTAGTAATAACTAACCTAATTTCCAATTCACTTAGTAAACAAAAATTATGTGAAAACTCACATACCCAAAGTACCAGTGATGCAAAGATTTGATTTTAGAAATGTTAACACTAAGGATTTTCATTTTCATCTTTGATTAACTATAACTTTCAGCTTTATTCTTCCTCAGGGAACTTGTCCCAATCCTTCAAACTGTGTTTTCCATATAAGCCTCCAATCCCACTACTTATCTGGACAATCTGGAGCATGAATGCCTATTTTATGATTCTATTTGAAAATAATGCCTGAGTGTGCTGAATGGTGCAGCTGATGTTACGGGGTCCTCTGTTACCAGTGTGGTGGGATCGACAAAACACTTACTTAAATATCTCTTTTCATAAATGGAAAAAATGAGAGTAGGGGGTTGCGACAGTCAGATAGAAAAATTACCATTCCTAAAAATTACTCAAATGAGTCATATTTACCAAGCACCTAGGATAAAAAAAAAAACTCATTGTGCTAACTGCTGTTTGAACAACCTAAGAACGTAAGAAAAGTTAAAAGTTGAATCTAGTAGTAATAACAAAATATATGTAGAAAGTGAATTATTATACACACACATACACACTCACACACACACACACACACAGAGCCAGCTTGAAATTTTATGTACTGTGAAGCTTACTAAGCAGTGAAGGTGACAAAGGGTTTAGAAGAATAAGTATTTGCAGATAAAGATGCTTAGGGAAGATTTCTCTCTCTCCCACTCTCTCTGTTCATCTTACCCACCTCCAACCCCGTACACACAGCACACACACATGTAAACAGAGGAGATTCACCGGACCCTTGAAGAATGTCAAGCAGGGCCTGTGACTCAAGAGAAAATGTTCAAAATGAGGAGTATCTTCTTATCATTCTGTAAGAGTTTGGGAAAGGTAGGCATTTCTTTGATAATGAAAGTCAGAGAACAATGGCATCTTAAAACACTAAGAAAGAAAATTAAATGGCATGGAGTGCTCTGCGAAAGCACTGGACTATTTGATTAGAAGAAATTAGAGTTTAAAGTAATTTCCACTCCAAAATAATTTAGTCACGTAATATGAGTCACATTGTTTCTAATTTCATCTCTTAACATGCAGGTATAAATGATGCTTGAGTTTGTTCTCTAAATGAAGAATTTGGGGAACATGTTTGAAGTAAATTTTGAAATACCGGATAGTTAGAAATCTGGCTCTTTATGTCTATTAGAAGTCTATTTATCAGATAAAATGTTTGCTTTTTAAAGGTAGTAAAATTAAAAATTAAGGACTTAACAGTATCCAGAATAAAAGAAAAGTTGCTACTTTCTTCGAGCTCCACTCTGATTGTGGCTGTTTCTTTCTCTCCAGACATGTTTTGCGACATATGGGAAAGATAAATAAATGGGTGACAAGAACACATATAATTTTATTGTTTATAAAAGTCAGAAATGTTGTGGGATACTAAATTGATAACAGCAACTTAAGTTACTCTTTCTATTTAAAAAGAAAAATTTGTGAAATGGATAAATTTTGTGTGAAATAACTATTCTTCCTTGTGCTAATGAACAATATATATCCAATAATACTAGTCTCTAACATTGTTATTTATTTTCTGAAAGCACCAATACAAATTAAACAGACCTATTTTAATTTCTGCAATAGGGTTTAGTCAACAGGAAAAATAAATGCTGCAGATAATTGCCTTTTCTTGTATAGTTTTGAAGGCGTTGAACTATATTATTGGGATCTGCATTGTTTTTAAAGTAACCCTCCATTTTGTGTATCCGTTTTCATGTGCTTAGACCACAGTGAGTCATTGACTTACTGACTTGTTACCTTAGACTTTCGTGAATAATTATGTTCATATTAACCTTTCTGTGGACTCTCATTTCTTAATTTATAAATCTGGCTTATTTCTGACCTGGTAATTGTTTGCAATTTCTGCCAGATTCATTCTGGGATGAGTAGACAAAAAGAACACGATCTTGACTATTACTCTCTAGCAAAGATTTAAAGCCTTTGCTTAACCATAATCACTATCACATACGTGAAATAACAATTTATGAATGTAGACATACGGGATTGTTAATAAATTTGACCCTTCCTCTTGGCAAGGGCAGTGATATTCTCTTGTACAAACAGTTAGATTTGCCAATGTGATTAGAAAACAGGCATAGTAAAAATATCCCTGGATAATTCTTCTGAGGTACAGAATGTCCATGGGGATTTGCTAATTGAATTGTTACAGGCATGATTGAACAAGGTAACTGCTGTGGTTCCATGTGTTCATGGATTAACTGTATTTCATTATGTCAGCCAAAACTGATTGCCAGAAGAGGAGTACGTGTCAGAGTGTAAAATATTTGGTCTCTCTGGGGGTTGGTCCAATGTTGGTGTACTGATAATTGAAGTTTACAGGCAAGGCCACTATGCTCTTGTCTTATTGGATAAATTCTACAATGATTGGGAAGCAAGAATGCTGCCATTTGTTTCTCTGACTGTTTAACTTTCCAAACAAACAAAACCAATTTATCATGAATAATATGTAATATTTTTGGTCCGTATTCATAAAGCAAACCCAGTACCTGAGGACCTAATACTAGAGAATAATCTTCTGTAGGAAACATAGGCCATTTTTGGTGAAAGTGGATCATATACAAGGAGTTTGAAAGTCACTAATTGAGTACCACTGGATACTTGGATTTAAACAAGCTGCTATACATCAGAACAAATATTTCTGGAAGAGACAACAGCAACTGGCAAACTACCATTCTGTAAATCGTACAACTGTTTTTATAATACTACATTTTTCAAGTAATCTAGGATTGAGTTCTTGTCTATGATGCTCAGTCTTCCTATAATATTAATCTATTTTTACTCGGTTTTATGTTACGTTGAGATTATATTTCTAAAATGAGTCAACAGTGTTTGGGCGTTGATATGTATTTACGTACCTGTGTGCATATAATAGTTGAGGTTTTATGTGCTATTTAGTTAAGATTCTTTGTTGTTTGTTGCTTATCTATATTTAAAGTCATTTTCCTTTTTGCTGTTCATCAGATAGCAATGTACTTGATCCTCCTTAATAATAATGTGTGCAACAATATTGATTAAGTCACATTTAAAATAAACTTCAATTATTATATTTTTATAAGATAGAATAATGGGGTAGAAACTTTATTTAAGAACCACTTTTATACATAAAAGTGAGTGGGTTTGAATGACTAATCTTACAGTATAACAACTGAATATGCCACTGGGCCTGGATGAAATATCTCAACATAAGACCTGATACTATGAAACTATGAGAAGAGAACATAGAAGAAAGGGTCCTGGATATTAGTCTTGACGATGGTTGTTGTTTTTTTTTTTTAATATCACACCAAAAAGTAAGACTAAAAAAGCAAACATAAATACATGAGACTACTAAATCAAACTAAAAATCTTCTGCACATCAAAGGAAACTATCATCAAAATGAAACTTCAGCCTATGGATTGGGAAAAAATGTTTGCAAACCATATATATTTGCTAAGGGGTTAACATCCAAAATATAGAAATAACTCATACATTTCAGTAGTGGAAAAACAAATTATCAATTAAAAATAGGCAAAAGACTATAATAAACATTTCTCCAAAGAAACATAAAAAGAATCCACTAGTATATGAAAAGGTACTCAACATCATTAATCACCAGAGAAATGTAAATCAAACTACTATGGAATACTACCTTGCACTTGTTAGGACGGATATTATCAAAGAGTCAAAAGATAACAAATGTTTCTTATGGTGTGGAGAAAAGGGACTCGTACACTTTTAATGGGAATATAGATCGGTGTCACCATTATAGAAAACAGTATGGAGGTTCTTGAAGATATTGAAAATAGAACTAACATGTGACCCAGTAATCCCTCTTCTGGGTCTATATCCAAAGAAAATAAAATTTAATTTAATTTTCATAAAAATTTCTGCCATCTTGTGCCCATTGCATCATTACTCGTAATAGCTAACATACAAAAACAACAGAAAAGTCTCTAGATGCATGAATTGATAAAAACATTTTGGTATACGGATACTATGGAATACATTGAAAACAAAAAAAAAGATATCCTGCTATTTGCCCTAACAAAGATGAATCAAATAGGCCAAACACAGAAAGAAAAATATTGTATGCTCTCATTTATCTATGGAATATTTAAAAAAGGTCAAATATACAGATATAGAGAATAAAATTGGTTACCAGGAGTAGGTGAAAGGTGCGGGAAATAGGGAAATGTAGATTAGAGGATGAAGGTAGCAGATACGTATAATGAACAAATATACAGATTTAATGTACAATATGAGGACTATAGTTTTTTTGTTTGTTTGTTTTTTGTTTTTTGAGATAGGGCCACACTCTGTCACCCAGGCTGGAGTGCAGTGGTGTGATCTCGGCTCACTGCAACCTCCACCTCTTGGGTTCAAGTGATTCTCCCACCTCAGCCTCCCGGGCAGTGGGGATTATAGGCATGTGCCACCATGCCCTGCTGATTTTTGTAATTTTAGTAGACAATGGAGTTTCACCATGTTGGCCAGGTTGTTCTCGAACTCCTGGCTTCAAGCAATCCACACGCCTCGGCCTCCCAAAGTGCTGGGACTACAAGAGTGAGCCACGGCGGCCAGCCAGGACTATAGATTTTTTAAAAACTGTACTATATTTGGGATTCCTGCTAAATAAGTAGATTTTAGTTGCTCTTGACACAAAAAACAAGCCAAAAAATGGGTAATGGTAACTATGTAAATGATGGATATGTTAATTTGTTTCACTGTAGTAACCATTTTAGTATCTATCTATTATCTATCTGTTACATAGCAACATGTATGTCTTAAATATACACAATAAAATTTATTTTAAAAAAAGTAAAAGAAGAAAAAGCTCTTTGTAGAAAGTTTCCTTGTTTGTTACAATTAAATTATCCTTCTCCATTACATCACAACGTATATTCCCAGCTGGAGATAGGTAGATGTGGGAGAATCAGGTGATGGGAGGGAAAAGGTGACAGTCTCTGTGGCAGATGCTGTTGGGGTCCTGCTTGTGTTGATCATAGGAAAATTGATGAATCAAATTGTGGCTCTCAAAGTTATGGAGAGTGAGAATGTATAAGTCCCCCAAATCCCTTGCCTTTCTAGTAAGATAAGTGAGGCATATTCTACACAGACTCCAGTGACGTCCAGAAGGATGAAGCCACAGCTGCTCTCACGAGGACCCTGCTTATTACCACATCTCATATTTCATCCCTTCCCTCTGCTACTTCCCATTCTTCTACCAGTGCTTCCCGGGATCCCTTCCTGAGCAAGCTACTTCCATATCATCATGAAGTAGCTTGAGTGTTGCATTTCCTAATGGGAATCAGGTCTTGAACAACACATTTACATTTAGTATTTTTTTTACAATAAATATCAGGAAAGAGCCTAGAATACTTGACACTTAGTGAGGAGCAAAATCACACTTTGGCATTACTTATTTTTATAACCAGTCCTCCTCCTGCTCTTTCTCTGCCCTCCACCCCCAAGCATATTATGTTTAGCTACATGGATTTAATATTTTCTGCTTCTTCTTTTCTGACTATCTTGTGTAGTCAGCAAAGAGAAGAGACTATAACATTAGGTTTCAGAGTCTCCGTTAGTTTTAGGGCAAGTTAGTGTTTCCTACTTTCCCTTTGACAGAGGAACAGTTTACGACTTAAAGGAAAAATCTAATTGCTTAATGTCTTTTTTATCACATGAGGTTTTATGTTACTTTGATTCTCAATGCCTTGAAGAGGAGCCCTATATATTTTAATACTCATTTTATATACATACCCATATACCTTTTATATATATATAAAATGTATATAGCTTACTCAGGAAGGGATCCCAGGAAGCACTTGTAGAAGAGTGGGAAGTAGCAGAGGGAAGGGATGAAATATGAGATGTGGTAATAAGCAGGGTCCTCGTGAGAGCAGCTGTGGCTTCATCCCTCTGGGCGCCACTGAGAGTCTGTGTAGAATATGCCTCAGTTATTTTACCAGAAAGGCAAGGGATTTGGGGGACTTATACATTCTCACTCTCCGTAACTTTGAGAGCCACAGTTTCATTCACCGGTTTTCCTATGAGATACACACACACACACACACACACACACACACACACACGTATTATGAATAGATCAATTTTTGACCTATCAACTATAACATTTTAATATATGCATTATGGCAGATATACCCTAAAATAAAATAAAAATTGTGTCTACTCAGTTTTTATTTTGCTAGCAACAATATGATGTAGAATTTATGTGTGTTAGCATGTAAGCCTGCTTGTCTAGTTTCAGAAACCTGGCAAGCTACTTAGTTACTAGATGAACTTAGGTAACTCTTAATTATTCTTAACCTGTATTTTTATTGCTGTTTATCTCACCTTTACCTACTAAGTTTTTTTTCTTGTACCAGAGGAAATTATTAATGAAAGTGGCAAAGCACCAATGAACCAAAATTTTGAATATGTTGAAATATAATGAAAAACAGAAAAAAGAAGTTAAAACTCCCAGATTTCAATTTCCATATGAATTAACATAATGCTATGTGAAAATGTCAATAGCAATCTACATTTTTATGTGAAAATAAAATTATGCGAAAATGTAGATTAAAATGCTAGCTAATTCATATGTTAGAAAGATTAAAGGAAATCCGCTGTGTAAAGTGATCACTTTTCTCTAAAATCTCTTGCTTGTTCATCTATTAAAATCATTTCATTGTTCTCAATAAAATTGTAGGCAGCATAATTACTGCTATTTGTTAAACTGAAAATACCAATGAGACCTACCTTTCCCTCACACATACACACCCTGGAAAGAACTTGCAGAAAGAATAAATGGTTTGTCATCTAATCACTTAAAATACTGAATTTTCATTTATTAAGATGTTTTAGGGAGGTTTCATGTTGAAGACTGCTTATATGCCTCAAATTTGGCTTGATCATTGCTGAGAAAATCAGGGTAGATTTTATTTCTGTAAAGTCACCTGTGGGAATGACCACACTGAATTCCAGAATAAATTTCTCCATTCTACATTCACAGTATTTTGCATATATAGAAGAAGCAGGATGCGTGAGACACATCCACATCTTCCATCAATAATCAACAGAAAAATCATACGTGCATGATAATAGGTGCATCATGCACCTGGAAATGTTACAGGTCCATCAGAGGTTTCACGATTTGGGAACATGCTTAATTGGAAACTTCCTAGACATCTCTTAAATCTTTGAGGATTAAATTTTTTTTTTAATTTAGTTTACTTGGAGCCCTAACTTTCTGTTTAAACTCTTCTTCAGAGTTAACAGGTTTACTACAGATTCTGAAAGGAAATAAAAATGGAATCTGAGAGCTCTTCAGTATACCGAGGTAGTCTATGGTTGCCATAGAGAATGCCTGTAACTGTCAACCTTGCACAAAGCTCCTAGGTAAGAAAACATAGGCACTACAGTATTTGAAGACTGATCAGCACATAGATATCTTTGTCATTTTACTGCTATTCTAATGGCCTCTAGGAGAGTAATAGATGAATTATGAAGTTGAGTCAGTCAACACTTCGAATTCCATTGCTGAAATCATTCTTGTAATTTGGATAAGCAAGCCCAGTCAGAAATATCTCTAATTACCTATGTGGCTTTCTTTCTCCCTGTTTCCTGATTATCTGGTCTCTGTCTCTTTCTGTCCTTCTTTGTCTTTCTTATTTTTTCAATATTTAATTAAATTACTTCCAATTTAAATCAGAAATATAAAAATATCCATTTCAGTGGAGCAAAGCATTGATGACAAAAGCTTTTATTTATATGAAAATATTTTACATGAAGGATAATTTGTTGGTTTTAAAATCTCATTTATGAACATTAGTAAAAACGATGCAGTTACCCTTTTCTTATGAAATAAAATAATGGGTTTTTTTGGAATTTATTTTTTATAATATTTTTTAAACAGAAAAATACTATAAAACAAAACTTGTAATACTTTCTTTCAAATGAAGAGCTATATCTAGACCCTTTTTATTTTAGCAATTTATATTTTTCTGAATCAGATTTATAAAAACAAAATGCAAATACTTTTGATATCTGCTCATAAATATGCATACTGAGTACTTGTATTTATTTATTTACCGGCAGGGCGTTAGCTGTATAATCAGACTGAAAAACAGAAAAACAACACGATATTTGATTGGACCAGATACAAGAAAACACACAAAGGAATCATTGAGGTTTACTGGTTTTTTTTTTTTTGGAAATTGTCTTATTTTAATTTCTACCCTTTCTCAAATACGTCTGTGATTAGGTCCACATTAGTTATGATATGACCAGGAAAAATGCACTGTTTGAAAAACAAATTGTTGATACAAAAATAATATTATTGTATTTGTGTATGCTCTTTAAAAACGTGTTTATTTTACTTTGAAATAAATAATGTTGATGTTTCTTCATTAGAATAACAACTTAATTATATTCATCATTCATTTTATTCACCTTTCTTGTGACTCGCATGTCAGTGAATACCACCACTGTGTGCTCTACAATGATTAAAAACACACAAAACATATATATACACAGCAAACACATATATACACAGCAAACACATATATACGCAGGCAAAAAAAAAAAAAAAGCAAACAAATGTAAAGAACACATAAAAAACTCTCTGAATTGGATACTTTTTTGCTCTAATTTTATTTTGATTAACTAAAACATTTTTGCTGGTCCTAATTGAGCTTGACTCATTTTCTGAACCCAGAGATCTTAATGCACATTTTTTTATTCATTAGTTCATTTATTCACTTATTCAGCCTATTCCTACCATGATAGAAAAGTGTAGAGAATAAAAATGATCCTTTAGCCTGTCTAAAGAAAGTGAGGTTTATCTAAGAAACAGATAATTATCACATAATAAAGCCAGGAAGAGCCACTGGGAAGATATGAGTGTCTCAGCACTGCTATTCATTCTTAAAATATGTTTTTATAGTTGAAGTTCAAAAACTTGAACTTCATTATGTGAAGGGTCAGTGTCAAGGTTAATCAGATTTCTTCATGACAGAAAAGTAAAATGAAACATGACTGAATAATTAAAAAAAAAAACAGGTTCTGCTAGTCTTTGGAAAGCATCTCACATAAAGGTATATGCCCCTGTGTGTGTATATGTGGATGTGTGTGTGCATGCATGTATGTGTGTGTTATGTATTTAATTTAATGTAATTGTATTCATATTGTACACATCCAAATCCACATGTATGTGACTGAAAGGGTGAATACGGAAACATCAACAATGAAATTCTAGGAAAGGGAAATTGCAACCAATATCCCATAGCCCTATGATGAAATGTCTGTTTTTGCTTTCTAGAGGGAAAAAAAAAGCTGTTCTTGAATCAAAGAAAATGCTAAGGAAGCCCCAGGCAACACCCTAGCAGACATCTTCTTTGTGAAATATAGTTATGTGATTATGCCTCATTCCAGTGCCAGATTGCCTTTTTCTAGCTAATCTAATCTTGTGGTGTGGTAATTTTTATAGATTCTAATAGTTTTTAGCTGCAAAGCACTTATAAATGTGGTTTCTTCCTCAAAAAAATATAAACAGAGCAATGATGATGTTGTAAATAAAATCTGTAAAAAATTGTTAATGCCTAGTAATAGTGGAAATAAAATGTTATTTATTAATTTGAGTTATATTTAAAGTCAGAATCACAGTAAAATCTACCAAATTAATACCATAATAATGCGGTAGGAAAACAGTTATCTACAAATTGTGGCAATGTTATCTCATTGAATTTTGTCACCAATAAATATGCATTGAATACTCATTCTGTAATTATCATGATGTTGGATTCCGACAGCAAGACCAGTGGGAAAGGAGGTTCACTTCAGAAATTACAGAAAGAACTATAAGGAATAAAGACTGTAGAACAAAAATGAGCAAATCATAACATATGTTCAACCAGATCTTTTGGATAGGTTGATTAAAAATAAAGTTAGAAGGATTAAACACAGGTTTAATTTTTAAAAATTTAATATAAAAACTAATAATGTTAATCTAGTTACACTTTCTCCAGTCCCAGGCTTGAAATAACATGCTTTGGAAAAAGAATATACTTCCACTGTAAAAAAAAAAAAATTGTACAATGTAAATATACTTCTTTTTTCCTCAAAGTACAGATGTATTCTACTAGAGACATTTGCAGTCTTAAAGGACTTTTATTTTAATCACTAGTAAGCAAGAGAATTTCCCTTATGGTTTATGACAAGGCAACATAAAAATGACAATCCTGATACTAGTATTTTTGTCTTCCAAAATATATAGCTATTAGATGAAATTCCATCTTTTGAGAAAATACTCACATGAATTTTAGCTTTACCAAGTATTTACAAATACTTCATAAAGGCAACCTTCCGTCTTCACGGGTTGTGAGGGATTCTGAGTTCAACTTCAATTGAGGCCACAATTACATTCAACAAAATCTGGATTTACTGTTTGGATGTGTGTTTGCGTTTGTGTTTGACAGGGTTGTTTTCTCCCTCTCTCTCTCTCTCTGCTGGTTATATTTTTGTGATACTTTTTGCTCCTATCAGGCATTTCATCACTCAAAGTAATAGTTATATTCATATAGTTGCTCAGACGATTCCATGTTGAAATATCCTGTGGGAAAATTGTCTTCAAGAAATTTCATTCTCAAATAGGGTGCCTTCACATCATTTGAGGTGTGAGTTGATAATATAGATAAAAATAAGTAGAAGAAAAAAATTCCGTAAACCTCAGAGTGAGTCAGATAGCATAGAAATTATTTTGCTTCATAGTTGGTTCTAGGCATAAATGCCCAAATGTAGTGGTGGTATTTCTGGAGACTTCTTTATCTTATATAAAGCTAACTTAAGTTTCAGGGTAAATAATATAAACAAATTATTCAAAAGTAACTGTAAACTTAGATTTCAATCACAACTAAAGGAAAATTTAGTGTTTGTCTCATATTCCAGGACCAGAGACAAGATTGACTTTAAAATATTTATGAAAGTAAGTGTGAATGGAGATGTGTGTGTGCGTGTGTGTGTGAGAGAGAGAGAGACAGAGAGAGAGAGAGGAGAGACGGAGAGAGAGAGAGAGAGAGAGAGAGAGAGAGATGAAGTGTTATTGATATTGTTTCTACCCCATCTTCCTGTATTCCATCATTAAGGCAGATAACTACCTCCCAGGGAAGGCGTTAGAATGACACCAAAGAAGAGAGGAAAATACACGGTAAGTTCTTAGCTTTTAAATCCATTGAAATATAAAATGAATTTAAAAGCTAATTCAAATACATATATATATATATATATATATATATATATATGTAGTGTGTGTGTGTGTGTGTGTGTGTGTGTGCATGTGTGTGCAGGAAGTTACAGCTTAGGTACTTGTTTTCATCTTCTCCTAACCTCATCTCCAGATTTAAATGATGCTATTTAAACTGGTAAAAATGAAGAGGGCTGAACAGTGTGTGTTGCCCTGGGCCCTCCCTTTTCCTTTGTGTGCAGACTCTTGGGTAAGAGAGTTAAATTAATCCCCTTTGAGAAATATGATGTTCAAGTAAACATTTTGTGCCATCCTTTCAGCATATAGCAGTGGATACAGCCAGTTCCTGAGAATATATGTCTCAAGGGTAAAACATGCCATACCAAAGTAAACATGGCAGCATGGTAGATTCAATCATGAGACAATAAAACAAAATATTACTACCAAAAGAAAATATTTATTAATCTGTCCTCATATAAGGGTGCTCCTACATCCAACTGCCACAACCTACACTTACTTCCAGCCTGCAAATGGTGGCAGAAAGCAGATAAAATTTTCCTGTCCCTGAAAGAGGTGTGCAGATGTGTTGAAGAGTGGCTGTGGATAAATGGGAAATTGTGGAGTAGAACAGGAAGAAATATAAACTGATATGAATCACATGTATGAAGGTTTCATGTGATATCAACAGGACAATCAAGGACATTGTACTAGTCTGTTCTCACACTGCTTAATAAAGACATGCCCAAGTGTGGGTAATTTATGAAGGAAAGAGGTTTAATTGACTCACAGTTCTACATGGCTAGGAAGGCCTCCCAATCATGGTGGAAGAAGAGGGAAGAGCAAAGGGACATCTTATATGGCAAGAGAGAGTGTGTGCAGGGGAACTCCCCTTTATAAAACCATCAGATCTCATGAGACTTATTCACTATCACCAGAACAGCACGGGGCAAACCTGCGGCGATGATTCAATTAACTCCCATTTGATTCTTCCCATGATGCATGGGGATTATTACAATTCAAGGTGAGATTTGAGTGGGGACACAGAGCCAAAGCATACTAGACATGGAACCCCAACAATGAAGTGGGACAAGTTCCACCTGAAGTAGAGCACAAAACATAACTGAGAGAGAGGTCAATTACCAAAACCCACAGATAACATCACTCTTTAGGGTGAAAGACTGAAATGTTTTCCCCTAAGTTTAGGAACAAGAAAGTGCTGTCCACGCTTGCCACTTGTCTTCAACATTTTAATGAATGTTTTACTCAGGGCAATTAGGTAAGAAAATGAAATGAAGGACATCAAGATAACAAAGAAAGAAGGAAAGCTCTTTCCACAAATGACATTGTCTTGTTTATAGAAAATCTCGGCCGGGCGCGGTGGCTGACGCCTGTAAACCCAGCACTTTGGGAGGCCAAGGTGGGCGGATCACAAGGTCAGGAGATCGTAGCCATCCTGGCTAACACGGTGAAACCCCATCTCTACTAAAAATACAAAAAGAAATTAGCCGGGCGTGGTGGTGGGCACCTGTAGTCCCAGCTACTTGGGAGGCTGAGGCAGGAGAATGGCGTGAACCCAGGAGGCCGAGCTTGTAGTGAGCCGAGATGGTGCCACTGCACTCCAGCCTGGGCAACAGAGTGAGACTCCATCTCAAAAAAAAAAAAAAAAAGAAAATCTCAGGGGATTTACATGTATAGGCAAAAAATAAATTAAAACTATTAAAGAAGTTTAGCAAGCATGCCAGAAACAAGATCAATATTCAAAAATAACTTGTGTAAACTATCAATGAAAAATCCAAAAGTAAAGTTTTAAAAAACGTGTTTACAATATAATTAAAAAGAAGAAATACTTAGGATAAACATGTACACTGGAAATTCCAAAGCATATTTGAAAGAAATTAAGGACCTGAATAAGTGAAGTGACATTCAATGTTTATGGATTGGAAATCTAATATTGCTAAAATGGCAATACTTTCCAAATTGATTCACAGATTCAATATAATTCCTATTAAAATCCTGGTTTGCTTATTTGAAGAAACTGATGAATTCATTAAAAAATTTATATGGATATCTAAAGACCAAGAAGAGCCAAGCCAATCTTCAAATGTGCTAAAATATAAAACTTTTAGACGAAACATAAGCATATCTATCAAAGAAGAAATATGAACAGCAATTAAGAGAAAAATTTAAAGAAAGCACTCTAAACTATCAAGCACACTTTTTTAAATTTTATTTCAGATATGGAGGAAAACATTAAACTACATAAAATCCTACAAAACACAGCAAAAAAATGAAAATTACACAGTTGAACTCATAGGATTAATAAACTAGCACTAGTGTTAAAGTAGCATATTATAACATTGATACATAAGCAAAAACTGTGGGTCTAACTTGCAAGTTTATGTGGAAAAAATAGAACACACCCAAATTAACTTTATTCTTTATTCCAACATTTTACATAGGAATTTCAATTACCAGCAAGATACCCCAACTCCAGGCTTTTGAGGAAGCCTAAAAGGTTGTCTTCCACTATAGCGTCTGCTTTTCCAGCCATGGTTCCTCCTCTGCCATTTCTTTGGGACTGATGAGTGATATTCTTGTCTCAAGGCTGCTCCAGTCCCAAGCACCAGTTATTCATCTCTAAGTAACTGATACTATCACTGCTTTGACACAAAGTATGACATGTGTTTACATGGCTTAATTGTGTGGCTAGAAACAGGTAGCTTTTTTTCTCCTGAGATACTTGGCTTAGTTGTGATAGCTGCAATGCTGTAATTAGATGGCCTGGGCCCTCACAGGGCGGAGTTTATGTGATGGTCTGTTGTATGGGGAGGAAAAATTGGGATTTGCTTTTTGGTTGACATAGATATAAGTGTCTCAAAAAGTGATGGTAGTGTCTCATTTTGTTATACAAAATAATTAAATAGTAATTTTGGTTTTTTAATCTATAATTCTTCATCTCTAGGATGTACACATATAGAGTGAAGACATGGTGTTCTGAATTTCTTCTCTCACCTAGTGACTACACAGGGTTTTTTCATGGGACAGGTTCTCATCCTATCTGCCCACGTTTTCACTTAAATTTTATTTTTATCAGATGTCTCTTAAAGCTCCATGTCATAGTCCATTTTTTGCTGCTACAAAAGAATATCTGAAACTGGATAATTTATTTAAAAAGCAGTGATTTATTTCTTACAGCTCGAGAGGCTGAGAAGTTCAAAGTCAAGGGGGCCTACATCTGGTTAGAGTCTTCTCACTGAGCCATCCCATGGTGAAAGACAGAAGAGCAAGAAACCACATATGCTTGTGTATGAGAGAGATCAAACTTGCAGCCTCAAGCCTTTTAACAATCAGTAATAATGCATTCATGTGGGTGGAGCCCTTATGACATAAACATCTTTTCTTACGCCCAACTTTCCAACACTGTTGCACTGGGGATTAAGTTTCCAACACATGCTTCTTAGGGGACACATTCAAGCCATAGCTCTCCACCACAGCCCCCAAAATTAATGTCTTTCTCACATGCAAAATACATTTATTTCACCTTAATAGTCCCCAAAATCTTAACACTTTCCAGCATCAACTAAGAGGTCCATAGTCCAAACAGTTATCTAAATCTGACATGAGAGAAGATTCAAAACATGATTCATCTTGACACAAATTTTCTCCAGCTGTGAGTCTGTAAAATTAAAACAAGTTGTCTTTCAAAAATACAATAGCAAAACACATTCCCATTTCAAAAGGGGAAAATTAGCAAGAAGAAAGAGGTAATAAGTCCTAAGCAAGTCCCAAATCCAATAAGCCAAACAGGATTGAATCATAAGTCTTCAGAATAATTTTCCTTGACTACATATCCCACATTCTGGGTAGACTCAAGAGAGTTTGGCCCCCAAAGCCTCAAGCAGGCTTACCCTTATGGCTCAGCCCATGCCACAGCTCTCTCTGAGTTGGAATCTCCTGCCAGCGGCTCTCTCTGGCTATCATTGCATGCTTGTAGCTCTACAGTTCTGGGGTCTTAGTGCTGGTCCCACTCCCACAGCCCCATTAGGAGCTGGAGGAGACTACTGGAGACTATGTTGGCCTGGTTCCCATGGATCCACTAGGCACTACTCTCTGTAGCAGCTCTGCTCCTGTGGCAAGTTTCTGCCTATGCCACCAGGCTGTCTGCAACATATGTTAAAATTTAGACGGAGACAGCTGGTCTGAGTACAGGGTTATTTACAACTAATTGACCACACCAACTTACAGATTTTTTTGTTCCTTGTCCACTTCTACTGCTTCACTTGAGTAGCCTTAACAAAAAGAAAGCAAGAAATGTAAGTGAAGACTGTCAAAGCCCCACAGCTCCCAAACTCTGTGTGCCTGCAGAATTAGCAACACTCTGATGCTGTCAAGGCTCCTTGCCTGCACCCTCTGGAGTGCCTGCCCAAGCTGCACCTGGGCCCACGTGAGCTGTGGCAATGGCAACTGAGGAGCATTGTGCCAATATGCAGGGAGCAGACACTGGAGGTGGTGCAGGGCAGCAAATGCTGAGGTCCCATGGGCACCTCTCTGGAAACCCTGACCTCAAGGTCACGCTTTGGGCCTGTGATGAGAGGCCTTGAAGATTTCTGAAATGCCTTTGAGATTTTTCCCTCATTGTTTTGATGAATATTATCTGGATCTCTTCGATCTGTGGCACTTTGGCAAAGGATTGCTTGGCCATACATAAAGTTTGTTATCCAAAATATGCCTTTTCATTCTTGACATGGCAATGCTAAACATTTCCAAAATTATTTCTTTCTAATTTTCTTTCAATTATCAATTCCATCTTTAAATCATGTCTTTCTTCTCTCATTTTACTTCAAGTGGACAAAACAGGCCAGGCAGCACCTTGGGTGCTTGGCTCTGTAGATATTTCTTCTACCAAATATCCTTGTACATCACTCTTAAGTTCTGCCTTCCATAACACCCTAGGGCAGGGACACAATCTCACCAAGTTCCTTGCAACTATATAATGATGGCTTTTATTCCAGTTTCCAATACCTTGTTCCTTGGTTCTAACTGAAACATCTTTAGAATGTCCTTTCCTATCTGTATTTCTACCAGCATTCTGATCATTACTACTTAATATCTAAGAAATTCCAGAATTTTCTTACATTTTTTCTCTTCTCCTGAGCTCTCACCAGAATCACCCTTACTGCTTCATTTGTGGCAGTCTAGGCTTTTTCTAGCCTGCTCCTCTAAATTCTTCTAGCCTCTATTCATTAGAGGCTAGAAGTTCCAATACCACTTCCGCGTATCTAGGTATTTGTTATACCAACAGCCTCATTGTTCAGTACCAATTTTCTGTCTCGGCCCATTTTGTGCTGTGATAGTATACCTGAGACTGGTTAATTTATTAAACAAACAAACAAACGTAAGGGTGCAGTAGCTCACACCTGTAATCCCAACACTTTGGGATGCAGAGGCTGGAGGCTGGCTTGAGCTCACGAGTTCAAGGCTAGTCTGGGCAACATGGTGAAACAGTTTTTACAAAAAATACAAAAATTAGCAAAGTGTGGTGTACATGCCTGTAGTCCTAAATACCTGGGGGGCTAAGGTGGGAGGATCGCTTGAGCCCAGAAGGTGGAGGCTGTAGTGGGCCTTGTTTGTGCCACTGCACTCCAGTCTGGGCGACAAAGTGAGACCCTGTCTTAAACAAACAAACAAACACACACACACACACACACACACACACACACACACACACACACACAAAAGAAGTAAAACCAGGGATTTACTTCTTACAGTTCTGGAGGTCGGGAGTAATAGGTCAAGAGGCCCACACTTGGTGAGGGCCTTCTTTGCTGCATCATCTCGTGGTAGAAAGAAGAAGGACAAGACAGAAGGAACACATGAGAGAAAGTGATTAAACTCAAAGACTTAAACCCTTTTAAAAGTAGTACTAATCCATTTATGAAGGTGGAGCTCTTATGACCTAGACATATTTCATTAGGCCAAATTCCAGATAGCATTGCATTGGGGATTAAGTTTCCAACACTTGCTTCTTGGGGGACACATTTCGGTCATAGTACTCCATATGCAAATAAGTTTCAGCAAATCCACCTTTGCATCCACCTTACAATTGAGGTTTAACTTGACAATTGAGGTTTAACCCACATTTCTTTCTACAGCATCAAATTAAGTTTATTTAAACAGTAAAAGTATAGAATTGCTTGAAAATATATATAATTCTACCATATGCAATTATATACATGCATTTATATATAAGTATATATATAAATATATACTTATATATAAATGCACATATATAATCTATCATAAGGTCATACAAATAAAAATTATATTCTATGTTTCATTATCTGACATAAGTTTATTATTTATTTTCTATCTTTTTCAACTAAAATCTAAGGTTCATGGTTATAGAAATTTGCATGGAATTTTTGCTTGGCACATAGTATGCTGGTAGGCAAATTAAGAAGATTAATTGTAGGTAAAGAATTGTGCCAAAAATACAAAAAGCACTCAATAAATACTGGTTCTGATTATGCTTAAATAATCGGACAACAAAAAACAAATAATTTTGGTTAAATGGGATTTTTAGATGATTTACTTTAAAAATGAGAAACTAGGTGGCATGTTGCTGAAAAGTATAGAGAATACAGCTTCTTCTTGGTGCATTGTTTCTGTTAAACACCAGTTCATTCAAAGCAGCTCCTCTAGCTTCAGCTATCATGATATTCCAGCCAGCCCAAAGGAAGAAATAAAAGAAGAGTTTATTCACTCCTTTGAAAGAGATAGAGAAATCAGAAGGAATAAGTAATTTAGGAAAGAGGATCATCAGTTTTGCTTAAGGCATTTTGAGTTCAGGGCGCTGGTAGAATATTTCAGTTACATACTCATGAATTAATCAGTAAATAAAATTTTAAAAGCCAGTTTTGTTGTGAAAAAATAGATTTCAGAGTTATTCATTTTTAACACTTAGAGTAGATAAAATTACCAAATAATTTTATAATTCCTGCTAGTTTTAAAACTATTATTGAAGAAGAAGGTATTTTATTTCACTTTATGCTATTCACAGTACACAGCGCCTTGTACTTAATGCATTCTAAAGATATGCAGAAATACATACATGCACATATGATGAATGAATAAAAGGAGGTTATTTTTAAGCAAGGAGATATTGATTAATACCAAGTAACAGAGTGCATCTCAAACTCATTGCACTTTAAATAAGCCATAGAGCATATAAAATATTCTAATGCCCAGATCACTCCCCTAGACCTATAAATCAGAATCTTTAGGAGTGGAAGACAGATATAATTAGAAAACCTCCATTAGCACCAACAATAAAAAATAAAATAAAATCTTTGATTATATTTTAAATGCTACAACCTTTTTTATATTAAAGAACATGGACTCAATGTTTATATTTTATATTATATATTTTATATAATATATTATATATCTTTATATAATATATTATGTAATATATATTATATATTATATTATATTATATTATATATATATTATATTATATTATTATATATTATATATTTATATATATTTATATAAATATATAATAATATATTATAACATATAATTATATATTATATTATACATATAATATATAATATATAATTATATGTTATATATATTATATATTATATTATATATTATATAATATATATAATATGTATATCTTTGGTGATATTTTAAATGCTACAACCTTCTTTATATTAAAGAACATAAACTCAATATTTATTTGGCATGAGGCTAAAATTTATCTGATTTGCAAAATGAATGAATTTGCACATTTCTTAAATATAATTTTATTATGGATGGGCTATATAATTTATTAAATATAATTTTGTTATGGATGGGCTATATAATTTCTATAGATTTAAAAAAGATTCATAAGAAATGATTAAAATATTGAATTATTGCCAGAAATTAAGTTTCTCATAGAAAAAGAAAAATTTGCTCTTTTAACACGATTTTCTAAAATTTAACTTTGCTAAATGACTGTCCAATGACATGTATCATGGCATAGCTTATTAACTAAGTTGCTTCTTAGTTTTTAAAATAAAATCTAATAAATTACTTGTGGGTTTTTTTTTGTTTTTTTTTTTTTTTTTTTCTGAGACAGAGTCTCGCTCTGTTGCCCAGGCTGGAGTGCAGTGTCACAATGTTGGCTCACTGCAAGATTCGCCTCCCGGGTTCACGCCATTCTCCTGCGTCAGCCTCCCGAGTAGCTGGATAAATTAATATTTTAAAAACATCCTCACCGAACAGATGAACTTCTCGTAATGTATTATTTTTTAGTCTACTTATTTTAAATGGCGTACATATATAATCCATTCTATTCCTTGTTAACTCAAATGAGAGATTTTTACATGTTATCCATATTTTTGTCGTCTTTTTTTCTAATTTTACTTTGGGGCAGAAGAAAAATACAATTTTTCAAATGTTAAAACATATAATTTGATTATATTCTACAAATAAATAACTTTGGTTTCTAAAATTACATTATGTTTGGAAATGGGAATCATCTCTGTGGTTTAACATAAATTATCACAAACTGTTATGACACATTTTATGAGGCTTTTTTGCATTTTATTTTTCCTGCTCACTTGAGAATCAGATGCATCTGGCAACTCATTTAAGTCAATGACATTTATTAATCACTTCTCATTATTTCAGTTATGATGTATGAAGGTTTTCACACTTGTGAGATTTCAAAAGTATCTAAAACTAATGATTCCCATTTCCTCATTTAAAACCTATTATGAAATGCTCTCCTGAGAAAACAGCCACCTGTGTCCAGTAAGCAGCTTATGGTCATCTAGAATTCCTGATTGTAAATCTGAAGTTTATTTACCTTCCACTCCTATGTATTCATTACAACTGTCTTCAAACAAATTGGCCTTATTTTTTGTTAATATTGCTTTTAATGTAATTTATCAATTAAGTAGATTAATCAAAAATCTACCTTTTCTGGATGTTAGTTCAATTTTTGAATTGGTTGACATCAAGGAACCAAGTAAAATGCATTGTGTCACAAACAGAATGCAGATATCCAAACATCCATAAGGAAATAAGCAAATAATATTTGTCATCAATTATGTCTTCAGGTTTGTATATTTAATAAAAAATTAATTTGAATAAGATAAATGTATAACTATAGGGAATATGTTAACTCATCTGATACTATATCATAAAAGAATATTATTTGAGATAGTTTATATGATTTTCTTGATTTTTTTAAGAAAAGTAAAATATAAATGAACAAAAAAGTCACTTAATCAATATTATCATCTTGCCCCCCAAAAACTGATGAATATGTTTTCACATACTTCTCTCACTTACTCTGGCTCTATGTATAGTTGAATGTATATATACCCATATATGTGTATATGTATTATATATGCAATGTATACATACACACATACGTGATATTGAATATTGATGAATGAATTAGCACATTTCTTAAATATAATTTTATTATGGTTGAGCTATAGAGTGATCAAAGCATTATATATGTGTTATATGTGTATATGTGTGTATATATACGCACTTGTATATATACATGTGCGTATATATACAATCAGCTATATATGTGTATATAGACATTCAGCTATATATATA
Organism: Homo sapiens; assembly: GCF_000001405.40. Taxonomy (NCBI): domain Eukaryota; kingdom Metazoa; phylum Chordata; class Mammalia; order Primates; family Hominidae; genus Homo; species Homo sapiens. The sequence goes on along the minus strand of NC_000021.9, from coordinate 23,426,847 downwards.
ATTAGAAGGGATTGATGATAGATAATTGACTGATTGAAGAAAATCTTTAAAAAATAAGAAATTTCTGTGTAATCTATTTTTAAAATTTTCATCACATAACAATCAAGTCCCCAGTTGATACATAACTAGTTGCAGCACTTTACAAGTTTCACATGTACAAAGTAAACATTTAGTGATTTTAGTAGACACTTAAGGATTGTAAATATTTGTAACAACAAATATGAGTAATGATTGTTTGAAAACTGAAATAGAAACACAAATATTCTTAAAATATGAGAAAATTATGAACACAAGAAAACTACAAATACATATAAAATGACATATAGTGTTTTGCATCAAAATTAAAAATGATCAAAGCATTAATATTTCAGGTTATTTACAGTTTACAGTTGACTAATAGACTTCATGTACCCCAGGTTTTTTTTAACAAAATGATTTGGGTAAAATAATATAACTTAAATAGTCCTCTTACACTGAGCAAATATGTAATTATAATAAACTTATTATCTTAAGCCTATATATAACTATATATTCAGAGTATTTTCAGTAGGGAGAACCAAGATGAGTATACTTAATTTTTATAAAGGTCAGAAAACTCTGACATCTAAAATTATTATTCAAGATAATTAGATGTGCTTAGCCATCTGGGCAAGGGATGGTTTGTAAATGAGATGGGAGTGCTTCATGAATACATTGACAGATAACATGATATACTTCAGGAAGGCATCAATTGCTATAATTAAATGATACAAAATATGCTGGGATCTATTTACTTGTAACCTTCTTGGCATGAAGTAAGGACATTTTGCTCCTGATTTATTTTCACATTTTCAAGGGATCAAATGGAGGGTCAGTTAATATAGGGATTGATCTGATCCACTCTGTATACTTAAGGCAGCATTAATATTGTTTCTTTTGTTGATGAAGTTTGAAATAAGTGGAAATGATGACTGAGTCGTACCTTCAATTATGCATTACATGTTCATCAGGATTTTGAATGGTAGTTATCTGAAACCTGAGAGTATAAGAAATAAGCCCCCACCACCACCAACCCATAACCTGAGGAAGTCTTTGTAAACCTCCCGTTAAATATGGTAGCCACTAGTCACTTGTAGCTATAGAGCCCTTGAAATGTGACTAGTCTAACTAAAGACTAGTAAGTTACACACTGTAAGTGTAAATTAAACACAAGAGAATGTAAAGTATATCATCAATAATGTTTCATATTGATTGAACGTGGGAATACAATACTTTAGGTATTATGAATTAAATAAAACAAATTTCTAAAATTAATTTCACTTAATTCTCTTTCAGTTTTTCATGTGACTAACAATTTTAAAATTACACATGTAACTTTCACTAAGTTCTATTGTACAGAAGTCTTCTAGACCCTCTAGACAGAATTTGCTAAAAGTAAGTTAATTGATATTCAAAATGACCTCAAGAGCCTATGTCAGAGGAAGATGAGACATTGGCAGAAATTCCCTGGAGAATAGAATTGGTTGAATTTGAAGAAGGTAATTGATAAGCTTAGGGGAAGAATGTTTTGAGATTTCCTTTTTCTCCCTTCCCCAAGCTAATGGAGAAATTTTTTTAAAAAAGTTTAGGAATGATTTCATGAAGGAGAGTTACAAAGACATTCAAGTCCAGCAAAGGGAAGCGTCATGAGGGTGTTATTGGTGAAGGTAGAGATTTTCCTCCTAGACTTTACAATATACATGAAACAATGAACAAAGCGACCAAAGCATAAATCCCCTTGCACAAAACAAAAACTGAGATTCCGGCTGGAGCAGATCACACCTGGCACAGCCATATTTTGTGAGCATTCTATGAGCCAGAGAATGGCAAAAGCAGGTGGGTTCAAGGTGTTTTAATGAAAAACTTCCCAAGAATCTTTGTTGACTCTTTTTGAAATTGAATTATACTTGAATTAAGAACAGGTCTTAGGCTTAAGATCAAATCCATAGGAGGTTTAAAAGAATATTTATGAATACATCACAGCAAGCCACCTCATAAAAACCTGCAGACCGGAAAAAACAAACCAAAGATCCTGTAAGTATCTTATGTGTGTATCTTGTAGGTTCACTTTGTTGAAGAGTAAGTCTCAGAATCCTGTCATTGTTGCAGGGAATCCATACTATCTTGAAGGCATGTGTGGGTTTTGCTTTTATTAAATAGAGTGAATGATAAATTGACATACATAAAGGTCAGAAATATTGTAAGGTGATCTCAGCTCAATGCAACCTCCGCCTCCCAAGCTCAAGTGAGTCTCCTGCCTCAGCGTCCTGAGTAGCTGGGATTACAGGTGCCTGCCACCATGACTTGCTAATTCTTGTATTTTTAGTAGAGACGGGGTTTCACCATGTTGCCCAGGCTGGTCTTACTTCAGGTGATCCACCTGCCTCAGCCTGTCAAAGTGCTGACTGAGATTACAGGCGTGAGCCATCGCGCCCAGCCAAGGCATGGATACCCTCCCCCCGCCCCCGACAGACTCTTGCTCTGTCACCAAGACTGGGGTGAAGTGGCGCAATCTTGGCTTACTGCAACCTCTGCCTCCTGGGTTCAAGCAATTCTCCTGTCTCAGCCTCCTGAGTAGCTGGGATTACAGGCGCCCACCACCATACCCGGCTAATTTCTGTATTATTATTATTATTATTATTATTATTATTATTATTATTGAGATGGAGTCTCGCTCTGTTGCCCAGGCCTGAGTGCAGGGGCGCGATCTCGACTCACTGCAAGCTCCGCCTCCCGGGTTCACGCCATTCTCCTGCCTCAACCTCCTGAGTAGCTGGGACTACAGGTACCTGCCACCACGCCCGGCTAACTTTTTGTATTTTTAGTAGAGATGGGGTTTCACCGTGTTAGCCAGGATAGTCTCAATCTCCTGACCTCCTGATCCGCCCGTCTCTGCCTCCCGAAGTGCTGGGGTTACAGGAGTGAGCCACCGCGCCCGGCCTAATTTCTGTATTTTTAGTAGAGACAGGGTTTTACCATGTTGGCCAGGCTGATCTCCAACTCCTGACCTCATGATCCTTCTGCCTCAGCCTCCGCAAGTGCTGGGATTACACGCGAGAGCCACCGCGCTCGGCCGGAGACATGTTTTTTAGCAGGAGAATTTATTAAAACGTATTTGGACATAAACAAAATGAATTACACTTGGAAGAGGGACAAAAGGGCAACTTGAGAGCTCCAAATCCGCTGTTCAACCGTTGACTTCAGGTTTTATATGTTGGCACGTTTTGGGGCGGGGGATTACCTCTCTCCTCCCTCGAATTTTCCTAGGGTTCACATGTGCAGTGGCCTGCTGGCAACTTGCAAAGGGGCACACACACAGTGTGTTTACTCAAGTTATGCACGTGCTCATTTGAGGCATTTTCACTTACCCAGTCAAGTGTTCCCAGAGGAAGGTCATATAACCAGTTAAACGCCAGCATTTTGCCCCTTAGTGCGCATGCTTGAGCCCACGTGTCCAGCTCCTGAGTTCTTATTGGGAAGGTGCTGATCACCAGCTTCCAGTATTTTCTAACTACTGGGAGACTGCCATTCCCTGGCGCTGGCTGTGACCCATTATTATTTAGAGAGACAGTTTAACAACCGCCTGACCATCACCTGATGGTTGCCTGACATTTATGGTGGGGGAGAGGGGTTGGGGGAGCTCTGCTGCCCTGCTCACATCTGCCTATCTTCCTACTCTAACAATAACACCTCTTAACATCTCTCATCTAAATTCGTTATATTAATAATTTTATGTCAATATCCTCTTTACAAGTGGTAATGTCTCTGTTCCTTTTGTCCAAGCTGAAACAATGCCTTACAATATTTCTGACCTTTATGTATATCCATTTATCATTCACTCGATTTAATAAAAGCAAAACCCACACATGCCTTCAAGATTGTACGAACTCCCTGCAACCAGTAACTGTTAGGATTCTGAGACTTACTGTTTTAAGAAAGTGAACCTACAAGATACATCTATAAGATACTTAGAGGATCTTTGGTTTGTTTTTTTCTGGTCTGCAGGTTTTTATGAGGTGGCTTGCTATGATGCATTCGTAAATACTCTTTTAAACCTCCTATGGATTTGATCTTAAGCCTGAGAGCTGTTCTTAATTTAAGTATAATTTTCCCTCTGGAGAGACTTGAAATGAGAAAGTGTTTTTATTTTTTTAATACAACAAATCCTGGCTCCATTAGTTTTAACTTTTCTTAGTTGATCTTTCTCCTGTCACATTTTTTTTTTACAGTCAGTCAAACATTAGGTATTATTTTCAGTAATCTTCCTGAAAATCCTCTTAGCTAGATCACCACATTTATTTTGTACATTTCTATTTTCTATTTATAGCTACTACCTACAAAGTGTTTCCTTTCCTCCAGATTCCATTTTCTTTTTTTACTTTCTGTTAAGCCATTACTGATAATTTTCTCAAGCCTTTTAGGCTTCTTTTAATACTAACCCCAAGGGTCTTCCAGCTTCTGCCTTTTTCTTTTTTCCAAAACCAATGTCTCTTGTATCATGTTTCCCCAGCTGCTTGGCACTCTCTTACAAAAGCAGTACTGCAGTAGTAAGCCTCCTTAAAACTTAGCCTATTTAAACAACAGAAAATATACACATATTTTAGTCCATGAATTTGAATTTAGGAAGAGCGCAAAGAAGATAATCTGTCTGTTCCATGAAACGTGAGCTGGGCAGCAGAGGACCATTTACAAAACCGTTCACCCACACATTGGCAGATTGGTATTGATTGACAGCTGGGAGTTAAGCTGGTGAGTTTTGTACAAATTCTCTTCATCAGGTTGGTGAAATTGCATTCTTTACCTAAATTGCTGCGATGTTTGTTTGTTTGCTTGCTTGGTTTTCTGAATGACTGCTGATTTTAGCCCCATGAGCAAGTGCAATAATGGTCCCAACATTCGAAGGGGCACTGCAGTCCATAAACATTTATAAAATATTTCCCTAATTCATCACATACTTTAAAATTATACTCACAGCTCACTGTAGACTCTACCTCCTGGGCCCAAGCAATCCTCCTGCCTCAGCCTCCCAACTAGCTGTGACTATAGGCACCTGCCACCATACACCAAAACATAATTATTTTATGTTTTGCAGAGATGGGGTCTCCCTATGTTGCTCAGGCTGGTCTCAAACGTGTGGGCTCTAAGCAATCCTCCCACCTTCGTCTCCCAAAGTGCTGGGATTGTAGGCATAAGCCACTGGACCTAGCCAAAAAGTATTTTTTATTTAATACTTCATTATTTGTTTTCTTACATCCTTTAGCCCCTCTCATTATTTCCACAAAATTGTTCACTGCTCATACATCTTTGTATAATCCTTTAAAATACATTCTTTTCAATTCTTCTATTTAAGGTAATTGTTTTGTTAACCTGATTAGTAATTAAATCATCTTGAATACAAAAATCTTAATTTTATAAAACATATTTTGTATTTTAGACAAGCCCTTGTTTTTTTAATTCAAATATCACTATTTTGCTACCTATTTGTTATCTATATTGTTATTATAAATTGATTCATTTCTTAGAAAGTATTTTTTTCTCAAATAGGAATAACTCACAATTGCATTTTCTCCTCTATTAAGTGGGTTCAGATGGAGATTAGACTATTTTGTGTCCAACTACACTCCATCAATATTGTCAAAAGAGGCTAAATTTATTTGAACTTATAGCAGAGACTCTGGTACAAAGAATATTTATAGTTTTCAAATATTTTACTGTGAATACAAATTGTCTCAATATATTAGTTTTCTAAACATACATTGTAAAATATAACAAATGTAAGGCTGTCTGGCCGGGCATGGTGGCTCACACCTGTAATCCCAGCACTTTGGGAAGCCGAGGCGGGAGGATCATGAGGTCAGGGGATCAAGACCATCCTGGCTAGCATGGTGAAACCCTGTCTCTACTAAAAATACAAAAAAATTAGCCAGGCGTAGGGTGGGTGCCTGTAATCCCAGCGACTCGGGAGGCTGAGGCAGGAGAATCGCTTGAACCCGGGAGGAGGTGGTTGCAGTGAGCCGAGATCGTGCCACTGCACTCCAGCTTGCGTGACAGAGGAGCAAGACTCAGTCTAAAAATAAAAGGAAGACTGTGATATAAGAGTAACATAAATTGTTTTTTATCCACAGACGTGTGTAGTCACCATTCAGGTTACACTATTATAAGTTGTGATATACATAATTACATAGTATTACTATTCCATGAACAGGGTGGTAGGAAGTATATATTATACTTAAGTATCTTATCTCATATGAATTAATAATCCTATATTTTCTATTTTATGTAATTTTTTTTGCATTTTCCCTCTGGGAATAGATTTTCGATAAATATTTTCTACATACTTTTCTACACTTTTCTACCTTATATGGGAACAATATTAGTAACTGTAAACTCATTAGGTGACTGATGATCATACTGCATTTGTATGAAAGATATAAATTTTAAAAATATATAAATGCTTTAAAAATATTATCGTTATTATTTCCTTATTTAATTTAGACTTTTCCTTTTGTTGTAGATTTTTCATATGTGTTAAAACTTCTTTTTGGCTGGGCATGGTGGCTTACACCTGTAATGCCAGCACTTTGGGAGGCTGAGGTCAGCAGATCACAAGGTCAAGAGATAGAGACCCAGTCTGGCCAACATGGTGAAACCCCATCTCTACTAAAAATACAAAAATTAGCTAGGCGTGGTGGCACATGCCTGTAATCCCAGCTACTAGGGAGACTGAGGCAGGAGAATCACTTGAACCCAGGAGGCAGAGGTTGCAGTGAGCCGAGATTTTGTCACTGCAGTCCAGCCTGGCAACAGAGCGAGAGAGACTCCATCTCAAAAAAAAAAAAAAAAAAAAAAAAAACTTATTTTCTACATCCTCTAATTTTTTTGCTCTAATTGTATTATCAGTAATATTTTTTAAAGTGTGCACACAATTCAAACTAATTCCAAAGCTATCACTCTTCCCCTATTTTAACCCATATTATTAAAGTGTTTATTTATTTATTTATTGAGGCAAATACTTCCCATCTGTTTCTCTAGTACCTGTAATTGGCACTTTCTGTCAAATCAGCCTGCTGGGTTAAGTGCTCAAACTTGAAGAGTCTTATTTAAAGTGCTCCCAGGAAATTCAGTTATTATAAGTAATCTACAGAATTCAAAAGGAGTGTATGACCAAATATAAAATAGACAACATCAGATTGCTGCAAAGTAGAATATGTTTGAAGAGAACATGCATAGTTGACTGAATTTTTTTTCTGTCTTTTTTTTTCCTGCCTAATAATTAGTTATTTGTTTCCTTTATAATTTTCCTCTGGTACACATGACAGTGAACAAGAGTGAAAACAAATCACAAACAAGATTATAGTAAAATAATGAAAATTGCCCCAATCCTGTTTGCATTTTCTCTGAGTCTTTAATCAGGTTTATTTCATATGGCTTCTTAAATGAACTATGGGATGTTGTTCAATGCAATGTGTGGCTGTGAAATATAAACAGCAAATGATACAAATGAACTGTCTTTCTTAATCTTTTTGACATGCCCAACTAGGAGGGTTATGATGGAAAATAGAACTAATGCAATAAACATAAGGAAATAAAAAGAAAGGAAACAAAACAGAAACAATAAATTCAAAGTGAATCAGACATGTGCTCATAAAGTGCCTCCTGGCAATTTCACTGCTAGTCATCAGAATATCTGAGGAGCAGCAAAAAGTTGGGTGTTGGGATTCTTGCTTTGTGGCCTCACTATGAAAATTAATGCTAGTGAAACCAAGCTCAAAGGATTTTCTTTAATTGCCAGGTACTTTCGGAATTTTTAAGAAAATCAGAAGCCAATATAAATTACCAGTTATATTGCTAGTATTGGAAGAATTTTTTTTTCTTTTTTTTTTTGAGACGGAGTCTTGCTCTGTCGCCCAGGCTGGAGTGCAGTGGTGTGATCTTGGCTCACTGCAAGCTCCACCTCCCAGGTTCACGCCATTCTCCTGCCTCAGCCTCCCAAGTAGCTGGGACTACAGGCGCCCGCCCCCACACCCAGCTAAATTTTTTGTATTTTTAGTAAAGACAGGGTTTCACTGTGCTAGCCAGGATGGTCTTGATCTCCTGACCTCATGATCCGCCCACCTCGGCCTCCCAAAGTGCTGGGATTACAGGTGTGAGCCACCGCACCTGGCCTGGAAGAATATTAAATTCATTTGTTCATTGTAATGTCTCTTTACTAACATAATCTCAAGACTGAATAAAAGTATTTCAGAATGATAAATAGCATAAAAATGTAAATATAAATTAATGAAAAAATTTATGTATTTATCAATTGTTCAGCCCACAATATTGTGGTAATTATTATGTTAAATGATAATTAAAAATACTATGATATTGCCATTATCAGAAGAGCAATCATTAGATCCATTACCTATAATAACCATCAGATACTTGGTTGATACATTGAAGGTAATTGGTTTTATGAACATGAATATTAAAGTCATAATTAGATAATTATCTTCATCTTAAGGCAATAGTCAATGTCTCTTTTCCATTCCAGAATCTTAAAATAGATAATATTTTAAAATATTTATATAATCTGTATGATAAAGTAAAATATTTGTGCCAACCATCTGAAAAGTTTACTAAATTCTATGTGGTTTAATAATTTATAAGGAGAATTGATGTTTTTCTCATATTTAAGTATCACTGCATATAATATTCAGAATATTGTATATCATATTTAAAGCTGTGCGTGAAAACCTGACTCAAGTGTGCCAGAAAACTGTTGACACTCTTACCTTCCTGCATTGGTTTAGTTTTTGCTAAACTGTTGATACGTTTATACAAGTAACTCCATAAATCAATACAGATGACAAATTCAAGCATCGTTGATACTTCCTGTTCTCACTCTGTTTATTTTCTTATATTTGACTCATGCTTACTATAATATTGGGAGCTGTTTTGATATAAAGTCTTATTTATTGCTAAGTCTGTGATCTTAATATAGGAATACAAAGAACTAAAGTGAATTATAACATCTACAAAACCCTCAGGCAGTATAGCACATTTTGAAGTCATGTTCAATACAATAATAAATTCATCAAATGTTTCATTTAAAAATCATTCAGTAACTGACTTCTTTGGCATTGCCAGTGAAGTACTTACTTCAATGTTTAGAATATGTTAGTATTCCAGTTCTTACAGGAAAATCTTCCTATTGCAGCTGGAGAGGCTCAAAAATAACCCTTTCTATGTTTCTCATAAAATATTAAAGTTTTAAAATATTTTCTCACCTGGTTTCAATTTGGGAAAAAAGTAAAAATGGATATCTTACAAGAAATAATAAGAAATATGGAGATTGTTATTTGTGCAAACTCAATTGAGATCTAGTTGTAAAGGTAAAACTGCAAGGCTGTCAATTAAAAACAATAAACATATTCAAATGTACATAAGTATGGAGAACCCACTTTAGAGGTTTAGATTAAAGAAGAATGAAGAACGTGTGGTAGCTAAGAGTATATAAGAGTTTGAGTGAGGTCTTTTTTAACCATTCTAGAACTTATTAGCTATCTGATCTTACTTCTACTTAATCTTTTCTCTGATTAGAGGCCTTTAAGAAAAAAAATAGGCATTTCTCCAGTTCATCTCTGAGCTCTACGATGTATTCTACAGTAAAACACATTTTTCATTTCCTTCAAATACTACTGCTAATGCAACATATCAAAATATAACTTAAGTATTTGATTAGCACTGTATTGGTTGCCTATTGCTGCTGTGAAATTTGTCACAAATTTAGTAGCTTAACACAAATCATTATCTTACAGTTCTGGAGACCTGAAGTCCAACAGGCATCTCACAGGGTTAAAATCAAGGTGTGAGCAGGGTCATGTTCCCACTGGAGATTCAATGAAGAATATGCTTACGTTTTTCAGGGGTGGCACCTTCTACCCCTTCGCTTTATGGCCCTTTTAGGCAGCAACAGCATCACTAAGACCTCTGCTCTGTCTTTGTTATCTCCTTTTCTGATTTCCTATTTCTCTCATAAAGACTTTTGTGATTACATTGGTCCTATCCAGATAGTCCAGAATATTCTCCCCATCTCAGGATCTTTATATTAATCATTCCTGTACATTCCCTTTTGCTGGAGATTAAGTATTAAACATCTTTGCAGAAATTAACACTATTCTTACTACCAGTGAATGATATGTTCAGTTTTATTTACTAAATCAATGTAAGGCGTCAATGGCTTGTACTCAACAGATCACACCCAACCTTGTCTTTTTTTAAAATTTTTTCAGAGATAGGGTCTCACTCTGTCACGCAGGCTATGATCATGGCTTACTACATGAATTACAGCCTGGAATTCCTGGTCTCAAGGAATCGTCCCGCCTTAGCCTCCCACAGCCTGCCATTTTTCCCCCCTACATTTTAAAAAAATAAGTATTTCATAAACTTTGCCTTTTCACTAAATTTCTGCTTTTAAGATGAGAGGCTTGGCAGAGTTAAGCTATTAACCAATTAAGCTATTCTTCAGGGTTAAAAAGAGTGACAGAAAAATTAATGATTATTTATCAAGATTATTTTAACCTCAAAAAACTAGCTGTTTAACTATTAAAGTCATTTCAGAATGTTCCCTTAGTTCTCTTTCTTCTCTCTGTTTTTCTCTCTCTGTCCTCTGAGAAAATTAGCTTTTACCAAATTTTGTAGATACAGAGGCAATACATATAATTAGAAACAATGTTATATATTTTTATGATTATATCATTCACATAAACTATAAATTGTGAATAAAATAATTGCATTGGTAAAGAAATTAATCTAAATAAAAGAACAAGGATTCACAATGATATTGTCATTACTCCTTCCTATTCCTTCCTCTCCAGAAAATGAGAATTGCTTTTGATCAGACCCTATCACTTGCATTTTCTTGCCCTTCCGTGTTTGTCTTTCCTCCAACGCCCTCTTCCAGCATCTCAGTAACTAATACAGAAAGGACTATGAGCAATCCTGAATCCAACAGAGTACATCTCTTCATTTCAGGCATGTTGCATTTAAATAATTATAACTTGTCCATAGTAACTCCCTAAAACTAAAAGAGCCACCTCAATATTCCGCATCTTTTAAAGAGCAGAACAAGTCCTATTTCCTTGAAAAAAAATTTCACACAGCTTGTAAACTGCATCAGTCTCCGCTTTCTTGAGTCTCCTTCAGAAACACAAGTTATCTTTTCCTATTTACGTACTCTCTCATACTATATTATTACTGCTATGACTCTTTCTCTAAGCTCTGTGAGGCCTGAGCTCTTAAATTGTGCTTTTTAAAATCTGACCTAACATCAGTCAAAAAGTTAGGCATATAGAAAACCAAAAAATCTCATTCCATATGGTAAGGAAATAGACCTCATTAATTTATAGTTATACATAATGTTATTTTCTCTCCAAATATTTTTCTATGGTGTTGAGTAAAACACTATCAAAAACAACTTTTCTGGAAGTAATTTAATTGCCTCTAGTTGATTAATGTTTATTTTTAATAAATGTATTACTCATATTCTGAACACAAAATATTTTAACACAATCATATTCCTATCAATATTTTTAAAGACAATAATCCTTTAGTTTCTACTAAAATTGCCATTTTATAAGTTAATATTAATATTTTAAAAATATTGTTCCATAAAACTTAAAACTGACATCTCTTTAGATGAAAGTAACAAGAAACATCTACCCATTAGCGTATAGAAAATGTCAATCACTATTTCTAAAGATATTTTAAGTAAACAACTATTTTATAGGTAGGTTTGGGAGACTTTCTTATAATTTAGGTAAAATCCTCCTACACGTTTCTTTTATTGCTTTCTTTAGATGAATGCTAGAAATGTGCAGATCTAATGCTAATATATTAAATTATTATTCATTTAAGACATTCCAAATATTGTAGGTTTTCTTTTTAGCAAAGTCTGTAGTTGAGGCATTAACATTTATTACAGGTAGTCACCTATGTAATGGCACTCAGTTTGAAAAACATCAAGTTAATTCTTGATTGTTAGAGGTGACTCAGTATCTCTAATATATTTTAAAAGATGACCTCAATTCAAGAAAAATGTCAACATAGCCATTTAAAGAATTTTGCAAAATATGTAAAAAAGTTTTAATCAGGATTGAATTTTTCCAATAATGTAGTCAAAGCACTGCTCAAATCTGGTAGGAGAAACAGCAGTAACATCTCTTTAGTTTTTGTTCTGTGAAATCCGTGGCCAAGATAAGACTTTTTCCCTTGTCACTTTTCGTCATATTCTGAAAAGATTGTGGCCAGACTATGTTCAAGCCTAAATTCAATAAAATATATTAAATATATGATGCTTATACTTTTGCGAATGTTGATCATTTTTTGTTATTTGAGATCATTCACATATATACAAATTAATCAAAGTATTTTAAGGTGAAAAAACTATTTTTGTAGTAAAAGACAATTTGTGAAACAACATGCTTACATTTCTCAGATTTCAGTTTAATAGTAATTGAATTCTGATTCCATTCCCAGGAAACCACATTATTTTAAGACATTGCTTATGCCACTTTTCACCATTTTTGCAGGTACTGCTCTGAAGTCGCCATGACCTCTAACCTAGATGGCTACAATACCTACTACGACTTCTCCTTGCCTCCAGGTTTGCCTCTCTACATTCTATTCTCAACAAAGCAACCAGGGTGATTCACCTGAAACATACAAGTCACATCACGTCACCTCATGTTACTGTAATAGATTTTCATCTTCTCAGGATGGAAGTGAAGAGTTATTAGAATACCATAAAGAGACTATGTTATGTGTTCCCCAAATGCCACCCCCCTACTATACTGGCTTCATATTATACTCTCACCCTTTCTCTTTCTGCTCTGAGCTGTTAGTTGTCTTGTTGTGTCTCCACCATAATATATATGTTGCTAACTCATGGCCTTTATGCATATGGTTCTGATAATTTTCTTCCTCAGATAAAGTTTCACACTCACTTTATCCTTCAGGTGTTTCTCCTATATGTCACCTATCAGTGAAATCTACACTGGCTACCATGTAGCATGCCCCCATCCTCCAACCATGCCTTGACACCATCTCCCCAATTTATTGCTTTAATTTTCCTCATACAATTTATTGCCACTTGACTTGACACATATTTACTCATTATCTGTTTATTGCCAGTCCATCACCAGAATATTTAATGAATACAGAATAAATACGTGTTAAATGAATGAATAAATTAATACCTAAAAGACAGGAGTTGAGTTTTACTTCTATACCAGAGGCAGATAATCTAAAGCCCTCAGACTAAATCTAGCCAGCCATTTGTTTTCTATAAGTACATAAAATTTTATTGAAAAGAGTCCTCCAAATTTGTTAACATATTGTTTATGGCAACTTTCGCACAATGGCAGAGTTGAATAGTTGTGACAGAATGGGAAGTTAGCAAAGACAAAAATATTAAGTGCCTCCTTAAAGAAAAGGTTTGCTCACCTTTTAACTTTTGTTAAATCTTCATATAAATGACTTTTATTCTACTCTTCACTTTCAAATGGGCAAGAGTAGCTGTTTTTGTATCATTCAATGTTTTCAGCAAGTGATTGAAATAAGATTTTGGTAATTTGTGGGAACCAAGATTTACCTTAGGTAAGAGAACGTAGTTTTGGAATCAGAATTTTCACATGAAAATTGGTGACTGCATAATGAGAAGTTTCATATTTCTGTAACCATTCTCTGGGAAATATTCCCTAACTATTATACTGATGAAACTGATAGAAAAATACCACAGGCTAGCCATTTAATGAAAGATGTTTAAGAGATCATTTGAAAAATAAAAGGGAAGCAATTTGGATGTGAGAGATGACATTTTACTCAGATATGTTGCTTTATCTTTCATCTTCCTCAACTTACATGGACAAGGACATGTGATGTTTAGTTCCACTGAGCAATTAAATATTTAATGAGAAAGAACACTAATTGGTAGGTAATGCTCTCATTGATTGTTTCCTAACCAGTTAGTAATTGCATATAAAAGTCATGTATTAGGGACTTAATTAACAATACAAATTACTCTGCCAAAAATGGAATATCATTAGCACAGAATTTATGTTGAAGCTGTCTTCATTTTCCCCTATGGTTTTGAAACCTTAGTAGAAGAGAGGACACTAAATTTAAGTTGACTATTTCCTTGTTTTTTTGTTTTTTTTTCTAAATCCATTTGATTGTTCAATTGCTAAAGCCATGTATTCTTTAAGATCTGTGCTTATATGTAGAATATCTTGAGGGAATATGATTTACTGCCCCAGTTTCTGGAAAATGAACTAATATGATAAATGAAGTAGGATGAAGTTCTTGGATGGAAAAAATCAAATTGTCAATAATTTTACATTTAGTCTTAAGAAACCTATGCCATTATTAACAAATCTAACAAAAGAAAGAATACAATAAAAGAACTTTTATCTTAAAATTGATGATTTTGAATTTTGTGATAATTCAGTTAAACAACTACCTCTGAATTTTCTTTATTTGGCTTAGTGTATTATTGTAAGTTGCCCTTACTTGTGTTCCCTGTATAGGGTAAGAAATATAACTTTCCCACCCATTCCAAAAGACTCCCTTTGTGGCCCAGACCACTAAATGCTCTTTATCTCAATAGTTAACCACTATCCTGATACATAATCAAGTCCTTGAATTTCTTTATGTTTTGTCAAGCAAATGTGTATCCTGAGACACCAGAATACAGTTTTCCCCATTTTCGCTGTGTCTAAATCTCCATCCTTTTCTTTTCCTTTTACTTCTTTTTTTTTTAAAAAAAAAAAAACTGTAAAGTTTACCTTGGAAAGTTTTCCTGAATCTGAGTCAGGCTGATTATAAACTCATGGTACACTTTAATATATTTCAGAAAAAGATTTGATTAAAGTCTTTAGATGATTTCCTTTAACAAGAGGCTCAGTATATCTGCCTTCTGGCTTTTATTTTTATTTTTCTCCCAGCTATTTATTGCCTGCTAGTTGTTCATTTCATCTTCCATTTGGTGTTAAAAAGTGGTTGCAATTTAATTCTATCATTTTATTTTTTCAGGTGTAATAATTTTGCAAAGGAATACTACCTTTCATCTACTATTTGATTATCCAATGATACAGTTCATACAGGAAAGGTGGAAAAATCATCTCGATCCTTTCTGTCATTTAATCAGTTTTCCAAAAGTGATTTGGATCACTGTTTTTTCAGCAGTTGATCAATTATTAGTTTTCACATTTATATAAACTCATGGATTTATGATGAGTTTCAATTCATTGTGCCTCTTATCCTTATTGAAGTTCAATTTGTCTCATCTATGATGAGCAAAACATCAGCAGGTTGGCTCTTGAATTCTTCAGGCATGATCCTAGCGGTCATTGATAGCTTCCTTGCTGTCTGTTTTATCAAGATGGTCTATACTCAATCTTGTACATTTTCTTCTATAGGCATGAACACTTCCATTTCTCCACAAAACACATTATC
Organism: Homo sapiens; assembly: GCF_000001405.40. Classification (NCBI taxonomy): domain Eukaryota; kingdom Metazoa; phylum Chordata; class Mammalia; order Primates; family Hominidae; genus Homo; species Homo sapiens. The sequence goes on along the minus strand of NC_000021.9, from coordinate 23,411,334 downwards.
TTTTAAATTGGACAGTACTACAATCTGAGTTTATTATATTTTCTAGTTCTTTTCAGGGGATTTAGGATTAATAGATAAAGACAAAGTTACACAGATAAAGGCTTGTGAGGCCATACTGATATTTCCATCTTCATTTCCAATTCAAAATTATAAGATTTTTGCAAGACTTCTTCTATATTACCTCTTTGTTGCAATTCATATGCCTTTATAATTCTGGCTCTCAAAATACAAGAGATGATAGAATGAGAATAACCTGTAATTACTCATTTGCTTGATTTCTCATTGTACATACAACTGTCTCAGAATAACAATACTAATACTATCATCTCAATTATGATTACTAACAAGAGTTTTGTTATTTTGTTTTGCATTTCTCTGTTCTCCAATTTATATTATTTCTACATTGATGATTTGTATCTTCTTTCCTTGTTCCTGATCAGTCTGACTAGAAGATTATAAATTGTATTAATCTTCTCAAAGTATACATTTTGGGTAAATTGATTAATCAATTTATCTATTGTTTGTAGGGTCAAATATTCTAAGTGTGACACGTAGATCAGTGTGGCTTTCTCTCATGCTTTCCTGTCAGCCTTGCTGACTTTATTTTATTTTTGTTTTCTAGGCTTTCAGCTATTCATCCATTAAAGGTCAAACAAAAATTGCTCCTCAATGTCTTCCCATCTATTTTTAAGGTGGTTTTAAAATAAAATATATTCCTTATTTTAAAAGATTTTACTCATTTATGATTACAAGTTAATTGCCAAGTGAACTTAAATATGGCTTGAATATTTCTCAACAGATAGCTTTAAGTAGGTAAGTTTACCAATGGTTCATTAAAAAAAAAAAAAGATTTAGTTATAATCCTGAACTGTAATGATATAATTAACTAACACTTTAGAACAGTGCCTAGTACATGGTAGGAGCTCAAGAAATGTTAGCTAATATTATTTTCATCTTTTTTAAACTAAAAATGTTCATGTGTGTGATGCTGTTTGTGAAATACTTGTCATGTGTATTGTAAACTTTTTTTTGGAAATAAATAGCTCAGATGAGGTAATCGTAAAGTTTTCATTAATGTGACTTCCAAGCCAGTTTTATACTACAGTCACTGAAAATAATAGGTATGTGACAGATTTTGCTTAGAAAACATTTCTAAATTAATAGAATAAAATAGAGAACCACTTGAAATTATTTTTAATAGAAATCTGCGAGGTTGGGATTTATGTTAATGTGGTCCCCCATTGTAGCCCCAAGGGTTCCACGTAGAAGCTGAGAATTAGCTATATTAGAAAGAAATAATTTCATAGTGACTATTTTTAAAAACAATAATTTCAAGTTTCATGAAACTATGCAGGAGTTTTGAAAGTGTTTCCCAAGTTAGAGCTCAAAATATTTTTCTTTTAAAAGTGAAATAAAAATGTTTGATATAATAAAAAATTAAATAAGTCCAATGTTTGACCTTTTAAAATTAAGACAATGATAAGAAAGAAAAGGTTATCGAAAAATATAGAGACAGAGTTGAAGGAAAAAATCATTTATGAAAAAAAGAAAACTGATACAAAAATGGGTATTAACAAACTATAATGTACCATACAGTGTAATGTTTGGAAATAAAGTTAATAATAAATTCATTGAAATAGTATGGAAGTTTATACATTTTCATTGTATTTATGAAAGAGAAACACCTATTCATTGTCATCTTTTTACTACATTTAAACAGTATGTTACATTATGTGTCCACTGCTACTGACAGCCATAAATTAATTAGTTTAAGATGACATTTCAAAACTTAATACCCAAGTTTTGTCACCATTATGTAAAGGTTAAAATGATATGTCAATGCCTTCTTGGAGCAACTGAAAGGCTAGCAATAAGCAATAGTTCAAACCTCATGACAGTTGACACCAGATTTCCTTGTGATCCCCTTCAAAACTACCAGAACGTTATATTACTTCCAACTACAGTTGTATTTTTCATATACATTTCATGACTTCAACATTTTGTCTTAATCATAATCTTTTATAGCTAGACTTATTTAACTTCACATTAGTTTTACCTTGATCATTTTTATGTGCAAATTCTAAAGGGGATGTTTAAATATAAATATTACTGAGTGCATTACTTACCTTGACTCTTAGCTTGTTGGGATCGGTCATTGGACCCGTTATCTGCTCCTGTCGCTTTAGCCTCCTAACTCTTAGCCACTATGTGTGAGTGCATCTCCATCCACATTGGCCAGCCTGGTGTCCAGACTGGCAGCTCCAGCTGGTAACTCTACTGCCTGGAACATGGCATCCAGCACCATGGCCAGATGCCAAGTGACAAGACAAGACAATTTGAGGGGGAGATGACTCCTTTAACACCTTCTTCAGTGAGACAGGCACTGAAAAGCATGTGCCCAGGACCATGTTTGTAGATCTGGAACCCACAGTTATTAACACAGTTTACCCTGACACCTACTAGCCACCTCTTCCACCCTGAGAAGCTCATCCCAGCCAAGGAAGATGCTGCCAATGGCTATGCATGAGGCCACTACATCATTGACAAGGAGATCGTTGACCTCATCTTGGACTGAGTTCACAAGCTGGCTGATCAGTGCACAGGTCTTTAGGGCTTCTTAGTTTTCCACAGTTTTGGTGAACAGACTGGTTCTGGGTTCAACTCCCTGCTGATGGTATGTCTTTCTGTTGATTATAACAAGAAGTCCAAGCTGCAGTTCTCCATTTACTCAGCAACCCCCCATCCTCCAAGTTTCCACAGCAGTAGTTGAGCTCTACGACTCCATTCTCACCACCCACACCACCCTGGAGCACTCAGATTGTGCCTTCATAGTAGACAGTGAGGCCATCTATGACATCTACCATTTGGTTATCCAATGATATAGTTCATATAGGAAAGGTTGAAAAATCACCTTGACCCTTTCTATCATTTAATCAGTTTTCCAAAAGTGATTTGGATGACTTTTGGAAAGCTCAATATTGAGTGTCCAAACTACACTAACCTTAACCATCTCATTGGCCATATTGTGTCCTCTATCACTGCTTCCCTCAGATTTGATGGAGCCCTGAATATTGATCTGACAGAATTCCAGACCAATCTAGTGCCATATACCCACATCCACTTCCCTCTGGCCATGTGTGCCCCTGTCATCTCTGCTGAAAAAGCCTACCATGAACGGTTTTCTGTAGTAGAGATCACCAATGCTTATTTTGAGCCAGCCAACCAGATGGTAAGATGTGATCCACACCATGGTAAATACATAACTTGCAGCCTATTGTACCCTGGTGACGTGGTTCCCAAAGACTTCAGTGCTGCCACTGACACCATCAAAAACAAATGCAGCATCCAGTTTGTGGATTGCTGTCCCTCTAGCTTCAAGGTTGGCATTAGTTACCAACTTCCCACTGTGGTACCTGTTGGAGACCCAGCCAAAGGACAGAGAGCTGTGTGCATACTGAGCAACATCACAGCCATTGCTGAGGTGTGGGCTCACCTGGACCGCAAGTTTTACCTGATGTATGCCAAGTTCCTTTGTTCAGTATTCCGTGGGTGAACGGGTGGAGGAAGGAGAGTTTTCCGAGGCCCACCAGGACATGGTTGTCCTTAAGAAGGATTATGAAGTGGTTAGTGTGGATTCTGTTGAAGAAGAGGGTGAGAAGGAAGGAGAGGAATTCTAATTATCCATTGCCTTCAGCCCTCCAGCATGTTATACCCCCAGAATTTCAGCTTCAACATCAGCTGACAGGCATTCAGACTTTTTGGTTAGATCGTTTTCACTCAGCAGTGATCATGTCTTTTCCATGTGTACCTGTACAATTTTTTCTTCATGTCTCAAAGTAAAGGCTTTAGAATAAAAAAATGAATAAAATAAATAAATATGAATATTATTCAATTACACAGGATATGTTTTAGTTTCATGAAGAGATTAATGTAGCCCCTATAAGTAATGAGAATTCATACCACCGTTCACTGGATTTGAATATATAGTTATTTTATGTTTTGGCAAACATAAAATATGAGAAAGATCAGAATAGAAGATGAATGTATATTAATAAGGATAGTATTTTATGAGTACATAGGATCTGTTATATATCCCTATCCATTATGTAACTCAATCTATCATTTATATCCGGGTCTGCAAACAACATCCTCTAGGCCAAATCTGGCTTGCTGCCTGTTTTCATAAATAAAGCTTTACTGAAACACCGCCATGCTCTTTTGTTTACACATTATCCATGATTGCTTACCTATTACAGTGGCAAAGTTGAGCAGTTATGACAAATCCACAAGCCATTTAAAATACATATAGCTGGTCAGGAATGGTGGCTCATGCCTGTAATCTCAACACTTCGGGAGCTCAAGGCAGGCAGATCAATGAGGCCAGGAACTTGAGACCAGACAGACCAACATGGCAAAACCCCATCTCTACTGAAAAAGTACAAAAATTAGCCAGGTGTGTAGTTACAGCCGGGCACACACCTGTACTCTGGAGGCTGAGGCAAGAGAATCACCTGAGCCTGGGAGGCGGAAGCTGCAGTGAGCCGAGATAACATCACTGCACTCCAGCCTGGGCATAAGACTGAGACCCTGTCTCAAATAAATAAATAAATAATAAAATAAAATACATATAGTCCTTTGCAGGAAAAAGTTTTCTTATGTCTAATCTGTAACATCAATATTAATATATGTATCTAATCATCTATCTAATCTCTTAATATATATGTATACATACATACACAAATATGTATGCATACGTATATATGTGTGCCTGAATGTATTTATACATGTGTATATATTACTCTGAATACATTCATTCTTCCAAAATGGGCTTCTGATGGCACACACATTTGAAACAGAAATACCCCTATAAAATAGAAGCAAGACAACAACAAAAATAACAAAAACCAAAAAGAGCAATATTTTAAAAATGATGATTTGTTCAATTTGAGCATTATTTTGGTCTGAGATTTCTGGCAGATATGACAATAAACAAAATATTGAGCTACATTGTTCTAATTAGAAAATGTGGTAAATTAAAGCAAATTCAAAAGAACACAAGAGTAATTTCCTTCTTACATTCTTCTGTAGATTTACGGATCACAGTCAAGTTGACCATAGAAATATAATCTCTCTCTGTTTTTATGAAGACTTGAGTTTTAATACAGAATGCCTTATAAAGCATATTTCCTGAGGGCTTTATCAATCAACAAATATACAATAAACTGAAGTTCACTTTATGTGATAGGAAAAAATCTATAATAATATAAGGAGACATATAATTTAATTGTGAAAATTAACATTTTTACATTTTCAGTAATAAAGGAAAATATTTGTAGTAACCTGTTTAAATGGGATAAGTAAATATATATTTTGAGTGTCTTTTTTATTTTCTATTTTTTTATGCCTGAATGCTAAAGTTAACATGTATTTTCCCACAAGAAACTCTAATATGAAAGGTTTATATAAATGAGTTTAGTATTATTTTGACTCCATTTAGCTCAGAAAAATGTTGTCTTAAATTGTAAGGGTGAAAATAATACAAAAACTAAGAACTGTTGATTGATAGTGCCCTAATCTTTCCCTCGTAAGAAGGAAAATCAATGCACTTATAATTTCTTATTGAGTTGCAATATTCTACAATAATATATTAACATAATTTTGGTCATGATGTTGACAACTCATGGATTAAAGTTGACTTTATGTGATGTGATTGTTATAAATATTAGATTTTTATTTTCTCCATATTGCAATATATAATCATGTATTAAGTAGATTAACTAGGAGAAAAATATGTTTTTCGTTATTTCATATAGAGAAGTTGGTAAGCTTTATACACTTGTTATTTGTTGTTAAAATATAAAGATGCAGCTAAGTGAAGAGAATAGAATTTTTTTCTTCAAGAAACTATGGCTATTATTATTAAATAATTATCTGGCTAAGTATAGTAATGCAGCAAAAAGATTTTTTAATGTACTCTTAATACTTAAGGGGAATAATAGAAAAAAAATATTGCCTCACTTCTTAAAAATGTCAACAGATATTTTACTACTGTTGTTAAAAACTCTCTTTGGAGCCAGCCACAGTGGCTCATACATGTAATTCCCACACTTTGGGAGGCTCTGGCGGCTGAATCATTTGGCCAGGAGTTTGAGACCAGCCTGGCCAACATGGTGAAACCCTGTCTCTACTAAAAATACGGGAAAATTAGCCAGGCATGGGGGCATACACCTGTAATCCCATCTACTTGGGAGGCTGAGACACGAGAATTGCTTGAACTCAGGAGGCAGAAGTTGTGGAAGCTGAGACTGCACACTGCACTTCAGCCTGGGTGACAGAGCAAGAATTTGTCAAAAGACAAAACAAAACTCTTTGGCCAATTTGGCAGTACAACTGTGTCTACCACTGTCACATACTTTGTGAAAACATCACAGAGACCCGAATGTCAGTTTTCACAAGTGAGAAAGGAGATTCAGGGTGATATGTTTACATATTGAATGGAGAAATGTTTTTTGTTTGTTTGTTTGTTTTGGCTTTGGTTTTTTGTTTGTTTGTTTTGTTTGTTTGTTTGTTTGTTTGTTTGTTGGAGACGGAGTCTCTCTCTGTCACCCAGGCTGGAGTGCAGTGACATGATCTCAGCTCACTGCAGCCTCTGCCTCCTAGGTTCAAGCGATTCTCTGCCTCAGCCTCTCAAGTAGCTGGGACTACAGGCATGTGCCACCACGCCTGGCTAATTTTTTGTATTTTGGTAGAGACAGGGTTTCACTGTGTTGCCCAGGCTGGTCTCGAACTTCTGAGCTCAGGCAATCTGCCCGCCTTGGCCTCCCAAAGTGCTAGGATTACAGGCGTGAGGCACCGCACCTGGCCAAGAAATGGTTTTTCATATAATCTCCATTGGTCTGTCATGACAACAATAGCCCTTTTCCTTTTTGGAGGGAATGTTGTTATTTTATGATTACTCTCCTTTTTAGGAAATGATACATGATCTACTTTCTCATGCCTGCTCCCTCTGTCACATTTATACGCTCAATAAAAAAAAAAAAAAAAGGAAAAAGAAAAGTAAATAGTTTTGACAAGTTAGGCAACTGTCACATCAAGTTTGCCAAGACTTTGATTTTAAACAGATAGACTTTGACTAATAAGAAGTACATTTAGGGGGAATATTTTATTTTCTCGGAAGTAAAAATAAATTGCATAAAGTTATTACTAGACTTAAAGAGGCATGTTTTCATGTTTTCCTTTTGTTTATTGTTTTGATAAATCTTTAAGGAAATAATAGTAACGGAAACAACAATAAGTAACGATAATAGTTGGCTTCACTTAATTGAACTCTTATTCTGTACAAAACTCTCTTCTAAATACATTATATGCACTATCACAAGGAGGTATTTACTAATTATATTCCCATTTTCCCAACAAGGAAAGAAGACACAGAAATACGTATTAACATGACCAAGTTCACACCATTAGTGAGAGGATGAGCCAGAATTCTAACTGAGGTAGTCAGGTTCCAGAGAAGCCGCATCACTTCTCACTAAACGAAATGTCTTTTTTGAAAATTCTAAATTCACTATTGTGAGTCAATGACTATATTAATTACACTGAAAGCTACATAGCAGAAGGTAAGCTTTTTTTGCTTAATTTGCTTAAATAAATAAAACTTTTACAACCGTGGCAAGATAGACATTAAAATTATTTTATAAGTAATTCATGTCAAGTAGAAAGTATGATCTAATTCTATCCTTTTAGAAAATAACCTGATTCTGTTTAACAGATATTGTAAGATACAATAGCTAATGCGTATAGAATGTTTACCATGTGTCAAACACTTGTTTCAGTAAGTGAAAAGTGAAACACTCTCTATTGTGTCACTGTTTTATCAAGCAAATGTAATCTTTCAGAGTCCATTATAAACAGCACATTCTGATCCATGCTTAAACTATGAAAAAATCCTTTTGAAACACTCAAAAGGAAAGGTTTTGGTTATGAATGTTTGCAAGTCTAAAATTGCATTCAATGCTAGCAAAAGATAATTTATAGCTCGTGTTTCACTTATAATATTGTCTATCCTTTTTCCTGCCAAAATCCAGGTCATTCATAATAGCAAGTTATGCATTTTATGGGACATTAATCAGGCAATCAGCTGTTGCAGGATATTAAAAAGGGCCTTGCTATAGAAGAAGAGTGAGTGGAAGATTTCTTAGGCAAACTCAATTATAGATACAGCAGTTCATTTGCTTCAGTTCCGATTTTTATCATACTCTTTTGTTGTGTGCCATACTTTATGTTTGTGCACATATATAGTCAAATGCCAAATCTGATTCCCTAAAATACAAGTCAATTATATATTTAAGTAACCATTTTCCTCTGAATTTAATTTGCAAATGGTTTTCAAGAAAATTAAAGTGATCTGTAGTTTGTTAGTGGTGTCCTTGTTCCCATGGTGAAGACTAACAATATAGCCTATTGGATTTAAAATTCATTTTGATTCAAGCTAGTCTCTTATTTAAATTTTGACTTATTAAAACTCTGTACATTCCTTAGCTTTTTGTTGTACCTTTAATACCTTTACTCCTTTATTTCATAACAATATGATTTTTCTCATGTTTCATAGCTGTTCACAGCTGTCCAATGTTTATTACAGTTAGGGTGGATATACTGCTAGCATCTAGGCAACGATTGAGGAGAGGAGATGTATGTCACCGTAGGCTGGCCCTTAGTAAGAAAGATGTGTCATCCTTCTCTTTTTCTCCTTTATTAAAAGCTGGAATGTTGGCTTAGTGGCTAGGTATCCTCATCTAAACAGGTAATCCATCCTAGGGATAGTACAGCTAGACATGGGGGGAACCTGGGTCTTCAACACCTCAACATTTTGATGTTTGCCTTTAAAAAAAACTATTTAGATTATTACAGAAGGAAAACATGAACTCTGATTTTGGAGTTCCTTGCTGAAGTCACCTATTAATTATTATATCCAAGAGAAATATTGGTACAAACATGTGTTAACATACTACAAAAACAAAACCAAAAAACAATAAACAATCCAAAATCTAAATGACATCCCCACTAGTAGATTAAAGATTAGGTAGGAAAAAGGACTTAGATATTACTCAGATCCTTGTTAAGTTATGGTAAGAATGTTCCTTGGGATATATATACATATATATATATATATATATGTATATATATATATATGTATATATATATACACATATATATATACATATATATATATATGTGTGTGTATATATATATATATATATATATATATATATGTGTATATATATATTTGAGACGGAGTTTCGCTCTGTCGCCCAGGCAGGTGTGCAGTGGCGCGATCTCGGCTCACTGTAAGCTCCACCTCCCGGGTTCACGCCATTCTCCTGCCTCAGCCTCCCTAGTAGCTGGGACTACAGGCGCCCGCTACCACACCCGGCTAATTTTTTTGTGTGTTTTTAGTAGAGACAGGGTTTCACCATGTTAGCCAGGATGGTCTCGATCTTCTGACCTCGAGATCCGCCCACCTCGGCCTCCCAAAGTGCTGCCCTGGGATATTTTGAAAGACAAAGCATGTGCAAATTGAGCTTGAAAATTTACTAGAACTGGATGGAAAAAGCAACAACACGAGAAAAAATATTGTGTGATTGTGTTTATTGCTTCTGTAATCAAAGTTCTACCATAGATGAACTAATACTAGTTGTAAAAATGACCCTGCTCTATAGAGGACTTGGAGACAAAGCTGGCTCTCTAATCCTTTCCGCAACACCTTGTATGAAGATTTCTGGGTCAGGTGTGGGAGCTAACCAATAGCAAATATTAAGTCATGCAAATTATTTTCTTCTCAGCCTAGTACTTCAGATGACCTCAAGGTGGCATGATGCGACTAAGTTTGGGCCAATGAAATATAAGCAGAATATTTGCAGAATAATTTACTTCAAAGAATATGAGTTTTCCCTCTCTTTCTTTTTTTTTTTTTTTTTTTTTTTAATTTTAACCTCATGGCTGGATGTCACCAAGCAATAGCATGTGGGAATGTGGGAATGGCAAAACTCAAAAATGGATGGAGACTTCGTTTCTGACACCATCAAGCCCACCAGATCAGCCATATTGTTAAGTGAGAGATAAAACTAGATTAAAATATTGTGTTTGGGGAGTCTCTTTTATAGCTGCTTCACCCATACCCAATTATGTATTTTACCAGATTAACAAATACTAAACTATCGGGCAATGAATCTAAAACCTTGTAAATAAGAAGTACATTTTATTAATTATGGTTTTCCTATATTCGTCTAATAAATTCTTTTCTTTTTTTTTTTTTTGAGACAGAGTCATACTCTGACACCCAGGTTGCAGTGCAGTGGCATGATACTGGCTCACTGCAACCTCCGCCTCCTGGGTTCAAGCGATTCTCCTGCCTCAGCCTCCCAAGTAGCTGGGACTACAGGCACATGCCACCACACCTGGCTAATTTTTTGTATTTTTAGTAGAGACAGGGTTTTACCATGTTAGCAAGTATGGTCGCGGTCTCCTGACCTCATGATCTGCCCGCCTCAGCCTCCCAAAGTGCTGGGATTACAAGTGTGAGCCACCGAGCCTGGCATCTGTTAATGATTTGTATACTCCAATTTACCTTTTATTATTTTGTCTACGTATCTATCATAACCATGCTTACATAAATATATTTATAGTGGTCACTGAATCACCATATTTGTGTCTTTTGTATGTGAGTTAAAAGTTTTGCATGTCTTATGAGTCTGTAAATAATTTTACATAGAGCATGTTTTATGATCTAGATATATATATTGTTTTTATTACTATTCCAAACCCAACCATATGAGAAAAATAGAATACATGGAAAAAATAGAAATTGGCTCTCTGCAGTGATATGGTTTGGCTGTGTCCCCAACCCAAATCTCATCTTGAATTGTAGCTCCTGTAATTCCCACGTGTCATGGAGGGACCACACGGGAGGTAACTGAATCATGGTGATGGGTCTTTCCTGTGCTGTTCTCCTGATAGTGAATAAGCCTTACGAAATCTGATGGTTTCATAAAGGAGAGTTCCCCTCCACAAGCTCTCTTGCCTGCCACCATGTAAGACGTGACTTTGCTCCTCAATCGCTTTCTGTCTTAATTGTAAGGCCTCCCCAGCTTTGTGGAACTGTTAGTCAATTAAACCTTTTTCCTTTGTAAATTACTCAGTTTCAGGATATGTCTTTATTAAGAGCATGAGAACAAACTAATACATGCAGAAACAAATTACACAAAAGAAGACGATTTCTCTCCTCTTGAAATTCAAAGTTCTGATGTAGTGCTGATAGGTCTCTGTGTATTAAATAATAAAACCCATGTTTTCTGCTTTTCCAGTACTTGTGTCTCCCACTAAGTTTGGGGTTTGATTTTGGTTTTATGCTCCTTTTAACAGCTTTTGCAAAGATGTACTTATTATGTAGCACTTAACTAGCTCAGTTTAGGGGATGTGATGCTTAGCAGAGATAAACAGGGTATGTGGGGTGAATGGTCTAAATATCCAGGTTGACAGTGTTATACATAACGGTCATTAAATGAATATTTTGTAAGATTGTAAAACATTAAGTACTTGTCTCTTATCATCTAGCTCCCTCCTATAATAATATCAGATGGCTTTATAGAAATCATGTATTTCATTTAATACAATGCAAATGTGTTAGGGAGTTGAAAGAAAACGAATAGTAAATATATGCCATGCTTGTTTTGTTTTGTCCTTTTTTTAACTTTTCTCTTAAATAGTAAAACAAAATATGTGTTTAAAAATATATTATGAAAATCCTACTTTAAATTATTTATTAATAAATTGTAGAGCAAAAAAGACACTAAAACAGTGTTGCAACTAAAACTATAAAATATTAAATGTAAAATATTAAATGTAATAAAATTAATTCTCATGTTTATGCAATTGATATGTTCTGAACAGGCTTGCAAAATTTTAATGTTGCATTGTCAAAATAGCATTTTGCTATCACTGTAGATAATAGAAGTGCATAGTAAAAAATTACATATCACCACTGAAACTATTTTACAGCTGGATTAGTCTAACTGAACTCTTAAATGTTTACTAGGACCACAAATTTACAAATTGGTGTTGAAGGTAAATTGGTGAACAAAACAAAATTATTTCCTCTTGGAACTTGTATTCCAGCTGTAGGTTGCAATTGTTAAATATATATGTCATCTTGGATGGGTGCTTTAAAGCAGGAAACAGAGCTGCTGGGGTGAGAATGTACTTTAAGCGGAGTAATCAAGGAAAGATTATCTGCTGTGGTGACATTTGAACAGTGGCCATAAGGAAAAAAGAGAGCATATGGTACAGGATCTAAGGGGAGAATGTTGGAGCCAGACAGATGAGGAGGTGGAAGCACCTAAAACTAATTACCCTTATTGTGGAAAAACCATAAGGATGAGGCCAGCATGGGAGGTGTGGAGAGAGCAGGGGGTGGCAGTGATGGGAAATGAAGTCAGAAAGGGAACCAGGGGGGTAATTTTGCTCTGAGTTAGGTATAACATTTTTAGAACAACAACACAAGAAAAAATATTCTGTGATTGTGTTTATTGCTTCTGTAATCAAAATTCTACCATAGATTAACTAACACTGGTTGTAAAAATGACCCTGCTCTATAGAGGACTTGGAGACAAGGCTGGCTCTCTAATCCTTTCCCCAACACCTTGTATGAAGATTTCTGGGTCAGAAATCTTAGACTGGCCACATGATGTAGGCTGACAATAACCCGTCTTGCTGGCAGGGACTAAGAGAGGGTGTTCTCACTTGGTCACAAAAGCCAAGCTCTCAAGTCATACAAAAGGACAAAGGGGAACTTCATCCACTATTGTTTCTCAGGGACTCACAGCACAGTTTGTCTAAACCAACACCTATGTGATGTGAATCCAAAACTCAACAGTCTCTGGGCCCAGCTTGAGCAACGTGCTTCTAAGGGTTTTAAGTCTGTGTCTTATAGTTCCCTTCTTTATGACAAATAACATAGACAGAGACAAAGAAAAACAGAGACCATTTTCAGGAGGAGAAGCTTGAACAAATTCAAAAATTAAGTAGCACATACAATTGCACTACAAAACTCATAAAATACTTTTAGGTGTAAATCTTCCAACATATGTGCAATGTCTATGTTGTAAACTATAAAACAAAATATTTCATGTTTGTTGATTAGCAGACATCATTATTATTAAGATGTCAATTCTCAATGTCATCTACAAAATCACCGCAACTAAAAAACCAACAAAAAAAGTACTAGAAGGATATTTTTAGTGTTGGAGAAGCTGATTTTAAATTTCAGGTAGAAACACAGATGAAGATGAAGAACAAAGTTAGGTTTCTTACATTTTCTGACTTCAAGACAAATCATTATCAGATTGCAAAACTACAGTAACCAAGATAGCATGATATTGAAGAATTTATGGACATGCAAATTTGTAGAAGAGAAGAGCGAGTCAAGCAATAGAAATGCTAAATATAGTCAGTGATTTTCAACAAATATGCAAAAATAATTAAGCATAAAAAACAAAATGTTTCAACAAATTGTGCTGAAACTAATGGATAACCATATATATAAAGGGATATTTTTATTATAGAATATATGTTATATGTGAAATATTGTATATGTTGTATATTCACATATAGCTACATATTTAACATTTATATAATTATATATAACTATAAGTCAACATATAACATATAATTATATAAAAGTTATTTAAATATATAACATTATAATTATATAAAAGTTATATAAATATATTAACTATATATACAACATATACAATATGTCATTTATAACATATTCTATAATAAATACATGTTGATTATACATATTTGTATATATAGTTATATATTTATATGCAACTTATATACACACAAATGTTTTTATATTTGTATATATAAAGATATGTTTTAATCTATATATACATATATACAACAGCCTCTTTTTATACCCCATATATACCTCATTTATACCTCACTTCCTATAAAAAACTTGAAACCAATTTTAGACCTAATGTAAGACAATATTTTTAAGCTTAAAATCTTGTAGAATTAAGCATACAAGAAAGTCTTTGGGACCTTGGCATAAGCAATGATTCCTTAGACATGATACCAAAAGCATATATTATAAGAGAAAGAAATTGATAAATTGGTCTTTATAAAAATTTAAAACTTCTGTTATCTGAAATATAGTGTTAGGAGAAAGGAGGGGGAAACTACATTTTGGGAAGAAATATTTGCAAATTATATAAAGGATCTGTATCCAGAATAAAAAACAAAAACTAAAACCTGCAAGCAATATGAAAACAAACAACCCATTTAAACAATGGATAAAAATCTGGGCCGAGCACGGTGGCTCACGCCTGTAATCCCAGCACTTTGTGAGGCTGAGGTGTGTGGATCAGGAGGTCAGGAGTTCGAGACCAGTCTGGCCAACATAGTGAAACCCCATCTCTACTAAAAATACAAAAAAATAGCTGGGAGTGGTGGCACATGCCTGTAGTCCCAGCTACTCAGGAGGCTGAGGCAGGAGGATTGCTTGAACCTGGGAGATGGAGGTTACAGTGAGCCAAGATTGCAGCATTGCACTCCAGCCTCGGGGACGGTGTGAGACTCCATCTCAAAAAAAAAAAAATCTGAACAAGTACTTCATCAGATAAGATATGCAGATGGCAAATAAGTACAAGAATAGATGTTCAACATCATTTGTCATAAGGTATCCCAAAAGAAAAACTGGACAAATGTATCAAAAGACCCCTATTAAAACGTCTAAACAAACAAATTCACAATGAGAAGTGTTGATAGGAACACAAAGTTCAGAAATTCTCATGCACTATTACTGAATATGCAGAATGTTACAGTTATTTTGAAAAGTAATTTGGAAGTCTTCTTAGAGCATCAAGCATACACTTGCGATATGACTCTATAATCCCACTCCTAGATACCTCTCCAAGTGAAACAAAATACTAAGCTTACTAAGAAACCTATATCAGAATATTTATACCATATTTATTTTTAATATACCAATACTGGAAGCAAAACAAATGTACCTCAACTGAGAAATAAAAACAAACAAACAAACAAAAAATGGTATTTGCTTACAATAGAATACTACTAAATGACAAAAAGTACAAACTATTGATATACACAACATCATAATGCATAAATAAGTGATACCCAAATCTTTTGTAACATGTGATTTTATTTATATGGTCTCTGTAAAATTATTGGGGCCTGAAACAATGAATGCTGGGTTAATGAAGAGGCTGGCCACAGCCACAAAGGACATTTAGAGAAATCTCTCCAATGATGGAACTGGTGTATATTGTTGATTATTGTGGTGATTATCTGACTGCACTCATTTGCCAAAACTCATGAAACTGTAAACTAAAACTGGTGAAATTTATTGGATATACATTAAACCATAATAACACCAATGGAAAAATTCCTACATGATATAGTTACAATTGGTACTTAAACAGTCACCTGTTAAAATTTTCCTTTCTGATGCACATCCTTCTTGCTGTAATATATTTCAATTTGGATCATTTTCCTTCCTTAGTATTTCCTGTAGAGTAAATCTTCTGAGTGTTTCTTTTTATTTTTCTTCTTGTCTTTGAGATGAGGTCTTACTCTGTTGCCCAGTCTGGAGTGCAGTGGTGCAATCATGGCTCACCGCAGCCTCAAACTCCCTGGCTCAGGTGATTCTCCTACCTCAGCATCTCCAACAGTGGGACCACAGGTGTGCATTACCATGCCTGGCTATTTTTTAAAATTATTTATAGAGATTAGGTCTCCCAATGTTGCCCAGGCTGATCTTGAGCTCCTGACCTCAAATGATCCTCTTGCCTTGACCTCCCAAAGTGCTTGTACTACAGGTGTGAGCCACCATGTCTTTCAAAAATGTCTCAAATTCACTTTCTTTTTTTAAAGAAGGTTTTTGCTGGTATAGAATTCTGGATTGCTGTTTCATTGCCTTTTGTTGTTGTTTAACATATTCGGGATGTCATTCAATTATTTTCTTGCATTTATGACTTTATTATGAATGGGTCCAGGCAGGTAAGTAGATCTCTGAAAGCCAGATTCACTTTACATATAATCACTTGCTTCTGGTAGACTAAAATATGAGGCAAAATGAAGCCCAGAGCAATACTGCAAGTTGGAGAATTGCTGAAAGAATATCTTCTTGGAAGAAGGATTTTGGACTTTTTTTTCACTTTCGTTTCTTACAGCAAGTTTTGTATAAAACTGAGCATGGAAATTCTCAGTATGGTTGCATAAATTACATATATGCAGATTGCTTTATTTAATTTTTTAGCTGAATACCATTTATATACAACACCCATAGTTTCTACTCAGGATTCAAACATCCGACACTTAGTATGACCCTACACTCACACCATATATAGAGGATATAAAACTTTGTAGAAAGGGTATAAATTCTGATAAATGGAAGCTATGTCCTAAAAGATAATAAATATAATCAATGTAATGTAACAAATATGTGCTGTATATAACCTAATACATTCTGAAGTGTAACTTTAGCCTATCAAATTTGTGATATTTCAGCTATATAAAATGACTTAAAGGCATATATCCTCATTCTATTGCACATTAATTTAATGTGTAATGGACTTGTGTTGGAAGCGATAGATGGCAGTATTGGTTCATTATTAAAGATAATTTATAATTATCTCATTTACCCATTATCCATCTAACCCTATTATTTTTCTATAGTTTTATAGGTAAGTGTGTGAAGATATTTTAAAAAATTAATTTAAAGACAGCTGCAATACAAAAAACCTAGGTAACTTTGATTTGCATTTTCTCTCTGTAAAAAACATTAACCGAGGAATGACAAAAGTAGGGAACAAAATGCTTTATTCTTTTCTTTTATGTGTGGTTCAGAATAGATTACTCACAAAGTCAGTTAAAAATTATCACAGTGTGCTGCTATGGGATCATCCATCCTCTTCATCTTTAGTTCATTGAGAACATTTGTTTCTAGTAAGCTTTCCAGAGCACTTTCCATAATACCTCCTTAGCCTTCGAAATCACTTTGATTATAACATATTATTTAATTCTGAAGCTAAATCAAATACAATAAGAAATATCTATTTTCCCAAAATAGGTTTTCTGTTGTTCTGGAGAAAAAAAATTAAATTTTAAGTGAACAATGAAAAACTGAATATTCTATAGACAAGAAAGAAAATTATTAATTTTAAACAGTATCAGGAATATGACTAAGGGGCATGCATAAAAAATTATTGCCATGGTAAGATAACATTACAATGAATTAGTCATATATTGCAGAAGAAACCAAAAAAGACAGTATATTTTGGGTCACCTAGTTAATATTCTTTACTAAATGTTTCTAATATTATAAAGGTAACTGCAATGACCTATTAAGCTTATCTTGAGGTGACTGTTGGTGATTGTTTGATAGCTGAATAATGTATGTCACTCATGAATCCATTTCTGTTGTGTGAGTGTGTTAGATTTCAAGGAGTGTGTTAGATTTCAAAACAAAATACGATTTTAAAGTTATACTTTATTTTCTTCTTTATAAAGAGATCAAATATCAATTCAAGTCAATAGCTAGAGTAAGAAGGTAACAATTTAACATCATCAAATTCTCATGAAGGCTTTCGGCAATAAGAATACAATGTCATGGAGCCACACTAAAGTGCTCCGTCCTTCACCTGCAAAATAACATTTCACACTTTTGTTTTGCACCATAAATAGCAACTGATATGGGAGCAAGTTGAACTTGTTTGTAAAATTCACAAAATAATCAAGATACCATTGTAATTCTTCCTTTTGAATTAACCAAATTTGAAAAGATAACTCAAAATTATTGGTCTTAATTTTTTCTTTGTATTTTGACACCCACTTTTTATCTCCTGCTGTTTCAATATCAGACAAATGACAGCAAACCTTCCCTTGATTTAACCTGTGCTAATTATTACTCTTTTTAAAGTTTTCAATGTGTCTTTTTATTGTGGAAAAAAACTCTCTTTAAGATAATTAGGTATAATTTCCAAATGCCAGTTATTGATTTAGAAAAATGATAACTCCGTGTAAATAAGTAAATTGCCTGAGGTCAAATAGCAAATCACTGAAGGAGGCTTGGAATGAAGAATTCTGATGATCTCTGCTCCTCAATCTTTCTGCTACCTCATGCACCTTCCAATTTGAAAATTGTTCTTTTACAGATTCAAAGGTTTTTGAAAATGTTTTAAATTAATTCTCAAAACCACAGATTCATGGTCTAAAGGGAGATATTCCAGAATATTCTAGGTACAAAGTAACCGTATTTAATGAGCATAAGAATTGTATTAATAATGGACTGGATTCCAAAGGTAAAAACTGGCGTGGATGATGAAGACATATTTCAAGGTTACTCTCATTTGGTTTATAGCTTTATTAGCCAAAAAGCAGTGCAAAGGAAGACATAAAACAGAAAAGACAACACGTGACTTTATCTGGATTTCTGTTGCCATTGTTATACAAACCTGCCCGCATTTGAATAGAATTAGTTCAGACAGTAAAGAATGGCAATCAGTGAAGGAGCTACTGCCTTAAGTTACATTAGACTTGTAGAAGACCATGTCAGCAATCAACAGCCCACCTCCTACCAGGTAAGGAGGTTCTTCATATTTCATAGCTGTATACTTCACCTTATTTTTTTTTTACTAGGCCTTTGGTCCAATAGCAGTGGTAACTATAGAATTGTAAAAGCAGTAACCTAAATTATTTTTCTATAAATTATATCCACAGTGTTAATTTCACCACGTTGTTGCTTGGAAGTCAAGCAAAATAATGTATAGATGGCATATCAAGTACACAAAAATAAAATCAACAATGACTATCAGCGAACATTGGTACAATGTATGAGTGTAGCTCTACATGGTGCAATCACACGTGTAGGCTGGTGTAAACATCACCACAGTCAAGCCATAGAACTCTCCCATTATCATGAACATTCCCCTCGTGCTATTTCTTTACAGTCCCGTTCACCATCTTCTCATAGGCCCTAACTCTACCTTTCAGCAACCACTAATTTGTTTTTTCTTTTCTATGATTTGGCCACTTTTTATGGTTATGTAAGAAGTTTTACATACTATGTGACCTTTTTAAGATTAGCTGTTTTCAGTCAGCGTGATAGCCTCAAGATTCATTCAAGCTGTTGATTGCATCAGCAGTCGGTTACTATTTGTTGCTAAATCATACTCTATTATATGGATGTACCAAGTTTATTTAAGCACTTGTCCATAAGGGAGCACTTTGGTTGTTTCCAGTTTGGTGCTGTTATAAATAAAGGTACTATAAATATTTGTGTAGAGATATTTGCATAGACACACATTTTCAGCTCCCTGGCTTAAATGGCTAGGAGTGCAATTGCTGGATCATATGATAAGCATATGTTTAGTTTTTTTACAAAATTTCCAAACCACTTTTTAAGCTACTGCTAAAAGCGGCTGTTCCATTTTACATTTCTACCAACAGTATATCAGGGATTCAGTTTCTTTGTATCCTCACCAACATTTGGTATTGTCACGTCAATTTTTTAAAATTTTTGCTGTTCTAATAGGTGTGTAGTAATATCACTTTGTAGTCTTAATTTGCATTTCCCTAATTGCTAGTGATGTTGGATATCTTTTGATGTGCTTATTTATCATACGAATGTTGTTTTCAGTGAAATGCCTCTATGTATCTTTGGACATTTTGTAATTGGATTTTTTATTGTTGCATTTTGAGAGTTCTTTACATATTCCAGATATAAGTCCTTTTTTGGATATGTGCTTTTACAATACTTTCTCCGTCTGTAGCTTGTCTTTTCATTCTCTTTACAAAATAATGCACGCACAAAAATATTTTAATTTTGATGAAGTCAATTTATCTTTTTTTATTAACTGATCTTGTTCCTGGTGTTATATATAAAAACTTTTTAAAAAACTGTAGATTGTAAAGGTTTTTCCCTATGTTATATCCTAAAAGTCTAATAGTAAATTTTTTCTCATTAAACTTTTTTAATGGGTCTCAAAATTCTGTGATAAATTTTTGGTCAAATTGTTTCCATTAAAAAGTACTGATTTTAAAAACTAATACTTTAAACCTGCCACACCCAAAAAAGAAAACCAAAGTGGTCCACAAAACATTCTCCTTTCCTTCTGAAGGTTTCACGATGCATCGTTATCATTAACCAGTCTTTTACTACTGAACTTAAATGGCCAATTGAAACAAACAGTTCTGAGGCTGTTCTTCCAGCACTGATTAAGACCGGGGTGGCAGGTATTACGCATAATATTCATTTATCCTTCTGAGCTTTCTGTGCAGACTTGGTGACCTTGCCAGCTCCAGCAGCCTTCTTGTCCAATGCTTTGATGACACCCATGGCAACTGTCTGTCTCATATCATGAACAGCAAAGTGACCCAGAGGTGGATAGTCTGAGAAGCTCTCAACACACATGTGCTCGCCAAGAACCATATCAACGATGGCAGCATCACCAGACTTCAAGAATTTAGGGTCATCTTCCAGCTTTTTACCAGAACAGATATCAATCTTTTCCTTCAGCTCAGCAAAGTTGCATGCAATGTGAGCTGTGTGGCAATCCAGCACAGGGGCATAGCCAGTGCTGAACTGGCCCGGATGGTTCAGGATAAGCACCTGAGCGGTGAAACCAGCTGCTTCCACTGGTGGGTCGTTTTTTCTGTCACCAGCAACGTTGCCAGGACGAGCATCCTTGACAGACACTTTCTTGATATTGAGGCCCACATTGTCCCTAGGAAGAGCTTCACTCAAAGCTTCATGGTGCATTTCGACAGATTTTACTTCAGTTGTAACACTGACCGGAGCAAAGGTGACCAGCATACCAGGTTTGAGAACACCAGTCTCCACTTGGCCAACAGGAAAAGTACCAATACCACCAAGGGCTTGTCAGTTGGACAAGTTTGTGGTAGGATGCAGTCCAGAGCCTCAAGCAGCTTGGTTCCACTGGCATTGCCATCCTTACTGTGACTTTCTATCCCTTGAACCAAGGCATATTTAATATTTAAGTCTATGATTGATTTTTATGTAATATTAATGTAGGGTGTGGTTTT
The DNA here is from genome assembly GCF_000001405.40 of Homo sapiens. Classification (NCBI taxonomy): domain Eukaryota; kingdom Metazoa; phylum Chordata; class Mammalia; order Primates; family Hominidae; genus Homo; species Homo sapiens. The sequence goes on along the minus strand of NC_000021.9, from coordinate 23,390,202 downwards.
TTATTTCCCTTATAAATTGCCAGTGGCTTCAGCACCTTCGTTAAAAGTACCATCCTTACTCCAGGAATTGTTTTGTACCTTTATGAAAACTCGGGTGGCTGTCCTTGTTTGGAAGTTATTTCTGGGTACTCCATTCTGTTTTGTTTATCTTTGTTGTATCTCTACCTCTCAAAACCATACCGTCATGAGTATAGTAGCTACATATTTAAGTTTTCGTATTGACTAGAGTGAGTCTACTCATTTTATTATCTATAGTGTTGCTTTAGCTATTTTCATTTCCTCTTATTTCTATATAACTTTTACAATAAAACTTTTACAATACTAACTTTTGTCTGGAAAAGTATTACAGGCATTTTCAGAGGAATTGCAATGAACATTTCTCTCAATTTGGGTAGAATTTACATCTTCACCATAATTCTTCCAATGTATAAACTTTGTGGTGCTATTTATTTATATTTTTTTTAATATTGCAATATTCAGTATACAAGTACACTTACATATATTTTTATTTTGTCTACTGAATTTTTCAGTTTTAAAGTTTCCACATTTTTAATCTTCTATTTTTTTATGTGTCTTTCTATTTCTGTGCCATACTTTCTTTTTCTTTCCATTTGTTTCAAATGTATTTGTAATTGCTTGTTGAAACAGTTAATAATGGCTGTGTTAAATTTCTTTTGTGATCATTTAAATATTTCTGTCATCTTAGTTTTAGTATCTGTTGATTTTCTCATTTTATTTAACATGAGATCTTATAGATTCTTGCTATAATGAGTAACTTTCAATTAAAATCTTGACATTTTGATAGTATGTGGTGAAACATTTGACCTTATTTAAGATTTGAATTTTAGCAGGCATCCACTGACATTGTTCCAGCAGCTGAAAGGTGGCATCAACTCCTTACTGCTGCATTGGAATATGAATTTATTATGCCAACGTTAGAATTAGGCTTTTGAAACACACTCTACTTCTCACATAACCTAAGTAATATTGAATTTCTGGGTTCACTAATAACTATCTTAGATCTTTTTTAAAATGATGATGTTCATGACACAGTATTTTAATCACTGCAGTTTTTATAATAGATTGATAACTAGAATGACAGGCCACCCTGCTTACTCTTCCTCAGGAGTGTCTTGGTAGCATTATTATTTTGCTTTTCTATAACCTTCAGGTTCAGCTTGTCAATGTTCTTTATAAGTAAACACCATGTAAAAATTTTTAAATTGCATTCAATTTATCAATTAACAGAGAATTGATACCTTTACAGTAATGGGTCTTTCACACCCATAAGCAAATTATCTTTACATAACTAGATCTTTTCTAATAATCTTCATTGAGAATTAAAATTTTCTCTGGGTAAATTTTATATCATTGTTATATTCATATCTAAATATCCTTGTTTCTGTTTACATGTTTAACTTTAATATATTTTAATTATATTTTTTAATTTTACTGACAGATATACAAATGTAATTGAGGTTCTTTTTTCAGGCCTAAACTAAGCAAATTGAGTTTAGATACCTTGTTTATTTGTATTGCTGTTTTTCAGAAAACCTTTTGTGTTCTATGCAGGTAATCAAATTATTTTGAAAAATAAAAGTTTATTTTTTTCCATCAAAATTCGAATATTTCCTCCTTATATAATACTACTTAACCTTATATTTTCTTGATATAATGCAATGGTTTTGAGTTTCAGTACCATAATAAATAAAAGTGTTATAGCAGTCATCTTTGTTTAATCTATGATCCCAAATGATAAGCATTCAATATTTTTTATTAATGTGTTTTATTTACTCCTCACATTGTTTGTGTTTCTGTCTGTAAATAGTCTTTGAGAGAGTATCCCTGCTCTTTTCTTGTTTGAGAAGGTTTATATTAATGGACAGATGCTACATTTTTTATTTTAGATTTTAGATTTTTTTCTGCATCTAATAAGATCATGCTATTTTTTTTTTTTTTTACCTTTTTGTTTTGATAATGTGGTTGAAAGTTTATCTACCACTGCACTCCTACATAAATCCTGGTCAATATAATACATTTTTGTTTGGTTTCTCTATTGGTTTTTTATGTTGTAGGAGTTGATTTTCTAAAAATTTTGTTCCCCATGACCAAGGGGGAAAAAAATGGAAAATTTTCGACAGTACTAGCAGGTTTTAATTGTTTATTTACAAATAAATAACAGGCAGGATCTCAACAGCCTAGTTGTGTCCACGTTAATACCACAGCTCCTATTCACTAATTATCTATACTTAATATTCTATTAGGAATATACATGAAATAAAGTTTAGGCATTGTTTGATTTTTCAACTGGAATTTACCTACTATTGATTGAAAATTTGAATTTTTAAAAATAAAAGTTAAAACCATTGTTTCTAACTGGGAAAAAAATTATAATACAAAAGGAAAATATCCAACATAGAAACAAAAGCATAAAACTTAAAAAATGACTATCATTTAAATCGTTCAGTATGTAATATTGCCTACTGTTTTAATTGATGCATGATATGGTCAGATGAAACAATGCTAACATATATTAACCTATGTGATGAATCATAAGAAGTCTTCTGTTCTGAAGTCACTGAGAGTAAAAAAAAATATCCAATTCGATGTAGAAATAACTGGAAACTGTGGCTGGCATATAAGTTCAGAATTGGAGTAGGTGAAATTTTAGACTCAGCAGTAACTTTCACTTTCTAGAAAAATTTTATGTCGTCTCAGTTTCCTGGTACTTGGTTTGAGAATCATTCCAATTTGTCAGTACAAAGTTTAGAATGAACTGATCCTTTTTTTTTTTTTTTTGAGATGGAGTCCCGCTCTGTGGCCCAGGCTGGAGTGCAGTGGTGTGATCTCGGCTCACTGCAAGCTCCGCCTCCCGGGTTCACACCATTCTCCTGCCTCAGACTCCCAAGTAGCGGGGACTACAGCCACCCGCCACCATACCCGGCTAATTTTTTGTATTTTTAGTAGAGACGGGGTTTCACCGTGTTAGCCAGGATGGTCTCGATCTCCTGACCTCATGGTCCGCCCACGTCAGCCTCCTGAAGTGCTGGGATTAGAGGCGTGAGCCACGGCGCTCGGCCGAATGAACTGATTCTTAAATCCTTATAAATAAATTATCAAATAAAGCTATCTAGATTCTAGCTGCTAGTGATGACTCTTGCCATTTTATAAGTGTTTAAGTAGGTACTCTAACAGAACATTTGTACAAAATCTTGATAAACTAAGCCAGATACTGGGATGAACAAAGGATAGTAGATATCCTTGTAGCTTCTGATGCCATCTTCTATATTTCTGTGATCAAACATGGTCCATGTTGCTCCTATCACTTAATGATTATCAAGAAGTTTTTCACTACATTCAGCCAGTAGTCTAATCAGCCATCAGACTTGTTCTTGCCTTGAATTAATCATCTTAATTTCTCTTTGGATCATCTCCATTGAAAAGCACATTTTGTTTTAGATTAACATGATTTTCTTGTCTAGAAGCAATAGATCAATTCATTTCCAATAATTTCCTAGAAAAATGATGCTTTATAGCTTTTTATCCATTCCAGTAAGGGAACAAAGCAATGGATGATCCGATTAGTCAATAAAACTCCTCAGAAAAATTAGTTCTGAAACAGAACCTTCCCAATATTCCATTTGGGTCAGGATGATATCACAATGATTTTGATTTAATGGATAATGTAGAGTGTTCTGTAATATTATACATGTTAATTCCGAGACCAAACATGTTTCTTCCTCTGGCAAACTCTTCAGCCCATATTGTCCATCACATTCAATGTATGAAGAAAACTGGACTCTTCTGTACTTGAGAAATGAAAAGTTTATTTATTTCTAAAGGCATCAACATGAAAGTTGGATCTGAGATTAGGATTGCTAAAATGAATTCAAACACTAAAGTTCTGTTCTTGCAGATCCAGAGATGTATGCACATGAAGCCTCCTTATAACTGAGAGGAAAAAGATCTAGTCTGGTAAAGAATCAAATTACAAACAAACAAAAGTAGACAACATTAGCTATGTTTCGACAATAAAATAAAGATGTATACTCATGTTATGGTTTCCTGATTCACGAAGCTGAAAAACTTGCCGTCTGTATTTTATCCCATCCTAAATTATTCATATGAAAGTACTTTATGCTACTACATGTTTTCAAATATTTTCGAAGCTGATAAAGGACAGATGTTCTCATTTGAGTGTAGGTAGAAAACCCAGAATATTTCCTGGTCATAGCCTCCCCTTTTACCATCTGATCATTGAGGATATTCCCTAAGGAGTTACTTGGGAGTTAGGAGGAATCCCAGAACAACTATTTGAAAGTCAGGTATCTCACTGATAGAGAAGGATTAAAAAATAAAAATGATTAAAGGAGTCGTCCTAAGATGTTTCCTAAAACAAGACAATCCATATTCTTCAGTAGAATAAAAACTGATAAAAAATAAAAATTAATAATACTTACAAGATGAATATTTTTCTTTATTTCAATTTCTCTTTTATTTAGACCCATAAAATAGTTTTTGTTTACGTTAAATAGACTAATCTTTTGCTGAAGATTCCATTGTTTTTGATTGTGGAAGTGTTTACCATGTTTCTTCATAGGCAAAATTTTAAGTATCTTGATATACTAACCTGGGATTAAAAAAAAAAATCCTTCTCAAAATGGTGCAGAAGTTAAATGTGGAACGTGAAGTAATTTGTTCATATTTTAAGAGAAATTGAATTATGTTTAATAAATATTTTGCTGCGTACACCTTTTATGTCTCATCTAAGTAGCAATTGCCTAACTAAAGATGTAAACACTTACTGCTACATGTCTTGTAAAAGATTTAGTGTTTTCACCCTTAGATTTAATTCTTTGAAATATTGAGAGTTAAATTTATATATGATTTGAGATAGGATTACAACTTTATTCTTTTCCATGTGATACCCAGTTTTCACAGCACAATTTTTTGAAAAGATACTTTTTTTCCCTACCAAAATGCTTTGATACCCTTGTTAAAAATTAACTGACCTTAAATGGAAGGTTTTATATCATTACACATTAAGTGTAATTAATATTAAGTGTTAACTTGTTTGGATTGAAGGATGCAAAATATTGTTTCTGGGTGTTGCCAGAAGGGATTAACATTTGAGTCAGTGGACTCGGAGAGGAAAACCCACACTCAGAAAGACGCATTCACAATGTGGGTGGGCACCATCCAATAGGCCACCAGCTGGCTAGAAAAAGCAGGCAGAAGGTGGAAGAAGCAGAGTGGGGGGTCTTCCTGCTTTTGTGTTTCTCCTGTGCTGGATGCTTCCTGCCTTTAAACATCAGACCCCAGGTTCTTTGTCCTTTGCACTCTTTGAACTTACACCAGCGGTTTGCAAGGGGCTCTTGGGCCTTTGGCCACAGACTGAAGGCTGCACTGACCATTTTCCTACTTTTGAGGTTTTGGGACTTGGACTGAGCCGCTACTGGCTTCCTTGCTCTTCAACTTGCAGACAGCCTGTAGTGGGACTTCACCTTGTGATCATGTGAGTCAATTCTCCTTAATAAAATCCCTTTCACATATACATATTTCCTATTCTGTCCCTCTAGAGAACCCTGACTAATACAAACACACACACACATTTATGGAACAACAACAAAAAAAGATACTGGAATTTTGGTAAGAATTTTGGCATATTAATTTGGGAACTACTGCCATTTTAACAAATTTTTTTCTGATACATAAACACGGATTACTTTTCATATATTTAAGTCTGCTTTAATATTTTCAGTAATATTTTGTGGTTCTCAGTTTACAAGTCTTACACCCACAAGACTTGTAAAATTTACTCCCAAGTGTTTTATTTTTTTTCAACTGTAAAACGTCCAAAATACCCACAGTGATCTGCAGAGTCAATGCAATTCCTTTCAAAATTCTAATGACATTTTTCACAGAAATGAAATTGTATTCTTAATTTTATTTTGGATTGTTAATTGCTAGAATATAGTAAAGCAATTTATTTTTGTATATAGATCATGTGGCTACAGCCTTATTGAACTCATTTGTCATTTCTAATAAATACTGTGCAAATATTGTTGGTTTTTGTCCAATATTGTTTTTAAATACAGAGATGATCATATGATTTTTCTCCTTTATTCTATTAACATAAGGTATTACACTCATTGATTTTTAAATGTTAAATTAACATTGCATTCTTAGTATAATTTGTGGTCACAGGGCACGATTCTTTTCATATATTGCCGAGTTTGATTTGCTAGTTTTTTCTTGATAATTTGGGAGTGTGTATCCATAAATGTGTTGTGTAATTTTCATTTCTTGTGAAGCCTGTCTGGTTTAGGCAACAGAGTAATTTTGGCCTCATAAAATGAGTTACAAAGTAGTCAATTCTCTTCTATATTCAGTTAAGTTTGTGGAGAATTGATGTTTATTTATGTTTAAAAGTTCGATGGAATTCATCTTTGAAGCTGGCTAGGCATGGGATTCCATTGGTTGAAAATTGATTACTAATTCAGTATCCTTACTTATTGCATATTTATTTGAATTTTCTATTCCTTCTTAAATGACTTTTGATAGCTTATGCTTTCTTAGGAATTTGTCTACTTTAATGGGATATAGTTTTTTATAGTATTTTCTTATAATTTTCTTATTGCTTATTTAAATGTTTTGCATACTTTCTCCATCATGCTCTTTATCTGATCAGTCCAGATAAAGTCTTGTCATCCTGGTTGACTTTTTCAGGAAAAAAACTTTTGATAATTGCTAATTTCTCCTATCCTTTATTAATAATCTACTTCCACTGTAAGCTTTATTATTTTCTTCTTCTGCCTACTTTGGGTTACATTTTTTGTGCTTTTTCTAGTTTATTAAGGTGGTAATTCAGGTTATTGATTTGAGATCTTTTCTTTTTTCATTTAATATGGTTATTTACAGCTATATATTTTTCCATTGGTACTCCTATAGCTGCATGCCTTCACTTTTGGTATATTGTGATTTTGTATTTATTCATCTGATAATCTCCCTTGTGATTTTTTTCTTTTTTAAATTGGTTATTTAGGAGAGCACCACACTATTTGTTAAATTTTCCAAATGTACTTTTGTTATTAATTGTTAATTTTATTCTATTACGTGTCGATAATATATTTTGTATGATTTAAGCCATTCAAATATTTTGAGGTTTATTTTATATCTGAACATATAGTCTCTCCAAGAAAATATTTTATGGACAATGGAAAAAATGTGTATTCTGCTGTTGTTGCACAGTACATTCCATAGATATTGGTTAGAATTGGTTGATTTTTTGTGTGTCATTCGAGCCTCCAATTTGTGTTGATTTTTTGTCTCCTTGTTCTATGTATTGTCAATAGTAGAATATTTAAGTCTAAATATTATGGTTGAGATTGTATATTTCTCTCATTAATTCTGTAGTTTTTAAATGTAATTTAGAACATTGTTGTTAGGTGCATATATATTTATAATTGTTACATTCTTCTAATAGTTTTACACTTTTATCAGTAAAAAATGTCCAATTTTTTCTCTAAGAACAATTTTTGTCTGAAAGTCTTTTTCTCATTGTTATAACTAATCAATCACTCTTCTGATTACTGGTTATATGACATGTTTTTTTTCCATTAGAAAGTACATAAGTACTTTCTACTTATTGTGTCTCTAAATCTTGCAGACAATATGTACATTCACTTTGTTTACATGTAACGTAATTACCAATAATGTAGAATTTATGCCTGACATTTTGCTATTAGATTCTTACATGACTGAGGTATTTTATATTCCTGTATTTCTCTATCATTATCTTCTTTGGATTAAATAGTTATTTTCTAAGGTATCTCTTAAATTTTATTAGGATGTCGTTTACTATATTTGTTTTAGTAATTTTCTTAGATGTGATCCTGGGGATTAACATCTTAATTTAAAGCAATTTAGCTTGGATAAATATCAACTTAATTTTAATAGTGTACTAAACTGTATTCCAGTATAACATCATTATCACCCTCTCCTTTGTGATTAATTATCAAGAAAATTTCATTTGTATACATTACAACCCCATAAAAATGATATCTTTATCAGTTCTTACTGTTTTTTGTACAAATTTGAGTTGCTCTCTAGTACCTTTTATTTCATACTTAATGACTTCTTTTAGTATCCCCTGTAGGTCAGGTGTGCTAATGATAGATCCTCTGTTTTTTATTATCTATTCACTTGTGAAGGGTTATTTGTTTCATATAGAACTCTTGATTGGCAGTCTTTTTTTTATCACTTTGAATATAATGTTCTGGCCTTCTTGATTTCTTTTGCAAGGTCTGCTATTAATATTGTCAAGGGACAATTGTATATGATAAGTCACTACCCTCTTAATACTTTGAAGATTCTCTGTTTTTTGGCTTTCATTTGTTTAATAAGTGGAGAATAGGTGTTATATATCTTTAAGTTTATACTACTTAAAATTTCTTAAGCTTCATGTACTTATAAATTAACATTTTCATCAAGATTAGAAAGTTTTCAATCAATATTTCTTCAAATGTTCATTCTTCCTCTTTCGCTGTGTAGTTGGCTGAATAACATACACCCAAAATTAGGTCATCCTCCCTGAAACTTTTAAATGTTATCTTGTAAGGAAAAGAGAGCACTTGTGGATACAATTAAGGACCTTGATATGGAATGTTATCCTAGATTATAGAGGTGGGTATTAAATGCAAGGACGAGTATCCTTATAAGAGAGAGGCAGAGGGAGAGTTGATAGAACCAGAAGAGGAGGAAGAAATAGAATAATGGAGGCAGAGATTAAAGTGATGTAGTTAGAACTCAAAGAATGCCAGAAACCACGAGAAGCAGCAAGAGGGAGGAATTGATTATCTTCTGGAGCCTCCACAGGGAGTGTTTTCCTGCTGACATATTGATTTCACTTTAGTGAAATTATTTCAGACCTTTGATCTTTAAAAGTGGGAGAGAACAAATTTCTGTTGTTTTTAAGCCACCAAGTCTGTATAAATAATAGCCATGAAAAACTACATATTCTGTATTTCTTCTCCTTCTGGAACTCCCTTTATGCTTATGTTGGCATGCTTAATGGTGTCTCATAGGTCTATAAATCTCTGGTTATTTTTATTCATTCATTTTTTCTATTTTTCAGAATGAATAATCTCAATTGACCTATCTTTAAGCTCACTGATTCTTTCTTTTGCCATGTGTAGTATTTTGTTATTCCACTATAGTGAATTTTTAAATTTTAGTTATTGTATGTTTCCATGCCAGAATTTCAGTTTTGTGTGCATTTACAATTTTTATGTCTAAGTATTTTCTTTTTAGTGAGATATTGTTTTTATATTTTAATTTTTTGGGTATGGTTTTTCTTTATTCTGTTAATATAGTTATGATAGCTGACTTAAAAACATTTTCTAGTAATTCCAATGTCTGGGTTTCATTGAAAACAATTTTTGTTTTTTTTCTTTTTGATTTTATTCATTATTTTTGTCCAAGCCCAAGGGAACAGTTTCTATTAAATATTTTTCTTTATTTCCTGCATGTGGGCATTACTTTCATATTTTTTTTCTTTTTTACGTGTCTTATAGCTTTTGTTGAAAGCTGAACATCTATAAAATATTTGTGCTTATATGGGAAGCAGATTACCATTTTCCCCCCTAGGATTTGTTGCTACGTGTTGTTTCTGCTGCTGTTTGTTTGGTGATTTTTCCTGGACCATAAACTCTGTATGCTTTGTTGTGTGTGGCCACTGAAGTCTTTTCTTGATTAACTTAGTGGTTAGGTAATGAGTGAGCAGAGGTTTTCTCAAATGTCTTGAACCAGTAAATCCACCAGATTTTGCCGGGGTACTCTGTGTGTGTGTGTTAAGGCATACCTTCAACTCTATGTCAGTGTTTGTCTTTGTTTTAGCCCTCAGTTCTTACTTACGCAGACATAAATGTTAGTTAGCCAGAAGTCAGATATTTAGCACTCCTTTGGTCTTCTCTTGGATTGGCACAGCCCTACAAATGGGTGTGAACTTCTAGATTCCCTGAAATATGTCAGAACTTTTTAAAGCCCTCTATGGACATCTTATTGTCCACACTGTGCTTTTAGTCATTTGATTAACCTTTAGCTTGTATTGCATGTGTTGGTGCCTCAGGAAGCTTCAAATTTAAACAATTGCTACTTAATTATTTTTGACAAAAGCCTGCTTTTAGTCTGTTCTCAATCTGCTATGAGGAAATACCCAAGACTTGGTAATTTATAAAGAAAAGAGATTTGATTGACTCAAAGTTCTTCATGGCTGGGGAAGCCTCAGGAAACCTAAAATCAGAGAATGAGTGCCAAGTGAAGGGGAAAGCCACTTATAAAACCATCAGATCTCATGGAAATTCACTCACTATCATGATAAGAACAGCATGGGGGAAAATACCCCAATTATTCAATTATCTTCACCTGATCCCACCTTGACCATGGGGATTATTACAATTCAATGTGAGATTTGGGTTCTGGAGGACTGTGACCCTCTTCTCACAGAGCCCAACCATGCTATTCTGCACCTGGCCCTTCCCAAATCTCATGTCCTCACATTTCAAAACACAATCATGTGCTTCTAACAGTTCCCCAAAGTATTAATCATTGCAGCATTAACCCAAAAGTCCGAGTTCAAAGTCTCATCTGAGACAAGGCAAGTCCCTTCTGCCTATAAGCCTGTAAAATCAAAAGCAAGTTAGTTACTTGCTAGATACAATGGTGGTACAGACATTGAGTAAATACACCCATTTCAAATGGGAGAAATTGGACAAAACAAAAGGGCTACAGACTCCATGCAAGTCCAAAATCCAGTAGGGCAGCCAAATCTTAAAGCTTCAAAATGGTCTCCGTTGGCTCTATATCTCACATCCAGGCTGCACCGATGCAAGAGATAGGCTCCCATGGCCTTGGAGAGCTCTGTCTCTGTGGCTTTACAGTATATAGCACCACTCCAGGCTGATTTCACAGGCTGTCATTGAGTATCTGTGGCTTTTCTAGGCACACAGTGCAAGGGGTCAGTTTATCTACCATTCTGGGTCTGGAGGACTGTGACCCTCCTCTCACAACTCCACTAGGCAGTGTCCCAATGAAGACTTTATAGTGGGACTCCAACCCCACACTTCCCTTCCACATTGCCCTAGCAGAGGTTATCTATGAGAGCCCTATCCTGCAGTAAACTTCTGCCTGGACATCCAGGTGTTTCCATACATCCTCTGAAATCTAGGAGGAGATTCCTAAGCCTCAATTCTTGACTTCTGTGCACCCCCAGGATCAATACCACATGGACGCTGACAAGGCTTGGGGCTTGCACCCTCGGAAGCAATGGGCTGAGCTGTACCTTGGCCCCTTTTAGCCATGCTGAAGTGGCTGGGACACAGGGCACCAAGTCCTGTGGCTGCACACAGCAGGGGGCTCTGGACCTTGCCCAGGAAACCATTTTTCCCTCCTGGGCCTCTTGGCCTGTGATGGGAGGCACTACCACGGAGGTCTCTGACATGCCCTGGGACATTTTCCCCATTGTTTTGGCAATGGGCATTTTGCTCCTCATTACTTATGAAATTTCTGTAGTTAGCTTGAATTTCTCCCCAGAAAATGAGATTTTCTTTTCTACCACATTGTCAAGGTACAAATTTTCCAAACTTTTATGCTCTGTCACCTCTTGAATGCTTTGCTGCTTCGAAATTTCTTCTCCCAGATACCCTAAATCATCTCTCTCTCAAGTTCAGAGTTCCATAGATCTCAAGGGCAGGGGCAAAAAGCCATGAGTCACTTTGCTTAAGCATAGCAAAAGTGACTTTTACTCTAGTTCCCAACAAGTTCCTCATCTCCATGTAAGACCACCTCAGCCTAGACTTCATTGTCCATATCATTATCAGCATTTTAGTGAAAGCCACTCAATAAGTCTCTAGGAAGTACCAAACTTTTCTATATCTTCCTGTCTTTGGAGCCCTCCAAGTCTCTATGAAGTTCCAAATCTTCCCACTTTTTTTTATCTTCTTCTGAGCCGTCCAACCTGTTCCAACCTCTGCCCATTTTGTAGTTGCAAAGTTGCTTCCTGATTTTCAGATATCCTTATAGCAGTGCCCCACTCCCTTGGTACAATTTACTGTATTAATCTGTGCTCACACTGCTATAAAGAATTGCCCAAGACTGGGTAATTTATAAAGAAATGAGGTTTAATTGACTCACAGTTCTGTATGGCTGGGAAGGTCTCAGGAAACTTATAATCACGGCAGAAGGTGCCTCTTGACAGGGCAGCAGGAGAGAGAATGAGTGCTGAATGACGGGGCTAGCCCCTTATAAAACCATCAGATCTCATGGGAACTCATTCACTATCATGAGATCAGCATGGGGGAAACTGCCCCAATGATTCAATTATCTCAACCTGGTCCTGCCCTAGTCACATGGGGATTATTACAATTCAAGATGAAATTTGGGTGGGGACACAGAGCCAAACCATATCAGCCTGGGTTTATGGCTATTTGTATTGATAGGACTGTGAGTCTAGTCAGATAAAGAGAATTTTCTGGACATGGGGCTTTTAGGAGCTCCAAACTTGTTGGACCCCTCTAAGTGGTACTACAGTGGTGGTTTTTACAAGTACATTGGTTGTGAGGGAATTATTATTATTATTATTTTTGATGTGGGGTCTCACTCTGTGGCCAGGCTGGATTGCAGAGGCATGATCTCGGCTCACTGCAACCTCTGCATCCCAGGTTCAATTGATTCTCCTGTTGCAGCCCAAGTAGCTGAGATTACAGGTGTGCGCCAGCACACCCAGCTAATTTTTGTATTTTTAATAGAGACAGGGTTTCACCATGTTAGCCAAGATTGTCTCCATCTCCTCACCTTGTGATTCTCCCGCCTCTGACTCCCAAAGTGCTGGGATTACAGGTGTGAGCCTCCGTGCCAGTCTGAGGTTATTGACTTTTGAGGGTACCGCTATGAGGAGTGGGATGGAAATGAGGCAATGTAAGCTACCAAAAAGCTCACTGTTCTCATTGACATTCACTATTTTTCTTGAATAAGTGCTCCTGAAATTTTGCAAATTTTTAGTTAATTTTAGAGTCTTGAAAACAGTTTGTTTTAAATTTGTTTTCAATGTTTTGCTAATGTTCTCATTACATTAATTTTATGGAGGAGCCGATCTTGGAAACACTTAGTCTGCTGTTTCCAAAGTATCCTCTTCTCTTGCTTTTATTCATTTGTTTAATAAACATTCACTGAGTAACTAATATTTTAAGATTTTTTTTTTAGACAAGGTCTTAGTCTGTCACCTGTGCTGGAGTGCAGTGGCATGATTATGGCTCGGCTCACCTCAGTCTTGAGCTCCCAGGCTTGGGTGATCCTCCCACCTCAGCTTCTCAAGTAGCTGGGACTACAGGTGCACGCCAACATGCCTGGCTAATTTCTTTTGTACTTTTGCAGAGATGGGGTTTTATTACATTGCCCAGGCTGGTCTGAGACTCCTGAGCTCAAACGATCCACCTGCCTTGACCTCCCATTTTTAGAATTTTTATGTATGTGGAATATAATGTGAACAAAAAGACTTACTCCTTATGTTCATAGAAATTAAAAGCTAGGGAAGATATAGACATTAAACATTTATTTGAATATAATATTATAAAGGAAGAGAGAACTATGAGGTTCCTGGAAGTTTGGGGGAAAGAAATAAAATGTCTCAAAATGTCTCTGAATAATTGACATTTATATTACAATATACAATCTGTACAGATTATATCTGGAATGAAAATATTAAGATACGAATGGAAAAAGTACACGTAGATGTTCTGTTAGTAATCAGCTGTGCAAAGACACTGAGGTTAATGGGAGTAACTTAAAATGGCAGGTTAAAGAGAAGTGTAGAAAGGCAGAGGGAATGCCTGATGAAGGGTAGGCAGATGAAGTTCATTTTTATTGTTTTACGAAAAGTAAAAACTAGTTTTATATTAGACAGCAACATAATCAGATATTTATTTAAAAATATGTTCTGGCGGCAAAGTTGATTACTGACATATATATGTGGATCTCATAAAGTTTTGCAGTGGTCAAATTGAGAGATGATGGAAGCATTAACTAAAGTCATTAAAAACTCAAAACTTTATGATTAAAAGTTATATTAGTGTATTTTCCTAAATATAGTCATATTAACTATGTCTTTATGATTTGAACATATTGTTGTAAAATAAATAAGTAAAAATATGTGTAAGAATTAGTAATATGATTAGATCAGTATAGTTAATGTTAATAATGCAAGGATACCAGTCATTTCACTTTTAATACACACCTGTCGTGGCAGCATCTTATTTTCACATCAATTTTAAACTAAACAAGCCAATTATAGGGTATAATAAGAAGGCTTCAACACTAAAAATTTATAGGCCTACCTTTCCACAGAGTAATTAAACATATTCTCTCAGTTTAAAATTAAAGAACAAAGAAATATACATAATAATAATTGAGAGAATAAATATTCAAGATTCAGCAATTATTTATGAATGATGTTTACATTTTGTTTTCATTTTAAAAGCCTGTCCTAGATACAGTGTTTAATCCTAAATGAATGACTAATATTATTGTCTGAACAATTACATTTTTAATAAGATTTGTTCTGATAAATCACATGGAGTCCAAAGGAATTCACCCATCCACTTAAATGGTCGTTATTAAAAGAAGAGAGAATTTATGTCAGGGTGATTTTTAGATTTACTAGTTCCCAGAGCAGAACAAATTATTTTCTGTAGGCTAAAAATGAAAACTATTTATCTTCGTCCTTGTATCCAAACTATATTTCACAGCCCATGAGACTCAAATGGGAGGCACTTTTCAATAAAATTCATGCTTGATTTTTTTTTACAGTTAAAAAACAAAAATGTTCATAGTGAGTTGGGGGGGGATACTGTCAGAAAGAGGGGCTACAAAATAATCCATCATATAATAAAGGCATGATATTAATGGTTTTGAATCTTATAAAAGGCAGATATTATGTTGAGGGAGAGTTAAAAAAGCTGGCACTGCATTTTGAAATGACAGTAGAATGAAGTCTATCTACAGAATGGTTACTCATAATACAGTAAAAAGATTTTGGAGGAATAGTAATAATCAGGCATTTTATGCAAATTTTTGACCCTCTCTCATTTCCTGAATACAAAAATGTATGTTTATAATCAAATAAACATATAAAGCACCCATTTCATATGCATATTTTGTGGATTCAATTGTGCTGACTCCCAAATTCATAAGTTGAAGCCCTAACCTAAAGTGACTATATTTAGATATATGGCCTTTAACAAGGTAACTAAACTTAAATGAGGTCCTAAGGGTGAGGCCCTGATTCAATATTACTAGTGTTTTTATAGGAAGAGAAAGAGACACCAGAGATGCGCACACAAACAAAAGACCCTCTGAGGACACATCTGGCAGATGCCTTCTGCAATTCAAGAAGAGAGACCTCAGGAGAAAATAAACCTGCTGATACCTTAACTTTGACTTCCAGCCTCAAGAACTGTAAAAAAATAAATTTCTGTTATTTACATCACCTAGTCTCAGGTATTTTGTTATGGCAGTCCTAGCAGACAACTACACATATTAATAGAAAAGTTGATTATGTGAAGGAGAAAAAAAAATTAGGAAAAGTTACTGTGCTTGTTTGCTCTAAATGTCATAATGAAATACCCCAGGTTGTGTGGCTTAAACAACAGAAATTGATTTTCTCATTGTTCTGCAGGCTGAAAGTCTAAGATCAAGATGGTGACAAATTTGGTTTCGCCTGAGACCTCTCTCCTTGGCTTGCAGAGGGCAGACTTCACTGTGTAATCAGATAATCTGTGTGTGCACTTCTGATGTTTCGCTGTCTGTGTCCTAATCTCCTCCTCTTGTATGGAAACCAGACTTATTATATTAGCGCCCACCCTAATGACCCTATTATAACTTAATTACCTCTTTAAAGGCCGTATCTTCAAATACAGTCACATTCTAATATACTAGAGGTGAGGATTTCAACATACAAATGCTGGGGACACAGTTTAGCCATTCCAGTTACCTTTACATAACTCATTTTCAAAACAGGGTTAAAAAGGTGAAAACAAAAGAGTATTTTAATTTTGAACATATATTCTACTAGGAAGATACATTTTAGTGACAAATTGCTACATGGAGAGCATATATATTTATGCACTTGCTTATATTGCCTTTTTAAAGATTTTTAACAAAAAGTTTGCTACTAATAAAATGGAAAAATAGATGTATAAAATTTTATTATTTAATGTCAATATCTTGTAGTTTGAGACATTAGCTGAGAAATAATGTTTCTTTACTGGATGGTAAACTAACCACATCATTTTTGTTTTGTTTGTTTTTGCTTTTATTATGAAGTGATGGCAAAATATCTATAAAATAGATAAATTATATGTGAACCTCTTTAACCCCTTCAGAAAGTATCAATTTATTGAAATTGTGCTTTATGTCACTTCAATGCCCCGATGATTATTTCAAATCAAATTTCAAATATTATATTGTGGCATCCATGAATACTTCTTCAAAATATGGAATTAGAAAAACTTTTTTTTTCCTTTACAGAAACACATAATCACAGAACCATGATTCTATTGACCACATTTAGGGTAAACTTTTCATTTGAATAAATGAGATATTAGAAGTAATTACATAATTTATTATAACATATGATGTGTCAACATTTTCTTATTAAGGATTTTGAGAAATTGTTAAATTTATATTGTATATGTGAAATGAAAATTAGAAAGAATATTTAAAATCATACTCAAATTTTAGATATGTTATTTAAGTCTACAATAAGATTTATCTAAACAGAATTCTGTGAGGTAACACTGAGGATTATAAAAGGTAAGATGATAAAATAAATCAGTTATTGATTTCTACATTAGTGCACAATGACAGCGATTGAGAAATCCCATTAGCAATTTCATTCATGGTTTTCCAGCCCTGTATATCAGTATTCAATATGACCATATTTACTTGATTGAGTCAGTTCTACTTTAGATAGTAATGACCATTGATAATTACTGAATGTGGTATTGCAGGGAACTGATATTACTCCCTCCTTCTGGAATAACTTACCCCAACCTCTTTTTATAGGCTGCTGACTAACTTAATGAACTGAACGGATTAAAATGGTGCAAGAGAAAAGGGCATTTTTACACAAAAGGAAGCATTTTCTGTGTTCCAGTTCAGCTGTTCCAATGACATTTGGTGGTGTTATCAGTGTGAATTATGTAAGTCAGAGGTAAAATGTATGGTAAAGTTTCTGTGTTGTTATGAGATTTGACTATTGAATCATTCTGAATATTTATTGTATTGTTTAATGAAGTTTGTCCTACAATTATATTTGGGATTTTTACATGGAAATTGTCATACAGAAAAGGAAAATTTGAGGCCTAGGATTATAAGTAATTCTTATAAAGTTGATGACACATTGTAATAATATTTTTAATCACTTCAGCACATTAAAGGGACAAAGAAAAAAGAAACACAAAAGAAGTGCTAGTTATTAATATATTGTATTAACTATATATAGTAAAAAATATTATTTTATTTTATATGAGCTGATAATCCAATCAGGCCTATGCCATTTTGTATTGTGTGTGAAACAATGTATAAATGCAGAAGGGTGCCTGCAAAGGAACAGGCAATGTTATCACAAGGTGACATTTATAACCTGACAGAAGATGCTGAGGTTTTTATTTATTTATTTATTTATTTTGGTAATAACAGACAAGCAAGTTTCTTTATCCAGACTGACGCATCAACCATGATCTAGCATTTGCAAGATGTGTAATTACTTTGACTTTCAAGAAAACATCTTCTGATCTAAGGAACTTCCCAAGATATCAAAGGTAAAGGTATATTTAAAGATTTTTTATTTATATTTGAACATAACATGCCTTGAAAGAAGTCTTTTGGCATCCATAATATATTAGCATATATTAGGGTTCTCCAAAGAAATATAACTAGTAGGATATAAATAAATATATATATACACAAACACACACATGCATTTATTCGTGATAAAGCATTGGCTCATATGATTATGGAGGCTGAGAATTCCCAGGATCTGCAGTTGACAAGCTAGAGAAACAATGTATAGTTCTAGCCTGTTCTGAAGACCTGAGAGTCAGGAGAGCTGATGGTATAAGTTCCATTCCAAAAGCTGGCAAGCGATTTTAAAATGAGAAGTATCTCCAAGGCTAGCCATGTCTGTTACCATCCTGAGTGATGCCTCCAAAGGCTGAGTTATATCAAGACCTGTGGTAATATCAGCGGAGTTGGGAGGCTGAGGCAGGAGAATGGCGTGAATCCAGGAGGCGGAGCTTGCAGTTAGCTAAGACCGCGCCACAGCACTCCAGCCTGGGCAACAGAGGGAGACTCCGTCTCAAAAAAAAAAAAAAAAAAAAAAAAAAGTAATTTCGATCACTTTCTTGATCTTGAGGTTTACTTCATGATGTAGTTCAGCTTGGAAAACTGACCATTCTCAGATGGGATTTTGTACGTTTCTTTGGTAAGCCTAATACATTTACCAGGAGAATGATTGTGCAGCTAGGAGAGTGATTTGTTGCCCCTCTGGATACATCAAAATAATGGACAATAGACAAGGTCATTTAGGCAACAGGTGACAAGGTGATCAACATCCATTGGAAGGAGACATTCTGTCATATGGAACTGATATATGGTCACTGCAGGTCAGAGTCAGCCTTTCCAAGGTGTCTCACTTTCTTGGGGAAGCCAACTGCCCTCAGTTAGGACTCTGCAACACTCAGCCTAGGTAACAAGAAGGAGATAAAAAGACGTTTACAATATTCCAACTCCCCATTTCACGCTTCCTTACAGAGGCATCAATACTTTTCAGATTGTTCTTTCTAATTTTTTTTCCATTATGACATACCCATATTTTCTTCATTAATATTTTTATTGTCATTGCTGTATTTTACTTCCCTTTTCATTTCTTCCTTCATGATCTGTGCTTTCATTTCCCTCATGCTTTATTTCTCTTATTCTTTAATTTCTCTTACTGCTCTCCACATTTCTTTCACTGTCTTCAATCAACTTAGTCTTAATTTGAAACTATTATGCATGCTATTGTATTTTGACTTTTTTGCTATATTAACTCTATTTGAGAATTCGAGTTATATTTCAACGAGTTATATTCATCATATTTCATTCTTTATTTTTTATTATTTATTTATTTATTTATTTATTTTTGAGGCAGAGTCTCGCTCTGTCGCCCAGGCTGGAGGGCACTGGTGCGATCTCAGTTCACCGCAAGCTCCGCCTCCCGGGTTCACGCCATTCTCCTGCCTCAGCCTCCCAAGTAGCTGGGACTACAGGTGCCCGCCACCACGCCCGGCTATTTTTTTTGTATTTTTAATAGAGACGGGGTTTCATCATGTTAGCCAGGATGGTCTCGATCTCCTAACCTTGTGATCCGCCCGCCTCAGCCTCCCAAGGTGCTGGGATTACAGGCGTGAACCACCGTGCCTGGCCCATATTTATTCTTTTTAATGCTCCTTTCTTCATTCACCTCATTCTTCATTCACTACACCCTAATTATTATTTATTTACATTTAAATAATTTTTATCTCAGTCACATTTCAGTAGTCCTTTCTACTCTTCTGTTATACTGACTTTTGATTAGGATAATAAGATATCCAACATAAGCTGATATAGAGAAAGGCAGCATTTGCTTTTCAAATAAACACCAAAAATTATTATTATGTTATTGTATCTATAATTCATTCATCTCACTAGAGTACAATGAGCTGTATACTTGTGTAGGATACTTGTGTTTTTTCTTTCTTTTGTTATCTCTTTTTTCCCTTTTGTTTTCCTTAATTTCTTCCGTCCTTCTTTTCTTCCTTTTTACTTCCTCCCCTTTTTCCTGTTATGAGAAATTATCTCTAATATTATCGGTTCCACAGAGAAAACTACAGATAATTTTTTTTTTTTTTTTTTTTTTTTTTGAGACGGAGTCTCGCTCTGTCGCCCAGGCTGGAGTGCAGTGGCGCAATCTCGGCTCACTGCAAGCTCCGCCTCCCGGGTTCACGCCATTCTCCTGCCTCAGCCTCCCGAGTAGCTGGGACTACAGGCGCCCGCCACTACGCCCGGCTAATTTTTTGTATTTTTAGTAGAGACGGGGTTTCACCGTTTTAGCCGGGATGGTCTCGATCTCCTGACCTCGTGATCCGCCCGCCTCGGCCTCCCAAAGTGCTGGGATTACAGGCGTGAGCCACCGCGCCCGGCCCAGATAATTTTTTTAAAGAACAAAATGGTCTATTTAAAGCATGGGTTTACATACTGACATATAACATCACATCCAAACTGGAATTTTTATTCTCTATACATGTAGTGGTTACTAAATGTATTTTTGCCTGTTGACATATTTGAGTAATTTAAATGAATATTTCATGATATCAATTATATTTTGGCAGTGTTCGAAAAAATTGCAATATTTATAAGATATTAAATTTGTACAAATTTTAAAAGATCAATCCTGAAAAGTAAATCATGCTGCATATGTAAATTCATATTTTTATAAGCTTAATTGAAGATATCTTAAGAATGTGCAAATATATATTGAATAGAGTAGATGCAGCTAGATAGCCTTGATTAAAGAAAAAATACATGTTTGAACATCTGAAATTTCCAGCCTAACTTTAATATAATAGCTTTAATCAAACTCTCCTGAAATAGTTCAAATTCTTTTGTTTTCTTATATTTATTAAACTAAAAATGTCTGAAATTCTACTTATAGCAATAATATTTATTTTCATTAGTACTAAGTTTATTAAGAAGAAGACTCTCAATAGCTTATTTTTTGATATTCTAATTATTTCCTGTCACTGTATTTTATTCTGTAATCTGTTTAATTTTTTTTTCCCCAGACTGAGTCTACCTTTGTCACCCAGGCTGGAGTGCAGTGGCGTGATCTTGGCCCACTACCACTTCCGCCTCCTGGGTTCAAGTGATTCTTCTGCCTCAGCCTCCCAAGTAGCTGGGACTACAGGCACCGGCCACCACGCCTGGCTAATTTTTGTATTTTTAGTAGAGACAGGGTTTCATCATATTGGCCGGGCTGGTCTTGAACTCCTGACCTTGTGATCTGCTGTCCTTGGCCTCCCGAACTGCTGGGATTACAGGCGTAAGCCACTGCGCCCAGCCTGTTTTAATTTTAATTTGCTAAAGATTTATTAAGCTTTTGTTACATACTAGATATATTTCTGGATAATAGTGACTGTTTGAATACCTCCTGTCATGGAACTGCAGTTAAGGCTAGAATACAAATATTAATCAACTAATTATATGTATAATGGACATATCAAAAAGAAGAACTAGAAAGTATAGAAAAGCTAGGGGATCAAGTGATACAAGATACAATATTTAGGAAGTGACATATAAATGGAGATTCAAATTCATGAGTTAAAATGAACCCTGTTTTATTTCTGACATTCTTCTATTTTTCTAACAACCAGTTCAGTCTCACAGTGTGTAGCCTGCTTCGTGATTTTTGCCCCCTTTTTATGCCTTTTGTGTTTAATGCTATTTTACTAACACAATATCAGAACACATTTTTCTTCTTTTATTTAAATACTATTTCTTTGTCAATCCTCAGAAAATTTTATAGTAGTGGATTGTTTAACCCAATCCAAGGGTATTTATTTACTAGGTATATTGGATAGACCTTAGAGTTGTCCCCATATTCAAGGTCTGTATAAGTCCTTGCCCTTCAATGTGGAAGGAGTCTGTGACTTGTTTCTAATAATAGAATACTGTGAAGGAGATTGGTGTCGCTCCTGTGCTTAGGTTACAGTATCTATGCACAAAGCTACCTCTTGTACCAGAGACACTCTTCCTCTTTACCTTTGGGGAAGTAAGCTCACCATGCTGTAAGAGAGTCTATTTAGAGGACTGCAAAGAGGACCTCTTGTTTTTGATCGTGAAATGGAAATGGAAGTTTAAAAAACTATGCATGTTTTAAGCCATTAGCTTTGTGACAATCTGTTATGAAACACTAGAAGACTAATACAACACGAAAGTGTTCTTTATTTACTTTTGTTTCCATGAATTAAAGCCCAAACATTTTTTCTTTTTTAGATTTTGTAGAATTTCTTCTTTTCATTTTTCTATTGTGTAAATTTAGGGTATGTGCATCTTGTATTTTTTTTCTCTGTAATGCTCTGTATTTTTTCCCAGTAACTATTCTTAATTTTTTGATAATTACATATTACAAACGCTTTCAGTGAGATGGTAATAATCTTAATTACATATTATACTTGAATTTCCTCATTCATTTTAAATAATTTCGGTGCTTACAGAACTTTCATTCTCATCACTGACACTTTCATCCTCAAACTACATTGTTAATTTTTTTTATTATTTTGACACATCCCTGAATTACAATTTTAAGTAATTTTCCAGGAGTTTGCATGATTAGAAAAAGGAAAAAATTAGGACAAAAGGAAAGAATAAACATGGAGACACACACACACACACACACACACACACACACACACAAAGGAGAAAAACCAAAAGGAAATGGTAGTGATACAGACAGGATGCAGGGAAATACTGGGTAGAAAAGGGTGGTGCCCAGGAAAAACCCCACCATCAAGCTTGGAAACCCGTGGCCCTAAATGGGAACAGACATTCCTGTTTTCACGCTCAAATATTGCCTTTTCCAAGACAGTTCTGGCCCGCCACACCCTTATCCTGTGCCCATATAAACCCCAAGCTCCACAAACAGAGGAGTAGAGGAGCAGCAGAGTGGCAGAGCAGCACACCAGAGAAGGAGAGAAGAGGAGGAGTGTCTGAACGTAGGGAGGAGTCCGGCTGGGGACGGTTGGAGAGGAGCTCAGCTGTGGGATGACTGAACTCCAGGCAAGATCATCTTCCCACTCCATCTCCTCTCCAGCTCCCCATCCATCCCACTGAGAGCCACTTCCACCACTCAATAAAATCCTCGCATTCACCATCCTTCAAGTCCGAGTGACTTGATTCTTCCTGGATGCCAGACAAGGACCCCGGTACCAAGAGGGCAGGATGTTAAGGCTGTCACCCGGACTCTCCACTGAGCAGGTTTAATTCCTAGCCATCCTCGGACAGCAAAACTGCTAAAAGGGCATTAATTGTAATACACCCCTAGATGCTATAGTGGGGCCAGAGCCCAGAAGCTTGCTCCCTGTCTCCTGCACCTGCCCCTCTGCATGCTCCCCCTTCTGTAAGGGGTTTGAGTAAATGACAGACAAGCAAAGGAGCCACACCTTTGTCACAAGTCCTGCAAGGGGGTCAGGGAACTCTCTTATTTCATTAGGAACCAGAAACAATTACTGGGTGCTCAAAATATGGCAAATATGGCATTCATAGATATTTTAACCTTCATTTCTCTAATCTATTAATTTTACTTTAAATCTTCACTTAAATTTTCTAAATTACTTATAGCTAATTGGGAATTTTTTTCTCTAACATCTTAATTTGAATATAAAACTACTTTAATTTTTCTGTTTGATTATGAAGACACTTTAGTTTATAAACTGAGTGAAATTTGGCTTTTACCAATAGTTTTATCATAAACCATCATGGTTTTCATTACTTTTGAGAGTTATAAATTTCATCTTGAATTTCTTTTGATGCACATGTTATCTAGGTATGTGTCTTGTGACTTTAAAATAAAAAGGAACTGTGTTAACTTTTAATATTCATTTTATAATATTCAGTTTATAATGATATGATAGCCTTTGTTGCTATATTTATATATTTAAATAACTTAATTATTTAATTCCTTTAATCCTTTCTAATTTTTTTAAAATCTGGCAATGTGTATGTGTTATGTATATTGTAGAGGCCAAAGGAAGAAATTCGAAGAAATTTGCCTTTGGCTAAGGAATCATTACATACAGTGGTCTATTGTGGAGGTTTCTTCAAAAGAATGTGAACATGTTTTATTTTTGCTCCTTTACTCACTTTACAATTAGAAAGATTCAGATCTCTTGAGTGTAAGATTACTTTTTAAAAACTATACTGAACTTATAAAATTGCTTTATATTTTCAAAGCTACATCGTAGTTTCATCTCATAAATGATCTCATTTTTCAACATTAATTTTTGCAAGGCATGGCTCAATATAATCATAATGGCTTAGATCAGGTCATGAAGTCATCAAATTCCTATTGTCCCTTGTGCTTATGACACAAAAAGTATGAAGAAAACGAACAATATACATACAGATGCATACACTACACTATGGAAGGAATGTAATCAAGATTATCCCATTTTTTAGTGCTAAGCTAACTCATTATTTGTGGCTGACTCATTATAACAAAATAGACTTACTTTTCAAATTACTCTGTCTATGGAGTATTTTGAAGTGAAAGTAAATTATTTTGACATGTGATTTTCACAATAGCACCAATAATGGTTACATGTTGGTAACCATTTGGTTACCTATATATGTAATTTGGTTACTTATATTTTCATCATTAAAACTATGATTAGAGTCTGAGGGGTTGAACCAGAAGACAGCTGTATTTCCCATTACAATCACAGAAATGTGGAGTCCAACAAAAAAGACTTTTAAACAGTGAAGAAATAGAACATCTGTGTAGGTCTGGAGAAACAGAGGAGCAAAATCAATCAAATTATGGACACAGGCCAGTAGACTAGTTTCCCTTGAATAAAGGGGTTTGTCTGCAAGACACGTTCACAGATAGTTGTTCACAATTGTTCAAGGTACATTCCCAGATTAAATGTAAAATTTGGCAATCTGTATTCTATGACCAGAGAATGTGAAGGCTGAGCTGACACACTTGCTACCTTGCAATTATACTGTTTCCCTAGCTAAGCTACAATCTTCCATTTTTTATTTAAAAAATGAGATCAAGGGACTGCTATTGTACATTATCTTTTGTCCAGTATTTTTTTGTTTTGTTTTTTGAGACGGAGTCTCGCACTGTTGCCGAGGCTGGAGTGCAGTGGCGCGATCTCGGCTCACTGCCACCTCCGCCTCTCAGTTCAAGCTATTCTCCTGCCTCAGCCTCCTGAGTAGCTGGGATTACAGGTACCCGCTACCATACCCGGCTAATTTTTTGTATTTTTAGTAGAGATGGGGTTTCACTGTGTTGGCCAGGCTGGTCTTGAACTCCTGACCTCGCGCCTTGGCCTCCAAAAGTGCTGGGATTGCAGACGTGAGCCACTGCGCCCGGCCTGTCCAATATTAAAGAAGGAAGTTGCATAGACTTCAAATGCATAGACAACTAATAGCAAGACCTTATTTCTTATAATAGAAAAGTTACAAAATAATAGGTGATTAATATGGAAACATCACATATTTAACCTTTGTACATATTTCAACAAAAATAAACCATAGTTCATTCAAAGAAACTTAGTTTACTAAACAATGATTGAAAAACAGTTTGTCTTTTATTTGAATTAAATGTACATTTAATTATCTTATTCTTTGGAATTCAGAAATAGATACTGTTGATTCCAAGATAATGACCTCACAGGAAAAGTGCTACCACCCAGGATAAGATGACAGAATCAGCTGATTGATCCTGTCATCTTGTGATTGTGATTGTAACTAAGTTGTAAATCACTTTCTCTGTTTTCTACTTTCCTTAAGTGAAGAACTTGAATTGACCAATTAATGGCATGCCATTTTTCAAAGATTGAAGCAAAAACAGTTGAATATTCGAATCTAAGATATGATACAGAATTTTTCAGTAATGACAATATGGGAGAAAATATTGGACATAAATATACAAATTGTCTTTAACTAAGAATCTCTATTGGGACAAAATTCTTGTTTACCTTTTTAGATTCCCTCAGTTTCCATGTTTCTTATCTCTCTTTGCACCATTACCTTTTCTCAAGACTTCTCCACTTTCAGACTTAGATGAAATAGCATTAAAGATGATACAAGATGGCCACACGTATATGACTGGTGCGACTCAGCCCTGCTCCTCCTGTTTTTCCCTCCAGCTGGCTGGCTCAGGAATACTCTCACAGTGATGGCAGAAGAGCAAATCTGGAAGTTCAAACACTCAAATGTGTTGTTGGATTTCTGCATGCATCACATGGGCTAACAACTGGTCAAAGCAAATCACATGGCCAAACTAAAAATCAAAGGCCTGGAAGGTAGACCCTACTTTTCTATTAAGATGAACTGCCTAGTAACATAGGAAAAGGTGGTGAAACCATGAAAGATGAAAAATACAGGGCTGCAATGTTATCTACCTCATTTATTTTGATACTCTAGACCTAAGGGGAGTAGTGGATTAACACGGGTACTAGTCTCTGGGTGTTGTGCCATCTGTTGTTGGTTTCCTTAACGATGACAAACTTATAAGTATATTCTTTCAACTAAATTCATTTGAGTATAATGTTTTCAAGACAATGGATTGATATACAGTAGACATAGCTTATGTAAACAACCTGTGTATCAATCCTGTTGACTTAGGCTTTTACCAATAGTTGTTTTCTATCGAACCTTCATTAAAGCTCCACATGGTTAATAATCCAGGGTCTCTTTCATGTAGCTTCATCTCCGTTGTTTTAAGTTCTCTAATTTTAGGAAGTCCATGGTTTTATATTAAGCTGATATGGTTATGCTTAAAACCAGCATGGGACCTGGAGAATGACACACAAGATATCCAACCAATGTAGTTTTTTATGTAATTTCTCTTGTTTGAATAGATGTACCATTCATACTTCTACTACTGTAGAGACGGGTTCACAGGTAGGTAGTGACTAGGAGACATCTACTTTGAAAACTAATAAAAATATTTGGCTGTCTAAAAAATATGCACTACCCAAATCAGTGCAGTATAGGGTAAATAATTTTAAAAAGAATGTTAGGGAGCAAATTCTTGGTGGTTTCTTACATTTATGCATTATCTTACAAATGAGGACACATTTGTACCTTTTTCCAAACTGTGTTTTTAAAAGTGTTTGTATAAGAGCCTTAGAAAATATAGAGTATCTACTTTTGAAGAGCAAAAAATAAACATTCTAACTGAACAGTTAAAAATAATGGGCATACATAAACTCGGGATTTTTCTGCAGTAAGGAAGCTTACCGCTTATGCAGGTTTAACTATCCCTCTTCACATTACCCTGTGAAAACTGGGTCTCAGAAACTGGTGCAGAAATGCCAGTACTCTAGCTATGCTGATTGTTGATAATAAAAAACTCTTCTTTGTATCTGATTCAGGAGTCTTTTATCTTCTACTGTAATTCATACAATTTTGAAAAGATACCTACTTAGATTTCTCGTAGGGTAAAAACTTTCTAATCTTTCACAGTCCTTAAACACAGCTATACATTTTCTACTTGAATTCCTTAAATAACCACTTACTTTGAGCACAAACCATGATCAAGACAATATTATGCACATTGTAATTTATTAGAACTTGCTTTCCACGAATTTTAAAATGTCATGTAAAATATAGATATATTGAAAAGTTTTGTTAAACACACATATTCTATGCAAATGGAGAAATTGAAATTTTATGATGTTATAGCTTATGTTTAAAGTCACTCAGTATCTCAGCTTTTTCATCTGTAAAATGACATTAATAGTAATAACTATTTTGTAGGGTGTTAATTGGTATAAATTTTGAAAGTACATAGGGTTTGATAAATGCAGTGCTAAGTGAAGGTTTTCAGTGAGGATACATTTTATAACTGTTAAGTGTATGGACACAGGCAGGAGTCAAATTGCCTAGTAGTCCATCTTTAAAGCATATACTATGTTTCTTCTTAAAAATTATGATATTTATTTTATTTACATATTATATCTGTTTTTAACATCCTTGAAATTTTATGTTTTATATATAGTTATGCACATATTACATTTTGTTTACATAGCTATATAAAGTCAAGTAATGATAAGATTAAGACATCTTTATCCTGAACTATCTAACTGTTATTTACAGACAGACAAAGTGCTATATTGAAGGTTACAGAAGAATAAAGAAGTTCTGAATAGAACAGAAGCTTTCATAAGGCAGGGGTTATAACGACCAACAGAGACTCCACAAAACCATTTACTCACAAGAGAAAATATGGCACGGATTGGATTAGAAGTGGAAAGACTAATGCATTTTTGTCCATAAGGATTAGAAGAAAAATGGTTCTCTCAGCTCTGCAAGTGAGCACAACAAGCAATCCAAAAGCATTATTTGTGTGAAGCAGTTTGTAGAATTTGTTCCATTTGTCACTAGAACTAGTGTTTGAAGCTCAGCAAAAGTTGAGTTATGGTTAAGCCCCAGGGTCAGTGGCCACGTGTTCAGAGTAGTACCTTAGGTTTAAAGCTGATTCACAACCTGAAAAACACTCAGTGGTGTTCTCTCCCAAATTATCAATCATTACCTTGTGGTGTTTTAAAAAGAGGATAGAAGATTGCTTGACCAGAAAATAATGACAATAAAAAGGAAATTATATATAGTGTGTGTGTTTATGTATTACACATATAATACATAATGTGAATTTTCCCCCATGATAACTATTAAACATGTTTATTTAATAGTTAAATATCCATCTTTGAGGGCTTTTAAAATTTATATTTCTTTGTTAACTTTGAAGTTGAGACTGCATGCAAAGGCTGCTCCATTTCAGGTAAATAGTGCCTCAGTAGCTGTTTGATTTACCTTAAAAAGGAAAACAAAATGACACACCTTCCAACCCATAGACTTTCTGAGGTCTTTGAAATACAACAATAACTAGAAGAGGAGAATTTGCGTAGTATAGTGATATGGTTTGGCTGTGTCCCCACCCAAATCTCATCTTGAGTTATGGTTCCTATTATCCCCACGTGTTATGGGAGGGACCAGGTGAAAATAATTAAATAATCAGAGCAGTTTTCCCCATCCTGTTCTCATGATAGTGAGTTAGTTCTCATGAGACCTGATGGCTTTATAAGGGGCTTCCTGCTTCACTGGGTACTCATTCTTCTCTCTCCTGCCACCATGTGAAGAAGGACATGTTTGTTTCCCCATCCACCATAATTGTAAGTTTCCTGTGGCTTCCCTAACCATGTGGAAGTGTGAGTCAATTAAACTTCTACCCTTTATAAATTGCCCAGTCTCAAGTATGTTTTTAAGCACCAAGAGAATGGCCTAATACAGTACATTGTTACCAAGAATGGGGTGCTACTATAAAGATACTCAAAAATGTGGAGGTAAATTTGGAACTGGGTAACGGGCAGAGGCTGGAACAGTTTGGAGGCCTCAGAAAAAGACAGGAAAATGTGGGGAAGTATGGAAATTCCCAGAGACTTGGAGGGCTCAGAAGACAGGAAGATGTGGGAAACTTTGGAATTTCCTAGAAACTTGTTGAATGGCTTTGACCAAAACGCTGATAGTGATACGGGCAATGAAATCCAGGCTGAGGCAGTCTCAGATGGAGATGGGGAACTTGTGGGGAACTGGAGTAAAAGTCACTCTTGCTATGCAAAGGGACTGACAGCATTTTGCCCTTGCCCCAGAGATCTGTGGAACTTTAAACTTGAGAGAGATGATTTGGGGTATCTGGTGGAATAAGTTTCTAAGCAGCAAAGTGTTCAAGAGAAAGCAGAGCATAAGAGTTTGAAAAAGTTGCAGCCTGACAATGTAATAGAAAAGAAAAACCCATTTTTTCTTGACAGAAATTCAAGCCTGCTGCAGAAATCTGCATAAATACTTAGGAGTCAAATATTAATCACCAAGACAATGGGGAAAATGTTTCCAGGGTGTGTAAGAGACCTTCATGGCAGTCCCTCCATCACAGGCCCAAAGGCCTAGGAGAGAAAACTGTTTTGGAGGGCTCTCTTCTCTATGCAGCCTCAGGATATGGTGCCCTGCACCCCCGCTGCTTCAGCTCCAGTCATGGCTAAAAGGGGCCAAGGTACAGCTCAGGCTGTTACTTCAGAGGGTGCAAGCTCCAATCCTTGGCAGCTTCCACATGTTATTGAGCCTGTGGGTGTGCAGAATACAAGAATTGAGATTTGGGAACC
Organism: Homo sapiens; assembly: GCF_000001405.40. Lineage (NCBI taxonomy): Eukaryota > Metazoa > Chordata > Mammalia > Primates > Hominidae > Homo > Homo sapiens. Next base: position 23,360,182 of record NC_000021.9, on the reverse strand, counting down.
TCTGCCTAGATTTCAGAGGATATATGGAAATGCCTGGATGTTCAGGCAGAGATTTGCTGCAGGTACAGGGCCCCCATGGAGAACCTCTGCCAGGGCAGTGTGGAAGGGAAATGTTAGGTTGGAGTCCCCATAAAGTTTCCCCAGTGAGGAACGCCTAGTGGAGCTGTGAGAAGAGGGCCACCGTCTTTTAGACCCCAGAATGGTAGATCAACTGACAGCTCTCACCATGCACCTCAAAAAGCTGCTGACACTCAATGTCAGCTATGAAAGCAGCCTGGAGTGGTGCTGGACCCTGCAAAGCCACAGAAGCAGAACAGCCCAAGGCTGTGGGAGCCCACCTCTTGCATCAGCATGCCTTAGATGTGAGACATGGTGTCAAAGGAGATCATTTTGACCTTTAATGGTTAATGACTGCCCTATTGGATTTTGGAACTTTATGGGTCCTGTAGCCCCTTTGTTTTGACCAACTTCTCCCATTTGGGATGGGTGTATTTACCAAATGCCTGTACCCTCATTGTATCTAGAAAGTAACTAACTTGCTTTTGATTTTGCAAGCTCATAGGAAGAAGGGACTTGCTCTGTCTCAGATGAAATTTTGGATTTGGACTTCTGAGTTAATGCTGGAATGAGTTAAGACGTTGGGGGAGTGTTAGAAGGGTGTAATTATCTTTTGAAATGTGAGGACATGAGATTTGGGCATGTCCAGGGCAGAATTATATGGTTTGGCTGTGTCCCCACCCAAATCTCACCTGGAACTGTAGTTCCCATTTTCTCCACATTTTGTGGGAGGACCAGATTGAAATAATTGAATCATGGAGGCAGTTTCCCCCATTCTGTTCTCATGATAGTAAGTTCTCACGAGATCTGATGGTTTTATAAGGGGCTTCCCCCTTCACTGGGCACTCATTCTTCTCTCTCCTGCCACCATGTGAAGAAGGACATGTTTGCTTCCCTTTCTGCCATGAGTGTAAGTTTCCTGAGGCTTCCTCAGCCATGCTGAACTCTGAGTCAATTAAACCTTTCCTTTATAAATTATCCAGTCTCTGGTATGTCGTTATTGAAAGTGTGAGAACAAACTAATACATACAGAAAATAGGCATTTGAAATTTATCCATGATATTTTCTGGTCCTTATGTTTACAAGTTGACAGCTTATAGAAACAAAGCATTTCTCAACTATAAAATTCCAAAATGATTTCATAAACAGCTAGATGATTCTTTTATCACCTTTATAGAACCAACGTCTAAAATGTGACATAGAGGAAGGACTTTATCAATCTAAACATGGACATTGGCCAGGCATGGTGGCTCATGCTTATAATCCCAGAACTTTGGGAGACCGAGGTGGGTGGATCACTTGAGGTCAGGAATTCGAGAACAGCCTGGCCAGCGTGGTGAAAGTGCATCTCTACTAAAAATACAAAAATTACCCAGGTGCGGTGATAGGCACTATAAAAAGTAAAGTAGAGGTTCCTCTTCAAAGACTTTCCTCCCCATCTAATTAGGAATAATTAGTAACTTCTCTTTGAAGCAAATTTATTCAAAGACCTGTGCTAATATTCTTAAATATGTGCTAGCCATAATAAAGAAATCAATGTGCTTTATGTTCTTAGCTCCCACAATTTCCCCTAAATATCTGCCCTGGCATGCTTATACTGGTCCAAGCAAGTATTAGGTCATAGCTTGTTCCTCTTCCTTATGTGAAGGTGTTTTTACCTTTCTCAGCATTCCACAAGTTACTTCCTCCTTCCTTTGTTCTCCTCTGCCTTTGCCTCTTCTAAAAGTTCTAAGTTGCTAGCCAATCAGGACAAATACAGAATGTGAGGTCCCGTTCCAGCCAATGGAAACTGGATACAGCAGTAGGGTTGACGTGTCAGGTTATAAACGACCCTGTCTCCTTTGTTTGGTGTACTCTCGTGGCAAAACTGCTGGCAAGTGTACCCTGTCTACAGAAAGCAAAAAAAAAAAAAAAAAAAAAAAAAAAGGGCTTTGCTGAGGAAATTAAATGTATGTTCAAGTGTTATTTCTTTACGGCACTGGGGAACAAGCATTCCTAGTAGCACCTCTCATCCCAGCCATTCTGGCGGCTGAGGCAGGAGAATAGCTTGAACCTAGGAGGTGGAGGTTGCAGTGAGCTGTGATCACACCACTGCACTCCAGCCTGAGTGACAGAGTGAGACTTCGTCTGAAAAAAAGAAAAAATGGATATTGGCTACTTCTATTATTTAACATTAAAATGACTTCAATATTTTAAATCTTTTGAAATAAGTTTTTAGCTTGTATACACAGTAAACCCAATGAAAAAACTTAACTGTCAAGAAGCAAATCAATACTGGACATATGTCAAGTATTATTTTAGACACTAGGTACCTGACATCATTGCTGTGGTTGGAAGAACTCTAAGGTAGTTTTTATGCTACCCCTCAATCTGTTGTATAAGCTCGGTAAAATCAAATTCCCATAAGCTGTGGGTGAGACCCAAAGACATGAAAGAATATTCACCCCTTTGATTTGGTTACTTTATATAGCAAAAGTGATGAGATTGTGCTTGGTTTTCTCATATAACATCCACTTTTCCAAATGTTGACATAAATCGAGTATATTACAATGGAATTCAATTCTGCCATTAACTACCCAGAGTTAGCATAGACCCTACTAGTTAAAAGCTCAGTTCCACAAGACTTCCAACAGCTTAGATGCGGCAAGTAGGAATTCCAAGGAACCCGTACTTCTTCCAGGCCTACTGCAAATTTGGGTGTTTTCAAAACCTGAACTCAGATTTGACAATTTGTTTGATTAACACACAAAACTTAGAAAGGCACTATAATAATTACAGCTTTACTCTAAAAGATGCAAATAAACAAACTAATAATGTGGTACATAAGGTGACATCCAGAAGGGTCCTGAGCACACAGAAGCTTCACTCCCCAGGGTAGCTGGAGTGTGTCAGACTCCCAGCAGGTAAATGTGTTCACCAACCTGCATGCTTACCCAAATCTTTCTATTTAGAGTTTTGTTTTTGTTTTTTTTCGTGGTTTCATGACAAGTTTCATAGTTTCAAGTAGGTATAATCTAACCCTTGAGCTTGGTGCCCTGGCTCATGCCTATAATCCTAGAGACTCAGGAAGCTGAGGTGGAAGTATCACTTGTGGTTACTAGGAGTTCAAGTCCAGTCTGACAACATAGTGAAACCTCATCTCAAAAAAAAAAAAAAAAGAAAGAAAGAAAGAAAAAGAAGAATACAGAAATTAGCTGAGTGTGCCCCTGTAGTCTCAGCTACTTAGGGGGCTGAGGTAAGAGGATCACTTGAGCTGAGAAGTTTGAAGCTACAGTGAGCTATGATTGCAGCATTGCACTCCTGCCTGGAAAACAGAGAGAGACTCCATTTGACTAAAAAATAAAAATATATGTATATAAAAAAAAGAGAGAGCGAGAAGAGAACAAAACAAAACAAAAAGAAAACAATTTCTAACCCTCTAATCTCTGGGTTGGTTTTTCACATTCTTGAACTGATGACTCCAGCCCCCATCCTGAAGTTATCTAGCCCTTATTTCAAAGAGTCATCTCATTAACATGCAAAACATACTGTTCTCACTCAGGAAATTCCAAGGGTTTTAGGATCTCTTTGCCAGGAATCAGAGACAAAGCAAATATATTTTAATTATATTACAGATGGTCAATTCAATGATTACATTACCTTGTACAGTCATGCATGGCATAGCAACGTTTTGGTCAACCATTGACCACATATACAATGGTGGTCTTTTAAGATTATAATACCATAACTTTATTGTACCTTTTCTGTGTTTAGATATACAAATACTTACCACGGTGTTACAATTGTCTGCAGTATTCAATACAGTAACGGTATTTAATACAGTAACTTACAAGCAATAAGCTTTACCATATAGCCTAGGTGCATAGTATGTTAGCCCATCTAAATTTGTTTGAGTATACTCTACAATGTTTGCATTATAAAATCACCTAACAATGCATTTCTCAGACCATATCCTCATCATTAAGTTAAGCAATGCATGACTGTATAAGATTCTGTATTAGCAGACTACAGAGAGTATCCACCTGGCCTTGAAGCAAAATCCCACCTCTGGAGAGCGCCTTGTTGCATAGAATGGTGAGTGGGCTCCAGGATCTGAGTATGGCTCCAGTTGACAACTAATGAGAAACCAGGAACCACTGTCCTTTAACTGCAAGTGATATGGAGCAAAAAACTGTCTTAGAGGGCTGCAGTCCCCCCAGCATGAAAATAAAGAAAAATCTTTAGTTCCATCAAGGGAAATTCCAGGCATCTAGCTAGCTCTGCAAAGTAAATGAGCAACTTGATAAACATAGAGGAATAGTAGCTTAAAAAACAGCAAAGCATGCCAGGTGCAGTGGCTCACGCCTGTAATCCCAGCACTTTGGGAGGCTGAGGCAGGTGAATCACCTGAGATCAGGAGTTTGAGACCAGCCTGGCAAACATGGTGAAACCCCGTCTCTACTAAAAATTCAAAAATTAGCTGAGAGTGGTGGTGGGCACTTGTAATCCCAGCTACTCGGAAGGCTGAGGCAGGAGAATTGCTTGAACCCAAGAGGTGGGGGTTGCAGTGAGCCGAGATGGTGCCATTGCACTCCAGCCTGGGCAAGAAGAGCAAGACTCTGTCTCAAAAAAAAAAAAAAAAAATAGCAAAGGAAGTTAGAATCGTGGGAGGTTATTTCCTTATAGAAACTAAAGATAATATCTTAACATATGCCCTTGAATTGTTTTTCAGAAACCTGGACCCCCAACAAAAAGACCTGTTGACATGTAGACCTCAGATAAGGGAGAACTGAGGATTGAGCTCTGATCACAATTCTTTTTTCTACTGTTCTTCCTGAGGGGCCTGGAGGAAGTCACATCCACAAGCCAGAGCTAACCCTTTTTCTGCTGACCCCAAATTTTTAAACAAAGCTTCTTTTCCTTAACCAATTGCAAATCAGAAAATCTTCAAATTTGCCTAAGACCTGTAAGCTTCTGCTTCAATATGTCACACCTTTTCTTAGGCCAAACCAATGTATAAACTCCGTGTATTAATTTAGACTGTAACTTCTGCACTCCTGAAAATTTCCCCCGGCTTTGAAAACCCTTTCTTGTAAGCCAGCCGGGAGTCTGGGTCTTAAACATGAGCTGCCTGATTGTCCTTGCTTGGTGCCCTGCAATAAATGCCTGATTGTTGTGGTGCAGTTTGGATGTCAGTATTTCGCTTTGCTGGACCACGGAGGCCGACCTATGTTTGGTTCATTCACTAACATAAGGAAGTGGATTCTGCTAAAACACAGTGAGCTTAGAACTGAATGCTGAGACTCTCTGATGAGATCATAGCTCGGCTGACATTTTTATTTTAGCTTGGTTGAGACTATAAGCAGAGAACCCTGCCCAGAATCCCTACTCAAGGAAACTGAGATAATAAATTTTCATTGTTCTAAGCCACTGTTTGTAATAGTTCCTTACACAACAACAATAATAATAAGAGTAATAAAAACTAATTCACTTGCTTTCATGGAACTTACGATTATTAAGTGAGACACATTATGAATATCTGCCCAAAAAGTAAATAATACAATTTCAGAAAAATAAGTGCTTTGGAGTACATTAATATAGGTGAGGTGTAAGAGAAGGTGAATAGTGTCTCAATGATAGAAGTGTGGATACCAAAACACTATTAAACCCACCCAGTTTTTTCATACACATTTCTGTTGGATGAACATAGAAATTGACCCTTCTGGGCTTTAAGCTTGAAACTTACGTTTGTTTTATCTGAGTTCCTTCCCCAGGAAAGGATCCCAAAGGCCTCTAAAAAAGTATACAAAAACCTGAAACTAACCAGATTATTGCATTCAGATGATGAGATGCCAGGACCCTCATTCATCATGATTGTTCCTTATCCTCCCTGCGTTCCCCACACAGTTACATTTCTTCCCTGCTATATAAACCCCTAATTGTATTCAGTCAGGAAGATGGGTTCGAGACTGATCTCTCATCTCCTCAGCTGCATCACCTGATTAAAGCCTTCTTTTTTGGCAATGCTCATCCTCTCAGTCATTGGTTTTCTGTGCAGTGAACAGCAGGACCTAGACTGAACTCCTGGTATTTTGGTAACAACTGCAAGAAGGCTCAAATTGCTGAAATTCAAAGGAAGTCAACACATTGTAAGAAGAGCCAAGAGGGTACATGGCAGAGCAGAATTTGACACATTATAAGATGAGCCAGGAGGGTATATGGCAGAGCCAAGAGGGTACATGGCTAGAGGTGTCGTAAGGGAGTCTGCTAGGGGAGAGTCTGGACAGGAAGGAAAGGGTCAGATAATGAAAGATCATGGCAGTAATTCATTTCTACATTTTGAAACTTAATAATCTATTTTTTATAATTTTAAAAGCATTGACCATTTTTGAGAGAGAATTTCTGTAGCTTGTTTAGTGTTTTCAAACTCTGTTAATATACTTATTTTTCTAACTAATCTTCAGTTAATTTTGATGATGTATTTTATTTTTACACAGCCGACTATTTAATTGTTGTACCCAACTTTACATATAATTGTACACTGAGCTCCAATTATCTGTATATAATTGGGAATCAAAGCCTGTGAGTGACACTTTGTTTTCTGAGTGATCTTTGGAATTAATTAACATTGATACTGTGTTTCTGATTTTCTATGTATTAGCGTTATGCTTGGGTCATCAGAGATTTATTCTTATTCTACTTTGTGGTTATCTTGTATTTAACAACTCTATGTAGCTAATCCCTAATTGAATCAATTGTTATCATTTCATCATAATAAAATAATCATCAGTAACAAGGCGTGCTGGAGCTACTGGCGTGCATTGGCTTACAAAAGACCACCATGGACATTATTTCCCAACTCCCTTATCAGTGGTGCCATCTTGAGAGTTTGAAATTGTCAACAGTGGAAATAGTTGTATCACAAAATCAGCAAATATTACAATAATAGGTTTTGTTTCCTCAGAAAGACAGTTAAATTTTACTAGCATACCAGTGATGAGACACAACCTTTCTGTATGTCAATTTATAAAAATTTCAACATGAGACTTTCTTTAAATCCTACTGGCTTGTCTTGACTTTCTGTGACTCATAAAAGAAATTTTTGAAAAAAAAACTTTGTTTTGATTGCGATTTATTCCTATGTAGTTATTTACATGTATATTTTTGTAATTACAATTAATGTAATAAAATTTAACTTATATGTATAAGAAGTTAATTAAACAATGGCTTATTCTGGATGCTGAAATTAATATAGATTAATCACATTCAATTACATTCACTAATTAGAATTTCTCTTCATACCAACATCTTCCTATTCCTCAAATAAATTATAATTTAGGGACACAGTATAGCTTTCTGTTGGTAGGTAATTTTTGGTCACAAAATAAAAAGTTGTCACTGCCATAACATTTTCTCATCCTATTAACTGGAAAGAAATATATGCCCAGCACCATATCTAAGCACAAGGGAAAAATGGAGAATAACTGCTTCTTTCCCCACAGTGTTTAATTTTGTCAGAGGAGGAAACTAAAAAGCAAAACAAAAAACACATTTTAAATATCTTGATAACAAAAATAGGATTATATTTGTATCTTATTGAAAAACAATATGTAATTAAATAAAAAGTAATGTAATAATTATTTCTGCATCTTAAAACATTTTATGTATGGAGCTTAAGAATAAAGAACCAAAAATATAAGGCTGTGATATGTATAATGTGGATTTAATTGTAATTTTTTATAATAGTTTATTTTCCTCTCCAAATAATCATGAGTTGCACTCATTTATATATTTTCACTCCAAATATCCAACCTTTTCTAGAAATTTCTAGTATGCCAGTGACCTGTACCAATTTCTTTCTAGGAAAACAATAAGAAGAATCAGATTGTAACTTTCATTCTGCAGCCGACTCAGTCATCTGGGGTTTCATTTTCCTCCCTGGCTACACCAACTTCTATTATTTCTGATAGGAATGAAACTCTTCAATGCCTTTGGAATGAGCAGTGCAAGCAATTGGGTGGCATTTAATGTACAAGACCAATTCATAAGCCATTTACACAGGTTCCATTCCTTTTTCTCAGATTCTTAAAATACATTTGGTTGTTTACCTCACAAAAGAGGATAAACATTTTGTCAGATTTTTGGTGTCCATTGAAATTCTCGTACTAATATCACTGATTATTTTTTATGCTCCAAATAAATAAGCATTACTTATTGAAGTATATGAATGTTCTTCATAGTGTTTATCAAGTCAGATTAAATATTCTGTATAATACTTTTTGTTTTTCTTTAAACATTTAATCATTTTACTTCTCAGATTAAGATTATTTTGAGGGCAATTCAAGATATAAATTGTCCTTTTTGTTTTATCCTAAGGGAAAAAAAAGAAGCAAATCAAAATGATAGTTATTTCTTAGAACTGTTCAATGCGACGCTATGTATTTTGTTTTTACTCTATATTTAGAGTAATGAGATGAAATAAACAATAATTTCAAAATTGGATAACTAGAAAATTTAAGTATATTCTTACTAGGTATTTGTTGACACATGTTCAACAATAAAAGTGTAAGCTAAAACTAGAGGACCTGAAAATATAAGACGTATTACTTATGAATTTGAAAGCAATATATATTTTTCCAAGCACACCTGTGGCTTGATATACAATATTAATTGCCAATAAGTGTGCATAACTTCAGTCTTAATTATTAAGTTAGGTAATAATACAATTTAACATTAATGAGAGGGTATAATTGAAAATGAAAAGGAGTGCTACAAAACAAATAAGCATACATTTGTCATATTAAGTCACTAAATGACAATGTGGTTTTTAAAATTTTTCATTTTATTTTTATTTTTTTTTTTAGAGACGGGGTCTCACTATGCTGCCCAGGATGGTCTCTTAACTCCTGGCCTCAAGCAGCCTTCCTGCCTGGTTCTCTCTCCCAAAGTGCATATATGAGTCTAATATGATTTACAAATATTTTATTCTATTGTATAGGTTGTCTTTTCACCTTCTTGATAGTGTTTTTTGAAACATGAAAGTCTGATAAAGTCCAATTCATCTATGTTTTACCTTTTGTTGCCTATGCTTTTAGTGTTATTTCTAACACAGAACTCCCCATTTGTATGAACTTTCATGTCCTCAGTCCACATGGCCATCACCAGTGTTGTGTTCACATAATGGGACAGCTAACTGGTCAAAATATGTAAACCAGCCAGGCGTGGTGTCTCACACCTGTAATCCCAGCACTTTGGGAGGCCAAGGCGGGTGGATCACGAGGTCAAGAGATAGAGACCATCCTGGCCAACATGGTGAAACCCCATCTCTAGTAAAAATACAAAAATTAGCTGGGCATGGTGGCGTGAGGCTGTAGTCCCAGCTACTCAGGAGGCTGAGGCAGGAGAATCACTTGAACCTGGGAGGCAGAGGTTGCAGTGAGCCGAGATCACCACTACACTCCAGCCTAGTGACAGAGTGAGACTCTGTCTCAAAAAATATATATATTATATATATTTATATAATTATATGTATTATATATTTAAATTATATGTATATTAGATATATTCATATAACTATAAATATATATTAGATATATTCATATAACTATAAATATATATTAGATATATTCATATAACTACAAATATATATTAGATATATTCATATAACTACAAATATATATTAGATATATTCATATAACTACAAATATATATTAGATATATTCATATAACTACAAATATATATTAGATATATTCATATAACTACAAATATATATTAGATATATTCATATAACTACAAATATATATTAGATATATTCATATAACTATAAATATATATTAGATATATTCATATAACTATAAATATATATTAGATATATTCATATAACTATAAATATATATTAGATATATTCATATAATTATAAATATATATTAGATATATTCATATAATTATAAATATATATTAGATATATTCATATAATTATAAATATATATGATATATTCATATAATTATAAATATATATTAGATATATTTCTATAATTATAAATATATATTAGATATATTCATATAATTATAAATATATATGATATATTCATATAATTATAAATATATATTAGATATATTTCTATAATTATAAATATATATTAGATATATTTCTATAATTATAAATATATTATATATTTCTATAATTATAAATATGTTATATATTTCTATAATTATAAATATGTTATATATTTCTATAATTATAAATATGTTATATATTTCTATAATTATAAATATGCTATATATTTCTATAATTATAAATATGTTATATATTTCTATAATTATAAATATGCTATATATTTCTATAATTATAAATATGTTATATATTTCTATAATTATAAATATGTTATATATTTCTATAATTATAAATATGCTATATATTTCTATAATTATAAATATGTTATATATTTCTATAATTATAAATATGCTATATATTTCTATAATTATAAATATGTTATATATTCCTATAATTATAAATATGTTATATATTCATATAATTATAAATATGTTATATATTTATATAATTATAAATATATATTTATATTATATATGTGTGTATATATATATGTATATATATATGTACACACCTCAGTCTGGGTCAATATGTGTCTGTCATGGCATTTTGACTTGAGTTTGAGTACATAATACTCTTACTAGCAATGTCAGAAGGTATGGGATACAAAATTATAATCTTGTTGGTAGATGCATTTCCTACCCCATGGAGAACGTCTGCAGTTAAAATCAAACTAATATGAGAAGAAACTCAGAGAGACGATGCCCGAGATATGGTTCTGATTACTCAAGCCTCGAGTTACAGTGTCCCTGATGCCCACTTCTGTCTCTCAGCTTCATTTTAGTAAAATTGTTTGATACTAAGTTCAATGTCTTAGAAAGTTCTTGTTCCTTTATTTTTAAGCTAAGTCATTTTGAGATTTCTTCCCATTCATGCAAATGAGTCTAACTAATACATAGATAATTTGAGATACATAGAACATTAAAATGGAAAATGATGCTTAATCAACCAAATTACCACTGCATTGATTTTATTTATCCTGTAAGTTAAATAATTACACTGACTTCCTTGTCTCCTCACCAAGAACCACTCCCTCGTCACTCTAAATTTCATGTGTTCACTATCATGCTTCTTTTTTCCCCTTAAATACTTTTTCTGCTTCTGAATTTCTCCAAACTTATATCTTAACCGTCAAGGATCACACATCCTAAGTACCCACGTTTTATGTTCTTTCCCTTAATTAGTTACTTAAACATTGCCTGTTTTTTCAATTGTATAATGATGCCCATTGTTTTAGTAATTTTTAAATTTGATCTTAATAAATAATAACCTAGCAAGACTAGCTCAAGAAAGCAGAAATTTATGTGTCACAGACTAGAAAATGTTATTGATCTTTAAGTTCAAGAAATATAAAGCTGCATGACATAGGGAATGGATAATCACAAGCAAAAATTACCTGGCCTTTTTTGCACAGATTCATCTTCTCCAATCTTTATTTTTCTTTCTATACCTTTTCTACTGTAATGTTTTCTTCATAATAGTCAAACTTGCTCCCTTGCAGACTCTCCAACAGCCAAAATCTATCTGTTACCTAAAACAGCACAGAATAATATCCAAAAATGTAAAGACTAAAAATAATGCACTTTTATTATCTCAGAGTTTCTGTAGGTTGTGAGACCAATTGTGGCTTAGCTGTGTCCTCTGTTTCAAGGCTGCGATCAAGGTGGGGGTCAGGGCTGGGGTTGCATCTGAAGGTGCAAATAGGGAGGAAGTAACCCCTAAGTTCGCACATGTGTCTGTTGGCAGGATTTACTTACTCAGGAGGTGTTGGACTGAGGACATCAGAGTTTTGATTTTTAAATAATATTTATAATATTTTTGGCTGCTGAACATAGGTCAGCCTTATTTATGTTACATGAGCAGCTTGTTTTAACATGGAAGTTTGCTTCAACAAAACAGCAAAAGAGTTTGTCAGTCCTGTGTATACACACACACACACACACACACACGCACTGTTTTTTATATTGTGTATGTATATATACACACTATAGATACATATTTGTATATTGTGTGTATATATATGTGTGTGTATACAAAACAATACATCTACATTTTACATATAAACTCTGTATTTAGATAAACTATATATATATATATATATATATATGTGTGTGTATAGCTTAAGCATGGAAGTAAAACACCATCATTTTTGCCATATTCTGTTCATTAGAAGTAACTCAATAGGTGCAGCCAGCTTGAAAGGGAGTAGTAAATACACAAGGTCATGAATCCTAGGAGGTGAAAATCACAGAAGCCTATCTTAGAAGACTATCTCCACAGTATTATTATTGTTATACATTTTATGTTAACTTTTCTCATTTATTCATCAAATCAAAAGATACTTATTGAGTTACTGCTATATATCAAATAGCACGTTGGGATTTGGAAAATCAAGAAGGAGTTATTTTTACATGATGCTTGCCTTCATGCAGTTTACATTCTTGCCTGGAAATAAAAATTCCAAAGAAACAAGTGAAAAAACAAACATTTAAAATAAGACCTGTATAAAAAAACTAAAGAGACTGGTCTGGACAGTGAAGCAATGTTAGTTTCTATAGGAAAATGCAATGTAATTAGAGGCCGGAAGTTATTTTGAAGAATCAAGAGAGAAAAATCAAAGGGAAGGAGATGGAAAAGTGTTTCCTTGGAAGTTAAACGGTATGTTTGATAAGCTGGAAGAAAGATATAAACGAAACTTTGAGGTCATGAAGAAGGATCTGTGTTGCTGAAACCCAGAAAACAACTCAGGAAATGAACCTAGTTAGATTAGCCAACTGGACTTACTTGCCTCTAAATGCTCTAGTAAGAACTGTAGATCTTACTGTTGGTAACTTTGAACAGTATTAAACAGGAAAGTCACAAGTACCATTTTTTAGACAACATTATATCGTTTAAGGCACAGCTTTTATAACAGAGCATGATTTATATCATACATTGTCAAAACATATAGATCACTTCCCTCTAATGTGATCTGTACACTGTTGAGCCCAATACCATGTGAAGAGTTTTTAAAGATAATTTTAAACACTTTCATTCCTTCAACCACCTCCAGTAACTCTACACTGCATTTTATTATATAAATTATGTTTATGGGGCAATTAACAGTATCAAAGTAGGAAAAAATAATGTACTTACATGTGCGTATGTTCATCTATTTTACATGAGGTTTAACTTCTGAAGTAAATGTGTAGTTTAGCTTATGGATATTTCTGTTTCATTACAGAAATACTTCAAAATTCTACTCTTGAAATATGACTTGCCGTCATTTTAGGGACTAAATGGAATGAGTTGATCTTAACATCCACGTTTTAAGTGCTATCATCACAAGTTAGCAATGAGACTGAGATAATAGACTTCTTAGAGATGAGGGCTTTGCAATAAGTTATTTTGTCCGCTGTCATGCTCCCACACACACAAAAAAATGAATAGTGTTACACTACACTAACAGAGCAAACTGTAGAACATATTAAACTGCAATGCTATTGCTGAATCTAATGTTAAAACATGAAGTGTGGTATGGGGGGTGGTGTGTTTTCATGTTGAAATAATGTTTAATTTTTGTGGTTTTTAACAGAGCTTTCTTTGTGCTATTTTGGCCATTCTGATTATTGTTGAGCCAGTAGGAGTATCTGCAGAAAACAAAATAGATCCATATTTAGATTTTTATATTTTATTTTCAGGCAGCATATAGCTGGGTCTTTTATCTATTAAGCCACTCTGTCTTTTAATTAGTGAATTTAATAGATTTATATTCACAGTAATTATTAATTGGTAAGGACTTACCACTGTCTTGTATTATATGTTCCCTGGGTGTTCTTTAGATCTGTTATTCCTTTTTTCCATGCTTGCTGTCTTCCTTTGTGATTTGATGATTTATGTTAATGACATGCTCTGATTCTCTTCTCTTTATCTTTTGTGTATCTACTATAGGTTTTTTCTTGGTGATCATAGCAGTCCATTTTAGGCTGTAACAACTAACCTTTATCAAAGACATCCTCCCATTTTATGTTTTTGATGTCACAATCTACATCTTATATATCTTGTACACATTTTGCCTTGTATATCTCAGCAAATTATCGTAGATATAGTTATTTGTAACAGTTTTGTCTTTTAACCTTTATAATAGAGATATGTGATTTACATACCCCTATTACAGTATTAGAATATTACCAATTTGACAATATATCTACCTTTGCAGGTAAGGATTTTTCTTTCCTATATTTTCATCTTTTAATTAGTATTTATTTATTATTATTATTGTGACAAGATCTCTCTGTTGCCTAGGCTGGAGGGCAGTGCCACAATCTCAGCTTACTGCAACCTCTACCTCCCACTGATCCCTCCACCTCAGTCTCCAGAAGAGCTGGGACTACAAGCCCACGCCACTTGGCCTGGCTAATTGTGTTTTCAGTAGAGATGGGTTTTCACCATGTTACTCAGGCTGATGGCAACGATCCTGGGCTCACGCAATCTCCTTGCTTCGGCTTCCCCAAATTTACCATGCAGCAAAGCGGTTGCTCTGTTTTCATTAAGATTAATACAAACTAGAATTAAATGCAAAATCTCCTATTTTGTTATACAACTTCTTTAAGGAAATCACAGGTTCCGTGGTACAGAAATTGTTTTTACCATTTAAGCTAGAGTACTATGGTGCTGAAAGAAAGACATACGTCTCAGGCTTATGTAATTTCAGCAGAAATTTTCTTTAAACAAAATATTTATTTTATCTTCTTATTTCTACACATAAACAGAATATTCATGTTGTAGCTTGCATAACTATGTATTGTTGGAAGTAAAGCACAAAAACATTTAGGGCTCATGGCTTAGCTGACAAGACAAAGAAACAAAACATTGAACTCAGTAAGAAATTTTTCCTTGCCAAAACTTAAGGAAGGAAATTCCTATACCTGGGCATCAATAATCTTATAGATTTGTTTCAAAATGACTTTTGTGACACTCAGATTCATTTATATGAATCTGTAAAATTAGCAGTGCATTAGTTTCTATTTTTGTTGGCTGAGAAAGCTTCTGTTCACACAGTGCTTTTAAATAATAGTAGAATTGTAAATATGTAAATAAAAATAAGTTGATAATTTTATTAGTCCATTTTAATACTTCTATAAAGAACTGCCTGCGACCGGGTAATCTATAAAGGAAAGAGTTTTAATTGACTCACAGCTCAGCATGGCTGGGGAGGCTTCAGGAAACTTACAATCATGGTGGAAGGCAAAGGGGAAGCAAGGCATCTTCTTCACAGGCCAGCAGGAAGGAGAAGTGCCCAGTGAAGGTGGGAAGAACCCCTCATAAAACCATCAGATCTTGTGAGAACTCACTCACCATCCTGAGAACAGCATGGAGGAAGCCATCCCTGTGAGCCAATTACCTCCACCTGGTCTCTCTCTTGATACAGGGGGATTATGGGGATTGCAATTCAAGATGAGGTTTGGGCAGGTACACAAAGCGTAACCATATCACTAATTTTTTCATATTTTCAAAGATGTCAAACATCAATTTTGTTAGTTTTCTCTGTTACAGATTTCTCTTAGCCACTTACCTTTTTTTATTTTTTCATTTCAGTTTCAGTGTGGCACTGGTATAAAAATAGGCACATAGACCAATGGAACAGAATAGAGAATCCAGAAATAAACTTTTATCATTATAAGTATTTAATATTTGGCCGGGCGCAGTGGCCGACACCTGTAATCCCAGCACTTTAGGAGGCCGAGGCGGGCGGATCACGGGGTCAGGAGATCGAGACCATCCTGGCTAACACGGTGAAACCCCTTCTCTACTAAAAATACAAAAAATTAGCCGGGAGTTGTGGCGGGCGCCTGTAATCCCAGCTACTCGGGAGGCTGAGGCAGGAGAATGGCGTGAACGCGGGAGACGGAGCTTGCAGTGAGCCCAGATCACGCCACTGCACTCCAGCCTGGGCGACAGAGCGAGACTCCCTCTCAGAAAAAAAAAAAAAAAAAAAAAAAGAACTTAATATTTAAAAAGGTTGAGAAATGGAACATTGCACGTGACATTTTTATCCACACCTCTCAATCGCTTTCCCTTTCTCTCATTATTTCCCCAAATTAATCACAATTATACATCCGTTTGCCTTTTTACTTACTTAGTATTGCTAAACAGTATATAATACTATTTATACTCTTATAACTATAATAAATTTATATAGCGTTGTGCATATAAGCGTGTGTTATATTTATATATATTTATGTATTTAATTTAATTTTTTATTTATATACTCATACTACTCCAGTCTTTAGGCATACTCCATTTTAGTTTCTATTCTCTTGTGTTAATGTACAAATTAGGTTGTTTCTCATTTTCAATATTATGTAATATTCTGAAATTATTGTTAGTGATATTACCTTGTACATATCTAAAGTCAACTATGAATTAACAATTACCTATGTAACAGTTCATCTGGCATTCTAAATGTGTTTTTATTTCAGCAGTGTTCATGGTATCCAACAGGCAAGTTACCAAAGTCTATATCCTTTAATGTTTGATGACATTAGGTCATAGATTTGTCTCTAATCATAGATTTGTTTACTTTAGCATAGTAGTTTCATAAGAAGTTTATCATTCTCAATTTTGTCTTTTCTAAAACATTGGTCATTATTTTTATTTCATTTAACTTTTTTCATTATTGTTTCTATTTTATTTTATGCTGTTTTTATGACTTTCTGTTTCTCAGAAGATAAATACTATTATGCCTAGCAAGAGGTTTTCTTAAATTATTTTTTGTTTCTCTTAGCATGTATTTTAGAAAGTTATTTTTGTCAGACTTCTACAAGACCTTCATTGTCCTGATGTGTTTTTTTAATTTCTTATTTAAAAAATACATTTGCAATTATTAAAATTGTATTATGGGTATATACGCTTCTATTTGCTCTGCTGTTTTCCTCCTTAGTTGCTGGTCAATTCTCCCAGGTCTTCACTATTTTTTTCATTATATTCCTATGATAATCATGTGAGATCACAATAGTTTCAATACTCCATGCTAATCTTTTGACACAATGATATATTTAAAAATATATAGCTCTCCATATAACATTATTCCAAAGAATTGTATGAGACCCTCTCTTCACATTTCACTTACAGAATGATTTCAAAAACAGCCAATTTCATCATAGAAAATAATTGCTTATTTTTCTGATAAATAACATCTCTAAGTTTTTCTCTGTAATGAGGGTGACAATAGGAAAGGGATATATTATTTTCTCTTCTTTCCAACACTGCATTGTTTAATGAGTTAAGGATGTGCATGGCAACATTTCTCGATATAAAGTCAATGGTATTTAATTTAATGATAGATTTTCACCAATTCTGCCAACACATTGCCTGACAGCGTTAGCTTTCTTCTTGTTGAGAATTCCACCATCTTCTGTACTATGATTACTACTTGGTGACAAACTTGTGCAAAACCATTTTTGAGTATATGGGTTAAATGTCATTTTAGAATCATTTGCCAGCAGCAAATACAAATACATTTGCTCTCAACTGAGATAATGTATATGAGTATGCACTAGACATGCTCATATACATATATATGAATAAATATAAATCACTATTTTCAGAGAGACAAATTGATTTAAATTTGCGGTTCCATTGACCTGTCTATGGAGTATAAAAATTATTAGAGCAAACTATAAGTAGGAGCTGAACAGAATTTTTACTTCAGACACTCCAGAAAAGAAATATCATTGGCAGGGAAATTACACAAAAGTAATAACATCAGGTGAGTTTGTTACATTCCAAAGGATACCACCTGAAAACTATTGATTAGTAATTCCTGAGGAAGTTGGCAATGACCATCATATTGGGCTCCCCAGAATATCCAAGTGCACTATTTTAATTCTGTTAGTAATGAATGTCCATATTGTAAAGAGAAATAATTGCATCCTGCATATACATTTATTTTTCTCTCCTTTCCTTCTTTCTCCTGCATGAACTTATTTCCTCCTGCCCAGTTTGGAGTCTAGAAAAGACTTAATTTATGAAACTAAATCCTGAAAACACATGATTATGACTTAATACCTAATTAGACTTTGTACCTTGAGAAGAAAATTGCCTTTGGCTGAAGAATCATTACATACAATGGTCTACAGTGGAGGTTTTTTAAAAGGAATGTGAAAATCTTTTATGTTTGGTCTTTCTTCCACCTTAGAATTAGAATGGTTCAGATCTCTGAGTGTAAAATCACTTTAAACTGGGCTGTTGTCTATAATTCATGTATTCATCATAATTTCCTACTTAATTCTTTTCTGAAAATAAAGAGCAATATATTATATGCTGAATTCCGTTAAAGGATACTGTCACCCCCAAAGCTTAATTATGTTAATAAAATATAAAATTCAGAATTTACATAAGTGAAGAAAATTTTATGTTTTTAACCAAACTGAGTTCCTTTTACATAGAAACCATAATGGATTTAAACTATAATTTGTTTTACAGGGGATATTTATAAGCACTGGAGCTTTTAAAAATGTTGTGTAAATCCCTCCTTCAAAGAAAACAGGAAATACAAATGTCTATCAATTTCTTTAGGGATTTCTAAAAAATCATCTTCTATATTACAAAACCTGTTTGATTATAAAATTAAGCACAGCTGTATTTGAATGTATGGGTTAAATGTCATCTTAGAATCATTTGCCACCATAAAAATACATTTGCTCTCAAATGAGATAATGTATATTAAAATATCTAATAATGTATGTATTAGATATACTTATGCATACATATACACACATATAAATAGAAGTCACTATTTTCAGAAAGGTAAATTGATTGAAATTTGCAGTTTTATTTACATGTCTGTGAAATACAAAAATTGTTATAACAAAATATAGGTAGAAGCAGAAGACAGAGTTTTGACTGTGTGAAAATCCAAATTGGCTATTTGTTGCTTACACTTCCACTAAAATAAAAATTCAAGCAATTTTTATTAACTCTTTGAGTACACAAAGTAGAATTAAGTAATTAAAAACTCAGTGTTGTTTACTTAAAAATACCATTTTGTACCTGAGAGAGAGAAGAAGACAGCACACTTAGAAAGGTCTTGGAGGGAGGAGGTCCTGGGATCATAGTGGGAAGTTGGCTAAGGAATGGAAATGTTTGTGTCTTTATCTGAATGTGATGCCTGAGAGAATAATGGCAAACAATAACATTCGCTCAAGAAATACAATCATTTTATTTTTGAAATATTATTGTTTCTGTAGTTTTAAGACATTTTTCAAATTACATTTCAATAGGTGTTTGGTACTGAGATTCTCCAAAATCTGCTATCTAATAATGGGGTAGCATCCTGCTGACTGAATAAAATGAATATCTTAGAATTTTTGTGTGTGTGTGTGAGTTTCAATCTTGCCTTAATACAAGGATTTCTCTCTCTCTGTTTCTCATAGAAAGTTCACAGAAAGTTGAGCCTTTCTCCAAGCAATTGTGTTCGACAGGACAACTTAGGAATCAAATTAGAAAGGCTGCACCTTGCCATAACCATGTGTCATCTGGTGCTGCCTTTTCTGGACAGCACACACCCACACAAAATGCTGGAGATTCTCATACTGGCAGTTTAGTTCTTCAAACTGTGAGTAATGTATGCTGCTTGCATTTACAATTGCTTGTTCAAATTAGCCACATGACCCTTTCCTACACAAGGAGGGCAGCATGTATAACTTTTTCGTGCCTGGAGAAAAGGACAAACGGATATAGATAAACTCTGGTATGTTTACTACACTGGACATCCTGGGTGATCAAGCACTCAGCTGAAAATAAAGGCCTAATGCACAGTTACGGTTAGATGATGCTTATCTAAGAGATTAAGATTAACATTATAAAACTTTCTGGTCTTTTATTTTTGCCTCATAGCACAACAGTAGAAAGTGTATGCTGCAAAATCTGAAGAATTGATATTCTTTTACCATAAGTGAGAAATCTCAGCTTCTGAGTGATTCTGTAAATTCATCATGTTCACATAGTAATAAATTGTCTGAAAGAATTTGTACCCACTTCAGAGTGGCTCCAGTGTCAGTAATTTTCCCATTATGTAACTCTGTTGCCCAAGAAGAATGAGAAATGAAACCTATCCTTCAATTCACTACTGAGAAAATTGAAGACAAAAATCACTAACTGATATGTCCTGAGACTTATGATTAGATAGTACAAGAGTCAGAAAGGAGAATCTAGGTTATCTGAAACCCTGTTCTGAGGATAAAATGGAAGGGGCTGTATAATGTGATTAATGGCACAGGACATTAGAGGAATATCAGTGTTTAGAATATAGGATGTGATTATTAGGAGGCTTTGATAATCCTTAAAGCCATGACTGTAGAGACCTGCAGAGTCTAAAAGGGAAAATGAGAGGTAGATCTGTATCTTTACCAGAAGATGTGAGCTTGGGAAATGATGTGTTTTCTTAAGGATGAATCCTGAGTATACTCTTTAAAATAAAGGAATAGCTGACACAAATGTAAAAATTATGGAAGTGAGGAACTGGGGACAACCAGGTCCCAGCAAAAGCAGGTGAGGGTGAAATGAAGAACATTCATTGAGATTTTTATCTTCACTATTTTGTTGTTAAGATATTAAAGATAACAACTAGCAACGTTATGGACTCTTCAAAAGCATGTAGAGGTAATTTAGGCTGTATTTAGGTATAATAGGCTGTCCATTTAGGGTAATAGGTTGAGTTTAATATTTAGTTTCTGTGGTTGACAGCAAGGAGGCCAGGGAATGCTAAACTAAAATATAATCATGGTAATAATAATAATAATAATATTAGGTTGCCTATTTAGGGTAATAGGTTGCATTTAATATTTGGTTTCTGTGGTTGACAGCAAGGAGGTCAGGGCGTGCCAAACTAAAATATAATTATAGTAATAATAAAAATAATAGAAGATGTTTAGAAAAAACAAAATATATTAGATTATTCTCCACACATGATCCTTTTAGTAAATAGATTTAAAATTTTACCTACCTCAAAGAACTTAGTTTTTGCAAATCTCAAATCGATTACTTTACCATATTTGTTTAGCTGATCTGAGTAACAAGTGCAGAGTTTTGTTTTGTTTTGATCATGCTTGTTGATTTGTGTTCTAGATAAATGTGAATGCCAGAATTAAAGAACTAGAGGAGTTGATAAAACCATTTTAGGACCCAAGCTCATTAAAATATATGATACTCAATAAAATAAAATGTCAATTTTAATTGTGCTTGACATTTTTCAGCTAACTAAATTTAATTTTTAAAAAAGTTATATTTTCCCATAGGAATTTAGTCACTTACTTTAGCTGGATCATTAATGATTGCCGATTTCTTGTGAAGTTCAGGGTATCAGGTATGTATCTAGAAATCTGTGGTTAGAAAAACTCATGTTGATGCTCAACAAAAAAGTGTCAGGTATCCATATCCCAGAGAAAGTTTTCTACTGTAAAGGAAATACAGAATGAATATAGCTAGTATTATATTGTGAAAAGTTTATGACCAAATTTTTTGAAAATTCATTTTATTTTCATTATGGAACAATAAAAATAGATTTTGAAAGTACCTTTTAGAGATACTTTTAACTTTTTTGTTTGTTTTTGTTTTTTGTTTTTTGAGACTGAGTCTCGCTCTGTCTCGCAGCCTGGAGTGCAGTGGCGAAATCTTGGCTCACTGCAATCTCTACCTCCAGGGTTCACGCCATTCTCCTGCCTCAGCCTCCCGAGTAGCTGGGAGTGCAGGTGCCCACCACCATGCCCGGCTAATTCTTTTTGCATTTTTTTTTAATAGAGACGGGGTTTCACCGTGTTAGCCAGGATGGTCTCGATCTCCTGACCTCGTGATCCACCCGCTTCAGCCTCAGAAAGTGCTGGGATTAGATACGTTTAACTTTTGAATGCAGAATTACAAGTCTTCTTAATCTTGTTTGATTTACATAGGATTATATGCACCTAATAAAGGTGGGGTTAGTTTATGCATTTCAGAAATAAGAAAACTGAATTATCCAATGCAAGGGCAAAATCTATGATAAAATTTATTGATATCTAGCTTTGGACGTGATCCAACACATTGCATCAAATTTTCTTTCACTATTCAGACTCCAGAAAAATAACTCATTCTCTAAATTGGTTATTTCCCAGTAAGAATTACAAAGTGTACCTAATAATACAAGATGTTATAGTGCTACCCATAATAATAAAAATATAATAACATCTATATAATTTACATGCATAGCAATGTTATTTACATGTGAATTGTTTGCAGAATAATGTCCCATTTTTTCACTTAAAATACCTACAGATATGTAAAGATACAAGTTATTTGTTATCCCTATCTCCTTGTTACTATGGGATTGGTGGTCCTGGACTTCTCTGAGTCCCGTGGGCTCATGGATAACCAATTTCTTATAAATTTCTTTTTCTTTTAATACCTTCACTATCTGTTTTTCGTAATTTGGCCTTAGAGACTTCTTTTAGAATTTAAGCTTCTTTTCAGAATTTAAGAAAATTCTGAAATTTAAGAATTCAAGCTTCTGTTTTACTTTTACATTCCATAATTTAAAAATTAAGTTTCTCTAGGTCTTTGTCTTTTCCACAGCAGCCATACTTCTGGAACTCACCACATGGCTGGTAGCCCTCATTCCCTCACCTCACTTTTTCTTCTCAACCCTGATGGCTGGAGTTTCCTCATTGCTTCTCTTAACATGCAGTTAACTTCTTACTTGAACTTCAGTTAAGCCCTCTGTATTAGTCCGTTCTCATATTGCTATAAATAACTACCTGAGACTTGGTAATTTATAAAGAAAAGAAGATTAATTGGTTCATGGTTCTGCAGGCTATATAAAAAGCATGGCTGGGGAGGCCCCAGAAAACTTACAATCATGACAGAAGGCAAAGGAAAAGCAAGCACAATCTTCGCATGGCAGAGAAAAGAGAGAAAGACAGAGAGAGAGAGAGAGAAGAGTAAAGTACTATATGCTTGAAATAACCAGATCTTGTGAGAACTCTGTTAGAAGGCAGCACTGGTGGGAAGGTGCTAAACCATTAGAAACCACACACCTGATCCATCGCCTCCCACCAGGCCCCGATTCCAACACTCAGAATCATAATTCAGCGTGAGATGTGGGTGGGGACACAGAGTCAAACCATATCATTCCACCTTTGGGCCCTCACAAATCTCATGTTCACCTCACATCTCAAAACACAAGCACATTTTCCAAACCATCCCCCATTGTCTTCAGTCATTCCAGTAGTACCTCAAAGGTCCACAGTCCAAAGTCTCATCTGAGACAAGGCAAGACCCTTGCACCTATGAGCCTATAAAATAAAAAACAACTTAGTTACTTCCAAGACAAAATGGAGATACAGGCATTGGGTAAATACTCCCATTCCACAAGGGAGACGTTGGCCAAACCAAAGGGGTCACAGGCCCCATGCAAGTCCGAAACCCAGCAGGGCAGTCATTAAATTTTAAAGCTCCAGAATAACCTCCTTTGACTCCATGTCTCACATGCAGGCCACGATGATGGAAGGATGGAAGAGGTGGGCTCCCAAGACCTTGGGCAGCCCTGCCCCAGCGGCTCTGTAGGGTACAGCCACCATGGCAGCTCTCAGAGGCTGGCATTGAGTGTCTGTGGTTTTTCCAGGAGTATGGTGCAAGCTGTCAGTGGATCTACCATTCTGGAGTCTACAGTATGGTGGTCCTCTTTGCACAGCTCCACTAGGCAGTGCCCTAGTGGGACTCTGTGTGGGGGCTACGGTCCCATATTTCCCCTTTTTACTGCCCAGGTAGAGATTCTTCATGATGGCTTTTCTCCTGTAGCAGACTTCTGCTTTGACATTCAGGTATTTCCATACAAACTCTGAAATCTAGGCAGAGGCTCCCAAACCTCAACTCTTGCATTCTGTGCACCTGCAGGCCCAACACCACATGGAAGCCACCAAGTCTTAGGGTATGCACCCCTGAAGCAACAGCCTGAGCTGTACCTTGGCTCAAGCTAAGGCATGGCTAGAGATGGAGTCACCGGAATGCAAGGTGCCATGTCCTGAGGATGCACAGAGCAGCAGGGCCCTGGGCCTGCCCCCACAAAACCATTTTTCTCTCCTAGTCCTTTAGGCCTGTGATGGGAGGGGCTTCCAGGAAGGTCTCTGAAATGCTTTGGAGGCATTTTCCCCATTGTCTTGCTATTAACATTCAGTTCCTCTTTACTTTTGCAAATTTTTTCTGCCAGTTTTAATTGCTCCCCTGAAAATAGGATTTCCTTTTCTACCACATGATCAGGCTGCAAATTTGTAAGCTTTTATGCTCTGCTTCCCTTTTAAGTATAATTTCCAGTTTCAGAAACTCTCTTTGCAAATGCATATGAGTACACACTGTTAGAAGCAGCCAGGCAGCCTCCTGAAAACTTTGTTGCTTGGAAATTTCTTCTGCCAGATACCCTAAATTATCTCTCTCTAGTTCAAAGTTCCACAGATCTTTAGAGCATGGGCACAATGCCACCAGTCTCTTTGCTAAAGCACAGCAAAAGTAACCTTTACTCCAGTTCCCAATAAGTTTCTTGTTTCCATATGAGACCACCTCAGCCTGGACTTCACTGTTCGTATCGCTATCAGCAATTTGGTCACAGCCATTCAACAAGTCTCTAGAAGTTGCAAACTTTCCCTCATCTTCCTGTCTTCTTCTGATCCCTCCAAACTGTTCCAGACTCAGCCCATTACCCAGTTCCAAAGTTGCTTCCACATTTTCAGGTATCTTCATAGCAATGGCCCACTTCTCCGGTACCAATGTTCTGCATTAGTCCATTCTCACACTGCTATAAAGAACTACCTGAGACTAGGTAATTTATAAAGAAAAAAGGGTTTAATTTACTTACAGTTCCACAGGTGGGAGGCATGGCTGGGAAGGCTTCAGGAAACTTACAGTCATGGCAGAAAGCAGAGGAGAAGCAGGCACAATCTTCACATGGTAGAGCAGGAGAGAGAGAGAGTGAAGACGAAGCACTACACACATTTAAACAACTAGATCTCATGAGAACTCTATTATGAAACAGCACTAGGGGATTGGCACTAAACCATTAGAAACCACCCCCAAGATTCAATCACCTCCCACCAGGCCTCTCTTCCAACACTCAGGATCACAATTCAACATGAGATTTGTGTGGGGACACAGAGACAAACCATATCACCCTCCTTGGTCAACCCAAAAAATATTTTATTTCTGATTTTTATGAGTTGGATTGTATCCCCCAAATTCACAGGTTGATGTTCTAATCTCCAGTACTTTGCAGAGTGAATTTATTTGTAAATAAGTTCATTGCAGATGTAATGATTTGAGATGAGTTCATACCAGAGTAGGTTGGGTGCCTAGTCCAGCATGACTGGTGTTCTTATAGAAAGAGAAAATTTGAACCCAAATACCCATGGATGGAGGAGGATGTGAAGAGGCAAGGAAGAAGATGGATATCAGTAAGCCCAGGAGATAGACCTGACACTGAGCTTTCTTTGACCCCCTTAAAAGGAACCAACCCTTTTGACAATGCCTTGATCTTGGACATTGAGCCTCCAGAACTGTGAAATGCTAAGTTTCTATTGTTTAAGCAATTCAGTTTGTCATACTTCTTTACAACAATCCTAGCAAAGTAATGTATTGATCTTACCTGACTTTTGCCGTGTTTATAACAAATCTGAATACCTCTTCCTTCTTGAAATTCTTCTTTTGTTTGTCTTCCATAATCATTTGCTTCCCACTTTTTCCATGGACAAATGCTAAAACTCTAATGTTTATCACAGAATAAAGCGTGCTCTTGGTGACAAAATATGAACCTCAAACTATATTTCCACTATTATTTGTCCCCTGAGTTACAAATCAGTATACGTAAATGGCTATTAGATATTATCATGTAATAGTTCTATAGGCATTTCACATTCCAAGCTAACCTAATTCCTTCTTGGATCCCTACTGCATTGATTGTACCATCTACACAATACCTTCTTTACAACCCTCCCCCTTTTTCAATTGCTTGTATATCACCAAGTTCTTTCTTCTGCCTCTATCCATCACTGCTCTCAATGAAGTATGAAAAGACACAGTCATCACTCGCCTAAATAACTACTAGACCTTCACAACTGGTCTGCCTGTAATCAGATAAAAACTCTTCTAATTTGTCCTCCTCACTACACCCAGGGTAATATTTTAAAATAATCACATTTTGGCCTTGCGTGTTGGCTCACACTTGTAATCTCAGCACTTTGGGAAGCCAAGGCGGGCGGATCACCTGAGGTCAGGAGTTTGAGACCAGCCCGGCCAACATGGTAAAAGTACATCTCTACTAAAAATACAAAAATTAACCGGGCATGGTGGCAGGTACCTGTAATTCCAGCTACTCAGGAGGCTGAGGCAGAAGAACCACTTGA
This sequence comes from Homo sapiens, assembly GCF_000001405.40. Taxonomy (NCBI): domain Eukaryota; kingdom Metazoa; phylum Chordata; class Mammalia; order Primates; family Hominidae; genus Homo; species Homo sapiens. Next base: position 23,333,631 of record NC_000021.9, on the reverse strand, counting down.
ACCCAGAAGATGGAGGTTGCAATGAGCCAAGATTGCACCACTGCACTCCAGCCTGGAAACAGAGCGAGACTCTCTCTCAATAAATAAATAAATAATAAATAAATAAAATCATAACATTTTAACTCTTTGAAGAAAACTTTTATGTTTGTTGTTCAGAATATTTAAAATATTTTATTGTGAAATAATTTTAAATTTACGGAGATTTTGCAAAGAAATTGTGAAATTTTCCATATACTGTTTTCTCCAAGATTTTAACATCTGTGCCTGAGTTGCTTTATCATTCTCTTTCTCTTTCCTCCTCCATATTATTTGTTATGAAAACTTTTAGAGCAGAGTGCATGCATCATGCATCGTCACCCCTCAGCCTTCGCTGTGTATTTTCTGAGAATAATATTTTCTTTTATAACAGTATAATTTTAAAAGTCAGTAAATGTATATTTGATTCAATGTTAGCATCTAATCATTGAAAGTTCTATTTTAAATATGTCACTTGCTTTATAATAATAAGAATGTCCTTTAAAGTAATTGTTTATCCCAGCACCCGTTCATGTCTAGTATCCTTTGCTAAATTTAGTTGTCATTCTCTTCAGTATTTTTTTAATCTGAAAAGTGTTCTTATCATTTGTCTTTCATACGTGTGACATTTTTGAAAAATACAAACAAAACTCTTTTTCTTAATTTTGGATTTTCTAATGTTTTCTCGTGATTAAGTTTGTTATTAATTTTTGGCTACAATATTTTATAAATGATACTTTGTTCTTTTAGTGTAACACCTCCAGAGGCACAAGATCCCCTCAGTCTTACTTGTCATTTTAATTTTGATCATATAGTTAAATAATTGTACAGTTACTCTATTCCTTAGTTAATACTTTTTTAAGTTCATTTGCAGTTACTAAATAAGTTTAGAGGAGATATTTGAGACAATATTAATATTGGGTTACTGATCATACTTTGACTATTTGGAATGAAAATTCGTTGATGATTCTTAACTGAACTATAATTTACTCTATATTCTATTACTTTATTGTAAAGTTCACACATCTTAAATGGCATACAAGACTGAGTGATTTAGCTCTTCTTTACTTCTACTACTGATTCTGTTTCCATTTCTCTGCCTATGTGTATACCCTTAAGTGTTTTGAAGACATAGTATTTTTTTTTACTACTGCGAGCTATTCATTATTTTTGTTTATCCATGTGTTTCTGTGTTCGTATGTGAAATATATTCTGCTACAGTTGATGTGCCTTCTTTCTAATCTAGTTTCATCGAAAGCCATGAAGGGCATTTATAAGATTCAAAATACGTCTTCTCAGTTCATATAAAGTCATTCAATATACAAATGCATCAATTAAGTAATGCCATTATCTTATATTTATTCAAGAGTTGATTATCTGTATTCTGGATTAAAATAATAAAATTTTAGTGGTGGAATATCCTCCACTTTCTATTCAACAGCCTTTCACATACAGACTTTCTTCCTCAATGCCCAGTGTGTGTTCAAGGAATGCACATTTATTTTAATAATGTAGTGTTAAAATATAATTAAAGGAATACATACACAGGAACAAAATAAAATAATATATCACAGGCTAAAGGAAATAAACCATTAGAGGACTTACTATAGATGGCCCAGATGACTGGGCCACCACGTTGCCCCATTAACAAAGATAATGGAGAGTACACTGCCAATTTGCACTTTGCAATATTCAGCATCACCCATTTTCTTTTTCTCCTCAATATAGGTGGCTGTATTCCTTACTCACTTGTATTTTGGGCTTCAGTTGATCTATAGTTTAGTTAAAATTTTAATCTTTTACAAAGATCAGGGAAACATTTTTAAATGAAGAAGTATTATTTTAATGTAGAAGTAAATAATATGTAAAGAAAATAAGGCGTCTGTTTATTTAGTTGACTTTCTGAGTTTGATTACACGGAAGAAGGAACACAAATCTGGGTGTACAAGATTGGTTGCTATTTTCCCTGACAAAAAAATTGTACACAAGAATCAGGACAGACCAACTTAGTGCTTCTATTTCTTATCAGATGCTCAGATAGTTTGAGGCGCTGAGGGCACATATAGTAAAAGCCAATGTAGAGTTTGAAAAGCAGTTTGAACTTGTTCTGAAGCCACAGCTTGCAGCCTGAAGTGTTTTAGTTGATTACCATTTTACATTCTGTCTAGCTCATATCTTTCACTGTCAATACTGCTGAAATTTTTGAAGTTTTAAATAAGACTTTCCCTATCAGGGTCCAGTTTCTCCATATTTAACAAATAGCATTTTACATTCAGTATTTCTTCAGAATTTGCTACTCAAATGAGGTATCTCCTACTTAAGGGATATATATAGATGAGAAAATCGTTATTTCCTTCTTTTTGAGAAAGCTTAAATTTCAACGCACATTTCAACGCTGCACTGGAACGCCACTAAATATTCTCAATTCTAAAATTTGAAGAACTGGATGTAAGGTGATTTTATTCTGACTAATAGGCTTACAAAAAGAGAAAACTACAACAACAAAATAATATAAGTATTTATATCTTGAAACAATTATTTACTCAATATATTTAACGAGTTTACTATGTATGGAGAATACTGGAGAATTCTGAAAATTATTTTCTAAAATGTCTTGCTCTTAAAGTTCTAAAATACCTTCATAATTTTAATGTTAGCAAGTGAGAAAGCATTCCCAGTACTCATTTAACGATTTGTACTGTGGAAATATAGAAAGAATTTTTTTTTAACTAATGCAATTTATTAATGATTATTTTTGCTCTCTCTCTTTTGCTCTCTCCACTAAGCGTGTGTGGGTGTGTGTGTGTTTGTGTGTGCACGCACATGTGCGTATGTATATGTTTGTGAAAAAACAGAAATGGGTACTTTTTTACTCTTTTTTAAAGCATATTTAGAACCTGGCCTACAGGTCCAAGCTCTGGTAGGCAATGTTGTAGAGAAGACACAAGTGATCAAGGATCAAAACTCTCAGGAAATATCAGCTGCTGCTGCTTCTACTTTAAAAGGCCAGGAATCCCATCAGCCAGGTATTAAGCCCAGTGCCTAACAGTAGAAAAACCCTGTGACATGTGTTTACCTATGTAGCAAACCTTCACATGTACCCCCAAATCTAAAATGAAAGTTTAAAAAATTGAAAAGCCAGAAATCACAGAAATCTACTGCAAGCCACCTTCCACCAAACAACCATCATCTATGAGAGTCCTCACAAGAAGCGAACACAAGTTCAGGACGGAACAGATAACAACTGCTCTGGAATGAGTGACCAACACACTGTCTTCTGTTGCTGTTAATGGCCACATGGACAACATAGGACTTTTTTATTTTTTTTATTTTTTTACGAGTCTTGCTCTGTAGCCCAGGCTGGAGTGCAGTGGTGCGATCTCGGCTCACCGCAAGCTCCGCCTCCCGGGTTCACGCCATTCTCCTGCCTCAGCCTCCCTAGTAGCTGAGACTACAGGCGCCCGCCACCACGCCGGCTAATTTTTTTGTATTTTTAGTAGACATGGGGTTTCACCGCGTTAGCCAGGATGGTCTCTATTTCCTGACCTCGTGATCCTCCCGCCTCAGCCTCCCAAAGTGCTGGGATTACAGGCATGAGGCACCACGCCCAGCCAGGACTTCTTGTCTCTATTGGTATGGATTACTAGGACTCTGTTTATGCCTCGCTCTTTAAGATTTGGGGATTGTATTTTGTCGTATTGCCCAGTTTTCCTATGCCTTGGTTTCTCTTCCAATATCCCCAGGCTCTTGGTCAGCAGGATTCCTACACTGCATTCTTTTGGTTTGTGGTTAACAACGTTTACTTCACCTTCTCTTCCTTGTTTAATTCAACTGTGATTATCAGCCTCCCAGGTTTGTTTGACAACTGACATCTGAGTACTGTGTCTTCTGATTTGATACTTCATCCTCTGATATTTTATTTGTATGTTAATTAATAATAATTATTTTCCTGTCGAATCCTATACTAACAGACCTCCAATATAAAGAAGCTGGCCTGCTTCAAGTAGTTGTAATCAATATGAGGATTCATAATACAGTAAGATAAATACATAGATAATATTGGCATAAAACTCCAAATCAGCTCAACAATTACAATATGCATAATTTATTTCATATTTATTTAAATTTGTCTTGTTTATCTGGTAAATAAGCACAACTCTTACAAGAAACTATAAATGTTAACGATGACAATTGTCAGGCCACATTGCTTTATTTCACCCATTATGATATCATTTGAGTTTATTGTTGTTTTTCATTTGCAAAGGAACTTCAATTTGACAGTATTTGATCTCCAAAATGGCTGAAAAGCACATTTTCAAATTTAAATGTCTAGATTATTTTAATTTTGTAATTTACTCAAGTAACATAGGAGTGCATTTTGTTGAAAAAGATCCAAGCATATATCAAGAAGTATTCTGAATTAAAACACACATCTTTGGCCAGGCGCAGGGGCTTAAGTCTGTAATCTCTGCACTTTGGGAGGCTGAGGTGGGCAGATCACCAGGTCAGGAGATTGAGACCATCCTGGCCAACATGGTGAAAACCCATCTCTACTAAAATACAAGAAATTAGCCGGGCGTGGTGGTGGGCGCCTGTAGTCCCAGTTACTTGGGAGGCTGACGCGGGGGAATCTCTTGAACCCAGGAGGCAGAGGTTGCAGTGAGCTGAGATCACGCAGCTGCACTCCAGCCTGGGCGACAGAGAGAGACTCTGTCTCAAAAACAATAACAGCAACAAAAACAAACAAAAAAAACCCCTGTCTTTCAGAGTTAACAATTATGAATAATTTGCTGCTTCATTATTTTTATATAGTTCCAAAATATTTATACTCATAGTAGACTTGGTTTTTATGTTTTATTTTGAATTACATTTAATTTACTTTGTAGTGACTTGTTTTGTCAATTAACAATGTTTGGGGAAATTTTTTTCTATTAGTTTGTCTACACATGCTTGCCTGTCTTTCCATGAATGTATTAATTCCAATGTTTAATGATTCTCCTATAGTAATCACCTGTATTAGGGAATTGTTCTGACTTTTCAGTATTTGAAACAGCTGTGATTGACATACTTATATTGTATATGTGTGAAAGTATATACTTTCAGGTTGTAGTCATTTTTTCTATTCTGCTCTGTGGAAACGGTATCTCATGGTTTGTTTACTTTGCCGTTTTTATAATTTTTATTTGACTCTATGATTTTTCAATTTTCCCAAAAGACTGTCTTTCTTATAAATTCTTTGTTACAATTTTTTCACATCTAGGTATAAATTGTTTTTCTGCTCTGATGCATTTTTTTTTAGTGTAACTTGAGTTTTTGAATGTCTTTCTACAAAGGACTAGATTTGAATATTAGCAAAATTGAACTTTGTAACATGATTCTTTTGGATATCTCAGTTTATTTTAAAAAGCTCCAATAATATATTCTGTGGAGGAGATATATTTAAAATGTTAAACTGGGAAATATTCTGTTGGTGCAGCTTCTGGCATGCTTCCTGTTTTCTCATAGAAACTTTGCTTGAATGGTGATTAGATTGTGCCTTGCTTCTCCTTGGTGCAGATCTGCTCCGATATAAGAATATGAGGATACCAGAATAGTTGAGTCATGTGGAGGAACATTTTCCATGGAGAGCTGTCTGACTGACAGGAGGCCAGGAACCTGCACAGGGTTGACTCAGGATCTCACCAGGCTGAAATCAAAGTGTCAGCCAGATCTGCAGTCTTGTCTGAGTCTCTGTCCTCTTTCAAGATAAGTCATTTTCGGCAGCAGTCCCTTAAGTATAGAACTGAAGTACTCAGCTGCTAGAGGCCACTCCCAGTTTCTTGCCACATCCCTCTCTAAAATGCTACAAAGGGAATATGCTTCTTCTTCCAACCCACTGGGTTTGCCTCACCCCAAATAATCACCATTTGATAAAACCTGGAAGCTAACTGTTTTAGAAATCTCAATTACATTTGCAAATTCCTTTACCTTTCTCATATAATGTGGCCATATCTTATTAAATCACAGATCCATCGATATTCAAGGGTAGAACATTGGACAGGTGGTATAGACCATGGAGTGGAGTGTTGGGGTAATTGTTAAAATTCTGCCTAACTCAGTCTGGAACATTACATAGAGCTTTAAAATCAACTCCGTAGCTCATATTTTTTAAAAAAAAAATTATATTTTTTGAATGTTTTTGTTGTGGAAAACATCTCTCATTCCAATTATGTTCTCTGATAATTGATTTATTCTTGTTTATCCTATGCACTATTTCATAAATTTTAATACCATTTAACCATATTGTCTCATAATTCTGATGCATTGCTATCTATTTGTAAATATCTTCTTTAGTCATTTAACATGTATTATGTGGCTTATTCCTACTTCCTTTTTCTTGTTGGTATATTTGTCTTAGATTATTCTTAAATATCTAGGACACAACAGCAACGCATTGCTTCAGCTGCCTCTGTGTAACGGATGTGCTGGAGCTGCTGTGGGTAACCCTGCTGTTGTGTTTCCTTTACAATGAAACATTTTCATGGAGCTGAGGAAAATTTTAGCATACCTATATCCCTTTAGAGTCTCCAACTCTGCAGACATAGTTCCTACTTTAACCAGGAACCCCTCATATATTCTGTGAAGAGCCTGGGATCCTACCCTATCACTTCATGCAGCTCCGTCTTCTTATTTTTTTTTTATTTTTTTAATTATTATACTTTAAGTTTTAGGGTACATGTGCACATTGTGCAGGTTAGTTACATACGTATACATGTGCCATGCTGGTGTGCTGCACCCACTAACTCGTCATCTAGCATTAGGTATATCACCCACTGCTATCCCTCCCCTACATGTTCTGCCCTACAAATTCCATCAGCTGCAGCAGCCTCCTAAACTCAGCAAAGTGGTCATCCATTTGGGGTTTATATCTCTGCTTTCAGCTCTAAAGGACCGACAGGGAGAATGCCATATCTACTGAGGAATAACCATGGGGTTCATGTCAAGTAGATACTTTTGACAAAGAGTACAATCTAGTGAAACTTGTTCAATCTCTAAAAATAATTTCCTCATATGTTTTTATAGTTAACATTTACGGTAACCAATCTAGTGCGAATGACTTTGTCATGGCTGCAGGTGGAATTCTTCAATGAAATTTTATACTCAGGAAAAATAAGTTATTTTAAGAAAAATAACTGATAAATTATCTGAAGTTATATGAGTTAATATCACAATTAAAATATTCGATGGCCCTAAGGATTCCTGAATCCTTGTCCAGAGACTGGGCTAATGAATGATATTATAGAATCCCATAAGCAAGTGGACTTGAATTAGAACAACCATTTCTAAAGGAGATAGAACCTTGTGCTTCATCTTGTGTGAAAATAACAAGCGGGTACAATTTGGATGAGTATCGAGTCATAGAGAGTAGACTATGCTTTCCATAGATTATGTAGTTCTGCATTAGCCACTAAGTAAGGATGAGGGACCAAATGAACAACTGGTAGGCTTGTGTTTGGTGTAGGAATCTGGTCTAGAGATTTTGGAAATGATTTACACAAGGAATCAGAAGCCAAACCATCTGGAAATAAAAAGTATGATTTGTGATACATTTCCTATGTTATCCATAACCCTAGTGAAACACTAGATCACACAAAACATGTTTCTTCTCATGACACTTAAATTATTTATATTCACAGACTTTTGATCTCATTTGTTTCACACCTTCTTTCTTGCTTAATTTTTAAACAGTGCTTGGAGTCTCCTTACCAGCTACTTTCTTCTTTGCATTGGAAGCTCAACTACAATGTTTTTGGTTTATATTCATCTGGACTGCCACTACCACCTGAGATTATTTTCCAATGTGCTTTCTCGTGAAATCTTTTCCAATTGATATAATCTACTGATCTCTTTTACTGATGAAAAACAGAATTTTAGAGTCAAATATTCAGGATTCACTCTAATAGTTAACAAGAAACATTTTTGCCACCATTTTTAGGGATATTATTTAGTTTCCTCTATGCATCCATCTTGAGGGGGTGTTTTCTGTCTTAAAAGGAGGAATTATATTAAGTACTATTCATTTTACTTAATATTTGTTTTTTACTTGTATTAATCAATTTTCATACTGCTCTGAAGAAATACCTGAGACTGGGTAATTCATAAAGAGAAAGATGTTTAACATAACGTACTTACTGTTCCACATGGCTGAAGGGGCCTCAATATTATAGTGGAAGGCAAAGGAGGAGCAAAGGCACATCTTACATGGTGGCAGGCAAGACGGTGTGCGCAGGGGAAATGCCCTTTATAAAGCCATCTAATTTCATGAGACTTATTTACTATCACAAGAACAGCACAGGAAATACTCACCCCCATGATTCAATCACCTCCTACTGGGTCCTTCCTACAACACTTGGGAATTACAATTCAAGATAAGTTGTGGGTGGGGACACAGCCAAACCATATTACCAGTATATAAGATTTTTGAAGATTTTAGTAAGATAAACCTTTTCTTAGCAAAATTTATCATAAAAGCTAGATATGGGATAGAATAAAATATGTCCAGCGGAACCAGGGCCAGAGGGCTCAGAAGCTCCAGAATGCTGATCCCACTAATTTCTTTTTCTGGTGGTCTTAGAGAAGTTTGAAAACCACTATTAGAATGGAAAAGATACTGGTCCAAATTTAGAAAGTAGGTGTTATAATTCTGAGAGAAACCCCCTTAACTCTAGGGCCATTGTTGACATGGCTGATCTCTTGGCACTGAACTTTCTCATTGATCCACTAAATGGGTAAGAATAAAAAGATATAAACGACTACTAATTTCTGGTCAAGCTATGACATTGTATCTGGGATGCTCTGTGAGTACTTATTTACAAAAATGACAATATTTAGGACTTTGGAGATTAATGAATTTTTGTAATCTGAAATGATGAAATCCCTAGAGGAAATATAGCCATAAGTCCTTTTCAAGACACTTATGCAACAATAAGTAAGACCATTCCCTTGGCATAATGGCCTATTATAGGAAAAGTATTTTAATCTTACTATGATCTAGAACTTTACATCCATTTTAACTCTGGAGTTTCTCTTTTATTCTAGGCTCATTATGCAGAGTAAAAATGATCTGAAAAGACTTGAACTTTACATTACTATCAATATTAGCATAGTATCACTTTTTATGTGTCTATGGATATAAATTCAGTATAAAAATATCTGAAAATAACTTTTAATAAAGCTATTCCTAAATAGCCTCCTAGAGGGCTGGAGATAGCTTTATTCTTCATTTCAGTTTTGCAAGTTTGAAGACCCCTAAATATTTGAGTCTACTTATATGTTTATATCTATCATTTATCTATCTATATCAATTTATCTTTCTATCTATCATTAATCATTCATCTATCCATCTTTATATCAAATCGTTTGTGGACATATAAACCAGGGAGAGCCAATTACATTTTTAAATGTCAGTCATATCAACATAGTGATAATGGTTTATATCTAATTAGTTAGTTAACCAAACTCTAAGTGAATGAAATACACAGTAAGTTTTAAGAGAAACAGAAGATATTGTTATAAAAATAGCAGTTCGATAGAATGGTTTGCACTAAGGTAAGGAAACATAGGTCCAGAGTAATTGTGAATTCTGTGTCTCTGCCCAGATAGATGGTGATGGGGGATTCAGCAGCACCTCAAACAAACTTTAAGCACCTTATCTAACATGTCCCTAGACTCAACTTGGTATTTATGTTTAATTTACTTTCAAATAGACAAAGCTTTTTTATATTATTAAAATGTTTCTTTTTTATGTTCCTCTGTAAACACTCATCCCATCTTTCTTCATTAATTCAAATATTCCACAAATATGTACTTAGCAACATGTAAGCCACATACTATTTTAAGTGCTACTGACATAGCAATGAACAAATCTCTATGCCCATGTGGAATTTACATTCTGCCTTGTTCCTAAGTGGTGGTGTTTTAGTGGCTGCTGAATGGCACAGTTCTCTTAGACACACGTACATTCCTTTTATCTTCTGTTTGCACTTTTTATGGTTTCGATGGACTCAATTTCTCCCTGCCATGTGAAACCTCTGTCTATTTTAAATTATATTTATTTTCATTGCTTGAGACATGGAAACTACTTCCATATACATTGAAAACCCACCTGCAGCATACTCAAGCTTGTAACTTTTCTTGCCCTAGAATTGGTGGTCTACTTTTCTAAGTTAACATTTTTGTTTTCTTTGACCTCTTGAAGTTTTTGTTTTCTTTGACCTCTTGAAAGACACTTTCCTTTCTATGTTTGAATATGTAACAATAAGATAGAACTGAGTTATACAATATTTAAACAGAGTATGTAACTTTTTCATAACATACGCCAATAGGCTTATAATAAACATGAAGCTTTCTGGAATACTTGAAGTCTCATAACTTAATAAGTGTGCAGTAGCCCCCAATCTCCTTGTCACACCCCCAAACATTTTTTTGTAACATTTTTGTGCTTAAGCCATAATTTAAAAAGGATAAAGTCCAAAAGCATCCTCCTTTAACATGTTTCTATTTGTATCCCTGAGATACAGAGATGTGGAGATTCTCCAGTATTTGAGTTATAAACCATGCTGCAGCTGTAGGGTATATAAATATCCTGGAACTACCCTGCTTTCTGGTGAGCAGAAATCTTTTGGCAGCAAATAAATATCTGTTGGCCAGCACTGAACTTCTGAGTGTGTGGCTGCCTCCTGATTTCTTGCCCTATAGCCCGTTTCCAGTTGCTGCATAATCATCAAGCACAACACAAGATTAAAACAAATACTTCCTTAGGTTGATATTTTTCCATTTTTACACCCAGCAGGTAAACAAACATTCATCAATTTTCTCACAGTGGACTCACTTCCAATTTCAAGGAACTGATTATAGAGATTTCTTTGAATCTACTAGAAAGGGGGAGATGTAGGTCTGGGTTACATAGTTGTTACAACTTTGCTGAAAACCCTCTGAGAATTCTGCAAAGAAAACTGTACATGAACCCCTCTAGGTCATTCAGCCACTGGTGGTATGTACACACGTTGCTGTTCTATAGAACTCCAGCAGGGCCCTCGCCCCTGAGTCTTGATTTCAGAACTTAAAGGATTACCCATGCGTTCGGCTGATTGCTCAATGCTTGTATTCATTCCTCTCGAAATAACGCTACAACTTAAAACGTAAGGGTAATAGAAATGAAGTTACTATTCACAAATGTATATTCACAAGGTCTCTGACAGGGGCAGGATTTTACCCTTCTTATTCATTTACATAATGGATGAGACATAACAATTGAATGCAATGTATGATTCTAATGAATAAACGATTCTAATGAATAAAATGTTCTTCTTGTATTTTTGTAGGACTTTGAATATTCTTATTACTGTATTTAGTATATGGATATTTTTAGTGAGGTATGTGCTTCCCGTCCTAGATTGTAAGATTTTCAAAGGTAGAAAACATGTCTTGGACATATTTCAAACTAAAATATCAAGAATAAAATGTAGCTTATAATGAGTGTTCAATAAATATTTCTTAGCATCTTTAATTGGGAAGCGTTAGTAACCAGATACACTTTATAAATAGGATAATCTATATACATTACTATTTACTCATGTGTATATGTGTTTATAGTAATCATTGCGTTTAACCATGACTTCCAATATTTTTGCTAATATTGGTAAGTTTCAAAACAGTAATCAAAAATAATACACTAGTTATATCAAACATTCCACATGCTTAGTAGGAATTGGGGCCATGATTCACTCAGGGTATTTTCATTTTATAGCTAATATCTGTGGTTATAAGAGAAATAGTGTGAGGTGAAACTGAAAATAGGTGTGTTAATTTGTGTTTTGATATATCTATTCTCAGTTTCGAATATTGACTGAATGCCCTAATAATTTTGAAATATTCATTATCATTTCGTATCTACTGCTCCATTTATGGGAAAGAGATATTTGGCTTTATAAAAAATTTTACAAATGACAGTTGAATATACTGTCATTAAAATATTAGAAATGAGCATAAATTTTCTTTTATTACCTCATTTCTACAATTAGAAATGACCATCATAGCTGAGGAAATAGTTTTTATTCTTGTGTTTTCGTTTTCTTCTAAGCTGTTTATGGTTTCATGCAGCCTGTGCTAAAATAACATCACTACGTAAATGATATCCAAATCTTTGTTTTTAATTGTGAACACTTACCTTCACTACAAACTTCCAGAAGTAACTACAAAGATTCCTTAAATAACTAAAAGTATAACAACCATTCAACCCAGCAATCCCACTACTATCTACCCAAAAGAAATCATTATATAAAAGAGACACCTACATCCATACATAATCTCAACACTATTCACAGTAGCAAAGACATGGAATCAACCTACGTGTCCATCAACGGCTGATTAAATAAAGAAAATGTGGTAAATATACATCATAGAATACTATGCAGCAATAAAAAGAATAAAATTGTATCCTCTGTAGCAACATGGATGGAGCTGGAGGCCATTATCCTAAGTGAAATAACTTAGAAACAGAAAATCAAATACTACATGTTCTCACTTATTATGGGGACCTAAGCAATTGATACACAGGGACATGAAGATGGAAAAAATAAATGCCAAGGACTCCAAAAGGCAGGAGAGTATGAGATGGGAATACAAGTTGAAAATTACCTATTAGGAACAGTGTTCACTAACTTGGTGATGGGTATACTAGCAGCCTAAATGGTACCATTACACAATGCATCCATGTGAGAAACTGCACATGTATCTTTTAAAAAGTAAAAAAATAAAAATAACTACATACTTATTGTCACTAATTCAGTGTTTAATCAGCAGCTTTAACTTAAATTTTCCAAAACCACACTAGTACTGTTCTTCCTTCAACACCTATCTCCTCCCACATCCTTTTACATCTTATTGATGGAAACTTTATTCTGTATTGCTCAGTTGAAAACATTATCATTTTTCTTGAATGCTGTTTCTCCTGCAGCATAAATTCAATCTAAGAGTGAATTTCATCTGCTCTATTTTTCTCTGTTTCTAAATAGTACTGACCTTTTCTTCTCATCCATTTTATTTATTTATTTTTTGCTGACGCATTTAAGAATTCATTAAAGATACCGTGGCACTTCATTGTGAAATGCTTCATCAAACATCTCCTAAGAACAAGGGCATTCATCATATGTAACCATGAAATAAATATCTGATTCAGGAAATTGAATCTTAATTCAATGGTGTTATGTAACATACAGTGCATATTTCAACTTTCCTAATTGTTCCAATAATATTCTTTGTTGCTTTTTGCTTTGTTTTGTTTTTCAAATTCAGGATCCATAAAAAAAGGGAAAAAAATCATACCTAAGAGTCAATTGTTGTGTCTCATCCAATCTTTTCTCAGACTTTATATCTTGGGGATAGAGCTACTATTCCTATTATTTTTATTGACATCAAATCAACTATTGACGATTAATCATCCACTCCAAGGTTATCATCCAAGTTACATTCTGTTATTTCTCATTTATTTCTGTATTCGGTTCTTAATTAACGTTAATACATCCACACATCATTTCCTACAGTATAATCTCAAAATAAGAGACAAGAATATTTTTAAAAGAGTGATGTTAGTTACCTTATCAAAATTCTAGAACTGTTCTACACTTCATGTAACATAAAATCAAAGTTCCTACAATGGCTCTCAAGCTCTCACAATGTCTACATATATATTTTTTCTCATAGTATATATATTTTTACATAATATGTATACTATCAGGAACATATACATTTATAATAATATATAATAAATACATAACATGTAATAATATGTTAATTTCTTGTAATATACAATATTATATATAAAATACAAATTTATTGTATGAGAAATGTGTGTGTATATATACTTTTTAATATATGTATTTATGTCTGTATAGACCTTGTTGAACTTTGAAAGCAATTGTAAGAGCTTTAATTTTATATTGCATCTGGATTCAGAAAGATATCTTTATATATGCACAGAAACATATGTACATAAATATATGTATTTGTGTACCTATATACATATATATATATGTATGTATAGCATCAATGCCTACTACTCTTTTGATTGTTCATGCCAGCTACATTGTCCTTTTTGCTATTTCTTAAATACATCAGGCACATTTTCCAATTTTTCTCCACAAAGAATATTTCTCTTTAATTTTCTCTTTGTATCCCCACTCAGTGATTTTCCAAACATAAAGTGTAGTTTTGTCTGATTTTTTATTACTCAATTAAAATAACTCATTTAAAAGTTCAGCATTGGCTGTCCTCTGTAGGACATGACGGCCCATTAGAGATACTGTTACAGAACTGGAATTCCTAAGAGAAAAGTAATGATAAAATTCTGCAGTAATAGAGGCCACATGTTAATACTTAACCATGAAGAAAAAAGCAGACACATTAATGCAATGGGAGGCTACAAAGTATTGCAAACAGGAGGGTATGTATATAATCAGCAAGAGCAATGGGAATGGCTATTACAACATTATTCTGAGGGGCAATATCAATGGGCAACCAAAAAGGGTATTGCTCAATCGTTGCAAACAAAAGAAATCTAGAATGAACGATCACGAGCCTGGGGAAGTCATTCTAATAAAATGTCACAGCCCCTTGTCCAGGTGCTGAGGTTTACGCAGTGTTAAGATTCAGAACCACACGACTGGATGAAGGCCAAGTCTTCCTAAGAAAGGAACCTGCAGCAGAATGTCAAATCTGTTTGGTAATGAGTCCGTCCCTTCTTCTCCAAAGATCCTAAGCCATTTAACCCATTGAAGAACACAAATCTTTCAGTGACTATTAGACGTAGAGTGTAAATAGTCACTGATACTGAGGAACCTGAGTGTTATCACGGCATCTTTTAGAGTTGGGGCATATGGATGCCAGGTTATAAATGAATCCAACCCTAATTGTGATGTGGAAGGGAAGTGCTGGGAAGGGCATGGTTCCTTTAAATGATATGGAAGGGGGCAGGGAAGTGCTGGGTAGAGAAGGGCATGGTCCCTGGCTAGGCCTCCACCCCCACGGACCTAGGTGAGGACAGGCATTTTTTTGTTTTCCTGGCCAAATGTTGCATTTCCAAAGACCACCCTGGCCTGCCACACCCCCATCCTGTGCCTATAAAAACCCTGAGGCTCTAGCAGGCAGACACACAGGCAGCTGGATGGCAAGAGGAACACATCGGCGGAGGAACACACGGGCAGCTGGACTCGGAGAGGAAAGTACCAAAAGGCGCTGGCAGAACAACTAGGGCAGTCAGGAGAGAGCCCAGGCCGCCAAGCTGTGCGACTCCAGGGGAAAACCATCTCCCTTCTGGCTCCCTCATCTTCTGAGAGCTACCTCCACTCAATAAAACCTTGCACTCATTCTCCAAGCCCACGAGTGATCTGATTCTTCCCGTACAACAGGGCAAGAACTCAGGATACAGAAAGCCCTCTGTCCTTGTGACAAGGTAGAGGGTCTAATTGAGCTGGTTAACACAAGCCACCTATAGACAGCAAACTAAAAGAGCACACAGTAACACACGCCCACTGGGCGTTCAGGAGCTGCAAACATTCACCCCTAGACAATGCCGTGGGATGGGAGCCCCACAGCCTGCCCATCTGTGTGCTACCCTGGAGGTCTCAGCAGCGGGGCACTAAAGAAGCGAGCCACACCCCTATCGCAAGCCCTACGAGGGGGACAAGGGAACATTTTCCACTTCAAATGTGTATGCACACATACATATTATAGATAGGATACAGATATGTGGATATTATCAAGCTTGTCCATTGCAATTATACATTTATATATGTACTTGTGTGTGTATGTATGCACACACGCACACGTGTATATGTACGTGTATACATGCACACACCTCTAATGGAAAATCTGAAATCCAAAATGCTCCCAAATTGAAAATGCTCCAAAATACAAAACTTTTTGAGCACCAACATGATGTGCGAGAAATGGAAAATTCCACACCTGAGTTCATATGACACGTTGCAGTCAAAACTTTGTTTTATGCACAAAATATTTAAACTATTGCATAAAATTACACTTAGGCTTTGTGTATAATGTGTATGTAAAACATAACTGGATTTTGTGTTTAGACTTGAATCCCATTCCCAAGACATCTTATTATGTATACGCAAATATTCCAAAATCTGAAAAAATCCAAAATGTAACAAACACTTCTGGTCCCAAGCATTTTTGATAAGTGATACTCAATATATATACAATGTGGGCTCTGTGTGTGTGTGTGTGTGTGTGTGTATAGATACATATATGTGTGTGTAATATACTATATACTATATAATATAGCATATATATAATAGATATACTTTAATGTATAATATAATATAATATAATATGGTATAGGATAGCATAGCATAGATATATATAATGCACAGTTGCAATGGACAAGCTTGATAATTAGACCACATAATTTTGAGGTCTGTGGAGTAGACATGGCCAAGCGTAAGACTATAGAATTGCCTTTTACCTATCCTGTCCAGGAGAGTAAACTGAAAGCAATATCACAGCCCAGGGGAATGTGCAACTGACTTAAACATGCAACATTGCTTGTTTCCATCAGATTTTCAATTAATTAAGCTTGCGAGTCCATGTTGCAGCTGTAGGTTCTAATGTGTCATCTTCTAGTCCAGATTAATAGCCTCCAAACACTGTGGTGTGTATGTGGTGTGTAACAAAAAGATAACAAAAATGGTAACAGTTTAGCAGAAAGGCTATGATAATTTCTCTGCCCTCTGTCTTAATATAGACCAAAGGGATCTGAAGCCATCTGGACATTCTACAGAACATTATATTGGTCCATTGTATTTTTGACATTATCATAGGTTCATAAAAGGAAGATGTGGCAAACACATGAGAGACCTTTATAAGATGGAAGTTCCTCCCAAATCTGGAGATAAACTTATAAATATTCACTTGCCCAGCACTTCAATAGTTTCAAGAATCTAGTTATCCAGAGCATGCTGGTTTATTTATTGCAGAATAAAGAAAAAATACTTGCACTGCATACCTCCACTTTCTAAGAAAGCATAACACCTGGTAGGAATTTTCAAGTCCTGGAGATAGCATATTCCACATCTCAACCTACTGCTCAGATGGCAGGCTGTTAGTTTCATTGACACCCAGATCAAGAAAGGGCTCAGCAGAAGGTCAACAGTGTGGTGCACATGGCTTGGCTCTTGGGCCATGTGACCCAGCAAATCCCACAATATTAGAGTTATCTGTAGTAGGAAAAGATGTTGCATGAGGTTTATGGCAAACTTAGCCATCCTATAATATAATACCCTAGTTCTGAAGCAAGGCCATGTCACCTGCAGCAGATAATTATACATATTGGTTAAATGGTGTCAGTAGTGCTACAGTGTCCTGGAAGAGGGGAAATATCTGAAAATGGGATACAAGTGACCGCAAAGCTGGAACTGCCCATCATGTGTTGCATATTGTCAGTACAAGTAAGCTATACATTGGACTAGCCCAGTAATAATTCAACTTAAATGTTGTATTAGTATTTATTTAGTAATTTATGACAAAATATATTTCATATAGAAAACTTTCACATTTTATATATTTTCAAATTTTGTTATTTCTGTAAACAATAGTAAAAAATAACACTGTGGTTTATATTTACTTTCAATTAACTAAATATGCATTGAATTATTAATATTGATAAGTCCTGGGAAGAAAATACCCAAAACTTGGTGTAAATATGAATATTATTATGGACCAAATAATAAAACATATAATTGTAAACCTTCAATTTACATGTAGTTGCCAAATACAGACATATAATATATCTGGCTAAATTGTCTGTCTACTCATACAGAGCACCATTTTTAACCCATAAATTGAAATGATCATTTCTAAAATATATAACACAGTACTATGTTAGGGAGTTTTCCTTTGAATTGTCAATGTTTACCAAAAAATAATATATATATACAAGGAAGTAGAACACAATAATATTTTGATGATTTGTAGTAGAAAATTTTTGGAGTGAGAACAATAAAAATGCATTTATAGCCTATACATCTTTTTATGATATGCATTACTATTTTCAATTGGAGCTAAAGAATGTAATACAAATTATAGACAAAACCCTGGTATGTACATCAAAATCTATTTTGCAATGGAAGACTAATTACATAACTGACTAACGTGGATTAGATCAGGTAGACCTTTTTATATAAGTATGTCCTAAATCATTCCCAAATGAACAAATAAATGAATATCTGCAGAAAAATAATTATTCCTGAATGGTATGTTTGTCAAATAGAATTAAATATGTTTTAATCTCAAAAATTTTCTTAGTTCTGATTAATTTTGCACTAATAAAATGTTCTAATTAAAAGCAGGTTTTGTTTTTTACAGAAATTTCATTGCTTGTTTCAATTTAAGTATTTATAATACTTGTAGACTTAGGATTTATATATATTGTATTTATTTCTAAAAAATATATGTATGCATTTTATTTGAAATTTTTGGTGTCAAAAATAGTTTACAATCCCTTAGAACATCAGTATAATACATTTCAAATATGTGTTTTAAACAAATGTATTTTTATACTTTTATATCCTTTTTTAGGTAGTCAATACAATAAACTTTTTTCCCCTGAACTAAAGTATAAGGGGGCCTTGGGTAAATTCTAAGTATAGGGTGGCACTTGGGTAAATGCTGAAGTTCATTTTTAATGATAATGGTTCTGGTAAGCTCTACTGTTTTCTGGCTTTTTATTTGAAGCCAAAGTTATCTACTACAGAGAATCAATCATATCTTGATGCCGATTAAAATTCTAGACCCTCTTCCAGAGATAGTATAACAAAGAATCCAATTAATCTTGGTCTGCATCTAAAAGATATACTCTGTAATGAGCTTTAAGTAGCCAAATCGGGTGAATTGAAGGTCTACTTCGTCTTTTCCCTGATGTACAACCTTTAACAAATTATTTAAACTCTGTAAGCCTCTATTTCTTTCTTTATAAAATGAGGATAATAAAAGTAGTATGTATTAAACAGTGTTAATGTGATATTTAAAAAACAATACATGAAAAACATATTGAATAGTCTGGTATTTTACTAATGTCAAGAAATTGTATGCTTTTACGTTTACAATGTAAAATTTGTTTTGGGACTTGAATGAAATCAAGCTTCTATTTTCAGCATCCATTTTCCTTTCTCTGACATTTTGGCCCCTTTCCAATTTTCTTTCTTCCTGATCCTCTCCACCACAATATAAGTTGGAGTGGATTCTGTATGGCCTTTCTGCTCAACAAAATGCTATTGGATTATAAGCAAACAAATAAAAGTACAGCTGATAAGACCTAGAATATGGTTTCTCCATATATTGATTTTATTTTAAGAAGAGATAGTCTATTCTAGAAGATTTTTTTTGGATGAATTACCTAGCAATTATACAATCCATATCATAGATAGATAACAGATCGATCGATAGATAGATGACAGATGGATACATGATAGATCGTTAGAAATATGACAGCTGATGAATGGATGGATAGCTAGACAGACAGATAGATGATAGATAGATAGATAGATAGATAGATAGATAGATAGATAGATACATACATACATACATACATACATACATACATGTTATAGACTCATTCCCTGTTAAGTGCCCTCTCAGAAGTCTCGGGTAAGTGATTTAATGGAGCTTTATTACCTCTGAGAAGTTGCTTCGCTCAAGTACTCATGCAGTTCCTGTGGGTCTTAATTATATCAGGCAGTTTCTATTTCCACAAAAAGCATTTTTTTTAATTTTTTTTACAGAAGAGAAAGAATGTGTTTTGCTTTCTAATTCTGGTCCCATGCCCACTACATTTTTTGCTTGCCTAATTTGTAACATTTTTCTTACTCGTAATATTATAGTTTTTCACATTTCCTTGATTTGACTATCAGATTCTAGAAGATAATGCTATAACTCAAACAACACGTTTTCTTTAGCACAGTAATTGGCCCATAATAGATGTTCTGTGAATATTTAAATAACTGAATTTAACTCAAAATATCTTATCCTCAAAGAATATTTTACAACATATTCTACATTTACATAGAAGTAATTTTCTTCCCTTTATTTTTACTTCATTGTACAGAAAAAAAAATCAGTATTTGCTAAGGTTGATAAGCTCCATAAAGATAAATTACTTTTATATTAGTATAAAATCCTTTTATAAATTAAAAAGCAATTGGCTGTTTACCATCAAACATTGCAAAGCACGTCAGAGTTTATATGATCCTTACTTTGTGCATCAAGTGCTCCAGTGAACAGATTAGCATAATTTCTTCTCATTGTTTATGTCCTTCACACATGTGTGAGAATGGTAATGTGCAGTATAATTTTTTGATACTATCTATTTCTCAAATATATTCCCACTAACATGTCTTTCATTGGGATTGATATAAACATGAACATAGCTATGGTAGACACTTCCTAAAGTAACCCCTGATGAATCAAACCTTTGTATAATTCCCTTGTATAATTCCGGTGGGTAAAACCCGGAACTTGCTCCTAACCAATAAAAAAGTAATGCAGATGTTGGTATCTGAGAGTAGGGTGCTGCTGGAAGAGACGTCTAAAATGTGAGAGTGGCTTTGGGACCAGGCAGGGGGTCAAGACTAGAACAATCTGGAAGAGCAAGACAGAAAGTTTAAATCACCATGAACAGACTGTTAGCAGAGATTTGAATGCTAAAGTGCTGCTGCTGAGAGCTTGGAAGGAAATCAACATGTTATTGAAACTGGGGGAAGAAATATTTGTGCCATGTAGTGGCAGAATATTTACAAAATTTTTCACTTGCACTTATGAGGAAAGTAGAACTTGTAAGTAATTAATTTAGTCATACAGCTAAGGAGATTTTCAAACAAAATATTGAAGTTGGGGCTTGATTACTTCTTTCTGCTCAAAGTGCAAGAAGTAAGAAATAGAAGAAAGACTTGCTTTAAAAAAAGGGATCGGGATTGGATGATTTTGAAATTATTAGCTACTCCAAATAGCAAAATACATTAAAATTCAGAGATTCACTCATTATCAGGAAAGCATACTTTAGAGAAAAGAATGAGGGCAAGATCGTATGCCTGTACACTGTTTTCCTAAAACCTCAGAAAGATCGAAAGATCAGGGTAGTCAATTGCACAAAGGGACTTTCAAAACATTAAGGGTGTGACTTACAGATCGTCTTAATCAAATTAGAGAGTCTGTAGGTAATTTAAGGGTGGTGTCCCTCAGCTATCCCAGCAATAGGCCAAGGTACAGAAAAATTATCTCAGAATGATCTGCGGCCATAACATTTTGTCTAATGGAGTAAATTCCAGGGAAGTCTATGGAGGACTCATAGACTTCCTTAGAAATTCAGTTCAGTACAAACACCACTAGCTTGGACCAAAAGGAAAGAGAGTATACATAATTAAAGGACATTTCCAGACACCAAAAACTCTACAGATTGGAAGGAATGTGACTGATAAAACTAAGATATAAACATGTGCTAAATTTTATAAAAAAGGAAGGACTATTTGATGACTGGAACTAAAAATGTAAAGAACATAGCTGAAAGCCATGAACAATATTTTTCCTAAGAACTGAAATCTAATCAAGGAAATACAGGTAGAGTTAGCACAGCTGTATTTCAAACCTGTCATGGACCAGTGACCCTTCCTTTACCTTGTATTTCTTACCTTTTGACCTGCAATGTCTGTAGTTGGCATCCTATTCTTGTTCCACAATTGTATGCTGGATGTGTTTTGGTAGCCAATTTGGCTGTTTTACTTCACAGGTTCACAATAGAGAGGAATTGTACCCCGTGAGCTGTACTTAATAAATTACAACCAGGAGCATCATCTATATATAACTGGACCAGATGTAGACGATTGAATTTTTAACCTTGTACTGATGCTGAAATAAAATAAGACTTTTGGGAATTTGGGGATGAGGTGAATATATTTTGCATTTGATTGTGAAACATTGGGACCGGAGAGCAGAATGTGAACTAGAATGAGCTAAAGTGGTTCACTGGCAGTCTCTTTAGCATAGTTTTCCTTGAGTACATTCAAAATGTGTGACTTGCTTGTAATCCACAGAAAACTAATACAGTGAGTTTCTTCTCATCTTCATAAATCATTGAAATTTTTCCACTCTACAGTATCCAATTTCTGGCCCTACCGTTCTATTGTGATAAAAGTGGAACCATATACGTAGAGAGAATGACATGTATATCATTAAGTGATAGAAAAGTGTATGGTCAAATATACTAAACTAATTAAGTCTAACTACCCAATAGATTTCATGGAATGAAGGGAGAAGGAGTATATATGAGATTAGCAAATAAGCAAAGATCAATATTGATATTGATTTTCATTCATGTTGAAGAGTTTGACATCACACTGAGAGGAGTAGAAGACTTATGAGCAGGAATAGAAATAATTAGATTTTTGTTCTGCAGTAGTGCCATTCAATACATTAGCTACTAGCAAAATTAGCTATTTACTTTTACATTTATTAAAATCGAATATAAGTGAAATTATGCCCTCAGTTGCATTAGCTACATGTCCAGGGCTCCATAACAATATGTGGTTACCATATTGTATAGTGCAGATGTAGAAGATTTTTATCATCACAGAGATTTTAACGGAAAGCACTGCTCTAAAATGTTAAATCTAGCTGTGAGATTGAAATAATCGGAGGCAGAAACAAAAGGAGTGAATTAGAGGAAAAAATGAAGTAATTTAAATAATCCAGTTGAGAGGTCATGGTAACAAAAATATGAGTGGAAAGAAGTATTAAAAAAGACCTCAACAACTTAATGGATGTTTCCATGTTGAAAATGGAGGAGAACTCGTAGTTTTTAAAAGGCACTCAAATTCTGATCAATAAATCTAATATAAAATGACATTTGTTGTACCTTAAGTTTTATTTATATTTAAAGGATAATATGGAAATCAGAACTCAAGTCTCTACAATGGCTTACTGCTGCCATTGCATCAAAAATTCTACACTATTTTCATTATTTTACCATCTAGGCAGCAAGACCTTCAAAGAATTGAAGTTGCTTTGACTACCCAGTGATTATATATTCCTGCCTCGTGAAAGGGTTCTCCATAAATATGTCTTGAATGAATGGAAAAAAATAAGAGAAAAATGGCATCTCACTAAATTACAACTATATGAAATAACACAAATATTCCTCTATTTCCAAGACTAAGCTCTGAGTTTTCTCTTTTGTTATTTTTAACACTTTTAAGATGGTAAAGCAGTAAGCAGCAAAAGATGAAAAAAATCTCTGAGTTTTTTTTTGATATGCTATGTATGAAAGATATACTCTCATAGCCTGTTTTTAGCAGGGTAGAGAATTAGAAAGGAAGATCCTCCAGGAAGCACGTTTATTGATTTTAATTGAGAGAGTAGAGAAGCAATCTTCTTTTAGCATTACTTGATGAGAAACATGACTATCTGAAGAATATAAAGGGGTCATCGCCTCTTACAGAATAGTTATCTCATGCCTGAAGAAATGTATGAGTCTGAAATTTGAACATTTTATTCAAATGAAAAGATGGTAAGGAAAATAGAACATCTTTGCTATCATCATTATCATATTTGGAGTTTAACTGTGCCCAAAGGTTTTTTCATATGTGAAGTGTCTCTCCGCAAATACATTTGCATATGAATTTTTTGTTGTTGTTGTCTGCTGCTACTTTTTTCTTCTGGGTGAAACTCTGTCCTCGAACATATGCTTATTACTAATTACATATTGCCTGTCTGCAGAACTTTTCAAATGTAAAGAGTTAAAGAGACTTATTTTATTCAACTTCTGAAGAAATTCTTATTACAGATATCCCAAATAAACTGATTTAAAAATAGAAAGTAATGAATTATTAAAGAATTTTCATATGATCATTGAGAGACTAGTAATAACGTTGACTCCATGAGACTATTTCAGACAATAAAGCCTGTATCATAGATGAAGTATCATTTGAAATGGAGACATATTAATGAATTTCACATGATCCATGGATGGTTTCCAAAACTTGATTTTATCTGTCAGATACAATTTGATTTCCTTGTACAGGTTTCTCCTATGTTTGATGACCAATATGTGTTTGTTATTCATAGAAAACATAAATTTTTTGTAAATATAAATATATACAATTTACCTTTGTTTTTCTGAATATTTTAAATAACTTTACAGCCCATAACTTTCCAATATTCGAGCTATGTTTTTTCCTTTTGTTTTCAAAATGCATTTAAAATTTGGGACTGTATTAAAATTTTGAGACCTTTTACAATTTAAACCATGAGGTCCTATTAAAGAACTAGTAAGCACTACTAAAATACGTAGTATGAAGAAGTTATTTTTGAAAGAATGTATTTTAATGGTAATATAATTTATTTTAATTTCATAAGGGTTAATGATTATAATTAGAATTATATTAGATATTCAAAATGAAAACATACTATAGGTTTGCCACGTGTTAAAATGGAAGACTGTTTAAAATAATTTCTCCTATATCAAATTCCTCAGTTTACACAGTCAGCATTTAAGAGCAACAGAGAATAGAAGAGCTAATGGCATCTATCCAAGATGTATAGTCAGCATTTCTTGTGTCTTCTCCATTCTTTTTTTCTTTATTGCAACCTTTTTTTAATTCTTTATTATTTGATTTTTATCTCAACATAACTAAAAAAAAAATCCTGTCTCAGCATTTTATGGAACTGAAAAAAATTATTGATTTGTTTTTATTCAAGCTTTTAAATTTATCATGCCAACTCTTTAAAAATAAGATAAAATAACTTTTTATATTTTTATAGGAGAAAAAAAATACCAGATTTTAATTTTATGAAGTAGAAAGTAAGTTCCACAGTTGGAAATGCAAGTTCTGAGTCATGGTCTGCCATATGCAAGCTACATATTCTCATAAGATTTCCATAATCCAAGTAACTTTACAACTTGAATGTTTTCATTCATAGCTCATGAGATTACTTTTACCATAAAATGCTTGGTTATTAAAATGTTTCACAAAATGTAAAAGTTGCAATGATATTACAAATTATTTTTTTCTGAAGTTCAGTTATCATTCACTGTAATAAAAAGTTTACCTCTACTTAAATATCACATTGAACTGCAAAATAGCTTCTTTCAAAGTTAAATGTATGAAATATTACTGTAAATTAATAAAGGCATGAATTCCTCTCCCAGGATTAGATATTTGGTGTTGTAGAGATTATTTATGGAGATAAAAGAGTTGCCTCTCCCCTCTTTTATCTCAGGTATGGCAGAAATCTAAGATTCAGTCCTAAGCAATTTTGTAAGTGAATTATTTCTCTCTTATTTTCACTTTACTTTCCTCTTCTCTCTGCTCTTTCTATCACTGATGCCCTCATGCTTCTTTGTTCTTGCAGGTCCTCTATTTGTGTGATGCTCTTTACCCTATGCCCTCTCCTCTAATGCAAAACATTTTCATTCCTTTCACCTCCTTCTTTTACACCCTTAAACTACTCTCTGCCAAACTTGCCCCATATTGCGGTAGAATGTGCTAAATTATTGGAACAAATCTGAAATGGAGATTTTGTATGTGTATTAAAAATGACTAAAAATGAGAATTTTTGTTTATATCATTGATAAAGAAAAAACTGATGAAACTTACAGAATATTCAGACTGAACATGCTCAAATTAACTAATATTCCCATCAGAACTTTCTTACTTATATCACATATATCCCATATAAAAATGGAATGAGTTTGCAAAAAAGAAAAGCAGTAATAGATTATAAAAGTTACTAATGGTATTACCAATTTTTATTAAAAGAAACAATATTTGATATTTCCATTTCCTCACTTTTTAAAATGGTGTAACTTTAGAGCATGTCAATGGCATTCTACTTGAAGATCACATTAGTGGTCTTTAAAGGCATCATATTAACAAAATTGTAATTTGAAAATGTAAGCACTCCATGAATGTTAGATCTTATTTGCTATTGCTATTATCATATGCCTAGCAATATTTCAAGCACTAAGGATGAAACAATGAGTATAACTTTTTTTCCCAAAGAAAAGTTAGAATATAATAAAATATACAGACTACTTAACAGATAATTGCAATGCAGAGATCTATGATAGTTTATGTGTCTAGTGTACTAGGCACACACACAGGCTTCTTAGTGGAAATTACAAATTATCTAACACCAATGCAAATGAAGAGTAAATACAAATATAAAATTTTTTATTCAAAATCTTTTCTGCAAAATGTGTGACAAAATTTAGATGAAAATTTAGATATGTAATTACATATCACATTTCTCCTGACTAAGCATATTTGTTGTATTATTCATTTTACTGCTGGTATTTAAAAAAATTTGATCCCCCCCCCGACTCAAACCAGCCCTGCTTCAGTATTCTCTCTTTTATTGATATATCAGTAAAGCCACTCAATAAAGTTTTCTTAACATCCATTTAAGATACTCAGGCCATTTTTCCTAGTGACATGAATTCATTATTCTCATCCTTTGTTGGTCTTATTTATTTGATGATGTTCTTTCTGTTCTTGTTAGTTATGCAAAACCCTATGCAATGATATAAAGGCAAACTTATAAAAGAAGCAACTGTTATGAGTTGTCATAATCCCTCTCTTATTTAGAATACCTTTAGAACTTAACTATATATTTTATCACCTCTGAGTTATATATGTATCCATTGCAATCCCAATCATATTCTAGAAAGTTTAATCAAAACTGACAAGTGGATATATAATTTATATGAAGTTTCAAAGAGCAAATAGCCAAAGCAATCTGTGTAAAGAACAACTTGCAAGATTTAAACTACCTGATGTTGAGACATATAATAAAGCTATATCAACTAATACAATGTGTTATTGGTACAATAATAGATGAATAAACGAATGGGAGACTCTAGAAATAGCTTACACATTAATTGTTTCCAGGTTTATAACATGTTTGACACTGACATGCTATGGGTGAAAAAAAAAAACACATTTCAATAAATTCTGTTGGATCAACAGAATATTTACATAGAAAACTAAATCATGTTAACCTCTAGCTTACTGCATGCATAAAATCAATTTCAGATAGATTTTGACCTAAATATGAAAAGAAAACAAATAACGTGTTTAGAATTACATACAGGCAAATATATTTATGCTGTTGACATAAGCAAATATTTTAAAATTAGACTGAAAAAGTGCTAACTATGAGGGAAAATGGATAAATAAGACTGCATTTAAATTAAGAATATGTTCATAAAAAGACATCATAAATAGAGTAAAATACAGCCAGTAGAATGATAGAAGATAATTTCAATACATATATCTAAAAAGGGAGTTGTTTCCAGAACACATAGAAAGACAGAAAACTTAACAATGAGAAATTTCTCTAAGAGTCAATTTACAAGACTACCTAAGTTTTTCATAAGCATATGACAATGTGTTCAATTGTGTTAGTCGTAAAGAAAATGCAAATTAAATATTTATGTAAATAGAAGTAGTTAAATATATATGTTTGTGTGGATATAATTAAATATATATAACACAAAGCTAGAAATAACAGTAAGAGTAGAAATTAGTAAATATATACTATGATGTAGTTAAAAACAGGGGTATAATTTCTTTACTAAGACAATAAACAAACTTTTTCTACATTCGAAAATATAGATGAATCTCCCAAAATAAAAATGAGCAAAGCAAATTTGGATGAAATAGAACTAAAGACTTCCCTTTCATTTTTTATTTAACTTGAGAGTGATGAGATCCTGACTATTCTGTCTCAGAAAAATTGCCCTTTGAGAAGAGGAGGAGTATCAACATATGATATTGGCATTCATGTTACAGCATGTAGCACAGATTATTTATTATAACATTGTATTACATAATTCATGTAGCAACTGAAATAGGTTACTTCTGTAATTTAATTTATTCCTATACATTACAATGTTATCGATTTTTACTTTTGTTCATTAACATCAATCACTGATTTATTTAGGCACCATTTTGCTTTAGAAACTTCATTCAAAAGTTTTTATAACACATATTATGGTATAAATATTTATTTAATGATAACATTAACTTTTATTTTAGCAACTCAAGAAACCTGCTTGATAGAAAACATTAGCAGGCTTCTAGTTACTTTTTTGTGAAAATCTCTTTGAAGTGACTCCAACTTTTATGCCTGTGATATTGTTGTTTATAGTTATGGTCAAAACTTCTTAGTGAACCACATACCAAGAAGGCAATTGTTTTCATTACTTAATACTGAAATTTTATTTGTTAAATTTTTGCAGGAGAGATTGATTAAATTCCATGGTGTATTCTCACATTTTCAGTAATTACAAGGAATTTAGTTCTTGTCAATCACATTATTAACATTATTCTCAAATATTAGGCAGGCACAAATTTTTCAAACAAGTTAGGAATTTTAACATTTTAAAAGTAAGATAGTTTATAATCTGTGTTTAAATTGTAATTTACATTCCTTATTCTGGCTCAAATTTTTGTGTTTGATAAATGATTTTATTTAGAATTTCACTTCGTTTATAAGTTTGAAAAATAGTTCTATATAATTGTTGCACACTAAATTACTGTCATTTTCCCACAGAAGAATATTTGTGTGACTTAAAACATGTTAGCAAGGCTTTAAAAATCTGGAGAACTGTATATAATTTCCCATAATAATAAAATGAAGGAATAGTGAAATAGAATGTTCTACATCAATGATATTTAAAATTAGAATAAGAACCATTACTGAGGAGGATAGTCACTTCTGGAATGATGGCTGAGGTGCTCTATAGATTTTCTTCAATGAAATAACCACGGATGGTCAAAAGTATTATTTAAAAAGTACCTAATGTAGCTGTGAATTGTCCTAAGGGCAAACTTCATTGAAAGAAACATGTATTTAAGAATGTCTATGAAATCTTGAAGACCAAGAAAAGGCTAAACATTGAGCCATGACCAGCTCCCTTTCCCATCACCCCTGGCTCAGGGTGAAAAGATCTCCATTTCAGTTACATATGGCTGGAAAGACAGAATTGTGACTCTCCCCGGTTTCCAGTTGAGTGCTAGGATATCTGTACAGGAAGTTTTTGTAACTGGCATTTCTTATGACTCCCAGGTACATATTGCAGAGGGGACTAAACTCCAGGAAAGTGTGATCAAGAGGCCAGGGTTTCCATTTCACTATGCAGTCCCTGTCAAAGGAAAAAGTTTCTATGGGCAGGAAATAATAGAACTTCAATTGCCCTTGCTCTAGCTCATTGATAAAGTCATGTTTCATGCTAGGAGGATCAAGATGAAAAGACCAGGGGTCACCATAACTGGACTGTATCCTGCTTATAAAGTAAGATGCCACTCAGAAAAGCAGCCAACTGTCTCCACTGACAGCTATGAAGAACTGGCTTGGATATTTGGTGTCATGTGAGAGACAGACCATAAGGGAAGGCTCAAAAGCTCTCCCCGAAAGAACTGGCTTTCTTTATACCCCAATGTGAGCCTTTATATTACATCATATTGATTTTGGGGGTGAGCAACTAAGAGGAGGCTGGTAGCTCTGGGAAAATAGTAAAATAAGCTGCAGACCAGCTAGTTTACAGAACATACCAAGGAAAAAGAGCATTTTCCAAAAATACAGCAACCATCCAGCAATGAATGAAGCCAAATTGCCAGCTGTGGTACCATCAGAAGCAGACGGCATTATAGAGGGAAGAGATGCTCAAAGAGAGCCCTTCCATAAACACTGTCATCTCAGAATCACTGTTCATAGGCTCAGGGGTGAGTTTTCTGAGGGGTGAACCAGAACCCCACAAAGTAGAGGAAATAGAGTTTACCATTAATAAAGGCAAGTCACTTAAACAAATATATGAAAAAACAAGCATTTGGAGGAAAGGGGACTTTAGTATATGGAGCTGCTATAATGCTATATAAAATGTCCAGTTTTGAAAAGAAATTGTGACATACATAGAAACAAAACAGTGTGAACCAAACATAGGAAAAAAAAAATCAGCAGAAACTTTGAGAGAGCTCAGATGTCAGACTTAACAAAGACTTCTAAATAGACATAAATATGTTAAAAACTAAAGAAAACCATCTTTAAGAAACTAAAGAAGAGTACTATTATGATGCCTTATTAAATATGGAATACCAGTAAGGGGACAGAAATTACAAAAAAAAGAACAAGACAGTAATTCTCCTGTTGAAAAATTTAATAACTGAAATAAAAAAAATCCTAGAGAGAATCAACAATGGATTTAAATTGGCAGAACAAATCAGTCATCTCAATACACACAGAAAAGTCATTGGATAAAATGTAATGCCTTGTCATCATAAAAACTTCTCAACAAAAGTAGGAATAGAGGAAACTTTCTCAATGTGTTAAAAAATGCCTACAAAAACTCCATAGTTAATAACATACTTAATAGTCACTCTGTACTAAATGTTTGTGTTCTTCCAAAATTCACATGCTAAAACTGTACTCCTCACAGTGGTAATATTTGCCCCGGGGTCTTTGTGACATAATCAGGTCATGACAGTGGCGCCTTCATGGTGGGATTAGTGCCCTTATATGAGAAGGTAGAGAGCTTGCTTGCTCTCTCTGCCCTATCTTTGGTGAAGATACTATAAGAAGGTGGCCATCTGAAAACTGGGAAGCAGGGCTTCCCAGTGGCAGGTTGCTAGACCTGCCAGCAACTTGATCTTGGATATCCCAGCCTCCCCCATAATCATAAGTATTTTGTTTGTTTAGGCCATACAGACTATGATAATTTAACAGCCAGAGCTGTCGAAGATCATTGTAAAACACTGAATATCATCCACTGAGATTAGCAACAGATCACCCTTGCCACCACTTATGTTCAACATGGAGGCCCTATTTGGGAAATTAGGCAAGATAATTTTAATAAATTCATCCGGATTGATAAAGAAATAAAACTATTTCATTTGCAGATGACATGGTCATGTACATAGAAAATCCTAAGAAATCCGTGCAAAAATATCAATATATAAAAAGCAATTTTTTGTTTCTATACAATAGCAATGAACAATGCAAAAATAAAATAAAGCAAACAGTTCAATTTGCAAGAGTATCAAAAGGGGTGAATTACTTAGGTGTAAACTTTACAACAAGAACTACAGGAGATCGAGACCATCCCGGCTAAAACGGTGAAACCCCGTCTCTACTAAAAATACAAAAAATTAGCCGGGCGTAGTGGCGGGCGCCTGTAGGCCTGTAGTCCCAGCTACTTGGGAGGCTGAGGCAGGAGAATGGCGTGAACCCGGGAGGCGGAGCTTGCAGTGAGCCGAGATCCCGCCACTGCACTCCAGCCTGGGCGACAGAGCGAGACTCCGTCTCAAAAAAAAAAAAAAAAAAAAAAAGAACTACAGAAAAATCTGAAAGATATTGTAGAAATCTAATTAATAGAAAAACGTTCTATGAGCATAGATTGTAAGAATTAACATTGTTAAAATGGCAATGGTCCCCAAATTGCTCTGTGGCTTCAAAGTAAACCCTATCAAAATTCCAACTTCGTTTTTTTTTTTTTTTTTGTAGACATTGACAAGCTGATTCTAAAATATATGTGGAAATTGAAGAGACACTAAATAACCAAAACAATCTTGAAAAAAAAGAAAAAAAATGTTGAAAGCTTCCTGCAAAGCTACTGTAAACAAGACTATGTGGTGCTAGCATAAGACAGACATATCTTTTTTTGAGATGGAGTCTCACTGTTACCCAGGTTGGAGTATATTGGCACGATCTTGGCTCACTGCAACCTCTGCCTCCTGGGTTCCAGCAATTTGATTCTCATACCTCAGCCTCCTGAGTAGCTGGGACTACAGTCGTATGCCACCATGCCTAGCTAATTTTTGTATTTTTAGTAGAGATGGGATTTCCCCATGTTGGCTAGGCTGGTCTCAAACCCCTGACCTCAGGTGTTCCACCCGCCTCAGCCTCCTAAAGTGCTGGGATTACAGGCATGAGCCACTGCAACCAGCTATAAGATAGACCTATCTATAAATGGAATTTAATTGAGTGTGCATTATTTAACCCTCACATTTGGAGTCTATTGTCAAAAGTGATGGCAAGACAGTTGAATGGGGGAAAGAAGAGTTTGCCTAACATATTGTTCTGGGGCCACTGGATATCTACTTTAAATGAATCAGGTTGGACTACGTTTTTATCTTTTATTTTAAAAATCCTTAAAATAGATAAACGCCTAAATGTAAGAACTTAAGTTATCAAGCTTTTATAAGAAAATACAGAAATAAATTATGAACTTTGATTAAAACTTTCTTAGATGGAACACCAAAATTGCAAGCAACAAGAAAAGGAAATAAATTGGACTTCATCTAAATTTCCTGAAAATGTGTTTCAATGGACACCAAGGAGAAAGGATAAAGACCACTCACAGAATAGTACAAAATATTTTTAAAAATTATTTATCTGATGAGGGACTTAATGTAGAATATATAATATATTCAATAAGAAAAAGAGAAGCAACCCAGTGTAAAAATAGGTAAGGAAATCTGAATAACCATTTCTCCAAAGAAGGTATACAAATAGCCAGTAAGAAAGTAAAAAGATGCTGAACATCATTAGTCATCAGAAAAATGCAAATCAAAACCACAATGAGCTATAATTTCACACCCAGTAAGATGGAAAATGTTGGTGAAATTGTGGAGAAACTGAAACTCTCATATAAAATAGTTAACACATTTTGTAAAACAGTCTTTAAGTTCGTCAAAATATAAAATATTGCTTGGTAATAAATAGGAATCAAGTACCAAAACATGGTACAAATGGATGCTGTGAATGAAGAGGTATGAATGAACTTTGCAAACAGAACGCTAAGTGAATGAAGATAGTCACAAAAGACCACAGAGTGTATGATTATATTTATGTGAAATATGCAGTATAGACAACCTATAGATAAAGAAAGTAAATTAGTTGTGGAATGGACATGGTATGAATGAACCTTGCAAACATAATGCTAAGCAAATAAAGATAGTCACAAAAGACCACAGACTGTAAGATTATATTTATATAAAATGCGCAGTATAGACAATCTATAGATAAAGAAAATAAATTAGTTGTGGCCTAGTGTTAAGAAGATTTGGTGTGAAATAAGGGGATGATAATGGGCATGAAATTCCTTTCGGAGTGATTTCCTAAATTGTTTCACAAATATTTAAAAATTGATTGTCGTGATGATTTCATGTCTCTCTGAATATGCTAAAACATTCAATTATATTGTGTAGGGATTATACCTCAATCACACTGACACAAAAAGAGAATCCTCTTGGTGATAGATAGGAGCTCAAGTTACAGGATATGACAAAATTTCAATCACTTGGAACAAAGGGTTCTGGGAAAATTATATCATCGGCTTCTCAGTCAACTGTTATAAACATCATCAAATTATTGATCTCTCCTTACCCAATAACAATACATGTTTCTGTCTCATTCAAATTATAGCTGAAACACAGACTTTGTTTTTTAAAGGAAAGCACTGTCTTGCTTAAACGGACTTCATACTTCTTATTCTTTGGCAACCCCAGGTGCCCTAGGCTTTCCAGTATCTACTGTTTTGAGATGTTAATCACTGCGCTTCCTCTTTTTTTTTTTTTGGCCATCATTTTTTGTCTTAAATTCTTATTTCAGATTTTAAATAACTATTAGCTCTTTTTTTACATCTATTTTTCTGTACTTCCTTTTAATTAATCACATTCCGTAGTTGTGCCAGGGATTTGTTTATTGTCCTGTCACATCAAGAACCAGGATTGAACCATTTCCTGTATGTACAACACCATCACCTATGTGATTGACAATGTTACTACTCTTTATATGGCAGGGATAACAAATGAAAAAGGTAAAATGAAGAATGGAAGGTATGCATATGAGACAGTATGAGTGAACTGCAGAATCTCAGGACACTAGTAGCACAATTTTAAAAGGCAGCATGAAGGTGAGTGTCAACATACTGACAAAATACAGAGTGAACATAATCATTGACTTGGAGAAAATAAGAAATGATTCAGAAATTGAATGACCTGAAGTTTTGTACATATGTAAAAACAAGCTTTTAGAGGGTCTGGGAACTATTCTACATCCCTTATGTCAGTGGTCCTCAACCTTTTTGGTACCAGATACTGGTTTCATGGAAGACAGTTTTTTCCGTGGGACAGAAGGAGTGGAGGGATGGCTTCAGCATGAAAATGTCCCACCTCAGATCATCAGGCATTAGATTGCCATAAGGAACTAGCAACCTAGATCCCTCGCATGCTCAGTTCACAATGGGGTTTGTGCTCCTATGACAATCTAGTGATCCTGCTGATCTGACAGGAGGCGGAGCTTGGGCCATAATGCTGGCTCACCTGCTGCTCACCTCCTGCTGTGCAGCCAGGTACCTAACAGGCCACAAACCCATACCAGTCTGCAGCCCAGGGGTTGGGGACCCCTGCCTTATGTGCAATGTTTTACTTACAGTCCAAGTAGCTCCTTTTGTTTCTTGGTTTAAGGTGCCATCTTTCAGTGGTAGTAGGTGAATATTTATTTATTTCGGATAGTACTTTTTTTTTTGGTTTGTTTGTTTGTTTGTTTGTTTTTGAGATGGAATCTTTCTTTGTTGCCCAGGCTGGAGTACAGTGACACAATCTCAGCTCACTGCAACCTCTACCTCCTGGGTTCAAACGATTCTCCTGCCTCAGCCTCCTGAGTTGATGGGATTACAGGGTGCTCCATGCCTGGCTAAATTTTTGTATTTTTAGTAGAGATGGGGTTTCGCCATGTTGCCCAGGCTATGCTCAAATTCCTGAGCTCAGTCAATCCACCTGCCTCGGCCTCCCAAAATGTTGGGATTACAGGCCTGAGCCACCGCGCCTAGCTTGATGGTGCATTTTCGAATTCACCGATAAAATTGCTAAGTATTTACTGATTTAATTTACTAAATTTCTATACTTGCTTTATAAATATGTCTATAATAAATCCTTAATTAAATTGATATTTGTCGAGTAGATGATTTAAAAAATAGAGAAGACTGTATATGCCTATGTAGAAAATTGAAATTTGAACAGACCTATATAATCATTATTCCCTAGAATTTAAACAGGATTTGGATTTAGGGAAATTGTTTAAATGAATTTTTACTTTAATTAGTGAATATTCTAGATTCTTTTCTACAAATTTTAAAAATAATTTAGTTAAACTTTACATTAATATTAATATATTAATGTCTTTTTTTTTTTTTTTTTTGAGATGGAGTCTCACTCTCCCACCCAGGATGGAGTTCAGTGGCACCATCTTGGCTCACTGCAAACTCTGCTTCCTGGGTTCAAGCAATTCTCCTGCCTCAGCCGTCAAGTAGCTGGGACTACAGGCACCCACCACTTGCCCAACTAAATTTTGTATTTTTAGTACAGACAGTGTTTCACCATATTGGCCAGGCTGGTCTAGAACTTCTGACCTTAGGTGATTCACGTGCCTTGGCCTCCCAAAGTGCTGGGATTACAGCTGTGAGCCATGGTGAAAAGCCTTAATGTCTTTTTTCTAACAAATTCAAAATTTATTTGTGAAGAAATATTTTAAAGTATCAAATTTTCTTTCATCTTTAGAAAACTAGAGTGTTCAGATAATTAATTCTATAAAATTCAGTTGAATATATTAATTTGACATAGAGCAAGCTATAACTCAACAATTGTTCAAGATCCTCTCAATAGAACTCAGATTCCAGAGGAAACTAGTGAGCTTAACAAAGGAAAATAAAAGCAGTGGACATCAACACCTTCAAAATAAGATTTTATTTTCCCAGCAGTGAGAATTAATTGTGATTAATTAATATAACTAATCTAAAACTATATATGTAATGTGGAAAAAAGCACATCAGTAATTATATTTTATTTTCTTCATATTCTGTGCTTTTGAAAACCAGGATTTTTTATGTGGAAGAACAAGATAATAGACATACAATATGGTACAAATTCAGATGGAATATGAACGATAAATGAGGCAATGTGTAAAGATAGAAGATACTTGATATAATATTATAGATGCTACATGGAAGAATTAAGTCAAAAGCATGTGTCCTGAATCTTTGAGTTAGAAACAGCAGTATGATTAATTTATTCATAGTCTGTCTTGTCTTGTCTCATCTATCATCTATCTATCTATCTATCTATCTATCTATCTATCTATCTATCTTCTATCTATCTATCTATCTACCTACCTACCTACCTACCTACCTACCTATCAAGCAATAATCCCTTTATTCTGCCTTGTGTACCAAATAGACCTAAATGACCAAGTCTGGAATCAATATGCATCCTTAACACCCAGACCAGATTGTAATCTAGCGATACTATTTTCCACTTATGTAATGGAGGCTTCTTGGAGAAATATTTGCCTTTATGTATGGGTCAGAAAATGAAAAAAAAAATAGTTTCTTTTGCTTCTGAAAACAGCAAGCAATAAGAAAGTTACCAACGACAATGTAGTTCTGTGCCAATCAAATAGTAGACTCCCTGGACAAAAACAGACAATATTCACTTCAATAAGGACAAGTATGATCATGGATTTAAATCTATAGTGTACATTTAAATCCATGATTTTAAGGTGATTGAAAAATATCTTGTCTCCTTCTGAGGAAATCAGAATAAACAGTTTGTTTTTAAAATAGAAACAATAATAAGAAATAACCATACATTAAATCTATTTCTCTACATGAATGTACCCCTGGAAAATCAAACTGCTTCTTTATAAGACTATTTCCTCCAATAAATAAAAGCACACTGACTTCAAATATTACTCTACAACCCAAGTAAATAACGGGATCTATCTGACAACAGCTGCTAATATTTTTTTAAGCGAAACACACACACACACACACACACACTCATATGTGTCTCCTGATGTGTGTCTCCTGGAGAAAGAAAACATCACCTGTAACCTTACTAAACTTCTGGGACCAGCTGACAGATTAAAGGTAATACAGAGGGCAGAGGAACATGTCAAATTGCTCTATGAGTGAACAATCAGCAAATTCAAGACAGTGTGAGTCTAAACAAATCAAACAACCACTGTCCTTCAAGGGAGAAAGAAAGTATGGAGATCTGCAGCTTTAAGAGACTTTTGTTTTTTTGAGATGGAGTCTCATTCTCTCACCCAGGATGGGGTTCAGTGGTGCCATCTTGGCTCACTGCAACCTCTGCTTCCAGGGTTTAGGCAATTCTCCTGCCTGAGCCTCCTGAGTAGCTGGGACTACAGGCACCCACCACTTGCCCGACTAAATTTTGTATTTTTAGTACAGACAGTGTTTTACCATGTTGGCCAGGCTGGTCTAGAACTTCTGACCTTAGGTGATTCACGTGCCTTGGCACGTGTTTTTTAAAGAAAACTAAGCTATAGTGTTCAGAGATGCACATTTGGATGACAAAACCATGTGGAAACAAGAGAAGTGATTACCATAATTTCAGAATAGCTGTTACTTTTAGAGAGACTAAGGGGACAGACATTGGAGGAGGCACATGAAGGCCTTCTGGGCTGCTAGGCAGAGTAGAGTTTTCTATTTTTTGTCCCAAGTTGTTATTACAAAGGTATTCATCTTGTATTAACAAATTAAGCTCTACATTTTTGTATGGTTTTCTAAGAATAGCTGAGCTTATTTAACATTATAAAGGTTGATAATGTTATAGACATAGCCAACAAAATCCCAATGTGTATTTTGCTACATATTTTTGAATAATTATAACACGTGATTTTCCACAAGTCCCAAACATATATAATATGAGAAATGGATTATGAAAGTTCTTTTTAATAAACTAAATTCCATTGCATTTTAGAAAATTCACCTTTTAAAACTTTATTGCCATTGAGATCAATATAATCATTGTCTATAATATCGTGTATTCACATAGGCAACGGTAATGCCGTGAAACACTGAGAAAATAAGACGGCTCAAAGGGTATTCAAACTTTTACTTTAGAAAATGAAAAGGGAAAATAAAGAAACTGCAGAAGAGAGGCACTGCAAGTTTTGCATAATTGCTTTGTAATTTTACTCTGGGCAGAAAATTAGGACATTTAGAATAACCCCTTTGATGAATTTATGGGCCTCTTGTCTTTCCTTATTCTCTCCCTCCAAGCAGAAGAAGATGAGGGGACAATCAACTGCAGCATTCTTTCCATATGCTTTCTGAGTGATACCTTTTCTCTAGGGTAAGCAGGTTTGCAAACAGTGTTAGTTTTCTTTATCTCCATGGCTGAAGATGGGCAGGGCTTACTGCTCCTCAGGGTCCCTCAAGTGCTAGAGACACTACATTTTTTGAATCTCTGTCTATTTCTTGTTATCCTAGAGCATGGTTGAACCCTCGGGTCCACGGTGGGCTATTTCTCTACCATGTCTTTCTACACTCTTGTCTCTGCAAAATTTTATCCTTTCTGGAAATCATTGCTGGTTAGGCCTTTGAAGGAAGAAAACATAAACCTTGAAATACGCCTTTACTTTCTTTCCAGAATTCTTTTTATCATTCGGTAGAAACAAGCAGACACTATTGAGTTTATCGATTTCCTGACTTCTGACTTTTAGTATAGCTGTATAACCTGGTTTATTCAATCACATGTTTCAAAAGGAGGAGAATAAAAAAAATTAAACACCTTTTCTCTGCAGATAGGCCTAACTCTTAAACACATTTTTAATTGTAGATTTACAAATTTATATTAAATATTAGATTCAAATATTAAAATTTTATTCTACTTTGTCCTGAGATATCTATTTTAATTCTTCCATCACTATCCCCTCAATGGAACAGTAGGGATGTACTTCAGGAAAATTAGAAATACAGTCATGAAAAAGGAAATATGAAAGAGATAATCACATTGATATATTGCATGGCTGTGGATTATATTTCAGAAAAACTAGTGCATTGACTCAAATGTTAAGCAGGAGTAATGAAGAGATAGAAAGCAAAGTAAAAAGACATCATGGAGACAATAGCTGAATTAACAAACCAAGGACCTCAAGTTTTACTATGGCCAAGTCACCAAGGGAGTCAGTCAAAAATAAACTGGAGTATAGGGTTAAGAAATAAGCTTTTGAGTATTAAGGAAAGAGACTTAAATATTACAGAATGAGTTGGCTAATATAAGATAAAG
The DNA here is from genome assembly GCF_000001405.40 of Homo sapiens. NCBI lineage: Eukaryota > Metazoa > Chordata > Mammalia > Primates > Hominidae > Homo > Homo sapiens. The sequence goes on along the minus strand of NC_000021.9, from coordinate 23,294,419 downwards.
GCACTCCCAGATGTCCATCTGGCATTTAAGAGTCTTTATTAAGAAGCCATGGTTTCCTAAGGAAAAAGCAGCATTATCAAATATTATAAATGAATAATTACCTAATTTATTAGTCAATTAATTTTTTGGAGACTGTGGATACATGGCAATGTTGTACATAATTGTTTAAAAACCTGTGGTGCTCGATTCCAAATATAATTGGAATTGTTCAAAAGGGATTTGGCTCCTTAAAATGGTAATTGCTTTAGCGGTGGTTAATTTAACTGAGAGTCAACACTCCCCAGGGAGTAAATAGTTTTGTGTTATAAATAGGAAACTGTTTGCCAGCAATACAAACTAAATGGTAATAGGTCATGGAATAGAGAACTATCCTGACCCAAAATAAAACGCCATAAACAGAGCAAGTGGAATTTACAATTAAAGTATAAATCATAGTTCTTTATAAGCCATATTCTTCCTACTAAGAAAAATAAAGTCATCAGAGTTAAGGATCTATAGAGTCATCAAGGACTTACTTCTAAAACCATATCAGTTGGAACTGGAATAAAATTCAAAATAGACACTGAAAATGATACTGGCTTACTAATGGCCACCATTCATTGATTTTTCTCATTTAATTAATTATAATTGATCATTAATGTTGATGTAACCAGAATTTGTATTCGGTTTGAATTTAAAATTGGTAAAGTCACTATGTAACTTTTTTTATACCATTGAAAAGAAAAAAATAAAAGAAAATAGACATCAAATATGAGTTTCTCTTTAGGAAACAACTGAAACAATTTATATCATGATGAATGGGGTTAATGAAATTAATGTGTAACATGTTAACAAATCCCATTTTCTAACATAAACATAGTCTATGAATTAAATAACATTTATAAAGGTTCGCATATTTTTAATTAAATGTTGCATTTCAAGGAAATTTAAAAAGAGACTTTATGTTTATTTTTCAATTAAAAACCCAAGCATAATATGAAATAGACTGAGATTCTTATTTATCCTACCTAGGATAGACCATTTAACTAACATCTTTCCCATCCATCTCATCTTCTTGTTCTAGACTTCGGTAATTACCTGGATGTCAACGTTGTTGCTTACTGAGGAGAATCATGATCAGCCTAGGACTTCAAAAAGTCAAAGTTCTTACTATACAAGATTCTATGTTTCTATGACATATTGAACTTCATGGTGCATCTTTTTAAAAATAAATAAATAAAGTTTCAGCAATAGTTTTAGATTTCAAATTTCCTGTTCCACATCTACCCTGCATCAGTTATTGTGATAGATGCTATAGATAGATACAGCACTCAAACATGGCTCCTGAATATGGAGTTGAAGGGATGGATGAACACATATTCAATACTGAGTTCTAGATACTATGGCTGAAATATATGAAGCATCAACTGCTGGTGAAAAGGGAATAAATACAAAAACATTAATTTGTCACATATATTATGTAATTTATTTTACAATAAAATAAGATTATTGTTATGAGACAAAAATACCAGTACCTTAGATTATTAAATAAGGGCAAGGTATGGTGGCTCATACCTGTAATCCCAGCACTTTGGGAGGCCGAGGTGGGCGGATCACGAGGTCAGGAGATCAAGACCAGCCTGACCAACATGGTGAAACCCCGTCTCTACTGAAAATACAAAAATTAGTCGGGCATGGTGGCGCATGCCTGTAAACCCAGAAGGGATTTACTCAGGAGGCTGAGGCAGGAGAATCACTTGAACCTGGGAGGTGGAGGTTGCAGCGAGCTGAGATTTTGGCACTGCACTCCAGCCTGGATGACAGAGCAAGGCTCTGTCTCCAAAAAAAAAAAAATATTAAATAACACGATATTGCAATAAAGCTAAAATTCTGTCAAAGTCATTTAATGTTTTTAAGCAAACACAGCACTGATAAGTTTTGCCACTTCCATTTTTTAGTCACGTGATCCTCTCTGTATGCTATCATGTTGTATCTGCTAAAATTTTCTTGCCCAGTATTTTATGAATATTTTTCATTTATTGTAACCTATGATCACATATACTGTCATAAATGTAAACATTTTCAAAATCAAAGATACTCTTTACAGATAACTTTTGTTTAAGCTATGAATTTTAAAGACATCCATCTCCTATGGACTGGAAGTCATATGTTAAGTAAAATAAGCCAGGCACAGAAAGACAAACTTCATGTGTTCTCACTCATTTGTGAAAGCTAAAAGTAAAACAATTGAACTCACAGAGATAGAGAGTAGAATAATGGTTACCAGAGGCTGGGAAGCCTAGTGGTGGGGGTGGTAGGAAATGATGATGGTTAACGAGTACAAAAATATAATTAGATAGAATGAATAACATCTAATATTTGATAGCATAACAGCATGACTGCAGTCATCAATAGTTTATTGTACATTTTAAAATAAATAAAAGATTATAATAGGATTGTTTATAGTACAAAAAAAGATAAATGTTCAAGGTACTGGTTACCCCATTTACCCTGATGTGATTATTATGCATCCTATGCCTGTATCAGAATGTGTCCTATACCCCATATATACACATACACATATATACATATACATATATATGTGGATACACAAAAATTAAAAATTAAAGAATTTTTAAAAGGACACATATCTCTTCAACTATGCTGATAGTTATAGTAATGCTTTGTCTTTTTTAAATTAATAAACTTAATTTGAGTACTTTTGTTTCACAGAAAAGTTGAACAGAAAGTAGAAGAAAGTAGAATTCCCATACACATCTTCAAGCTTCCCCCAGTTTCTCCTATTATAAACATAAGATCTTGAATTAGTCTAGTACATATTCATAGTCCAGTACATACTCAACAGATAAGCTAATATTGCTACTTCATTTCAATTAAAAACCATAGTTTACATTACACTTCACTCTTTTTGTTGCATCTTCTATGAGTTCTGTCAAATGAATAATGGCATGTGTCCACCATTACATTGTCATCAAGAATAGTCTTACTCCCCTAAAAATCTCCTTTTTTCCTCTTATTCATCCCTCCCTTCCTCACTCTGAACACCTGGCAACCATTGATATTTTTATTATCTTCATAGTTTAACCTTTTCTAGAATGTCCTATAGTGAATGTCATATAGCTGGTATCATCCAGTGTAGCATTTTCGGATTGGCTTCTTTCACTTAGCAATATATATTTAAGCCTCTCCTATGCCTTTTTTTTTTTTTTTTTTTGAGACAGAGTTTCGCTCTTGTCACCCAGGCTGGAGTGCAATGGTGCCATCTCGGCTCACTGCAACCTCTACCTCCTGGGTTCAAGTGATTCTCTGGCCCCAGCCTCCTGAGTAGCTGGGATTATAGGCATCCACCACCACGCCCAGCTAATTTTTGTATTTTTAGTGGAGACAGGGTTTCATCATGTTGGCCAGGCTTGTCTCAAACTCCAGAGTTCAGGTGATCCACCCGCCTTGGCCTCCCACAGTGCTGAGTTTACAGGCATGAGCCATGGTAAGCTATGCCTTTTAATGACTTGATAGCTCATTTATTTTTATTGCTGAATAAGGTTCCATGGTGTGAATAGGCCACTGTTTATCCAACTCATTTACTGAAGAATATCTATAGCTTCAAACTTTAACAATTTTGTATGAAACTGTTATTAATATTTATGTGCAGGTATTTTGTGAAAATAGGTTTTCTGATAGTTTTACTAAATTTGAAGGAAAATGATTATTGGGTGCTATAGTCAGAGTATGTTTAGTTTTGTCAAAAACTGTCAAACTGTCTTTAAACTGGCTGTAGCATTTTGCATTTTCACTAACAATGAATGAGAATTCCTATTCTTCCACATTCTTATCAACATCTGACATTGACATTGGGATTTTTGCTATTCTAGTATGTGTATTGTGGAATCTCATTGCCATTTTAATTTGCAATTCCCTAATAACACATGATGTTGAGCATCTTTTCATATGCTTATTTACAATCTATATATCTTCTTTCATGAGGTGTCTGTTCAAATCTGTTGCCCAATTTTACTTAGGTTGTTTGCTTTCTTACTGTTTGCCTTTTAGGAGTTCTTTGTATATTTTGAATACCCATATCTTATCAAGTATATGTTTTGCAAGTATTTCTCTAAGTCTTTAATTATAAAGCCCATGGACCTCTACTGAGAAGATCAAATCTATGAGGTTCCTTTTGCAAATTTACATTGCTGATAAAGACATACATGAAACTGGGTAATTTATAAAGAAAAAGAGGTTTATTGGACTCACAGTTCCACTAGGCGGGGAGGCTCACAATCATGCCAGAAGGTGAAAGGCACATCTTACATGGTGGCAGACAAGAGAAAATGAGAGCTAAGTAAAAGGGGAAATTCCTTACAGAACCATCAGATCTCATGAGATTTATTCACTACCCTGAGAACAGTAAGGTTGAAATTACTGCCATGATTCCACTATCTCCCACTGGGTCCCTCCCATTGCATGTGGGAATTGTGAGAGCTACAATTCAAGATAATTTAAGATGGGATATGGGTCAGGACACAGCCAAACCATATCATTCCACCCCGGCCCCTCCCAAATCTCATGGTCTTACATTTCAAAACCAATCATTCCTTCCCAACAGTCCCCCAAAGTCTTAACTCATTTCAGCATTAACTCAAAAGTCTATACTCCAAAATCTCATCTGAGACAAGGCAAGTCCCTTTTGCCTATGAGCTTGTAAAATCAAAAGCAAGTTAGTTACTTCCTAGATACAACTGGGGTACAGGCATTGGGTAAATACAGCCATTCCAAATGAGAGAAATTGGCCAAAATGAAGGAGATACAGGTCCCATGAAAGTCCAAAATCCAGCAGGGCAGTCAAATCTTAAAGTTCCAAAATAATCTTCTTTGACTCCATGTCTTATATCCAGGTCACACTGATACAAGGGATGGGTTCCCAGGATCTAGAGCAGCTCCAGCCCTGTGACTTTGTAGTGTACAGCCTCCCTCTTGGCTGCTCTCAAAGGCTGGTGTTGAGTGTCTATGGCTTTTCCAGGTGCACGGTGCAAGCTGGGGATCTACCTACCATTCTGGGGTCTGGATGATGAGGGTCCTCTTCTCATGGCTCCACTAGGCAATGCCCCAGTGGGGACTCTGTGTGGGGGCTTGAAACCCACATTTCCCTTCTGCAATGCTCTAGCAGAGGTTCTCCATGAGGACAACACCCCTAGAGCAAACTTCTGCCTGGACATCCAGCTTTTTCCAATATCCTCAGAGATTTAGATGGTGGTTCCCAATCCTCAATTCTTGACTTCTGTGCACCCACAGGCTCAACACCACATGGAACCTGGCAAGGTTTGGGGCTTGCACCCTCTGAAGCAACAGCCTGAGCTGTACCTTGGCCCATTTTAGAAATGGCTGGAGCTGAAGCAGATGGGATACAGGGTCCTATATCCTGAGGCTGTACACAGCAGTGGGACCGTGGGCCTGGCCAAGGAAACCATTTTTTTTTTCCTCCTAGGCCTCTGGGCCTGTGATAGGAGGGGCTGCAGCAAAGCTCTCTGTCATGCCCTGAAGACGTTTCCACCATTGTCCTGGTGATTAACATTTGGCTCCTTGTTACTTACGTAAATTTCTTCAGCCAGCTTGAATTTCTCCTCTGAAAATGGATTTTTCTTTTATATCACATTATCAGACTGCAAATTTCTGAACATTTATGCTTTATTTCCCCTTTAAAACTGAATGCTTTTAATAACTCTGAAGTCACCTCTTGAGTGTTTTGCTGCTTAGAAATTTCTTCTCCCAGATACCCTAAATCATCTCCCTCAAGTTCAAAGTTCCACAAATCTCTAGGACAGGGGCAAAATGCTGCCAGTCTCTGCTAAAATATAGCAAGAGTCATCTTTACTCCAGTTCCCAACAAGTTCCTTATATCCATCTGAGACCACCTCAACCTGGATTTTATTGTCCATATCATTATCAGCATTTTGATCAAAGCCATTCAACGAGACTAAGAAGTTCCAAACTTTTTCACATTTTCCTGTTTTTCTTCTGAGCTGTGCAAACTGTTTGAACCTCTGCCTGTTACACAATTCCAAAGTCACTTCCACATTTTCAAGCATCTTTACAACAGCACTCCACTCTAACTGTACCAATTTACTCTATTAGTCCATTTTCATGCTGCTGATAAAGACATACCTGAGACTGGGTCATTTTTAAAGAAAAAGAGGTTTAATAGGCTCACAGTTCCATGTAGATGGGGAGGCCTCATGATCATGGCAGAAGGCGAAAGGCACGACCTAGCATGGCAGCAGACAAGAGAGAATGAGAGTCAAGCAAAAGGGGAAACCCCTTATAAAACCATCAGATCTTGTGAGACTTATTAACTACCACAAGAACAGTATGGGGGAAACCATCCCCATGATTCAATTATCTCCCACCAGGTTCCTCTTCCAACAGGTGGAAATTATGGGAGCTACAATTCGAGATGAGATTTGGATGGCAACACAGCCAAACCATATCATTACTTTTGCATGACGACCTAAGGGATGCTGTGTTTTGTCATTTGTATGGCTCAGATAATCTGTCTACTCTTCATCCTCTACTTCCGTGATAATATCATTTGAGTTTCAGGACTTAAAGGTGTCAAATAAATCTCCCCATATGCATTTACTCAGCAATAACTCTGGTCACTATGGCAGGATTTTCCAAGCATATTTAATGTACAGAATATCCATGCTAAACCTGAGTCTGATCATTATGAAAAAAAAAATCCCTGCACATTTGGAAGCATCTAACCTATTCCCCCTCAGTGTAATAGATTACATTTCATACTCCATGTTTGACTGTAACTTAAATTATTCTAATTGACCTCATTTGCCCAAAAGGGAATTCCAGTACATATAAAAGTATCTCTCTAACTGCCACCAAGTATTCTAATCGCCCCAAATAAACATTGCTTATGCACTCAGGACTGTGTGCGTTCCCATCTGCTGCTACGAACAAAAGAATTCTTTGAGTGGCTGTTGCAGCCTTGTTGAACGAACGTCTCCTCATTTCTCTACTTCATAGCCTTGGACAGATATTGCTTATTATTTCCAGCAGTGAGCACCACCAACCAATAACTTCTTTTTATGTTCATCTGATCATGATTATTCTTCTTTTATGGTAGGTTCTAACCAAGAAAAAGCCATATTTTCCCCAAACTAAAATGTTTTATTATCAGGTATAAGCGCCAACTTAAAAATTTCTCCAGATCTAAGCAATGGATTTAACTGCTTAACTTCCATGAATAAAGACTTGTCATGCACCTTTTCTGCATATTGCCAATGATGTCCATGCAGGCATTAACTTTTATTACTGGGCAAGGAAAGAAAGTTATGTCAAGCTATGAGTTACATGAATAGCTTTCCTAGCTGCGGAGAACCAGAAAGATGACAGAATGAAATGGAATCACCTTGTCATTAATGGCTTTAAAGATAAAGGAATGGAGTAATGAACCAAGGAATACAAGTTGTCTCTAGAAAGTGAAAAAGACAAAGAAACAGATTATTCTCTGTAGCTGCTAGATAATAAGGCAGCCCTACCCATGCCTTAATTTTAGCTCAGTGAGACTGGGATCATATTTCCAACCAACAAAATTATAGGATAATACTCTTTTGTTCTTGTAATCCATTCAGTTTGGAACAATTGTTTGTGGCAAAAATGAAAAAAGAATATACTACTTGAATTAGCCCACAGCATGGGAGAAAAGAAATGGAACCAAAGCCAGTTTGACTTCATAATCCACTCACAAATAATTATTTATCACACATCACTAGTTTGCTGATGATTTAGGTGTCATGAATGGCTAAATAATTGTTTTTTTTTTTTTCTCATTGGAAGTAGACTAGTGGGATAAGTTGGGTTTTGCCCAACAATTTAAATTGCATATTGAGATATTCAGGGTAAATTAGCTATAGAGGATTTGAAAATATAAACTTAATTTTATGATTAGTAAATGATTACCATTTACTAATCATTTAATCTTAACAAGCTTTTTTTTTCAAGTGGTAGTTTTAGCAACTGTGCATTGAAGATGATAATAAATATTAATGTTGTGATAAATACATAAAAAATATGAATTCTATGTATATATTATTTAAAATGAAAAGCACATGCATTGCACTTTGAAGGAACTCAGTAGGTAAAATGCAAACTATAGGTCGTCGTGCTTAAAAGGTATTCAGTTACTGATATTTATGTTATTATTAGAATTATACAGCTTCTTCCCTGTAATCTCTCTTTCCTTCACTGCCTGTTATTTGTAATGTTCATAAATTTATTTAAATATTTTTAAATTATTTTATTCAATAAATGTTTATTAGGTTCATATTATGTACCAAGCATTATCTTATATGCTCGAACTACAATATTGAAAAAGACAACATTTCAACACTTAAAGAGTATACAATTTAGAAGGGATGATAAACACAAAAACATACACGTATAAGTTTATGTGCTGCAGGGTGCTTTTTTCATGGTTTGTGTATCTCTTTTATCTCTCATTCTGTTAATACTGCTTGATATGGTTTGGCTATGTCCCCACCCAAATCTCATCTTGAATTGTAGCTCCCATAATTCCCATGTGTTGAGGGAGGAACCAGGTGGGAGATAATTGAATCGTATGGGTGGCTTCCCCCATACTGTTCTTGTGGTAGTGACTAAGTCTCATGAGACCTGATGGTTTTATAAGGGGTTTCCCCTTTTGCTTGGCTCTCATTCTCTCTTGTATGCCACCATGTAAGATGTGTTTTTCTCTTCTGCCATGATCGTGAGGCCTCCCCAACCACGTAAAACTGTGAGACCATGAAACCTCTTTTTCTTTATAAATTACCCACTCTTAGGTATGTCTTTATCAGCAGCCTGAAAACAAACTAATACACTGTTTTCTTAATTAATTTAGTTATTATTCCATGTAGTGTACATTGTCTAGTGAAAATTTAGAAACAACAAAATATGATTAAGGAAAAAAATGTATTATCTATTGGGCAGAAAGATGACCAGAAATTTGTTTTTATCAAAAGACCAACTCCTGAATATTTTGTGATAATGAAGATAATGATATATCAGTTACTAGGAGTTAAAGGCATTATAAATAAGTCCTCTAATATAGTAGCTATTGCATATGTAAAAATTTTCAGAGAACTATAGAATTCATCACATTGTAACAAAATGCACAGAAGGATCAAATATTTGCATATAAGTAACAAAGCTATAATAGTATTTGGATAAAATAAATTACATTACGTAAAGTCTGGGTTAACTAAACCTGCTAAAATGTAACATCCAAACATGAGATTATAGAAGGATGCTTAATGTATAAATATATTTTAATATTCTAAGAGACTAAAAAAATCAAAAGAATATTTTTATGTATGTGATAAACTGCCAATTAATGTGCTTTCTATGGTAAGAATGCTAACAAACATATAGAAAAAGTAACTTGATATGACTAGAAAGATGTGATAAACCATCAAGTCACAAAAGCAAAAATAAATACTTCATGGCCCAAACACATTTTGAAAATCAAATTGTAATATAGATTTTATGAACAAGATTATTCATATAATTTTGATGAAAGTTGTAAAGTAAAACAATTTTCTCACAGAAATGTAACTTTATTCAGCCTGGCATGGTGGCTCATGCCTGTAATCGTAGCACTTTGGGAGGCTGAGGCAGGCAGATCACGAGGTCAGAAGTTCGAGACCAGCCTGACCAACATGGTGAAACCCCATCTCTAATGAAAATACAAAAATTAGCCGGGCGTGGTGGCATGTGCCTGTAGTCCCAGCTACTCAGGAGGCTGAGGCAGGAGAGTCACTTGAACCCGGGAGGTAGAGGTTGCAGTGAGCCGAGATCGTGCCACTGCACTCCAGCCTGGGCAATGGAGTTAGACTCTGTCTCAAAAAAAAAACAAAAAAAGTGTCTCTGTGTGTATATATGTGTGTGTGTGTGTGTGTGTGTGTGTGTATACATATATATACGTATATATACATATACACACATATATGCATATGTATACATATATATGTGTATATATACATATACACACATATATGCATATGTATACATATATATGTGTATATATACATATGTATACATATATATGTGTATATATACATATGTATACATACGTGTATACACACATATGTATACATATGTATACATACGTGTATACACACATATATACACACATATATACATATATACACACATATATACATATATACACATATATATACACTCACATATACACACACACACATACACACACACACATATATACCTTGGAAACTATCAAGTAGTTTGCAGAGACACATATGCAACACTGTTTGTAATTTTGAGAGTCTTATAAACTACATATTCAAACTGGGGACACAATTAATAAGAAATAAATTAGAATATTATTCAATGTTTCAACTTCCAGCAAATGTAACAAGATTGCAGAAGATCCAGTGCTTTTTAATAGCTGAAAATTAAAGACCTTGTAATGATCCAGTGTGGCATCACATCAGCTAAGCAAATTACGACTTATCCTTTTCGTCTACAATGACAAAATATTATGTGCCCCTCACAATGGTCAGCACTGTGCATGGCCGACATAGATTTAAATTCTATGGCCTCTGTAACTCTTTCAGCTTTGCATTAAATAACCCCTGCATCTGACTCCCAGACCTGCCATTCTTGCCTGCCCTAAATTCTTCTTGAATCCTTATCTCTGGGGCATCATCACATTGCTGTGGGGGGTTTGTTTTTTTATTTTGCCCAAAATATTTATTAATTGTTTTTTCCTCTGGCTAAATCATCTTGACCATCTAGACATGTTCAAAGGAAATTGGGATATAATGAATGGGTATAGTGGTTTCTTCTAACAGGGAGATAAATTTAATCAGTTATTAAAATCACTGGTACTTGAAATCCTTATTATATATTCAAATTTAATTGGAAAATGAAAAGCATTTGTTTCATATTATTTATTTATAGCAGTTATAATTTAACTCCTAATGTCAAGGACCTTGGAAGTTACATATGCATAACTGGAAACATAATTTAATGCCAAAATAACTGATAATCTGATGGCTTGCAAAATCATATGGTCAGCCTGACTTTCTTGGAAAGCTAAGGAGATATTTTAACACTAATTCTTTCTACTGTACCAAACTTGAGATTACTGTGTAGTTTGGAGCCATCTAGTACTGCATTTGAGTCTAATATCTGCCATAAAATCTACATGAACATGGAAATTTATTTGATGATACTCATTCTTTTTTTCTCACCTGTGTTAGGAAAATATTGACCCCTCCATTGAGAAATCTCAAATGTAAAGAGTGCTCTGAGATAGTAGTTATAGCATTTGTAAACATTTTCAGAAAACTATGCAGTTCTTCACATTAAAATAAAATGCATAGACCAAATATTTGTATATAAAAAACAAAGCTAAAATAATACTAGAATAAAATAAATTATATTATATTAAGTCTGGGTTAAAAAATCTCCTTAAATATATCCACACATGAGATTATAGAGGATGGCTAATATATAAATACATTTTAATATGCTAAGAAACTAAAAAAAATAAAATAATCAAAAAGAATATTTTGTTATGTCTTCATGAAAAGAATAGAACTTTTATTTTTTGGTTGATAAAGAAGGCTAGTCTACTAATCTTACTTCTAGCTCTAATTAATATATTTATATTATATTTATATACTTCTAATGATATGTTATTTCTATTTCTACAAACTTCTTCAAAGCCCCTTAACATTTAAAAGTTCTTAACTCTCTTAGTACTTCCTATATTTGTTTCCATGTTTTAAAGACATAAACTTAAAGCTCCAGTATTTTATCATAAACTACTAAAAAACCTGTACTTGTAAGCTGATACATAGACCAATTAATGATTTACTTTTCATGAATCCTGAAGGGAAGAGGTCCAGAGATTTGTAATAGTCTGTCTTGGGTTTAGGTATAGAGATTACAGCTTCCAGGTGGTTATCTATAATATTAATTTTGGGGGCCTGTAATAACATAATATCATAAACTGGGTGAATTAAACACAAATTGAGTCACAGTTCTGGAGGCAAGAATTTCAAAATCAAGGCATGGCCAGGACTGGTTCCTTCTGTGGGCTGCCAGGGAAATTCTGTTCCATGCCTCCCTCCAAGTTTTGTGTGCCTTGAGGCATTCCTTGGCTTCTAGATGGTTTTCTGTCTGTGTTTTATATCATTTTTCTTCTATTTGTGTTTGTCTCTGTGTCTAAATTTTCTTTTTATAAAAGGACATCATTCGTACTAAAGTAGGGCCCACTCTAATGACGTCATTTTAAGTTGCTCATTGCAAAGATCCTATTCCCCAGTAAGGTCACATTCACAGGTACTTAGGGTTAGGATTTAAACAACTATATATACATAGCTGGAAAATATTGACCCCTCCATTGAGGGATAGATAGATAGATAGATAGATAGATAGATAGATAGATAGATACTCAAAAGTATATATATATGCTTTATCAATTCTCGGCCTTTTGGCTGAGATCAAGTGTAGTATCTGTTCTTATCACTTCTAGGATACATGTGCAGAATGTGCAGATTTGTTACATAGGTATACATGTGCCACGGTGATTGGCTGCACCCATCAACAATCATCTAGGTTTTAAGCCCCGCATGAATTGGGTATTTGTCCTAATGCTATCACTCCCCTTAACCCCCACTCCCTGACAGGCCCCAGTGTGTGATGTTCCCCTTCCTGTGTCCATGTGTTCTCATTGTTCAACTCCCACTTACGAGTGAGAATAGGCAGTGTTTGGTTTTCTGTTCCTGTGCTAGTTCGCTGAGAATGATGGTTTCCAGCTTCATCCACGTTCTTGGAAAGGACATGAAGTCATTCCTTTTTATGGCTGCATAGTATTCCATGGTGCATATGTGCCACATTTTCTTTATCCAGTCTATTATTGATGGGCATTTGGGTTGGTTCCAAGTCTTTGCTATTGTAAATAGTGCTGCAATAAACATATGTGTGCATGTGTCATTCTAGTAGAATTATTTATAATCCTTTGGGGGTACTTAAACAACTTTTGAGGAGCACATAATTCTACCCATAATAGCGATGTAAAGCAAAAGATTTACTTTTTGATTACTTTCTGTTTCTTAAAAAAATTAATATTATAGCAGCCTAGAGTTTGCTGTTTAAATGAAACTTCCAATTATGTATTTATATACTCTAACGTGATATGTAATGTTAAAATGATAATTAATGAGATAAAGTCTAATTCTACTAGACTAATATGTGGGAAGAATCCAGGATTTAATTATGTGAAAACCAGCTTATAGTAATTATAGAAATAGTCTTGTTTATTCAAATACTCACCCAAAAAAGTCCTATTTTGACCCATTAAGTTCCAAAGGACTTCATTGCATTGAAATCTTATAAAGTGGTATTGCCCAACTGGTTACCATTGAGTAACATGAGTCAGAAAAACACATTCATAAAACTGAAGAAGTGCCAAAAGCATCTGGTACTGAGTATCAAAGAGCACCAAGTAAATAGAACTTGAGGCTACAAGATGATAGAGAGAACATAAACAAATTGCAGGGGGCCAGATTATACTGCTCTTTTATGTTGGACATTGCTTTCCCTAAATCTCAGGATAAGGCATAAAGGCTTAGTGGAAAGCAGAAACTTTGAGTTTGAGATATGATTATGGGAGGAGGTAAATATTTGTTTTCAGAAGTAATAGCACACCCAGAATGTGAAGGCTAGGAGTCCTGGAGGAGAAGAATGACCCAGGGAAGCGTTCTTAGAATTTCGAGTGCTTTACTACTCTAGGCCATTGGTAAATTCTACAAAGCATGGGGATGAGGATCCAAGAAGTCAATCAGAAAGCTATTGCTAAGTGACTAAAAAGCTAAAAGCTTTCAATAATCTTACTTTGCAGCAGAGGTAAAATTAGACTGCTGGACAGATGAGGAGAAATGACAGCAAAAAAATCATGCATTCAGTTTAGACTTATTAAGCACTATGTCCTATAATAAAATGCAAAACCAGAAAAAGATAACCCCTACAACACCGGCTCAAAACATCTGAGTTGTTTATAGAGACAAGTAATTTGCCCTTACTCTAACTCTGTCAGGGAACAAACTAATTCTTCCTAAAGGAAAAGGAAAATAAAAATAAAAATACATAGTAAAATTTTCATATAGGAAGTACAATATGCAATTTTTAAAAATTTCAGTATTAACATGAAAAACAAATCAAAAGATTAAAACCAAGGAAAACTCCTACAATAAAAACAGCTCTACAGGTGATCTAGATAACGAAGTCATTAGACATGGAATTTAAAACAAACCTGATTATAGTATTCCTCCCTTATCCATGGCGGATATGATCCAAAATCCGCAGTATAGTTCCAAACCATATATATATATACTAGCATTTTTATCCTTAATAACTTGAGAGCTTTCACCTGTTAACTAACGAACAAACTTAATGGCTTCTTTTTGTTGTATCCAAATTGCCCGCATCACAACTCGTGTTTTGCAGTCATTACTAAGTAACATAAGAGCTACTTAAACTTAAGTGATGTGATACCAGGAAAATCAATCGGATAATGATAACAGTTACTAAACGACTAACAGGCAGGTAGTATGGATACTCTGGACAAAAGGACAGTTCATGTCCCAAATGAGATGGTGCAACAGGGCACAAGATTTCATCAAGCTACTCAAAATGATACACAATTTAAAATGTATTAATTGTTTATTTCTGAAATTTTTCATTTAATCTTCTCAGCCCATAGTTGACTGCAGGTAATTGAAATAGTTGAAGTGCAACCATGAAGAAAAGGGGATTGCTGTATCATATTTAAATACATCCATGTCCAAAACAATGAATAGCAAGATCAGAAATTATACATGAAAAAACTTAAAGATGTATCTGCTACCTGATGACTTCGGGTGATTCATGCCACCAAACAAGCAAGAACTGAGGAGTTAGCATATTGGCAAAGATAACTGGCCCTAATCACTACATGTAGTTAGGTCATTTGTTATATAATAGAAAGAGAAATATATCGCAACACTTCAGAACAACTTTTGGTATTCCCATGCCCATTCCCATCTGCAAATGAGCAAGTACAACAAATAAGGTCTGATGAGAATATGGCAAGTAGGATTTCAGATATGATGTCCTGAGTCAAACAATATGACAAGCCACTTTTGATCAGCATAAAGCTTAGCTGAAAGGGGGGAAACTAAAGTATGGAGAATGGAAAGTGGAGATTGTGATGATCAGTTATGAATTCAGGACCAAGTGAAGCAACAGGAATTAAGGTTTGTCCCATTAAGCCATCCTTTGTAATTTTTCTGAAAATTGTAATAAAATGGAATCTTGGTAAGGCAGAGCCTAGATGGAGTATAACAAATGGGAGAAACAATTGAATCTTTGTGGTTTAAGTGCGGACTGTGTTGGGTGCAATAACTCATCAGAGTTTCCTCTAGCAACTGGCATAGACATTCACCAACTTCAGTGATTCCTGGCTAATGAAATTTGCAGCTGCCCTCTTCTCCATGAAATTGCTAGAATTCTTTCCTCTGTGGTACAGTATGCACTCCAGAGCTTCCTTGTGACAACAGCCTGGATATAGCCTTCAGTTGTGATGACATACTTGCTTCCATTTGTTCTTCAGCCCTTATTCTTAGAGAATTCCTGATTCCCTGAAATATATGGGTTCCAGTGCTAGAGAATCTGTCATGAAATCACATCTCGAATTATTCTATTGCCTTAGAATATTCTTGTCTAAATTCTGACAAAGACTTTCTATAAGAGAATAGTATAGGCTGTCATCTCTCAATAATATATATAAAAACATATGCTAAGCCAAACAAAAGCCAATTAAATTTACTTACACAGAAAAATATATCAAAGATGAACTGAGTTTATGCTAGGATTTTAAAAAGGTTTAACTTTCAAAAGCAATAAATGCATATCAGTATATCAATGTAATAAAGAAGAAATATGATAATCTCAATGGAGAAT
Source organism: Homo sapiens (assembly GCF_000001405.40). Taxonomy (NCBI): domain Eukaryota; kingdom Metazoa; phylum Chordata; class Mammalia; order Primates; family Hominidae; genus Homo; species Homo sapiens. The sequence goes on along the minus strand of NC_000021.9, from coordinate 23,278,384 downwards.
CAATAATGTTCTTAACTTGATTTAAAAAAAACATTAAACCAACATATCCAAAATGTTCAGAATGGCATTTTCTGCTAAGATTGGAAGCAAAACAAGTTCAGAATCAAAACACTACTTCTCTTCAACTTCTGTTAATGTTTCTAGCCAGTTCAGTAAACAAACAAAAAAGTAATAAGATTTGGAAATGAAGAAGAAATAATTGTTGTAATTGGCACATAATATATACAGTGAAAAAATTCAAAAGCATCAAAAGATAAAATGAGAGGATTAATAAGTTAATTTAGCAAGTTCTCTAGATACAAATTCAATGTAAAAGATGATAAGCCTCCATGTACCGGAGGCAATAAAATAGACTTTAAACCTCAATGAAACTGCTAACAAAAGCACCAAAAAAAAAAGACCCATCAAAAATATTAGGAATAATGCTAATGAAAAACATGGAAGACATATATAACAAAATAAAATATTCCGAGATAATTTAAGGACAATCTAAGTACCATTCTCTACAAAAGAAAAAAAAAGGAAAGTCTAAGTAAACTGAAAGACGTATCTTGTTCCTAAATGGAATATTTAGCATTTTAAATATATCAGTTTTTGGTCAATTGATCTACAAGTTAAAAACAATTCCATGAAAAATCTCAGAAGTGTATATGTGTTTATGTGTAAGCATGGGTTGTATGTATATCAGTGTAAAAAATGAGAAGTTGCTTCTGAGGTTTATATGAAAAGGCAAAAATGCAAGAAATGGCAACACAATATGAAAAAACATAAATAGAGCTTTTATATCATGTACCAAGTTACATTAAAGCAATCAATATTTAATGTAATATTAACATAAATGTGGAAAAATATATCAATAAAAAAGAATAATGTATCTTGAGAAACACTGACTCATATAGTTATATGATTTATAACCAAGTGCTGTTAACCTGCATTGGTATTTTATTTTCAATAAGCGGTGTTGATTCAATAAGTTGGGTTCATTGGAAATCCACATGAAAATATGTGGATCCATATTTCAAATCATACAAAAAATCAATTCCAAATGCATTTGAGACTTAAATGTAAAATATAAAATTATAAATATACAGAATAGCTTAAAGATTTATATACCCATATAATATAACAACATAGTTTTAAGATAAAAGCAGAAAGTACCAAATATAAAATAAAGATTTGTGAATTTGACCATATTAAAATGATGAATTTATGTTAATTAAAATACAACATAGTATCAATGAAAAGGCAACCCTTAGTATAGAACAACATATTTTCATTGTGTCATATATAAATAATTTCTGTATATGACAAAGACAATTATTAAACAACTCAACAAAAAATGGGCAATATATTTGAATAGATTCTTAATAAAAGATGCTATCCAGTAATCAAACTTACACAAAGGTGTACATTATCGGACACCAGGAAAATACAAGTTTAAACCACTTTGTGATACTATAACATAAAATTGGCTAAACTTGTACAAAATAATTAAATGAATATATTATGTTTAGGCAAACATGCAGAGAAACTGGAATACACTTGCAATATAGTTTGGAGTCTAAAGTTGACCAAAATTGAAAATCGTTTGTCTATTTATGTTCATCATTTGGATACGTTATAGTTCAGTTATTTCACTCATGGGTATATGCCCAACAGCAATGTATACTTAAATGGACCATACAAATGTTTAAGAATATTAAAGCAGTATTGTCAGTAATATTCAGTACCAGAAAATAAAATAAATGCCTATAGATATACTATATTCATAAAATGAAATAGTATAAAGCAATGAAATGAAGAAACTATGAACCCCAATTTGGATAAAACTAATAAATACAAATTTTAGCATGGGAAGTCAGACATAAAAAAAGAGTGCCATTGTAGATTCTCAGTCTTTAAAGTTCAATTACAGGAAAACTCAGGCTGATGGAAGTCAATAGTTAACTTTCAGTTGGAGATACTTCTGGAAGTCAACATGGAACCAGTCTTTTCGGATACTTACAATTTTTATGCACTTCTAATCTGTGAAGTATATATTTGTATAAGTTTGTATATCATTTGCAATTTAACAAAAAGAGTTTAGGTCTTAAAATAAATTTCTAAAGTATGTTCCCTGACCACAGTACAATTAAGTTGAAATCACACACACATGTGTGTTTAACTTACATTAAAATATAATAAAAAAAATTTAAAATAGAGAATGGTTTGAGCTGAATAATAATTAAAGATTTAATATTAAACACCTATGAGATGTATCTCAAACCATGTTCAGAGGACATTTATACCCCTAATATGTATGTTAGGAAAGAAAAAAGACTGAAAATAATTAACCTATGATTCTTCTCAAAAACTAGCAAACAAAAACAAAATCTAAGGAAAACATTTTAAAATAAGAACTAAAAACAAGATTAAGTGAAATATATTCCTTTCAATCATTATAGAAAAATATTCAAACTATCTTCTTACATACTGTAGAGTAAATAACCCTAAAATGCTGAAAGAATGAAAGTTGTACAGTATATGTAATTTTATTGTTAAGGAATTAGAGATGGAATGGATGTCCCATGTATACGTCTGTTTCACACTGTTATAAAAATGGCCCAAGACTGGGTAATTTATAAAGGAAAATAGTTTAATTGACTCATCGTTCCGTATGGCTGGGAAAGACCTCAGGAAACTTACAATCATGGTAGAAGAGGAAGGAGAGGCAAGGCACATTCTGTACAAGGTGGTAGGAAGAAGGAGTGCTGAGTGAAGGGGGAAGAGCCCCTATAAAACCACCAGATTTCCTGAGAACTCACTTGCTATCACGAGAACAGCACTGGGGAAACTGCTGTCATGATTCAGTTACCTCCACCTGGTCTCTCCCTTGACATATGGGGATTACGGGAAATCAATTCAAGATGAGATTTGGGTGGGGACACAAAGCCTAATTATATCATTCCAAAAAAGTGGCTGCCTCCTTTCCAGGTAAGAAAGTAGAGGATTCACATTTCCTCTTCCATACTTTGTTCCTCTTCATGGTTTTTCTCCAGGAGTATCCCTGGTGATCCTGTTTATGTGCGTGTGTGTGTGTGTGTGTGTGTGTGTGTGTGTGTGTGCACGTGCACATGTGTGTGATTAGAAAAAGAAATAATTATCAATAAATTCAAATTAGATTACAACAGAGTTTAAGGGGGTGTGTATAATCCAACCAAGTAAGGATTTGAGTACAAGGTAAGACATAGGACCTTGAGACATACATCCATGTTCCTATTACAATTGAAAATCATTTCATCTCCACTCTTCATCTGAACCTAATTCTACATTTTTGACATGATGCATTGGTTATCAGCATGTTCTGTACTATTCACAAAATGATTTGTTTCAGTACTCACGCTACTACAGCTGAGTTTTTTTTTCTTTTTGCTAAAAAATTAAAAGCAACAACAGCAACAAAAACACCTTAGCTTGTGTACATTTTTTTTTTTTTTTTTGAGATGGGGTCTTGCTCTGTCACCCAGGCTGGAGTGCAGTGGCGTGATCTCGGCTCACTGCAGCCTCTGTCTCCCACATTCCAGTGATTCTCCTGCCTCAGCCTCTAGGGTAGCTGAGATTACAGGTGCACGCCACATACCCGGCTAATTTTTTTTTGTATTTTAAGTAGACATGTCGTTACACTATGTTGGCCAGGCTGGTCTCAAACTCCTGACCTCAGGTGATCCACCTGCCTCGGCCTCCCAAAGTGCTAGGATTACAGGTGTAAGCCACCGCACCTGGCCCCAATTTTTTTTTTAATCTCATCATGTCTATTTCCATCATCACAAGGAAGTGAGCTACTTTAATCTAGGTTACTGTTTTTCTATAGTAGGCATTCAATAAACAACATCATGATTCAATTTGACTACGTAGACTGCCAATAAGGGAGTCTTGAAGACACAGGTAATTGTCCTATTAGGTTGTGCAGCGCTGTGTTCGACATTTGCTATAAGGAATGCACTGTATAAATACGGCGATTAATGATAACATAGATTATTTTTCCTTTTCAGATTGCCTTTATTTTCTCCTGTTCTTCAGAATACTTGTAAAAAATTATAATCAATTGCAGTAACAGCACTTTAATTAGTATTATTTTATAGTTCACACTTGGCTAAAACTTGTACAGTGCTCCTGCTACATATCTATTTTAGCTCTGTCCACAATATACTATTTTTTTATGAATCTGTGTTTCAAAGTGATATTTTTGTCTACTGTGGATGGTTTTAGTTACATAGGATCAAAAGTATTGTTTCCAGGAACTTATAAAAGTGGTCATATGAGAGTCCACACTAACATTGACAGGTATAATGAGTCTTACTAATAAAAACATGTGATTTATAAACAGGAAGCATGTAATCAAGTACATTGTTTTATATGTGTGGGTTTTTGTGTGATTTGATAAGTAAAAATTTAAAAATAAATTCAATTTCTCTTGACCTTCTGGGAATAATTTATCACACATTAGTGTAAGCATATTAGAAGAATAATATATTCACTGAGGGTATCTTTCATGGATATCATAGACATATATTATAAAATATGCTACAACTTCAGAGTGTTGTGCGAAAATACACTCATCCATAAATCTGGTCATATTTTACTGAATTATCCGAGAGTGTTTGGCAACTTGTTTTCTGCAGTAAACATGCTGACTGATTTTAGTGGTCTTTTGAGTATAGATTCCCATCTCATTTTATTGCCATGATAAAATGTCAGCAAAAATGTATGCTTCCTTTAATAGCCTCTAGAGAAGGCTGAACCTAAATCAGAAAGTAACAACCATGATGATAAAAAGCATATGTTTTGGTATTTTGGGTGTAATCTTTTGTATTTGCTGAGAAGACATTTTGTATTGGGGATGCTAATGTTTGTGAGTAAGTAATACACATCTCTAGGTGAACATTGAATGTATTTAAAAAGTCTATTAAATGAACTATTATTTCATATACTGCCACCAGTGAGTCTTCTCTGTAAAGCTAATTTGGTATGTCACAGAAGAGTTTATCCTGTGATTCACAGCAATATTTTAGAGAGTAATGCCAGTACAAATAAAAATGCACATTCTCAGCTTATTGCCCTTGGCAGTCCCTAGACAGCTGTGTGTAGGTGAACAAAAAAGTTCCATTGAATAATAAGTAATTCTAAAAAGAAAATTTTGAAAAGCCGTGTTTGTGGATGTAAAAATTAAAACCCGATGGGCATCCCAAAAGCAAAACAAATTGTTATTATTACAAAGCTAATTAATGTATCTTCCAGTGAAGATTTAGATGAGGATATATATATATATATGTTGAGCATTTTATAGTCACTTCTAAAATGTGAATTCCCAATTGCAGGGATTTGAATCTTACAACTTAATAAACACATTGGGATCTAGGTTCTCGTTATGTTGATTATATACCTCTATTATGTAGAACTGATTTTACTTATACATATCACTCTTTTTATAATGAAGTAATTTATTATTATTTTGATGTCTCACATCAGTAATTAATTCTTTTTAATAGATAATCATCACATGCGAGATAAGAAAACCTTGTAGTATAAATAAAACGATTATCAAAAAAGAAAAGTTATATTTAGAGGAACCAAATTAGGGAGGAGGCTTATAGTGTCATGACAGAGAGTCATGTGGATTGTGTGTGTACAAAATAGAAACAGAGAAGCACAACAATAACAACAAAAACTTGGTCATTAAATCGTGGTTTCCAAAATAAATTTTAAAAATGTAAGAACATAATTGATGATATTATTTTAAATCCTGAAATATTAAGAAATAAAATATGATGCAGTAGAGATAAAAAGAATGAACGCAGAAAGCTTATATATCTAAAGAATGAATTCAAACTAGTTTGTGTTTTTAGTCAAAAAGTTTACATTTTCTAAAACAATTTGCAAGCTTATCAACAATTTATATTGTAGTATTTTTTTGAAATATTCAGTCTGATGTGCTTCACATGATGTTTCAGAATGTTTATGTTATTTTAAGGTAATATTGAAAGTAACATGTCAAAATGTAAACTTTAAAATTTCTTGCAGAGAATTTTATCAGTTAGCTGATTCTGTGAAATAGTCCACTCCAAATTTAGTTGCTTAAAACAAAACACTTTTTTTTTAAGTTCCTGAACATGCCAATCAGCAATCAAGGTGGGGAACAGCTGGCTAGATCTTCAGATCTCAGTAGAATTCATCCACATGTAGCTGATATTAGCTATGGGACAGCGAGAGACCGTATTTTAAACTTGGCCTGTTAGTTCCCTGTATGCTCTCTCATCTACCAGCAGTCTGGGGAGGTGTGTTTGCATATAGGGGCAGAGTTATGAGCAACTGGAAAAATTCTGCATTCCATTGACCAAACCAAATTCAAAGGACAACCTACACTAAAGAAATGGTGAAATAGATACAACTCCTGATGGGAAGAGCTTAAAGCAGCCTTGCAAGTGGCAACAAGAGAGGGAGAAATGAAGAACTGCAATCATTTTTTCTAATACATCCCTCTACATCTTAAAAAATTAAGATCTCATTTTTATCAGGCTACTGTATGTAAAGATATTTAAAAGAGAACCTTTTAAAAGTTTAAATGTGTTAAAATATTTGAGTGTTTTCCACTTATTTAGAGAAAACTCATTTCAAACTGAATATTATCTTGATTTCTTTCACAACTATGTAGGCTTAGGGCATATGTTAGCATGTGTGTAGGTGGATATTTCAAATTTGTATTTTATGATTATTATCATTAGAGATGTAATACATAGTAATACAACTACATATTTCTTAAAATCTAGGATCAATGATTTTTTACAAATATCTATCATCTACTTGACATCATGCTTCCAAGTGACATTTTATCCATATTTGGCCTGAGTCATTAATTCCTATTAATTTTTTGTGAAACAATGCAGTTTAATTGTTAAATGAGCCAAAATAAGTATTTTTAAACATTAATATTTAAATTAACTCTTCAGAAATAAAATGGAACTGGTTGATAATTAAAGGTTAATCCACATCCAGAAAGACAAATTGAGTAATTTTGATATTTATGACTCGTAAAAAATGGCACAGTTCCTTGACTCCCTGCCAAGCTACAAAATCTTGCTTAGTAAATAAAGGAAATTTTGACAAACACAGTTTTAGTTCACCCAGTTTGGCTGATAAATCTGTTCTTACATAGACATGGCTTTGGTCATGTAACTATTTCCCCTCTCCCTTTTAAAAAGCAAACAATGAGCAGAGATATAATACACTTTTATAGGGTTAAAATAAATCAAAAGACAATGTTTAATTTTATCTGATAACATGGAAATTAATTCACTAGTACTATGCCTCCATTTTTTAAATGTGCACTTCACATGCATAAGCCTTAAAGCAAAATATATGAAACTTCTGGATTCTAAAAGAAAATGCAATCTAAGTAATGAAGGGACACTAACTCTTAAATTTTAATTGGGTTATAAAAGTAATCATCCCACTCTAGGAAAGCTGTTATCCCTATTAAAGGCATATATTAATATCCCATACCTGGTTAATTATGTCCACTCTCTTTTAATACTATATTTTTGAAGTGAAACACAAATTGAGAAAAAATGCATTACGTGTATAAAATTACATAGTTTGCATTTTCTATTTTATTTAATCACTGAGAACATGCATGTAATAAAATTTATTTGCTCTACATTGCTAATAAACATCAAAAAAATAATTCCACTCTAAATGCTGAACCAAGATGTTCACTTACAGTACTAAATTGAGAAATGCCTTAAAATAAAACATTAAAAAAATATGATGCTAAAACAAGTGGAGAGGGCAATGATTTTAACTGTTTTGCAATTAATTATAAATCTACATGCTGAGCTTAAGAATCCTATTGCTAAATAGTAAATTTGGCTTATTTCCTTCCCTGTTGCCACCATATTTACCATTTAATAATCCCATAAAATTATAATGTGAAGAAAATTATATTCATGATAGCCTGAGGAGTAGGCAGTAAACCTCTGCAGATCAATGTGTTGAGACTTTTGTTGTTTATTTAACTTTCATGGTAAGTGTGAGGAAGAAAAACACTCTGAGCCCTGGTTGCCTTTACTCGCCAAAGCTCCCTTCTGCCTTTTCTATTATTTTGCCTATGAAGGATTCAGTTTCCCATATTCCTCAAGCCAAATGTGAACAACACTGTTTTATCTGGCCCTGACAAATTCTGGGCTCTCAGGCTTAAGGACAATGTGTGAGTTTTTGGTCAGGATGCTCAAGGGCTATACTTCTGCAAAAGCTGTTGGTAACCATTCTAAACAGATTTTTGCCACATTTATTATCTTCAGTTGATTTTCTCTATATCTTTCTGTTTTCCATGTCATTGATTTTTGCTTTGATGTTTCTTACTTCTTTCTCTCACCTGCTTTAAGTGGATTTTGATTGGCTTATTCTATTTTCTTGAGCTAGGAAATCAGATTATTAATTTGAAATGTTCTCCCTTTTCTAATGTAAGCACTGAGTGCTATAAATTTCCCTGTCAGTATTACTTTAGAAGCTTCCCACATATTTGATGATTTATTTTCATTTTCCTTCAGTTTTATATATTATTTTTGTATAAATTTTCTCTTTGACCATTATATTATTGAGAAACGTGTTGTTAATGTCCAATGTTGAGAAATTATCTTTCTGTTTTTCTGTTATTGGTTTCAAGTTTGAATAAACTGTGATCAGAAAATATAAAGTCTGCCTGATTTCAATTCTTTTAAATCTGTTAAGGGTTTCAGTTTGTTTGTTTTTAGGTGTTTTTTGTTTGTTTGTTTGTTTGTTTTGTTTGTTTTTGAGACAGAGTCTTGCTCTGTCGCCAGACTGGAGTGTAGTGGCGCGATCTCGGCTCACTGCAACCTCCGCCTCCCGGGTTCAAGTGATTCTTCTGCCTCAGCCTCCCGAGTAGCTGGGACTATAGGCTCATGCTACCACGCCCAGCTAATTTTTGTATTTTCAGTAGAGACAGGGTTTCACCACGTTGACCAGGATGGTTTCAATCTCTTGACCTCATGATCCGCCCACCTCTGTCTCCCAAAGTGCTGGGATTACAGGCGTGAGCCACGGCACCCGGCCAAGGTTTTTTTGTTTTGTTGTGTTTTGTTTTTTTGACTGAGGATATAGTTTATCTTCATTTCCTATGGGTGCTTACAAAATAGTAATTTTGGTAATGTTGGATGGAGTGTTCCATGTCAATCAGATTCTGTTGATTGTGGTGTTCAAATCTTCTCTATTCTTGCTGATTCTCTGTCTAGTAGGTCTATCAATTGCTGAGAGAGGAGTGTTGATGTCCGCAATTATAATTGCAAATTAGTCTATGTCTCCTTTCATTTCCATCTGTTTTTGCTTAAAGTGATTTAAAACGTGTTTTGTGGTTTTTTGTTGTTGTTGTATAAACATTTAGGAGTGTTATATCTTCGTGATGAATTGTTCATCTTATCATGATGTAACATGACTTTTGTCTCTAGTAAGTTTGTTCTGAAATCTAATTTATGTGATATTTATTTGGCAATTCCTGATTCTCTTCAAAGCTAATGTGGGCATGGTATATCATTTTCTGCCCTTTTACTGTCAGCTTTTTCTATGTCATTGTGTTTGTATTTATTTTCTTGTAGACAGCATATACTTGGAATATTTTTTTTTCCACTCTGCTATTCTGTCTTTGAACTAGTGTATTTTAAGCTATGACATTTAAAGTACCCATTAACATGTTAGGGCTTAAGTGTGCCATTTTATTATTTGTTTTTTATTTGGTCCACTTCTAGTACCTCTTTTTATTTTTTTTAAACCTTCCTATGTGTCACTTCAACTGTTTTTAGAATTTTATCTCGATGTATTTAAAGTTTGCTGTTTTTGTTGTTTTACTATATCACTGAATAGTTTTTTAGAGGGTGTTTCAACTATTACAATACACATGCGTAAGTTATCACAGTTATTGAAATTTTACCACATGTAAATTATAGAATACTTACTTGAATTAGGTCCCTTTTCTCTCCTGGTTATTATAATTATCTCAAGTATTTCATCTATATATAATGACACAACTACAGATTATGTTATATTATTTGTTTAAATAAACAAAAAATTTGAGAAACTCACAAGAATGAGTCTAACATATTTTATCCATTCTGATGTTATTATTTATAACTTTTATTTCTTTGCTGAGATAGCATATTTTTTCATTCTCATTGGGATATTCTTGGCTCTTAGTATGTTGAGTGATTTTTAAATGCATCCCACACATTTTGTCTATTATGTTAAGAGGCTCTAGATTCTATTAAAATCTTTTAACGTAAGAGACAGTCCCCTTAGTAGGTTTATCAGGCAGATCCCAGCCTATTTGCAGGGGTGGGGATGGGGATGTAGTTTAAATGATAGTTTTGTTCTTAAATTTTCTGAGATATTATTTTGGTCTATTTGGTTGATTTCATACCACTGAGGTTGATCTGGGCTGACACAGGTCTAATTTAATCTGATGACAGACCTGGCCCAAGAACAGGCCACCTTATGTCTCTTCATGGGGGAGAATAATCTCAAGGCGTGTGGATGAAGAGGTTTCCTGGGAGGTGCTTGTTGTGATAGTGTCCTCATCTGTTTGTGCAGGGTAGGAAGTATTTCCTGGGCTAGGCATTTGCTATGTCAGGATCCCTATTGTATTATCTCAGCCACCCCAGTGTCTCTGACCAAAGACAGAGATTTCAAACTTGACAACAGAAGACAACATTTTTCCTATTGGTTTATTGTTGGTAGAGTTTTTGGCTGATCCCACTTGCCAGTGATTCAGGCTTGCCTGGTATGGTCAGATGGAGTTCTCCTTGATCTCAGGGAAGAACAAGATTGCCTGGCTGGCTTCTGCTGCTAACTTGAGAAACAGGAAATGCCAGTCTGGCTCACTTTCTCCTCTTTGGGTTTTGGGGAAAGCTTATGATGCCCTTTGATTGCTTTTCCTCCAATTACGTGGTCTCAGACCACTTTTCCTTCCTCTGCCTGCCTGACAGAGTGCTCCTTTGGTTGTCACTCACATTATTTCAAGGATTCATAGGTTATTTCTTGAGGGAGGATAGGAAAACACTGCTCTGTACCAGCTTGTCCAGAACCCATATCTCCTTATTTTCCTTGCTATGGTTCAAGCCTTTTTCCAATTAATCTTTCTATTTTGAGAATTTCCTTTAGTGAGTATTTACGATTATGTTACATAACAAATATATACATCACATTGTGGATTGTACTTTATGTTTTTAAGTTTGCAGTACACCAGTTGAGGTGTGGCATCACAGCTGCATAGGTATTTATGTTGAACTTACCGCTGAGCTCCACCAATACTGTTCTGGAAAAAGCACAGCACTGACTCATACCACCTTGTTGGCTCTGAGTGAGCGTGCATGCTTACTTTACCACTACCCCACAAACATTAGGCAAAATGTAGTCAGATGGCTGACATATACCATCTTATTTAAATGTGGCGGAGACGTAAGCTTGGCTCCTCATGGAGCTGACAAGGGGAGAGGTGAGGCAGAGTGCCAAGTGGGCCTGACCTGCACCACCTTATTCTGCCTCCTTCATAGCAGTGGGTGATAAAGGCTCAGCTCCACACCAAGACTTGCTCATCATGCTTTTGGGGAAGGTACCAAAGTGCCCAGTAGCCCTGATGCACACTGCCTCATTCACTATCATTGTTACCCTGTGGGAGCTGAAGTTCAGGTAATCTCTGGGCCCCAGTGACGCTAGGTGTGTGGAGAGTAGAATACTGATTAGCTTGAACTCTCGATGCCTTGTTCAATCTCCCTGATGCTAGATGACTCAGCTCCCTCTTAGGCCTGCTGACAATAGTTGGAGAAGGTATAATTCAGAATACTCACTAGCACAAAGTTGCACAGCTTTATTAATCTTCCTTACGGCTGGGTGGAAGTTCTCAGCTTGCCAACAGACCCCACAGAAACTATCGTGCATAGGACAATGGAGTATTAACTGCTGCCCCTAGACAGGAGACAGATCTTTTTTTTTTTTTCAAATGGAACAATATTATCTCAATAGAAGATGGAGTGGAAGATTTGCTCTTTGGATGACTTCTTAGAACCCACAGTATGTATTTATTTGTGTGTGTGTGTGTGTGTGTGTGTGTGTGTGTGTATAAATGAGGTATATGTAGTAGACAGCATGCCACCCCTCCAGAGATGTCTGTGGCCTAATCCTTTTAATTTGAAAATATTTTATGGTACATGGCAAAGGGGGCTTTGCAGATGCAATTAAGGTTATAGACATTACGACAAAAATATTATTTTGAATTATATATATGGGTCCGATATAATAGCATGGGCTCTTAAAAATAGAGAAGTCCCCCTGGCTAAGGTCAGAGAAATGCAATGAAAGAGAATAAGAGAAATGTCACAGATAGTGAACTCAGGCCATTCTGGTTGAGAAAAGAATTTGATACAACATTGCTGGCTCTGAGATGTAGAAGCATATTTTTTAAGAACCAGAGAGAGATGGCTAAAGAATCATTCTTTCTGTTTAATAGATGTCTATTCAAATATTTTGCTCATGCTTCTAATCATATTATTTGTATTTTTACAGTTGAATTTTGTGTTCTTTATATATTCTGAATACAAGTTCCTTATCACAGTGGGGCCCAAACATTTTGGCACCAGGGACCAGCTAAGTGAAAGACAATTTTTCCATGGATTGGGGAGGGGGATGGTTTCCAGAAGAAACTATTCCACCTCAGATTGTCAGGCATTAGTTAGATTATCTTAAGGAACAGGCAACCTAGTCCCTCACATGTGCCGTTCACAATAGAGTTCGTAGTCCTATGAGAATCTAAGGCCACTGCTGATCTGACAGGAGGCGGAGCTCAGATAGTAATGCTCACCTGCTACTCACCTCCTGCTGTACAGCCCATTTCCTAACAGGTCATGGACCAGCACCGGTCCATGGCTCTGGGGCTGGGGACCTCTGTCTTATCAGATACATGATTTGTAGATGCTTTCACCCATTATCCAGATATTTTTTCACATTCTTGATTGTGTTTTATTTTGAAGGAAAAAGATTCAATTTTGATGAAGTCTTATTTATTGAAGCTTATTTCATCACCTAACATATGTTCTTTCTGCAGAATATTCCAGATATAATTTAGAAGAATGCATTTTCTGATGTCATTGGGTGGAGTGTTCTGTAGATGTTTATTAGGAATGGTTGTTCAAATTTTCTATTATTATTTGATCTTATGCCTAGTTGTGATATCCATTATTGAAAGGGTTTGTCAGTCTGCAATAATTACTGTTTGTCTACTTTTTATTTCAATTTTTGGTTTTTGTCATCATGTCTTTTGGTGTTCTATTTTTAAGTTCATATATAAGTGTTCTGCCTTCCTGAAAGACCTACACTTTTATTGCAATAAAACAACTATTTTTTTCTCTAGTACCTTTTTTTGGTATTAAAATTTATGTTATCTGATATTAATATATCCACTTCAACTTTCATTGGTTACTAATTGAATGCCGTGTATTTCCCATCTTTTTTTCCAACCTCTTTGTACTTTCCATACAGTGTGCCTTTTGTAGACAACATAAAGTTGGCCATTCTTCCAAAGTACATTCTGCTGATCTACAACTTTAAAGTCTTTACTCCCTTTGCATTTAATGTAATTATGCCTGATATCTTGCTATTTATTTATTATATGTCTATATGACTTATTTTTTTGGTTATGAATTTCATGTACCATTTTTGCCTCATTCATCCATGATTGACTTGTTTTGTGTTTAGTACATATTTTCAAGTGGACTATTTTAATTCCCTTGATATTCAACTGATATGTATATTTTGAAATATTTCTTATTGCTTGTCCAGGGAATTACAATTAGCATCTTAATGTTAAAACAGTCTAGCTCAGATTAATACCTACTTAATTTCAATAGTACACAAAAAGTTATTCTAATATAGCTCCTTTTTATCCTATTCTTTGTGCTATATTTGCATCCAAATGTCATATTTATACCTTATAACACTGTCAACATAATTTTGTTGTTGATTTATGCAATTGTGTTTTAAATCAGACAGAAGAAGAAAAGAGTCACAAACAAAAATACATTGTGTTTTTTTTAAATGCCTGTGTACCTACCTTTATCAGTGTGCTTCATTTGTTGTATGGATTTAAGCTAAAGTCTAGCCATGTTTCGTTTCAACCTGAAGGATTTCCTTCAGTATTTCTCATAGGTTTGGTCTCTTAGCAACAGATTCTTTCATATGTTGTTGCCTCTTTCTTTCTGTTTTTATTTGGTACTCACATTGTCCATATGCTGGTACATTTGATGATGCCACACAGGTTTCTCAGGCTCTCATTCTTATTTCTGTTTTTCAGAATAAATAATCTTGGTTGATCCATTTTCAAATTCACTAATTGTTTCTGGAACAGAAATCAGCTATTGAACCATTCTACACTTTACATTTGTTTTGTCAACTTCAGATTCTATTTCAAGAAATTCTCTCTCTCTCTCTCTATTGCTATTTGTTACATTGTTCTCATACTTTTATTTAGTTTGTTAAACATTCTTTTCATTAGTCCTTTGAATATATTTCATAACTTGATATAAAAGCCCAGTCTAATAAATGAGCTTCCCCAGGAAGCTTCTCTAGAGACTATAGTTTTATTTCTCCTAATGCGTGTGCCATTCTTTATTATTTCCATGTGTTTTTCGTTGCTGTTATTGTGGAAAGCTTGGCATTTTAAATATTGCAATGCACTAAGTATATAAATCACATTCTACCTTCTTTAAAGATTTTGTGGTTTCTTGTTGTTGTTATTATTACTGTTGTTTCGTGACTTTTTTCTAAAATGATTATATAAAATCTGTATTATTTGTCATAAGGGGCCACTGAAGTCTTTGTCAGTTAAATTAATAGTAAACCAACTTGTCGTCAAGATTTCCTTAAGTCCTTAGAACAGGTATGTGTCCTGGTGTTTGCTACTGAATTCAGTGTCTGTGTTGAGGAATACCTTCCATGCTCAAGAAGGCAGCTTCCCATACCTGTTTGTACAGAGCCTCTAACTCCGTCAGAGGTGAAAACCTGGGGCCTTCTCAGGTCCCCTCTTAGGTCTGTGCATAGCCTTGGGATGCACATGAGCTTGTTGCCTACTGCATTCCCAGGAATGTGTCAAACATTTTTTATAGACCCCTTACAGACATTTCATTTAAGTATTTTTAGTCAAATTCTTATTTTCCCTCTGTTTTTGCAGTCTCAGGCAGCCACAGTGTTCAATGATTGCACTGATTGTTTCTAACCAACACTCTTCAGAATAGGTTGTTCACACTGGGAAAATAGTTGAGCCAGGTCAAATAAAGACAAGCCTTGCATTGAGGGTTGCCAGAGTAGTCAAAAAATTACAAACAGTCTCTAACTTTCACAGTGATTCAGCTTACTATTTTTCGACTTTATCATGATGCAAAAGAGATATTCATTCAGTAGAAATCCTTCTTCAAGAAACCATAAACACATTATGTTTTTCATCTTTGGTACTATATTCAATAAGTTACATGAAATATTTAACATTTTATAAAATAGGTTTTCTGTTAGATGCTTTTGCCCAACTGTAGGCTAATGTAAGTGTTCTGAGCACGTTTAAGTTAGGCTAGGGTAAGATATGATGTAGGTTATGTGTATTAAATGCATTTTTGACTTAGAATGCTTTTGTCTTACAATAGGCTTATCAAGGAATAACCTCAGTCTAAGGGGCATCTGTACAATTCTCTGAGAATGTTGCTTTGAGGGATCGCCAGTACCATTTTCTCCTCACCCAGCGATTGCTAAGCTGTTGGTTTTCACTGTGATTGTGGGGCTGTGATTTTTCAGTTTTTATGGTTAGTGCAGAGGTGGGTAGAGGTATCTGGGAAAGGGCAAATTAAAAAGCCACAGATCTCCCAATTCAGCTGTTTAGGGATTGCGGCACTAAATTGCAACACATTGTTACAAACTGTTACCTATATTTCAAAGTTCTAAAAATATTAATTTTGATAATTTTGACAGTGTTCTTATTTTTACAGAAAAAGAAATTTGGCAGCTACTTCACTATTTCTGTACAAATTCCCATTTACTATTATTTTAAAGTAACTATGTTTTACTTTACTTTTCTACCTTAACCATTTTGAAGTGCATAGTTCAGTATTGTTAAGTGTATTAACAATGTTATATAACACTTCCAGAATTATTTTCATCTTGCAAAACTGACCTCTATACTGAGTCAGCAACAACAATACATTTCCCAATCCTCCCAAATCCTGGCAACCACTATTCTACTTTCTGTTTCTATGTGTTTTGAAAAAAGCCATCTAACAGGTGTAAGATGGTGTACCATTGTCAACTTGTTTTGGATTTCTTTAATGATCAGTGATGTTGAGCATTTCTCATCTGTTTGTTAGCCAGTTGTATACCTTCTTTGAAGGTATATCTATTCAAGTTCTTAGCTCATTTTTTAATCAAGTTATTTATTTTAGTTGTTATTAAATTATAAGTGTTCTTTATATATTCTAGATATTAACCTTTCATCAGATCTATGATTTGCAAATTTTATTTTCCTTAATTTAGGTTGCCTTTTCTGTGGTGATTTTGTCTTTTGATTCAAAGAAATTTTGAATTTGATGTAATCCTTGTATTAATCTGTTTTCATGCTGCTGATAAAGACATATCTGAAACTGGGTAATTTATGAAAAAAAAAAGAGGTTTAATGGACTCATAGTTCCACATGGCTGATGAGGTCTCACAATCATGGTGGAAGGCAAAAGGCATGTTCTACATGGTGGCAGAAAAGAGAGACTGAGAATCAAGCCAGTTAAGTTTCTCCTTATAGAACCATCAGATGTTATGAGACTTATTCACTACCACAAGAACAGTATAGGGGAAACTGCCCAACTTCCCTCATCATTCGATTATCTCACACCGGGTCCCTCCTACAACACAGGGGAATTACGGAAGCTACAATTCAAGATGAGATTTGCGGGGGTGTGGGGGAGGGGGGACACAGCCAAACCTTATCAGTCCTATTTCTCCATTTTTGCTTTTGTTGACTATACTTTTGATGCCCTTTTTAAGGAAATCATAGCCAAATGCAATATCATGAAGTTTCGCCCTATGTTTTCTTCCAAGATATTTATAGATTGAGGTCTTAGGTTTAGGTCTCTAATCCATTTTGAATTATTGTTTGTATGTAGCGTAAACTAAGTGTTCAACTTTATTATTTTACACATGGATATCTAGTTTTCCCATCACCGTTTGTTGAAAAGATTGTCTTTTGCCCATTGAGTCATTTTGACTCCTTTATTGGAGATCATTTGACTGTATCTGGGAGGGTTTAAATTTAGGCTTTCATTTCTATTGCATTGGTCTATATGTCTGTCTTTAAGCCAGTACCACAATGTTTTGATTACTATAGCTTTATAATGTTTCAAATCAGAAAGTGTGAGACTTCTCTTATTTTTCAAGATGTTTCTGGCTATTCAAGGTCCCTTAAGGTTTCATATAAATGAAAAAATGCTATTGGGACTTTGATAGAGGTTGCATTGAGTGTGTAGATCAGTTTGGGTAGTATAGACATCTTAACAATATTAAGTGTTCCAAATTCATGAACACAGCGTGACTTTTGATTTATTTGTGTTTCAAAATTTATTTAAATAATTCCCTTTTAAATAGTTTTTGATGTACCAGTATTTTCCTACCTAAGTTAATGTTATTCCAAAGTATTTTATTCTTCTTGATAGTATTGTAAATGGAATTAATTTCTTAATTTGGGGGTGAATTGTTTATTGTTAGTGTATAGAAATGCAACTAATTTTTTGCATGTTGACTTTGTGTCAGGCAGTCTTGCTAAATATTTTCATTACTTCTAAACATTTATTTGTGGAATCTTCAAGGTTTTCTACACATAAGATATCATCTGAGAACAAATACAATTTTACTTCCTTCTTTTTAATTTAGTTGCCTTTTATTTCTTTTATCTTTTGCCAGCTCCCTTTGATTGTTTCCTAATTAACTGTCCTTGTATTCCAGGAAATAAACCCCGTGATATTGGATTCAGTTTGTTAGTATTTTCTTAGGTACTTTTGCATTAATAAGCAGTAAGAGTATTGATTTGTAAGTTTTTGTTCTTGTAGTGTGTTTGCTGGGGTTTGGTATCAGGATTATGTCAGCCTCATGAAATGAGTATGAAATTATTCTTTCTTCAAAATGTCACTATGGTTTGAGGAGTGTTGATGTTAACTCTTATTTAAATATTTGTTAAAAATCTACAAAGAAGGCTTCTGGTCTTGTGCTTTCATTTATTGGAAGACTGTTAACTACTGATTCAATCTCCTTACTATAGGTCTGTTTAGATTTTTTATTTCTTCACAATTCAGGCTCAGTGTGTTGTGTGTTTCTAGAAATATGTTCATTTCTTCTAGTTCATTCAATTTTTTGGTATACAATTTTTCATAGTACACCCAAAATTCGTGTACATTTTTCCATAGTACAGTTGACCATTGAACAATATGGGTTTGTGCAACATGGATCTGATAATATGCAGATGTTATTCCTCCTCTGTCACCTTTGACACAGCAAGATCAACCACTCTTCTGCCTCCTCGTCAGCCTACTGAATGTGAGACAAGATAAAGACCTTTAGAATTATTCACTTTCACTTTATGAATAATAAATATGTCATCTCTTGCTTATAATTCCCTTAATTACATTTTTAACTAACTAATGTTATTGTCAGAATATAACACGATACTTGTAACATACAAAATATATGTTAATTGACTGTTTATGTCACTAGTAAGTCTTTCAAACAACAGTAAGTTAGTAATAAATTTGGGTGTAAGTCAGAAGTTATATGTAGAATTTCGACTGTGTGGGGGTTCAGAACTCCAAACCCTCACATTGTGCATGGTCTGTATTTTCTTATAAAGCTTTCTATTTCTGTGGCTTCAATTGTAATGTCCTCTCTTTTATTTCTGATTTTAGTAATTTCAATTGTTTCTTTTTACTTTTATCATTGTTTTGTTTCTTTTTGCTCCTCTGACTCAGTAATTTTGAATAACCTGTCTTCAAGTTTGCTGATTCTTTCTTCTTCCTGGTGAAGACCATAGATGAACCCCTCTACTGAATTTTTCAATTTAGGTATTGTATTTTTCAGCTCTAAAAGTTGTTTGGTTCTTTGCTTTATAGTTCCTATTGGTTAATATTCTAATTGTGTTCCTGCCTCATTTTGCTGATTTTGTTGACTTGTCCATCTGTGTTCTCCTTTAGTTTATTGAACATCTTTAAGAAAGTTGTTTAAATTGTTTGTCGAGTACTTAAGAAATCTGTGTTTCTTGAGGGTGGCTTTCTGGAGATTTATTTTGTCTCTTTGGTTATCCTATGTTTCCCTATTTCTAGGTATGCCTTGTGACCTTTATGGAGATTTATGTATTTGAAAAAAGCATAAAAATCTCTTGTAATCTTTACGCACTGCCTCCATGCAGGAGAAGACCTTTACTAGTCAGCTTGGCTAGAGATTCTTAGACCTCTCAAGAATTTTCTGGGATATGTCTTTCCTGAACTTGTGAGTCTGGTTTTATTCTATATGTCAATGCTTTTAACTGTTTATTTTTCTCAAGATGCTTGCCCTCAAAGCTTTCATTTTTATTTTTATTGCATTCCTAATTTGAAAGCACTGTACACTCCTTTTGCCCCCAAGTGCCTACCTGAAAAAACTGTCAACTCCTCATTGTCCTAATACTCCATGGCACTACAGACCTCCTACTTGGTTTCCAAGGTATACAATGATTACCATCAATGGCCCATATCAGGTAGAACAGAAACCAATTCCTTGAACATTCTCCAGGAAAATCCAGAATGTTAAACACAAGTTTCATTCTTTTCATTCCTTCCTGATGGAGGATCCAGAAATTAGGAAGTTTTCTACTTCATCTTGCCTCACTATATCAAATACAAGAATGTAGAGCAAAGATGAGAAAAGTGCTATCAAATTCCTACTCTCCTCAAATTCCTTCTTGGCTATTTGTTCAACTGAGTGTTCTATCTTCTTAAAATATTTAATTGGATTTTGGCAAAGACCAAACTCCAACTAAAACTGTTTCATGTGTATTCTCTTATGATATGAGAATCCCTTGTCTTATGATAATAAAATTATAATAAAAATCACATGCAAAGTAATAATAATTGTGATGGTTGATACTGAGTGTCAACTTAATTGGATTGAAGGGTGAAAACTATGGATTCTGGGTGTGTCTGTGAGGGTGTTGCCAAAGGAGATTAACATTTGAGTCAGTGGGTTGGGCAAGGCAGACCCACCCTTAATCTGGGTAGGCACCATCTAATCAGCTGTCAGTGTGGCTAGAATATGACTCAGGCAGAAAAACATGAAAAGACTAGACTGGCCCAGCTTCCCAGCCTACATTCTTCTCCCATGCTGGATCCTTCCCGCCCTGCAACATCAGACTCCAAGTTCTTCAGTTTTGGGACTCATCCTGGCTCTCCTTGCTCCTCAGCTTGCTGACAGCCTACTGTGGCACCTTGTGGTCATTTGAGTTAATACTTAATAAACTCCCCTTTATATATATACATATGTGTGTGTGTGTGTGTGTGTATATATATGTGTGTGTGTATATGTGTGTGTGTGTGTGTGTGTGTGTGTGTGTGTGTGTGTGTGTGTATATATATATCCTATTAGTTCTGTCTCTCCAGAGAACCCTGGCTAATACAATAATATTAAGGAATGAAAATCAATGAGTCTGAACATCTTCATCGTTATGATTGGTAGCAATTTTGGAGGGCTTAAAATAAATATAAGATTGGTAGGGGAGAGTAGTTTTTTGATTTACTTATTTGCTTATTTTTGCTTTGAAAGTATAAACTAGAGAAAGTAAGGGCATAATCTTTAGTTATTGGTATCTCTTTTTTTTCCTCCATTGCAGTCTAAATCAGTGTTAAGAAATACTTCCTTGCTTCTATAATTCCATCATTGCTCTTTTGATCTAAATACCAAACTGGGACATCAGAATAGGAAAAACAGTCACTTCCTGGTGTTCATAAGGGTTTATTTCTCACATACAATACAAGACATTCTTTCAATTTAATCACCTTTTCAAAGAAGTTTTATAAAATTTATGGTAGATAAATATTCCAGACTTATGTTACAATAAGTGTTTAAATACTATTTAAATTTTAACCTTGTAGAAAACTACTAATATATTTATTTTCCTAAAAATACATATTTTTGTGGCATTAATAATTATCTTATTTTGTTTCATTTGTTTATCTTTGCATGTTTTTGTCACCATTTCAACTCCAAATTCTCCAAAGAACTGCATCAAATTTATTTACTGTGTTGAGATACTTAGGTATTATATAAATTTTATCTTACCAATAAAACATTTCCCAGGATATATAGCCTGCTCTTATTTTAATGGACAATATCACATATCCTGCGCACAGCTGCCGTACTATTTCTTTTGTTCATTATCCTGGAGATTCCCTTTGTCTCTTCCCTTTATTGAATAAAAAGGAGTATTCATTGTATCTTATGTGTCCTTTTGTCATTTTGTAACAGGACAGCTAGCTTGGCTTCAAACCATGTTTTTAAACTTTTTATCTTCTTTCTCCTTTCTCCTCAATCTCAAGATATAACTTTTGAGACAAACTTAATATATGTTTCCTTTCATCTTGAACTATAGCCTCAGGATGTGCTGTGGACCTCCACTTCCTTTCTTTTCCCATTCTACCCCCCCATGCCTTATGCACATTCATTTATGTGGATGTGTGTTAAGCACACACCATGCTCACTTATCTGGTCATATATTTCTTTAGAAACATCAGGAGCTAGGTCCTTACATGGATCAGGTACCTCCAGAATT
This sequence comes from Homo sapiens, assembly GCF_000001405.40. Lineage (NCBI taxonomy): Eukaryota > Metazoa > Chordata > Mammalia > Primates > Hominidae > Homo > Homo sapiens. The sequence goes on along the minus strand of NC_000021.9, from coordinate 23,256,468 downwards.
CTGCCTCCGGTCAAGGCCAAAACTCACTAGGGGTTAGAAATTAACTGCAAGATTGACTGCAATTAATTTGTAACCTGCCTGGGCCCAGGATGGTGTCGGCCTCTTCACCAAATGGAAAAATAAGTCAAATTAAGCCATTGGAGTGGATCACACCACCTGATGCATCCAAGCCCCCCTCCTCTCCTGCATTCCAAACTCCTCTCTCTTTAAAAACCCCTGCCTTCCCTCCACAAATTGGAGTGGAGATTTTTGGGAAATAATTCCTCCCTCTTTTTCCCTTGCTAGTGCAGCTGATAAAGCTCCTCTCTTTCTATCACAACTCATTATTATTTTGGCTTCTTTCTACAAGCAACAAGCAGCTGGACACTTTGCCAACTACACTTTTTTCTTAGTTTATGTTCTCATTTGTGATGTACATATCATCTAGAAATCCCTAAGCAAAGGTGTTTCAAAGCCATTTTCTAGATAATCTGTATGTCTGAAGATGCATTTACTCTCCCCGCACAGTTGTTTGGTAGTTTGGCTGGGTAAAGGGTTGTAGTTTAAAAATAACAAAGAAAGAAATAGAGACTTTGATCCTATTTTAGACACATTGCAAATACACTCATTAGTATTTAAAGGGGAATTCAGTTATTGATTTGCATTCTTAAATGATCTCTTTGATTGAAATGTGAGAAATGGAGTGAGATGGCAGAAGTAAGCTGTCACTGAGGTCAGTTAAGTGATTACTGCTGTAATCCAAGTGAGAGATACTAGTGTCCTGGACTAAGGTAACCATAGTGTTTTTGTAGAATACAGCATTGTTGTTGAAAATTTTAGTAATGACTTTAAGTGGGCTGAGTTAAAGAAATTAGAAAAAAATATTCTCTGGATAGGGACAATTGTAACAATTGCTAAACAATAGAAAATTACCTTTGGAGCAGGTTTGGGGCTTGCTGTGTTTGAAGGGCTTATATGTATTAAAAGTGAAGATGATTATACAAGACTTCCTTCCAAGCAATGTATTTACAGTGAGTTTGCACTGTAGTTGACTTTAATTTTGCAAATTTCCAGAGCATCATAGAATTCATTGTGAATACTCAATTCTCCTAAAAACTGAGTAATCTACTTCTCTGTAGTATAGCATAGAAAAATCCAAGCAAATTTTAAGATAGACTTGGCTATGGAAATTAGCATTTAATTTTCTGTGTGAACCTACACATTTAACTGATTCATTCAAATGATCATTATCCTTATCTATTCTTATATGTCCAAGCACATAATAATATATCCGTCCCTACTTCAGAAAATTGTTAAGAAGAAAAACTAAATTAAGATACATAAGATACAAAGAAGATTGCCTAGCAATCATTATTAATATCTCAATGAATGTTAGCTATTTGTACATACCTTAACTCACAGATTCTGTCATTTAAATATATGCCAAATATTTTCATAATAGTGGAAATAATATGTATGAATCACATCCTAATGCCTTTAAATAGTAGTTACGAATATCTGTTGCTTTCTATATACATGTATAATCAATAATAATTAAAGCCTATTGGTAAAGTACAGAATTGTGATCTAATAGGCATATTATTTGTAATCTATTATACAACATATTAGAATAATTTTTATTTCAAATAAGAGATCAACTATTTCTTATTTATTTACAGAGCATATGAAAGATATCTTTAAAGATATTTTAGTTAGCCTTTTTACATACGCAGCAAAAATACTCTCTTGTTTACCACACCACAAGAAAATCTTTATTTAAAAATATCAAGATAAATGCAGCACAAATAATGTAATCACCATTGAGCTATACTTTCTGAGGGAGTTATAATTTTTGGAAAGCTGTGTCGACCTTTCCAAGCCACCAGGATATCATTTACTGTAATGAGTGCTAATTTCCTAAGTGGTATCCTAGTGACCCAAAAGAGTTTGTACAACTTTCTGAAAGTGTTTTAAGTCCCTGTGGTGTAGTTTACACAGTGGGGAAATATGGTTCATTATTCACAAACATACATTACAGATGAGGAAATTAATGGTCACAATGACATTTTTTGCTCCATTTAAAATGAGTAACATTAAAAGGACTGCACTTTTAAAAATAAATTGAAATTTACTTGCAGAAAATCAAGTATTATTCATTCGTTTTTTTCTTTTTTTTCCCTGAATTTTGTCACAAATATTTATCTATAAATCTATTTTAAAACTACTTTTAAGATATAAATGAGTATCAAAACAGAGGGGCTATCTCAGGGCTAATTTTTTTAATGTGCTCAGAATGATGATTTTCATCTTCTCTTATTGCTCTCTAAGGCCCTTTTCTGGATCTGCAAACTGATGTTTTGCTGTTTTCAAGCTTGAATGGCCATCAGAACATATTTTTTAGTTCAATGAATTTGTATCTAGGCAAGTTCTTAATTGCCTTACGTAAACAGCTTCTTCAAGTTTTCTATAGAAAATATTTTTATCATTGCCTTTACAAAAAACGAAATTTAGATTTATCTGGATAGGAAAAAAAGTGATGGAATGATTAGCATATTGTACACAATATAGTCCTGTAATATTATAAACAGCACCTTACTTCTCCCTTGTGCATTATAAATGTAAGGACCCAACTTAAGAGAGAGGAAAATCTCTTCTTGCCATTTCTCATTCCTAGTAAGCGATTATAAATCCTTTTTCAGAGTTATTGTCCAATCTGAAAACTCCACTTTGGAAATAGGAGGTTAGCAATTACCTCAGAAACTTCAAGTTAACATGTAGTGTATTTCTACAAAGTATATTAATGTGCAATGAGTAGGAATGTGTTAGTCTTCACAAGAGTTGAAGAAAGAGTGGGGGAAGAAGAGTTCCTTTTCATTAAGGTCCTATAAACATTCTTTTCTTTTTATCAGTTTACTTATGAAATATTAGCATCATATTAATTATGACTGTTTTCCTTTTCAGTTATATCAAAATATAAACAAGCATTTTACTGTAGGGTAAAGAGCAGTGTCTTCCCAACTTTAATGAAGCTACAGAAGCCGCATGGATACCTTATTAAAATACGAATTCTGATTTGGTGGGTCTTGAGAAGGGCCTAACGTTCAACATTTCTAATAAATTACTAGAGGATATTAATGTACTTTATGGACCACACTTTGAATTGTAAGGATATAGAAAATTGAACTTTTTACTATTTCTAGATTTTCAAAGATGTTTAGAGTTATGGTTTCTGGGGAGTCCCCGATGAATGATATATGTCTACTTATATATTAGTTAGTAAAGCTCTTTAGTTCGACTGAAAATTTTAAAAAGTATACCTATTGTAGAGAAAAGATTATAGAATTAGGGATTCTGTTACTAAAATTATTGCTGTTTTGTTGTCATTTTTCAGATTTATAATATGTGTCATAAGACAGATCAAAATCTAGACATTTAAGAAAGAAAATATTTTGAGTATGCAGATATTATCCTTCAGAAAGGGCATCCTGTGAGAGGTTATAACTTTGGAAACGCTACTTAATAGTAAAGGGTAATGATTATTATTATTTAAGAGTGACTGTGTGAAGATCCATTAATATACATTAAACTGCACAAAAAGTAAGAACGTTTATTTATCAGCATGTGATGAAACCAGACATACCATGAATTTCATTGCATATCTAATAACTTGACCATATAACCATATGCATATGTAAGAAATGTTAGTCTAGAAGCAGTAAAGTTTTTTGCACAGAATATTTTGTACTTTCTATATAAATTAATATTTACATTGTGAATGTTCTAATAAAAATATTAATAGCCAGTTAGTTTATAATTTGATTGTTATGGGTTTATGTGTATAATGCTATAGATTTCATATATCACATTATTGCTATAACATAATTCAATATATTACATTAGAATAAAATGATCAGCCTTTCTAAAACAAGATTTAAATGAGTAACAATATATTTATTTTAGTAACAAAAACTAATTTCTCCGTAAGTTTATTTCTGACAGTACATTATATAGCAAAATTCTTTGAAAACAGAGCCTGAGATGAGGTAAAAATAAACAAAAAAGAAGAAGAAAAATTCTTGCTTATTTGAACTCTAATACACTTAAGGTCTTTGTAAGTAATCTGAGTAGGTTACAAATTTGGAGTTGATAGTGTGCCAAAGAGTCTTTTTAAAAAGAATTCTTTCCACAACACTGTATAAAATCAGTATTTCTTTTGCATATGTGAGGAAAAATCAGGGTAAATAGTTATCATTGCAGGGAGAATACTATAAATAGACAATTTGTTAAGGAGAGTAGCATGTTGCTTTGTGTAAAAATAATACAAAGAATGGATCTAGGCATACACATAATGTGTGCACATGTTATATGTAAGTTTATAGAACAGAAATTAGAAAACAAATCATGCAGATGGAGTTGGAAGTTATGACGATATTAGCAAATGTGGTTTACAATTTACCTTAAATAGTGAAATGTTTAGCTATGCTGAAGTTACAACAACAGGAAAATTTAAAATGTGGCTAAGTGGCTTAATAAATAACAGTTTATCCCTTACACTTATATAATCTGAATGTATTGAGTATCCTAGTCCATCTGTAGTTAAATCTTCTGCACAGACTATGGGGGCTGCCATAGTAAGGAAAAAGAAAAGTAGAGAAGACATGTAATCTGTCCTGTCTGCCACACATCAGTTTAATTTCCTTCCATGCCTGCAGCACACATATACCTTCCCTAAAGGATACAGCAAGGTCCTATCCTGTCAGTGACTGGTCTTCAGGAATTCTTAAATGTCACTGGGAAGATACTTTAAAGGATTCTAGGTTTGAGATGCGGTTCATGATTAAGATCTGATAGTCTGTTTTTCTCAGAGGTCCTTCTTCTCCTGGCTCTTGACTTTTTTGTTCTCAGGATTAGCTACACTTGTTCGTATTTGAGGTAGATACTGGGATATGTGCTTTCCTGCAGTTGTACAGTTTTCTCAGCCTAATTCTGACAGGGGGAAGCTTAGAGACCATTTCTTTAAAAATCCCAAATAGGTAAAGTTTTCTACCCCAGTCTCTTAAATTTTTTCCCAACAAAACTGCCATAAAAGTTTAGTTTCTCTGTTTATCTATTTGATTTCTGTCATTTTCATGTGCTAATTACCATACCCAAAGTTCTTGGGAGACATGTTTCTAAAATCTTTATTACTGGGGAATTTCATTTTCCTGCCCCATATGACCCCTCTCAATGAATGGAGGTTTCTGGAAATTTATTATGATTAATTTCATATTTAACCCATGCCACTCTTTGAAAGATTTTACTAGGCTTCTTTGCACCAAGTCTTTGAAATGTAACAGAAATTGACTTTTCCATCAGTCATTGAATGTGTCACAAATTTTACTTGTGACAATGTTAAACTTTATCTGATCCCCGTGCACCTGGAAAACAGTCATGGTTAAAGAAATCCCCCCACCCTTGCATGTTGTGGAAAAGGCTTGTGGCAGAAAACTGCCCTTCCCCCATGATTTACTATTGCACTTACAGATGACTCTCTTGTTTACTTATGGCAAGGACAGACACAGACCTCTACATTTTCTGTTTTTGCTTCATATGAGTTTAGGGGAATTTTTTTGTCCCCACTGATTAATCAAAACAAAATGCCTGTTAAGTGACTTGACCAAATGTTAGTTAAGATTCTTTCCTCCCCAAAAGACTCTGAATATTGACCCCCCGTTCAGCTGGAGCAAGCATACAGCCCCACCTTAAAAATAATCTGCTGACCTCAGGGAAAGCATTTCCTTATCATCTTCCAACTGCACCTTTAGTTCTTTTTAGACTTGATTTTCCTTCCCATAAAGAAAATACCTTTTCTGCTTGAATTTTGAGAAGCTTGCAGATCTCATGGTTGGAATACTCTCCTTTATTGCAAGAGTCTTCTCCCCTCTGTTGCAATAGTCTCTTTCCTGCCTCTTGCAATAAACCTTACAAATTAAATTTCTTTAGGACTGCATTTGTTTTTATGTTGGCACTGGCAAATTGACCAATCATTTTTAGAGCTTGTCACCTTCTTGTAAGACCTTACTAAATGCAGCCCTAGCCATGCTCACAAACTATTAACATCATGTTTTCTAACTTCTTACCCTAGAGCTGCATGTTCAGTAGGCATAGGATTTGCTTTCCAGGTGATCTTAGGCAACATTTCAGCATGTTTTGCTACTGCTCATATGGATCTTCATCTCTTTACGCTTGGATCTTATTTTCTTTACCTTCCCCCACCCAACTACCAAGTTGATACCTTATAATTAGGTTTCCTTATTTTTGCAGCAGCATTCTACTGGTGGTCCAATTTCTATACTAGTCAGCATAATGTTAGGCATGCTACAGAATCAACACATAGAAATGAAAAATAAAATGTTTCCATTTTTGTTCATTCAGAGTTTAATAAAGGTGGGTGGTTCTGTTCCACCTTCAAGCTATGTATCTGGATAAGTGGCTTCCAGGGCTCTTACCTGCCTCACCCAGGAACAGACACACATTGCTTCAATTTATAGCCTACTGGTCAGAAATAAATATATGACTCAACCCAACCACAGGAAGGACACATAGATATTTGGGAGCAACTTACTCTCTTTGCTGTGACAATGTGAACTCATATTCTGACATGTTAGGAACGTTTACTATTAAGGGACACATGCCTGGCTTCTACAAATGATAATGAAACATATTTTACATGAATTATCTTCCACTTTTAAACACAAACTCTCTGAAATTAAGCACAGCTCTGGACAAAACATAAAGAAATCTATGTTGTGTCTCATTTGACCTTCTCTTCAGAGCCCAGTCACCATTATTACTTTCCTTCTGTGAAGACAAGGGAATTATATTGGATGTCCGTTGCATAACCTTAACCTTGGCTAAAAAGGTATGCAATGCCAAAGGTAAAAATTTAAGAACCAAGTTTTCAGTATGGCAGTAATGTCCTTATATGAAATCGAAGTGGTTTAAACATGTTAGTTCTAGACTGAGAAGTATTTTATTTTGCCCCTGTGTTATTTTTAAACAAAATATGTGTTGTTCTCCCTTGCTTGGTAATGAGCGCAAGGATGCACTGTTAAAAGTAAGTAAGTTTAATACAATGCATCAAAAATTAGAATATTAATATTTTGTGACATTTTAATTTAAAGTGGTCAGTAGTTAATGAATGATTAATGTGTCTTACAATTTAAAGTTAACATGATAATCAATTAATGCTCTTCTGGATTTAAAAGCTTTAAAAATTACAATCTATGTTTTCCTTAGTATTTATTATGAAATAGTTCACTTTTCCAAAGTTTCCATCTTTAAAGTCCCTACCATTCTTTAAATTGGGTCCTACTTGATATGAGTCCTGATTACTTCAGACACTATATTTGCTACTGCATACATCATGTTTCAAATAGCTTTTTTCTTTTTGGCCTAAGTGTCTTCCTGATACTTGCCAAATGCGCCCATGTATCAGATCCATTGTTTTTAATAATCCCCCTCTTCCAACTCAGTTTTACAAGACATACACATTGCTTCCTCATTTCATTAACGTCTTTATTTAAGGATCAACACATGAGAAAGACCTTTTGAGATCATCCACAGTAAAATAAAACTCCATATTTCTGACTAAAATTGCTGTTATCAATAGCACTTTAACACTACTTTAAAGAATGTCTACTTTACAAAGTCTAGAATGTCTACTAAACTATCATTTTCTGTCTCTCTACTAGAATGTCAGCTCCCCGAGGGCAAGGATTTCTTGGTATTTTCTGAGATATTCCCAGATATTAGAAAAGTCATTACATGATATACTCACGACCTGTTTATATTTCCAGTGACTTGAAAAGTGCCTATTGTATAACAGATATTTGCTACATATTTGCCGATTCAGTGAATTAACATGGTCAGTTTGTTTTAAAGGAAAACAAAATTGAAGCAAATATCTGTTATATAGGCAGAATCAATACAAAATTATGTAAAATAAAAATAACATTCTTTGTCCTCCCCAAAAGACATGTTGAAGTCCTAATACCTAGAGCCTGTGAATGTGAATTTCTAGGGTTTTTATGAACATAATAAAGTCATACAGATAAGGCCAGACAGGATTAGAGTGGGTTCTGCTTTAATGTCTGGTGGTCTTATAAGATGAGGGCAATTTAGTCAGAGATACAGTTAGGGAGAATGCTGTGTGATTGTCACAGGTAATTAGATAGTCATGAGCGGGGCAGGAGATGGCTCTTCCCCAACCCACTAGGAATGTCAGGTGATGGTTTGACAATTATCACTCTACCTCTTTAAAATGATAATTTGGCAGCCCACCCAGAGTGCCAGGGAGAGGCCATTTCCTGATGATCCACAGCTATTAACATTAGTGTTAAATGAATGCAGACTCCAAGGAGAAGAAACTGCCTGGGTTTGCACACACCAAATGGCACACAAAAAAATGGCAAAGTATGACGTTCTGGATTCACTTCACCAGAAAAAGGGAAAAAAGCCTCAGATGGGCATGTGTACCCCTTCCTAAACACACTGTGTGTGCTCAATTCCCAAGGGTAAGGAGAGCACCATGCAAGTGGAAAGCCCACTCAAAGGGAAGAATCATGGGGAAAGAGGTGAGTTTAGAAAGCCCTTAGATAAAGGGTAAACACTCTCTTCCCTCTTTCACCTTCAGGCACCCTCTTGAGTCTCTTCCAAGTGAACTTTCCATTCTTTCCTGTTCTAAAGCCTTTTTAAATAAACTTCCACTCCTGGTTGAAACTTGCCTTGGTATCTTTTTCTGCTTTATGCTCCTAAGTCAAATTCTTTCTTCTGAGGAGAAAGGACTGAAGTTGCTGCAGACCTGTACAGATATACCACCGCTAACTCAGGGTAACTGGGATCTCTTCTACTTGTAACATGATGAGGGAGGCAGAGATTGGACTAATGTATCTACAAACCAGGAAATTCCAGTGTTTGCTAACATTCCTCAGAAGCCAGGAAGAGTAAAGGAAGGACATTCCCCTACAGCCATCAGAGAGAGCATGATCCTGCTGACAGCTTGACTTTAAACTACTATTATTCAGAACTGTAAGAAAATAAATTCCTCTTGTTTTTAGCCACCCAGTTTATGGTAATTTGCTGCAACAGCCCCAGGAAACTAACACGTTGCCAACTCTTCATTCATTAAGGTCACATTTGTATGTTGCAATCAGCTATGGTGGGAGTATTTACAACACGGAAATCAGCAAGTGCTACAAATCAGAGATTGATTTAATGCTGATGTTGAAATAAGTTTTAGTTTAATAAATACAACTTGCATGAAGGTTAAAAATAGTTGACTAGTAGGTCATATATAAGAGCCAATGACCATGTTGTATTGGAAAAAGACAAGATTAGGATGTAACTTTACTTGTCAAATCATAGTTGAATTGTAACCATAGATTGGTTATAGCAAAAATCAACAGAAATCTGATAACTAATTGGCCATATACAATTTGCCATAAAGAGTATTCCCCTATGGTCTGAAAATGAGCATTTTATATGGAATGATGATGAAGAATACATCAAGTTGTCAGTGACATCAAGGAGATGTGGAGTAACAAAACTACAAGGCAGGAATGATAAGAATCTTATAAGACAATATATAATGTTTTCCTTCCCCATCCTTTCCTTCTTCAAAGTTACGTCAGAGCAGATACTGACTGCATTCATCCAGAATATTCTAGCACTAGATAGGTGTGGAGGTAAGTTGAAAGAAGAAAAGGCAGATCAACTTAGAGTATTTTTAAACACCCACATTCCTGGGCCCCGGTCCACACTTAACGAACCCAAAGATATTTCAGAAGTTCTCCAGGTGACTATGATGTATACTCAGGAAGAGGAACTACTCAGATCCGTATTATTGATACTTTAATTATGAGATTTCATGATCCTAAATGTCTCTGTGTGAATACAGAAACATGTTCTCCAATGACTCTGGGGAGAATGGCATAACCACCTTCTATTGGCAGTGATCCATTGCTATATGTGCAACCAGGAGGCCTGACACGTATCTAACATACCAGTTTCCTAGTTTGGGTCTGCAGCTGGTGTTTGCAAAGCCTGATATTAATGCCTTTCTCCAAGAGTCACCTTAAAATGAATGAAAACCAGACAGAGGGCAGTCCACCTGCAGTTCCCCAGCAGGCCTGCATGTGCTGCTTTGCTTTAAGTTTCACTGCAGAATATTATTGAAACATGTCTGAAGATCAATTATCTACCATTAGGCTTTCCATTTGATTTCACTATATACAGTCATGCACATCTCAGCATTGGGGATACTTTCTTAGAAATGCACTATTAGGAAATTTCATTCGGCAAACTTCGTGGTATAAAAATGTTCTTATACAAACCTAGATGGATAGTCTCTACACACCTAAGCTTTATGGTACAATCTATTGTTCCTAAGCTACAAACCTGAACAGCATGTTACTGTATTGAATACTGTGGGTAATTGTAACACAAAGTAAATATTTGTATATGTAAGTATAAAAAAGATACAGTAAAAATATGATGTTATAATCTTATTAGACTAGCATTGTATATGTGGTTCATCATTGAACAAAATGTTGTTATGTAGCATGTGACTGTAAAATCTGTTTTCTATGCATTAACTAGTGGCATTTTATATTGGCAGATTGATTCCATTTCAGTGTGTTGCCAATTTTGTGTTGTCATTTAATCACAAATATGTTCATTATAATATCACACCAAAAAAGCCAGTTTTGCAACCACTAAAATAAAACTGGTTATCTCATTAATGTACTAATAACTACTTGACTCAGATGGAATTTCATAGCATATTGGAAGTATATTTATGCTCATCTCTCGAAGTATTGGCTAGCATCATGGTTTTAGTTTGCATCTTTAGGGGTTAAATCTATAATCATAGGATGGGGCAAAACATTCAGTGATTATTTTTAGATCTTTATTACCTGTGAAAATTACAGACTTAATGATCTGTTTCTCTCATGCTGGCTGGTTGGTGATAGCAGACTCATTTAACTTGGCCATCCGTCCAAAACATAGTGCTGATTCTGCAAATTAATTAAACACTATTGGAACACCCTCATCTGCAGGTGCCTTATTTGTCCTGTAATGTAAACAATACTGGTGGAACAAACTCTTTTAGGTAAATCTTTCTCTATACTTTGAAAAAATGCATATACACAATTATATTTATTGTTAGTGATTTTGAAAAACAAATATGTTGTGATATGGCATAAGCTTTGAAGAGACAAAGCCATTTGAAATAACAGAGAGAAAAACAGTGACAAAAGGCAGAAAATGTCAAGAGGCCCTAAATTTTTCGTTCTCTAGTTTGTATAGACCTTAGATATACAACCTTTTCTAACTACATACCATTTGGCTGGAGCAACTGAGGGTGCATCGGCATCATAGTTAATACATAGGAAATGATGCAGTTTGTAATCAAGAAATTGTATCTTGTATTCTTTTGAAAAACCTCACCCATATTGTTCAAAGAAGAACCACTGTTATGGGTTGAATTTTGCAACCCCTTACACCTAAATTCATTTATTGAAGTCCTCACTTTTAGTATCTCAGAATGCAACCTTATTTGGAGATAGGGTCTTAGTAGAAGTAATCAAGTTAAAGTGAGATTACTGTTATCCTTATGAAAAGGGGAAATTTTGAGACAGACATGAACACAGGAATAATGGCACATGAAGAGACACAGGGAGAAGACAACCTTGTGCAAGCCAAGGAAAGAGGCCTGGGGTAGATTCTTCTCTCACGGCTCTTAGAAGGAACAACCCTGCCAATACCTTGGCTTTGTACTTCTAGCCTCCAGAACTGTGAGACAATACATTTCTGTTGTTTAAGTTAGCCAGTTTTTGGTAGTTTGTTGCTGTAGCCCTAGCAAACTAATACAACCACTCTCTTCCTACATGACTGCCTCCCTGATAACAGTGTGTGGACTAAGTTCGGCATCCATCCATATTGGACAACCACAATCCCCCTTTCTTAGTCACAGTGTCAGGGGTTGGGTGTATGGACTAAATCAAAGGCCAGTTGGAGTTTTTTCATGGAATTATTTAAACTGGAGTGCAGAGAATAACACCCCTGTTATCTAATAGAAAAACTAGAAAATATGAGTCCGGGAGCCACTGGTGCCCTAGTTTGTCTACATGAAGAAAACCAATCTACAGAAATAACAAATGGATGTTGCACAAAGACAGGAATAATGACAAAAGGCACAAAAAGGCAAGGATCACTGGTTATACTTCTCAGATACATACCCCTCCACACTTTTCTGATTACATGAGGTGTTATAGCTAAAATGTGTTTTTGTTGCTTGGTTTTGCCAAATGATTCTCTGTTTGATGTTTTGCAAATTTCTTAAACTGTTTGGGCCTAAATTCCTTCCAGCAAAAATGATATTGATAATAGTGAACTTTTACAATTATCAAAAACTCAAAGTAAATATTTGTAGTTTCTGACACATACTGCAGGTTGAATTAAGTAAGTAAGTTTTTAAGACTACATTCATCAATGCCTAAATGAAAGTAATAATACTTTAATTAATAATCATGTTATAACTTGGGAAGGAAAATCTAGAATCTTGGCTTATTGTTGCTTCATAGCCTCAGACAAAATATATTCCTCATTGGTGCCTTGGCTGTCTGCTATGGAGAGGTCCTATTCAGTGAGTGTACTTTTGCCCCTACTTCCAGCTGAGTCTCCGCTGGCTTCACATTTCAGTGCCTTTCATTTAGATAACTACGTGCTGCCTGAATTCTTTCCCTTAGCACTCTGTCTTAATTCTGCTTGTTTATGATCCACACTATTATGGTCACTGCCAAAATATATGGTCATTTTCTGGCAAGCCAACAACAAAAATCACCTGAATTAAAACCTTATCTCTCTCTTTTTTTGAGTTTTTGGCTGTCATATAAGCAGGTTTTTTCTACACCAAAAAGAATATATATATATATTTACACATATATATGTGCATATATATACATTTACACATATAAATATATATATACATTTACACATATAAATATATATATACATTTACACATATAAATATATATACATTTACACATATAAATATATATACATTTACACATATATATGTGCACATAAATATATATATACATTTACACATATATATGTGCATATATATGCACAAGTATATATATAAAATGGCACTAGGCTAGCAACTAATTTACTTCGTTCCATGAAAGCAGCTGTTTGAGTGAGTTCAATTACAGAAATAAAAGGAATTGGTTGATAATAGACCACCCTAAAGTATTCTAGAATCTGTTTTATAATATTGTGTCACCTTATCTGCATAATATTATTCCTGTAGCACAATTGCCTAATGAAGCTTCTACAGTAATTCTATGTTCAATTTCTAAACACGGAGTCATTTTGCCTTGTCTGCATGACCTAGTTCACATTTTTGTCTCACCTGAAATATACAGTTTGTTTACACATCACTGCTCCTTGGCCATAACTAGAGGCCGCATAACATAGATATTTACTTTAAGAGGTGATAAAAACGAGTCATGGAAATGTGCGCTTTATGCGAAATGAAAATGGGCCCTTTAGAATGGAAAAGCAAGCAAAATAAGCATGCCAGTAATTTCCAGAGGTGAAATTTGGTGTTATTACATGGGTTTCTTTTTGTTGCTTTTTAAAGAAAACTTTAACATTTACGTTGTCATTTGGTGTGATTGTACTGATGTTTACTAGTTGGAGATACACTTTGATAAGATGCAAAACGATGCATGTCAAATTGATGTTTACCAACTTTGAGTCTGTAATGTAATAAATGTAATAACATTAAACCGCCGATCTTGGAAAATTATAAAGAAATATGTAGAATAATTTGATTATTTTCAAAGTTTACCATTTTGTTGACACAGTTGATACTTTCAAATATTTCTTCATAAGTCAAATTTCTTCCAGAAATATCTATTTAATTACTCATCATTTATCTCAACAAATGATGTTATGTGCTATATTCTATATTCTAGAAATATAGCAATGAATAGGAACAAATTAATTAAATAGTCAAGATAAGCATGGCTTTTCAATGTAGAATTAATAGGAAAGGTAACTAATTGAGTGTTGAGAAATGAACTGCACCTTTTTTCCTCTAGGAGAAACCCAAAATTTATACCTTCTAAATCCCTAACACACACACACACACACACACACACACACACACTCTCTCTCTCTCTCTCTCTCTCTCTCTCTCTCTTTCATGCACACAAAGTTCAACAACAAAGAATTCACATTTATATATAGACAAAGCACACACACACACAAAACTCACACACACACATAATCTTGTCTTAAAGGATTAAAAAAATAGATGAACATGTCTGAGATTGACTGTTTGAGTAGGATGTGCATAAATGAAACTGATGTTGCATAAGTGAACTCTTAGATTCCTCATGTTTTTCTTTTCTGGGAGAAAGGTGACATTCTTGAATCTACTATAGGCCACAAGAAACACACACACACACACACACACACAAATTTGTTGTGGATATTCCTGTGATTTATTTTTTGTTCTGAAGTATGTAGAAGTGACAAACAATTTTAAAGCCTCAAAAAGAAAAGTATTTATTCTCAACATAAGACTTCTACCTGACTTATAAACCCATATTTACATATTACCAGTATAGAATTTTCCTATGAAATAAGTATTTCAGTGTAAGAGCTGGAGTGATAGAGATAGATGAGGTGGGCGGAAGTACAGATGGAGAAACGTATAGATGGGGTTTGGAAAAATGTCGGCGCAAGGGCATATTTTCAAACATTGAAAAAGATTCTCTGAGGACACCAATTATCAGAGCAAGTTCGAGGCATGCTGTTAGCGATCTGCAGGGCACCTGGTGATTTTGGGAGTGGATTAACATAAAATATCATGGGCAAAATGAATAGAAATAAGTACCCAAAAGCAGACGTTAAAGAGTGCACGTTGGTATTAATCAAAACCTCCTATTGACACCCTAAAAACGGAAGTCCTGATTAAAATATGGTGTGGGTTAAGAATATCTTGTATCATACAAAAACAAGAATTTAGTAAATTCAGCCTCTAGAAACTAGAAAGACTAGAAAAACTAGAAAAACCCTAGCCCACAGTCCTGCAGTCACCTTCATTTTAGTCCAGTGAGCCCCGTGGTGTCAGACTCCTTACCTACAGATCTGTACAATAAATTCGTGTTGTTTTAAGTCACCAAGACTGTAGCAGTTTATGAAGCAGTAATATGAAACAATATAAAAACAGAAATATCACAAATTGAAACTAGCAGATAGAAATTTAATGGACCTATCACTACAGTTTCAAGGACTTAGAAAAAATGGACATCATAATAAATACATGGAAAATCTCCTCAAATACAAACTATAAAAGAAAAGCAAATGAAAATGCCAGAATTGAAAACAGTAATATCTGAAATAAAAATTTCACTATAACAGATGGCACACAGCCAAAGGAAAGGTCAGCGAGTGTGCAGGCCGATCCATAGAGTCTTTAACTGAAGGAGTAAAGGGTGCTGGATATGATAAATATGTGGTTAACATAAAAGGCTTTTGTGGTCAGAAGACTCCATAGGTAATGCATTCAATTTATTCTCTCCTTGTATGTATATTCCACTCCCTTTTAGGGGATCAAGTTTATTAGAAGACAGCAAAAGTGACATGCTGGTACTCTGCCAACCTTTGAAAACTTTGGCATCTTCTACTTTTTTTCTCTTTGATGGCAGTCACCACGCTTTAAGAGGCCCAAGCTGAAGGGAAAGGCCACCTGTATCACTCAAATAAACTGTCGCCGATGAAATCCCAGCAAAGAGCAGCAGCAACTGCCAGCCATGTGAATGAGCCATTTTGGCTGTTTATTCCCAGGCAAGCCCAGATGCCTGCAGCCTCAGCTGACCTCATGTGCTGCAGCACTATCTACCTGAGCCCATCCAAGCCACTATATTTCTGCCATCTTCCAAAGCCAAAGTTTATCATATAAGTTTGGCTTGTATACTAAGCCAAAATTTATATATAATAAGTTTATCATATGAGCCAATGATTATCAGATAATCCCAGCTCTATGCCCCAGCCTAATTAATTATCAGAAACTGTTCATGATTCTTCTACTCAGTTAAATGCCACAGAACTTAAACTTTCAACACTGGGCACCCAGCCTCATGGGCTGACCTCCCAAGGTCGTCGAAGGATTTACAGGGGCTAAACACATGTTCTTGAGCTTTGCTCTTCATCTATTATATCTGATGGCATCCCAGCACTCTGCAGGGGTATAATATTCCGACGAAGTTTAAAGAGCTTCATTTAGATCTCAAAATCCTAAATATCCTATACCCAGCAGCAATATCTGCTCCCTTCCCAGAAAATATTACTTTCAAACAATCCCTAGTCATCCAGCAGACTTGCTATTCTTCTGCACATAATCTTCTATTGGGATACACTATCTGTGGGTTAATAGGGAGCACAGCCCAGTTCATTTCATTTTTAAGACTGGTAGCTGAACCAAACAGAAGCGTCAGCTTGAAAATTACCTAGGATGAGAAACACGTAACTTCAAAGGACAATCTATCTTCCCTATGTCTCTGACCATCTGATGGTCTCAGAGACATAGGGAAATAGTTTTAATCACCTTAATTCTCTATATGTCGCACTCCGTTATATGGGGTATTTGTATGCCAGAAAAAAATCAGAGTTCACAGTGGACATGACCTGTCTGTGTGGCAACTGCAAGTATGAACAAATATTTTACCTCTCTAGTCATTCGTTTTATTTTCTCTCTATGGGAAAAACTGAACAAAAACAAACTATCGCAAAACAAATGAAAACACCTGACATTCTGTAGGTAATCAGATAATATGGCAAAAATAAGTCAGAAGGAATTCACAGAAGTTCACTGGAAGTTTGCATACTTGGAAATCTGAGTAGCTTCTCTGTGAACAAGGGTGGAGATGAGAACTTAGACATTAACACAAAGAGCTGTGCAAAGAACCAATAGCATAGAGAAGCTCAAATCTCTAGATTAGTCAAAGAAAGTGGGTACACTAGCAAGAGTACCTCCATCTTCAAGAACCTTTTGGGTACTGTTGATTGGTATATAAATTTCAATCTTTTTAGACATTATTTTATCAAAATACATCTGAGGTATTAAATATATTCAAGTAAATGTCCAAAGAAATAGTCAGAGGTGCATGTACTTCTATCCTCAAACATTACTGCAGCATTTTCGTGGGAATAAAGAACTGAGGAAAAAAGAACCAAACAGTTTGCAAAATAGAAGAATGCTTTTATCACTCAATAGTGAAAAATAACTCTTCAAACCCTGTTTTAAATGTGTATACAATAATGAGTGTATATTGAAATATCATGTCATCTTGAAACCTCACTTAAGAAAGTGCTTCAGCTGTCCAGTGCCTCGATTTCCTCCCCTGTAAAAAGAAAATGATATTAAGAAAATATAATATTCTTGTTGTGAGAATTAAATGAGGAACACCTAGAAGTGAACATAATATGTAGAAATTATTAAATAATTGTTATATTTCAACCCTATTTATATAAAAGGGCATTTACAATAACTCAGTGCTTTTTGATTATTTTTCCCTGGACTGATGGTAAGGAAAGCATTTTATATTGATCTAGTATACAAAGAAGCAAATACACATATACATATATATGCAGTTTCATACATACTTATCGCAAAAAACAAATTCTCAGAACATTTACTCCATGGATACAGTACCTGATTTTTCCCTTGTATCTTATGTTATGTCATGCTATGCTATTCTTTACCATAGTCCACTATTTTATTCTACATTTTAAAATGTTGGTCATGACCCACTAAATCAATTTCATGATTGGCTAAAGTGTGCTTATAATGCTCTCAAAGATATTACATGACCTTCTAAATCAGGGTATCATTTACTACTTAATGTAAAGTAACTACATGTATAATCTCTGGTATTTTCTCTTCATTAAGTTTTTGTTTTCCCCTAGAATGCACAATTGTTGGGATCAAGAAGTTGTTTCTTCTTCAATGCCTAGAACAGTGTCCGACACCTGTATTTTTAATAAGTGATCAATTAAAATATTATGGCTTTATAAAATATTAAAATGGATAAAATATTATAAAATCAAAATGTTATATTTAAGTGAAATAACCAAGGGTGGATAAATAAAATAAAGCAGATAGCTTGGTTGAACATTAAGTTAAAAAAAAATTAATGTAAAAAAGTGTATACCACAAACCAAGAATAGCATATTGATACTGTGGAACATATAAAAAGATTCTAGGATGAGAAGAGCATTTTTATCTTCTATTTATTTGTTTATTTCTTAGAGACAGGATCGCTCTCTGTCATCCAGGCTGCTGTGTAGTCCACTATCATAGCTCATTGTAACAACAAACTCTTAGGCTTAAGCAAGCCTCCCATCTCAGCCTCTCAAGTAGCTAGGACTACAAACACATGCCATCATGCCTAGTTATTTTTTTTTTAATTTTTTAGAGATGGGGTTTCACTATGCTGCCCAGGCTGGCCTCGAACTGCTGACCTCATGTGATCCTCCTGCCTTAGCCTCCCAAAGTGCTAGGATTATGTACATTAGCCACTGCACCCAGAGGACATTTTAAGAATCAAAAGAATTCAAGAACATTCAAAGGGAAGACAATAAATTTGATTTTATAAAATTGTAAAAGTCATAGTGTGCTGGGAAATATGTGTTTTAATACTTGAAATATAAGTTTAATGTCAAAATCCACTGAAAATTAATATTCTTAAGAATATCGGTTATATTTGTATTTATGCTTAGTTTTAATATACTTTGTCTTCATTTTAAGTTTGATAGCATTCTGGTTTATATAAAAACATAATCATACAGGTCATTACCTAGCTAAAAATGCTGGCAGTTACCAATAATGAGAGTATTAATGTATCCATCCTAATTTAGATATGTGGAGCTTCTAATGCATTATTTTCTAGTTCATTTACATTCCATATCGCTCTATTAAATTGCTACAAATGTGAAGACTTGTCAGAACTGTTTTTATAAAATGTGATGGCAGACTAGTAACTGACTATGTATACATAGTGAATTAAACTCAGTGAACTGTCAGTAGAACTTGATATTAGTTGGATATTTACATCGAATTTGTAACTCATTTTGGAATAGGATGTCTTACAGTCCACTATCTCAAAATAACTGAAACAAACAAGTAGAACCTTTTTTTAAAACGTGAAATAACATTAAGTGAAACAACCAAAAGATGGATAAACAGATGATAGCAGATAGCTTGGCTGAGTATTACGTTAAAAAAACCATATTTACGTAAAGAAGTGTACATCTCAGACCAAGAATAACACATTGATGCTGTGGAGCGTTTAAAAAGATTCTAGGATGAGAAAAGATTTTTTTATCCTTTATTTGTTTATTTTTAATAGCGATGGTGTACTACAACAATTACATCGACAATACTTTTTTAAATTTTAAAAACGTTTTTATTGTAAAATACATTGTAAATAAATTGAATAAAATTAATCTATTTAGATTAATCACACTAAAAATATATAGGTATTCATTGCTCACACTAAGCAATCTTTCCTTGTATCCCAGAAGGTGGTTTTCTTGATGATACCAATGAATAACCGCTAATGTGCATATTCATCTTCACTAGAATTACCAAAAACAATAAAACACAATGGAATGTAGGAATTACACTCCCACTATTGGTGAGATGAAAACTTCTAGTTGTTCTAATATTTACATGCTTGATATTAATAGATTTCAATTATTATAAATTTGCTGAATGTAAAATAAATTTTATTATACATTTAAATTTTTTTTCTGATATTCAATGGGCTACTCATTTTTTGTTTGTTCGTTTTTTTGTTGTTTTTTTTCCAATATTCAATGGGTTATGCTTTTTGTTTTGTTTTGTTTTGTTGTTTTGTTTTTTCATAGGCTATGGTTTATTTAACTTTCTTCTGTGAAATACTATTGATGTTTTCAACCATCTTTTGATAAAGTGAGTTGTTTGTAGTGATTCATATATGCTGTTTACATTTTCTGAATAAAAAGATTTGATTCATTATAGATACTATTCTCATAGAGTGTGGCCTATATTTCCACTCCAATGATGCATTTTTAAATAAAGGCCATTCTGTATTGAATAAGTCAACATTATTGATTATCTACACATAGCTTGTAATTCTTTGCTTTATATAAGAAATTATTTCCTGCCTAAATTTAGATTATTTTATGTTGCTTTTTAAAAATTTCATAAGTTTGCCTTTTACGTCTATTTCTCTATACAAGTGTTATTGATTTTTTCATATTGTATGGAATGAAACTTCATTGTTTCTCATAGGAATAACTACTTACTTCATTAGTAATGAAGAATTCCTCCTATTACTGTAGAGATAATACTTAAAGTTTTAATCACCGAAACTTAGCATTATAACCTGTAATCGAACAGAGCAAGGCCTCCCACTATTTTTCTCCAAGTCTTGGCTATTACCATTCTTTCATTCTCTGCATCAATGATTCTCAACTGGGGCCATTTTGCTGACAGTGGGACATTTGGGAATGTCTGGAGACATGATTGGTTGCCATGAAGGTTGACTGCTGGGGAGAGACGAGGGATACTGCCAAATATCCAAATTTTCAATAATGCAAAGGCCAGCACCCAAAACAAATATGAAACTGGACAAAAATATCCACTGTTCTGAGAAAAGAGTACAGCTTTATATAGACAGTAGAATCAGTTTTTCTAGTAATATATTATTTCAATGCCATTAAAACATTTGTAGATTGATTTGGAATTGTAATTTCATATCCACGATATTGAATATTCATATCCACAAGCTAGCATATGTCTCTAGACATTTTTCAATGTGTTCCAACATTTTGTAAATATTCTTCAATAAAAACTGCACAATTTGTATTAGCTTTTTCCTATGATCTATTTGTTAAAATCTAAAAATTTATTAATTTAAAACTTCATTTTCTTATTGATCATTACTGTTTTATAAAAGTGAATTTTAATTTAATGTGGATTTTTAAAATATCAAACTTATAAATGACTTGATAAATTTTAAAAATTTACCTGTATAGTCTATTAAATCTTCTGTATATTTTTTTTTAATAAATATGTATCTTTATTTTTTTACCCTTGTATAATTATAGGAACTTTCAATGTTTATGATTTTTAAATAAAAGTAGTACTACCTTTAATTCCTTAAAGTTTTCCTGATACTAAAGAGTATTCTTTTAACAATTCATCATTTATCATGGTGTTTAGTGTTTTATTTATGCTTCTTATAAGATGAAAAGTTTGCCTATTATTTGGAATTAATAAGAGTTTTAAGTGGTAATAATAATTTTGACCTATCACATTTTCTAGACTTATGGGAATAATAATTTCTTTGCCATACATGCTATATTTTCTAACATTAACCATTCAGTTTATTAATATTATATAGTTTCTCACAGTAATTTTATGCATTGCTCAATAATTAACTCATGATACTTATAATTCTATTTCCAGTGAAATTAATGCGTTTTTTCTTTATTTTAATCTATTTCAATTATTTGGGTATCAGGGTTATGCATGTCACATAAAATGAGACTGAGGGTTGAGGTTTTTCTCTTTTCCAAGCTTCTTTGTTAGAATTATGTTTCTTTAATACTCTGTAGAACTCACTTGCAAAGCATTTTGCACCAGAATTACTTTCTGTGAAGGTTTTTTCTAAAAATTTCTAATTAGGTTGCATTAACTGTGTTGGGGCAATGCAATCACTCTGTTTCTTCTTGAGACAATTTTTGTAAGTTGTATTTGTTCTTTGGAACATATTAATTTCTTATAAGTTTTTATATTTACTGCCATGAACTTATTCATGTTAACCATCTATGTGTTGGTTTCTACTAAGTGATTACAAACATATGTTCATTTCTGTGGGTATGTGAGATCCTCTACCTAGTGTTGCATTCAGGTAATTTTCTTTGCTATTCTTTACTGTATAGTGAGGCTTATTTAAATTATCCCCCAATTATGACTGTGATCATCTGGAGTTAATGCCGTATATGGGATTCTCGTAAGATTACATTCCAAACTTTCTATTAGCCAGCGAATTTCCTTCCTGTCTCCTCTGTTTAGTGCATCTATCATTTCAGAATCTTCAGTTTCACAGGAGCTGTCAGAAGTCCTCAGTGTGAGAATAGGTGGGTTGTTTGTTTCCAACCCATGGTTTTTGCTTTATTTTTGTTTGTGCGTCCCAAGACATTTTTACTCTTTTGCTAATTCTTTGTTAAATGTAATAAAAGTTTGTTCTATTTTATCAAAAATTTAATATGTTGTTATTTTGTTTCTCCAATTTTGATATTGTCTGTCATCCTGTATCTTCTATATTACTTGAAACAGAAGGTTTACATTTTTTTGTCTTTATAATTTTTTTATCATACTTGAAGTTTTAGAGTACATGTGCACAACGTGCAGGTTTGTTACATATGTATACATGTGCCATGTTGGTGTGCTGCACCCATTAACTCGTCATTTACATTAGGTATATCTCCTAATGCTATCCCTCCCCCCTCGCCCCACCCCACAACAGGCCCCGGTGTGTGGTGTTCCCCTTCCTGTGTCCATGTGTTCTCATTGTTCAATTCCCACCTATGAGTGAGAACATGCGGAGTTTGGTTTTTTGTCCTTACATTTTTGACATATATATTTCAGCTGACTTTCATATATCAAATATCATATAATGTACCAAATATCATATGCTGTCATGATATTTTCCAAATACTACAATATGACAAATGAAAAATGACTTTAGATTGCAGAAGTGGAAAGGGTATTGCCAAATACTTTACTAAGTAGCTGTTATCCTGTCATTTATCAAATTATTTCTGATAGCTACCTAGTTCATCTTACTCTTTCCAATTTTTCTTAAAAAGAACCCATATGTTAATAATTCTATGGTGAGTACTATCCAAGGCACTGAATACAGAAAGATACAGCTTCTCAACAAATGCATCCTTATGGTATCCAATTTGATTTTCTCAACTAGAACCATACTTTTGCTCTCATTTTGAAACAATAGCATTAAATGCCTCATTTAAAGTGTAAAATAATAATGATGAATACATAAACTTATAACCTCATGCTACATTTGTATTATTTTGCATAATATGATTTTGTGAGTTTTGCATTAGTTCAATGAAATCAATGAGACATTTAGTATCACAGACACAGTTGTATTGTAAATTTAGAAGACTAAAATTATTGCATGTTGACAGAATATTACTCCTAGTTTCTATTATTTATTTTTTAATAAATGTTTGGCTACAAAGTATATATATTACAGGGTACATGGGATGTTTTGATACAGGCATGCAATGTGAAATAAGCACATCATGGAGAATGGGGTATCCATCCCCTCAAGCATTAATCCTTTGACATGCAAGCAGTCCAATTACACTCTTTATTTTTAAATGTACAATTTAGTTATTATTGACTATAGTCATTTTGTGCTACCAAAGAGTAGGTCTTATTCATTCTTTCTAAGGATTTGATTTTGCAGCAATTAACCATCTCAACCCCACATCCCCAGCCCCAAAAGCATTGCCAGCCCCTGGTAACCACTCTTCTACTTTCTATGTCCCTGAGTTCAATTGTTTTGATTTTTAGATCTCACACATAAATGAGAACATGTGTTATTTGTCTTTCTGTGTCTGGCTTATTTCACTTAACATAATGATCTCTAGTACCATCCACGTTGTTGGAAATGACTGAATCTCATTCTTTTTAATGACTGAATTGTACTTCATTGTGTATAGTTATCACATTTCCTTTATCCATTTATCTTTTGGTAGACACTTAGGTTGCTTTCAAATCTTAGCTATTGTAAACAGTGCTGAAACAAACATAGGAATGCAGATAATCTCTTTCACATACCAATTTCCTTTCTTTGGGGTATATATCCAGCAGTGGTATTGCTGGATTATATGGTAGCTCAATTTTTAGTTTTGTGAGGAACCTCCAAACTATTCTCCATAGTGGTTGTTAGTAATTTACATCCCCACCAACAGTGTACAAGGGTACCCTTGTACCTCACTAACATTTGTTATTGCCTGACTTTTGAATATAAGCAGTTTTAACTAGGGTGAGATTGTATCTCATTCTAGTTTAGATTTGCATTTCTCTGATGATCGCTGATGTTGAGCACCTTTTCATATACCTGTTTACCACTTGTATGTCTTCCTTTGAAATGCCTATTCAAATAATTTGCCCATTTTTTGATCAGATTAGTAGTTTTTTTCCCATAGAGTTGTTTGAGCTCCTTATATATTCTGGTTATAAATCCCTCATCAGATGGGTAGTTTGAAAACATTTTCTCCCATTCTGTGGGTTGTCTTTTTACTTTGTTGATTGTATCCTTTACTGTGCAGAAGCTTTTAAACTTGATGTGATCCCACGTATCCCTTTGTGCTTTGGTTGCCTCTGCTTGTGGGGTATTAAGAGATTTTTGCCCGAACGAATATCCTGGAGAATTTTCCCAATGTTTTCTTGTATAGTTTCATAGTTTAAGGTCTTAGATATGTCTTTATCTGTTTTGATTTGATTTTTATAAGTGGTGATAAATAAGGTTCTAGTTGCATTCTTCTGCATATGGATATCTGGTTTTTCCAGCACCATTTATTTAAGAGGCTGTCTTTTCCCCAGTATATGTTCTGGGCACCATTTTCAAAAATGAGTTCACTGTAGGTGTGTGAACTTGTTTCCTGGTTCTGTATTCTGTTCCATTGGTCTATGTATCTGTTTTAATGCCAATACAATGCTGTTTTAATTACTATAGCTTTGTAGTATAATCTGACACCAGGTAATCTGATTCCTCCAGTTTTGTTATTTTTGCTTAGGATTGCTTTGGTTATTCTGAGTCTTTTGCCTTCCTGTTCACTATGTCCAAACATGTGACAACTCCAGCATTTCTCCAAGTAGTTTTTACTAAAATGGTTTACTTAAAAGTGCATCATCCAGAGCAGTCTGCAGGGATTGCATATCCCTGGCGTATTCATGCTTTAGGCGTGTTTGAAGATTTTATTTTATATTTGACTTAGCTTAGCAAACAACTGTCTGGGACAAATATGACCACTCACTTGTTCATGTAAATAAAGTTTTATTGGAATTCAGCCACACTCACTCATTTTAGGCATTGCCTAAGACTGCCTTGGTGCTACAAGATTAAGAGTTGAGTAGTTTCTATAGAGACTGTATGGCTCAGATAGCTGAAATTATTTGCTCTCTGACCATTTACAGAAAAAAATTCTGGTCCTTTCTCTAATAAATGGAAGAAAAATAAAAAAATATTGCCCCTATTTATTACTTGATTTGTAACCATACCATTTACTGAGAGTGAAGATAAGAATTTCTATGACATAGATTAAGGAAATTATCTACCTCTACTTGCAAAGAGGTAATATTGCAAGTAATTTGTCCAAAAACAAATTTGGAAATAGTGGGGACTTCTCTGAATATTTGATGTTATTTTTCTCAATGTGTTTTTTTCATCATATCTAGGAACAATTATCATCAATTCTAGAAACATAGTCTTGCTAATGTTCATCTTATTACAGACTATCTGAGCAACAAACTACGATATTTTGTTGGTTAAAATAAGATAAAAATCAACCAGAAGCAAAAGGGCAGTAGTTTTTTTTTCTATGCAAATATTCTGGTTCAAGTACACTTAGATGCGTGCCACTCGCAGTATCAGGTATAGAATAGATTAAAACGGCTTAATAGACTTCATGCTGATAGAATCAACAAATTTAGAAGTGCAGAGTTCATACAATAAAGAGAAGATAAGATGTTCGGATGTTTACTAGCACTCGTTTTTCCTTCCATAGAATGATAAGCTCATGAGTGTAAATTCCATAGTTTTGTGAATTACACATTTAAAAGTTACACTAAAACTCCTTAACTCAAATTTATTCTGATGGTTTAGCAGGATTTTCATAGTTTAAAAGTCTCCTAAAACTTAATCATATCAATAATTCATCAAAATGTATTGTGCATACTTAGTTCAGTAAAATCCTACCCAATTCATAAAGAAAAAAAATCTCTGAATACACAATGCAGTACTCTTGCATTTAGACATCTGTGCACAATATGAATTATTTATTTTAATATTTTCAAAAGAATGTTATAAACCATAGCTTATATTTATCATTCTGTCTTTGATAAATAGCTATGTGAGCAAGGAATGGCCCCAGCAATTAGTGTAGCTATTCATATAAAATTTTTCAAGTATCTTTTCCATATCTTACTATGATTAATTTCCTTTATTTCCTTTCTTACTTGAATAAGAAGATTTTTTTATTTTATATTTCATAAATGTAAACCTCAAAAATGTTTTTATGGCAATTATAAACTACCTAAATGGAAAGAATTGCCACATATCTAAAAAGACTCCTATTAAGATAGATAAAAGGGTGCACATATCGAACATAAATGTCCTTATTTTTGTTAATTGACCAAATCAAAAGAATCCAGAGAGTCTTTTATATACTCATCCCTATCATTTATAATTCATCTATTAAAACACTTTACTTAGGTTTTTACTTTATTAACAACATTATTATCATGGCCAAGAAAAGTCTGACAATTTTTAAGCATGAGAGAAAAAGGCAATAGCAAACAAAATGTTTACCGTCAAGAGTCAGTTGCTCTATCCAAAATATTCTCTAGCAAAATCTATCCGGTAACTAGACAGAACAATTTTATAGTAGGTCATAAAATATCCATTATTAAAAGGGTTAAAACTTCCTAGATCAATTTAAAATGACCACATAAGGAAATATTTACCACTATATTTGGAAATTTCTTAAATTATAGTTAAATATTTCACTCTTCCTGAAGTTAGTATTGTTTGAGTAAAAGAAAATGGAGTGAAGAGGTCATTTATATAACAAATAAAAAATAATTTGACTAATTTAGACTGCTGTAGAAAGACTAAAATTTATTTTCTGCAATGGTATTAGAAATAACACACATGTACAGGGTATATGTTATATTTAAAATGATATATTAATATTCACATGCATATCAGTACGTGTCAATAATCTACTTAATATAACTGTAAATTCTGAGTCTTTGCATAAGAAAATTTGGTTCTACAAAATAATGTATCAACTAGGAGCTTAAAATTGGAAGAAATCTAGAGAATCATTGATCCAAATTTTTTTGTATCTGAATAAAAGAATGAACACTAGAGAGTAAAAATTATTTGCCTATTGACAAATACAGTTTTTTTACTGATGCAAAATATTTTACATATTTACGGGTTACACGTGGTATTTGTTATAAGCATAGAATATGTAATGATCAAGTCAGGTCATTTGGGGTAACCATGACCATGTGTTGGTAACATTTCAAGCCCTCTCTTCTAACTACTTGGAAATAAATTATACAATGTTACTACTATAGTCACCCTATTCTGCTATTCAAGATTGGGGCTTATTTGTTCTATGACATTGTATGCTTATACCAACTAAAAATACATATTGATCAAGCTACAATTAGAAACATAAAGTGAATTACACAAAAATAGACATGTGATATATTCATTACTTGCACATGAAAGGAAAGGAAGCTATGTTTTAAGTCTAAAGACCAAGGTTCCTGTTTGGCTTCCATCATTTAGTATGTATGTGACTTTGGGAATATAGATCATGTAAAATTTTCTGAATTTCAGCCTTTTTCCTTCACAAAGTGGAGAGCATAAGAATTCACTTAGTATTCATGTGAAGAGCTTAACTATATTAGATGTAAAATTGATTTAAAGTTCTCTAGCCTATTAAGCAACATCATTTAAGTGCCACACACATTTTCTTATTGTGGATGTTTCTAGTAGAAAGTTACAAATATGAAAAAACTACTAAATGTCTCACTTATTCCAAATGTTTTTATTTTATGTGGCCTAAGTAATGGTTCAATAACAAGACACTAGGTAGATAGATGATAGATAGATAGATGGATAGATAGAAAGAAATAAATCATGTCATAATATATTCAATAGATACAAGCAACAAAGGGCTAAAAATCCCAAAATCCTTTTTATGGTTTGGAAAGATGTGAGTAATGTAATGAACTACCAGAATATTTAGAAGTCTGTGAATAACACATTGATTCATTTGCTTCTCCTTTAGGTCTAAAGTGACACAATTATCCAAAGTAAAAAAATCTGTAGCTTATATGACAACGTCTGTGTCTAGGTCTTTCTGAAGTATTTCTAAACAAGCATATAGAAAATAAAACTTTTAGAAAAGATGTGGGGGAGGCATGGGGCAGTGAGTATTGTCTAATGAGGAAGAACATAGCTTCCATTTTTCGGCTTCGTGCGTGAAGTACTCTGCTTTCAGATTCCTGACAGTAGTGACATTGTCCAGTGCTGGAAGACACAGCCGAGTCCTCTGCCTTCAACTGAGCATGTAAAAACCCTTTCCATATGTCTCCACTCATAATTAGTGTTTCCTTATAAACTTGTCTCAACACTACTTACTTCCTTTCAAGCAAAGAATAAACTAACAAAGATACAAAGAAAATAATGGGAAAATGTTTGCCCTAATCTAAATGTTTAAAAATGCATTTCATCCTAAAATACAAAAAAAAAATTGGAAAATTAAGCCAAATAAACTTCTAGTATCAGTCAGTCAATGATAGAAACAGCTGCAGCAAATATGGTAATAAGAGACAGCCTAATTGAAACAGATGTTTTAAAATGTGCAATTTTAAATGGTATACAAACATTGATGTAAAGTAAATTTTAAATAAGATGGAATGGATTGGAAACATAATTAAAACCCCAAAGAAACAAAAATAATATTGATGAAAACCAAATTAGAATGATAGCTAATACTCGTGTTTGCCTAGACAATGAATTATTAGTCTGGAGGGTTATATTTTAAAATTTTAAATTCAGTACTACTTAGATAAACATGCATTTAATGAGGTTTTAGTAGACATTTTCAAAGATTATAAAATTCAGAGAAGATAGAAATCTGAAAAGTGTGCCCTCTCAATATTTTAAAATACAGTTCAATAAATTCCTGCAATGTAAATTTCTAAGGATTTTTTTTAAAAACTTCAGTATTAGACCATTCTAATAGCAGCATGTAAAAGTATCACATTTGCCAGGTTTTCAACTCATCCTGGACCACTAATTGTCAAGAATGGTGAAGGTTCTGAGATTTGTATCTCCAAGTCAACATAAGTTGCCACAGCTTCATAGAAGATAGCAGAAGACGCAAAGCTCGTGGATCGGAGAAAAGGACTGCGCTGTTCACAGTAAGTCAGGCACATGAGAACCAGAATAATTATATCAATTCTCTTTGTCCCAGCTTCCACAAGGGTAATGTGAATGGGCCTACGTTTATGACTACACACAGAGTGGGTTCCAATGAACTTACGGAAACTAAATACTTTATAATAGAAAGTAAGCAAACGTCATTTTTTTTTTCTTTTGGAGGGAGACATTATTTCTATCTTTCCAGGCACTTTGCTATACATCTTTGAAAAGATAGTCCACTATAAGAGGCTATCAATGCCTTTTTTTTTTTGCAAGAAAAAATAAATAGAAAAACAAAATATCCATGGGATATTTTCTGTCAGTACCAGTTATTTTCACTCTGAAATCATATCCAGTCCCAGTATTTGAGAAACCCAGGTAGCTGCTTACGTAAGAATTCCTTGTTTGACTCTTCTGTCATTATTTTTATTGGCAACACTTCTCAATTTTATTTTACTATACTAACCCTGCTGTCAAGTCATACTTGTCACAGATATCAACTCTTTCTCTAATGGTCATTCATATAAGGGAATATTGTTGGGGCAAAAGCACAAATGGTGCCTATTTGGAGCTGAAAAACTCAACACTGGAAAGGGCAGGAGCAGTTGTAAAAAGCTGTTTAAAGAGTTTCACCACACTCCAATATAGACATTTTAAGAATGGTCACGTATGGGCTCCATGGGTGCTCCATATCTCATAGTAGTCAAACATTTCTGGAATATATAATTTATTCCTGTACAAATGTTGGAATTAGGTATAATGTGTTTGGATTTGATATGATTTAAGTGTATGTAAATGTTCCTTCAAAATACAATTTTTAGTTGTAGAGAGAGTGATTGTAGCCTATTCACTCAAAGGCCAAACTGAACCCCATGACTAAGGGCTGGACTCCTGTGAAGGTTCATTCTCTCACATGACTGTTGGTTGAGCTGGGAACTCAGCTGGGGCTACCAGTGAAAATATATACATGTAGCCTCCCCATATGGCTGCCTAGGGTCTCTCACAAAAGTGGTTGCTGCAGTTGATCCGTCAGAAAGGAGCTGAATTGTCTTTTGTGACCCAGCATAGCATATTACATAAGATTACTTTTTTGGGGGTCATGAACTCACAGAAAAAAAAAGAAAAAGAAAGAGCCCAATCCTCAGGGGGAGGAATATCAGTCACATCATAAAAAGAACGTGTGGAAGAGATGATATTAGCTTGGTCATCTTTACAGTGTTGTGTTGGAGCTGTATTACATTGATTCATAGGAGTTAATATTGTGCATCTTATACCAAATTTTCATGCAGTGACATCACATTAACAAACTGAAATTAGAGTATTGACACAATGGAAATTGGAAAATAATACAAATGCCTTTTTTTCCCATTTTAAATTTGGATGAATTATTAAAGATTTGACCAACACTTTATCCATCTTTAAAAGGTGTTCATACTTATTTGGAGTCACATTCTGTCTTGTGTGCCTATAAATTAAATACTGAAATTCAAGATAACCTACTGACAGCTGTTCATATTCCCTTATATAGTAAGAGAATTGGAAAAAAACAGGAAAGGAAATACTATATATATATAACATTAATATAAATTAATATCAAAGTGAGAAAAAAATGACTATAACTCCTATGGCCATCATTTTGGTATGAGGTCATATAGTTTTAACCAGTATTTATAAATTTCATTTTCTACCAAGCAATTCTGTTGATTATGGTGGCTTCCTTTGGGGGTGACCCAAAACTTCTTTCTAGAAATGTCTGAGAAATTGATAGCTCATTCTGTATCATTTGATGTGATTGATTTTCTATAAAATCATATCAAAGTAAACAGAAGTACAAAGAGATGTACTACAAAATCTCTTCCTTCCCTTATTTGGGGTCAGAATTAATTAGCTCAACTAGTAACCTTCTTCTTTGTACTTGTTTCCTGTTCAGTTCAAAGGGACCATGTGGTATTTTCAGCTAAGGTCTCTAAAATCAGCAAGCGCTGTATGAAGGGAAGAAAAAAATGGATAGATCTTTACTGATAGATCATTATGGTTAATAGAAAGTTAGCTGCTTACATTTCTTACCTTTGATTATCAGACATGTGAATTCAGGCCCTGGGAAAACAGCAACATATTAATATTTGGTCACTAATTCAGAACAAAGACCACATCTTGGTGGACATTAACGGAATCACACACTGTATTAATCACTAGATGGTTCTAGATATGAGACTTCAAGGCTTGTTGTTAGATAAGGGATGCTGTGTTATTAGTCATCCCAACTTAGGGTGATAAGAAAAAGACTAGTGAATTCCCAGAGTCAGAGCTAATTGCTTAATTTCTGACTAATGTTGGGCATATCTATAGAAGCTATACATTCTAGACGTGAGGAAATAAACACACAATGTGTTTTTGGACTCACTGTTACCACCAGGAACCAAAGCTCCATTGAGTACTTTAATTCCATTAGCCCATATTCTTAAATCACCAGGAATGATTGTCAATTCGCTATTAGTGAATTCCCACCAAATTTGTTATATTTCCTACCCTATTACATAGTAAATGGTCAAAGACTACTTTGGGAAAAATTGGAAGGAAGATACATATTACAATTTGGGGGTGGGGAGACAGTGTGGGGTTCTTGTTCAAGGGTAGTCACCTTCCTCTTTACTCAAAAGATTTTTGTAGGGATATGATAAGCTTCTACTCTGGGAACTGGGTTGTGACTTTCTATTGGTAATGCACCATTACTAAAAATTTTTCACTATACAAATCAAGCAACTTTTAGTTAGTATTGTTAGGACTGTTTTGTTGTTTTCGATAATGATTTCATAGATTTCCCATGATTAATTAGGCAATGCAAAAATATAAATGGGTAAAACCATTCTGATTACAGCTGTGATCTGTTTCCTATTACAGTAGTCACATTCATCTTGCTTCTGACAATTTAATGTTTACTCTTACCTCCCGCCACCTTGGGGCTGCCTTGGGATTCCATAATCTCCATTGAAATCAGAGAACTCAGTTCAAATAAAGCACTTCCCACTGTCTTTCTTAGCAGGCAGACACATCAGGGGTGCTGGGACAGTGCCTATTAACATATAAATGTGATGCAGTGATTCAGCTTTTCTGACTCCATAGAAATAAATGCATAAGTATCCCAATAGGTGAAATAACATGCAAAACTTTAAAAAGGCGATTGGGGCTATGACAAGATTTTGAAAATATTAACTCACTTGATTTTTTCAACCACTTTATGAGGTAGATATTTTAAACTTATGCAGAAGATATTATTACCTTATATTTTGACATCTAAGAGCTTTATATTAGTCTCTCTATATTTTTAACCAACTGTATGAAGATTGTATGTAGACACACTGAATATTTTAATAGTAATAATCTCTGATTGGTGATAATGGGGAGAGTAGAATTAAAGGGGAGAAGGATACTTTTAAGTACCTAGGTATTGTTATTGCTATAACATGTAATACATTTATAAACATAACTTGTAATTTATAAAATAATAATAATCTATTAAGTCTGTGACTCTTTGAAAATGTTCATTTCAATTTTGTGTGCTTTTCTAATTCTTTTGCCTAAAATAAGTCATGGTGGCCAATTTTGTAAATATATTATTAAGATTTCTGTTATCACTCACACACAGAAGGTACGACATCAATTAGTTGACCATAGAGTATATGTCAATGCTAAGATACTGTAGTAAGAAAAGTTAACACTCTGTTTTTTAAAAAAACCTAGGAATCTCATTTTAATACTTTTGCTTGAATGTATTTTAAATGTATTTTGCTTGAATGTGTAATGTTGACTAAGAACTAGGAATGCTTAGTTGAAAATGAATTTGTGTTTATTTCTGTTATCTGATTTCTTTATACCGTCTAACTGAATTCTAACAAATGGCATTTTATAGCCAGTCCAATTTGGTAACGGAAAATGTTTAAAGAACATTCCTGAATAAAATCTTTCATTTAGAATATAAATCAAAAAATTTAAATAATAACAAATTATATTTCTAAACAATAAAATAATACAGACTATAAAACTAAATATTATATAACATTAAAAATTATAAACCATAGATATCAAAAAGCTTGGTGTGTTTTTCTAAGTGTATTCTCTTTAATGTGTTCCTTAATATGATCATAAGGAGAGACTGAAAATTGACTGGAATTACAAGAGTTTTACTGAAAATTCTGGTTAGTCAACTGACTCTTTTCAATCATCTAACATCATAAGCAAAATAAAATTATTTTTATAAAACCAGACAGTAGTTAGGAGATATTTTAAGATGTGAAAAAAGTTAGTATTCTGGGACTTAAATTTTTATTTTATTAATTTTTTTTTTTT
Organism: Homo sapiens; assembly: GCF_000001405.40. Classification (NCBI taxonomy): domain Eukaryota; kingdom Metazoa; phylum Chordata; class Mammalia; order Primates; family Hominidae; genus Homo; species Homo sapiens. The sequence goes on along the minus strand of NC_000021.9, from coordinate 23,222,770 downwards.
TTTTGAGACGGAGTCTCTCTCTGTCACCCAGTGCAGTGGCGTGATCTCGGCTCACTGCAAGCTCCACCTCCCGGCTTCACACCATACTCCTGCCTCAGCCTCCCGAGTAGCTGGGACTACAGGCGTCTGCCACTACGCCCAGCTAATTTTTTGTATTTTTAGTAGAGACGGGGTTTCACCATGTTAGCCAGGATGTTCTCGATCTCCTGACCTCGTGATCCGCCCGTCTTGGCCTCCCAAAGTGCTGGGATTACAGGCGTGAGCCACTGCGTCTGGCCTATTTTATTAAAATATTTTATTGAAAATTCTAATTTGTCACAATTTTTACCTCGGAGATTACAGAATGGACGCACAAAGAACAAATCTATGTATATACTTAAGCAAAAGGCACATGTATATAAAATGCTGACATTTGGAATATTTGCTTTCATGTAGTGCTCAAGAAGGTGTTCATTTTGGCAGTTTATTGATCAGAAATCACTTCTTCCAATGTCAGTCACTATAGCATTCTGCATTGTTTCAATAATGTGATGATGAGACAACATATACTGCTCAGATATTTGGCAGAAAACAAAATAATGTAGATTAGATTCCTACATATAAATAAATTTAATTTTAGTAAAAGGTAACTAAAAATGACATATTGAATTATAGGTCTCCATTTGTAACCAGGATGGAATAGCAGAGCTGGATTCATTTTCCTACTTGAAATAACCAATAAAGTGGAAAAAAAAGTAGCAAGCCACTGAAAAATAGGCAGTAAAGGTCAGTGATCTCTGAGAGACGAGAAACAAACAAAATCAGCCTCCTAATTACCCAGCTTACTGCAGTAAGAGAGACTCTTGGCTGTAGCACAGGGAAGGGGAAGATAGGCAGAGACTAGGAATCTCTATGTTGAAGAGATGAAGCTGAGAAACCATGGTGATCAAGATGACTTGATCTGGAATAGAGACCAGAGAGGAGAGTATCCTTGAGTATTCATCTGTGTAATGACCTGCTTATGCATTTGAGGAAACTATCTAAGGCCTAGAGAAGAACAAACTCAATGAATTACAAGTGACAGTGCTCAGGTGCGCACAGAGCTAAGAATATCACCATCCAGATGGAAAAAGTCAACAGGCATTGGGTCTTGGGTAAAAGCATAGAAAATCTTACCTCGGCAGTGGTGAATATTAATCCTAGCTTCAGCACAGAGAGTACTCATTGAACAGACCTTAAAATAAAAGCCTCCAAAAATAAAACTGTTTGAAAGTTAATCATATTCCAATTTCAAGAATATTTATAGAAATAAAAATGTTCTAGCATAAACAAGGAAAAATTCGCAAAGTGTTATCCTACAAAGAACACTTTTTTATGGGAGAAAAGAACACATTTTTATGGGAGAAAAATACAAAGAAACAATACAAAGAAAAATACAAAGAGAAAATTACAAAGAAACAAAAACAGAAAAACGCAAAGAAACAGAAAAATATTTTCTGTTCCATAATGGTGAGGTGTATCAATCAATCAAAGGTTATCCAGAAATGACAGAAATGTTAGAATTAGCAGACAATAAAAACAAACATTAAAACTGTTGTTATAACTGTATTGCAAATGCCTAAATCTAGCAACTTGGAAAACATTAAAAATGAAAAATTAAACTTTTAGAGATGAAAACTATAATACAGAAAATAAAATTAACAACAGTTTAGAAATTGCAGTTGAAAAATAATTACCCTCAAAATATCAATAGAAATTATTCAAAATAAAATATGGGAAATATAATTTTTAACAAATAAAGAAAATGTCAGTGGTATAACTTCAAGTGGCCCACAATAAATAAAATTAGAGTTCCTAAAGAAAGAAAAAAGAGAGGTGAAAAAGGAAAAAAAAAAGAATAACAGAAAACATTCCAAATTTGGTGAAAACTACAAAGTTTCAAATGCTTCAAAAAAAAACCCAATTGCAAGAAAATATTTTAAATAATGAATGTAAAGCACATTGAAATGAAATTGTGCAAGGTAGTGATAAAGAGAAATTTTTTAAATTCAGAAAAAAAGACTGATATACATAGAACTAGATCACAGCAGATTTCTAATGAGAAATAACGTCAGACAGACGGTGGTGGAATAAAACTTTTAAGTTACTGAATGGAAAAATAAACTATCAGTATAGACTTCTATATCAAAAAACTGTTCAACAAACATGAAACAAAGGCAGTATTAGATATGTAAAAGAGGAAAGAATTCATTACCAGAAGACTTGTCACACAATAAATGTCACAAGAAATCCTTCAGACAAAAAGAAAATGATACTGTATAGAAATATGGATTCATATAAATGAATCAAGAGCACAGAAAATACTACCTATATGTATACAATTCTAAATCATTATCTCAGTCTCCTTAAAGCATAATTGGCTGTTGAAATGAAAATAACAACAATGGAGAGAAATTTTCATAACACACTGAAAATAATAATTATGACAAAAATAACACAATTTTTGGTAATGGAAACACAAAAGGGTACCTTGAAAAGTTCTTATACTCTAATTGAAATAACGTAATCCTGAAAGATAGACTGTGATAATTAATAACATAAGCTAGTAAAGAGAAAACAACAAATTAGAAATACTGCAGTATTAAATATGGCATAGAAATTAGTAAAATGTAAAGCAAAAACTAGTAGAATTGATAAATCTAGAAGGTTTTTATTTAAAAGTTTTTAAAAAATTCTTATAATTCAGCTAAGGAAATCAGGGAGAAAAAATATTGTTATACGCACAATACAGACACATTAAAATTTTAAGAGAATGCTATAAATATATGTGAACAAATCTGAAAACTTAGAAACATTCATTATTTTCTGACAAAACATAAATAACAAATTTAAAATAATGCATTATGCTTTTAGTATGGTAAAAAACATTGAAAAGATAAATAATAATCTAGCATCATGTCTGATATCAGCATCATGTTAATTCATGTCTGAGGGCTATATAAACTTTAAAATAAACTAATTGCAAGATTGTTTAAAATATTGATAGAATTTTGGTAGAACAGAAAATAATTACTCATCACTGGAAATTATTCTATAAGCAAAAATTTAGTGTCATGCCCCTACAGAATAAAAATGTGTTGAATTTAACCTGATATTATATACGTCTAAAATATTATAAATTCATATAGCATACATGAATTATTTGAACATTCTATAAACTTTGAAAGAACAATGCTTTTATTCTCAATGAAATGATGGAACCATTTGATAAAATATGTGCTTACATTAAGGTTTTCATTTTGTTTTGCAATCAACTTTCAGATATTTATTAATGTTTGTGAACAGATTTGTATACTTATTTTATCGCCATCTGAATCTTGATAGAAATCTCCTGAGCTAAGTTTAAGAGGTACCATTGGGTGTGTCTTGGATATAACATTGCCTTGCTCATTAAAACTAGATTGCAACTAGTCCCATTATTACAAACATTTGAACCAAACAATTTTAGCAAGTATGATCATTAGTAATTACAAATATTGTTTTAAACATAAAAAAAGGGAGGTTGAGTATTTTTTATGAAACAATAATAAAATCTGATAAACGGCATACTAAAAAAGATAATTCACATGCAGTTTCAATTATAAATAAGATTTGGGAGCTAAACGATGAGAACACATAGACACAGAGGGAAACAACCCACACTAAGGCCTTCAGAGGGTAGAGGGTGGGAGGAGAGAGAGGATCAGGAAAAGTAATAAGTCCCAGGCTTAATACTCTGTATAACAACAAGCCCCCATGACACAAGTTTATCTGTGTAATAAACCTGCATTTATATCCCTGAACTTGAAAGTTTAAAAAATTGTAAAATAATTAGAATAATATTTGGCAGTGAAATACAGAAGTGTATCTTACATAATGTGGTATGTCCCATGAAGTCATATTTCAGGAATGCAGTAGTGACTCACTTACGGAAAGATTAAATTTTGAAATGTGTGTAATATTTCTAGAAAATACCTCTGAAAGTTCAACATCTATTCATAAGTAAACAAGCTATTATTACAAATATTATAGGTATAAAAAACAATAACAGTTATTCTGCAGTGGAAAAATTTAAGATTAAAAGTTTAAATCTTTATGATTGACAAAATTTAAAATTAGTGGTAATATCTCTTAGCACTGAGATGTAGAAGAAACAGGCTTTATGTGTTTTTCTGCGATAATATAATATTTTATAATCATTTAAATAACTAAACATATATGCATGTATGTATGTACATATATATGTACAAGTATATATGTGTATATATATAAACTTCCATCATTGCAAACACTTATGCTAAAAAACAAAAGTTTTATATTATATGTGCATATTTCATATATGCGTATTTAAAGTATATCACTTTATTGCAAATATATTCAAATGAAAAATAGAAAAATCTAGGGCTAAAATGTGAGGAAGCTTTGCTTTAAATGAATGTTTAATTTAGCACTCTTTGCTAAACACAGGAATCTAAATTTAGGTCAATATAGGACATTTGTTGAATATCTGTTATAAAGTTATTAAAAATAAGATAGAAATGGTAATTCATATTACCTTTTCATTAACTCTCCCAAATTTAAGGTTGTAAATAATCTTATATATATTTTAACATCTTTTATTATGAAGATGAAGCCATTGAGGATTGGTAGTTATTTGCAAATTTGGAGAGCAAATGAATCTCTCAATTATTTATATCTCTTAAATATATGTATCTTAATTTGGGGTATTTTCATTTTTGAATATTTACTTATTTACAAGTAAAATGTCTAGCAGATTGGCATGTACTAAATGCTTAATAAACGATTGTGTTTTTGTCAGAACACATAATCACCATTCATTCTTACAATAAGTTTGTCATATGCAATTAAGATCTCCCTCTGATCTTGGTGACTAAGGTATCCTGCAGAATCCTATGCTCTTTCAGATGGAATTGAAGTCACACATATGTCCCATGAGTCACAGAAACTGAAGGAAATCCAGGAGTAAGAAAGAAAATAAAGGTACAGCTGCTGCTTTATTTGAATGAGTTGACTCAGCAGATCAGCAACAATTGAGTTGTACAAAATGGTTGTAGTGTCTCTTGTGCCTCTGCCTCTCCAGGAAAATCTTGTAGCCCACATGTATGGAAATATGCAAATAAAAGGAAATTATGAGAAGTATAGTTTATCTTAGCCAAGTAAGCATGTAGCAAAGTCTTTATAATGAAGACTACTGACATTTTGTTTTATTGTGAATATTGTTAAAAAAACATTGTAAATCACTGACTAAAAATTAAATGAGTAACAGAAAATATGATTAAATAGTTTACACTTTCATTGGCATTAGATGAAAATCTGTGCCTACTTAGAGGCTTTGGAATATTTATTTGATCTGAATATATTGACTTAATTTCAAAACATCAGTATACAAAATATGTAATTATTTAGGCCAATTAAATCAAGCATAATTTCATTCCATTAAATATATATACATTTATATATAATATATAAAATCTATGGTTTTTCAAAGTTTATTACATATGTATATATTGTTAAAACTATAGGTTATTTTAAATTAGGGGCTACATTTATAGGTCTGTAGCCTGACTGTGAAATTATATTAGATAAAAAGTTAAGAAAATATTTATTTCAAAGATTTTATTTAATTTCTTAGTTGCCTTGTCATTCTAGTCTTTTTTTCTTGATATATAACATTTAGCAAAATGAACAGCTCATTTTGAAAGTGATTTGTAAACTCTTAGTGACATTCAAATTGAGTTAATATAATTCCAATTCTCTTGTATTACATCTTATCCTTTACATTGTATTTTTCTACTTTCTTTCTCAAGACCGTAAAAGTTCTCTTAACAATATAATATTCAAAAATATTTAATTTGACCTACATTAATTAAGAAAACATATTACAGTTATTTTTACTTCTGAATAAAGTTAAAACTGCTTGTATATTAATCACATCATCAATTGATTATCTTATGCTATAATATGATTTATTTAAAATATGCCAAGCCAATTAAAAAGGAAATTTTTATAAAATCAATATCTCATCTTACCAAAAACATTAAGATAAAGTCTGTCATAACTTCAATTGTTTTTGAAATTGCTAATTAATATATGTAAGGAAACAACATGTAATTTAAGGTACTGTTAGGTTAAACAAACAGGCCGGGTGCGGTGGCTCACGCCCGTAATCCCAGCAATTTGAGAGGCTTAGGTGGGTGTATCACGAGGTCAGGAGATCAAGACCATCCTGGCTAACACGGTGAAACCCTGTCTCTACTAAAAATACAAAAAATTAGCCAGGCGTGGTGGCGGGCACCTGTAGTCCCAGCTACTCGGGAGGTTGAGGCAGGAGAATGGAGTGAACATGGGAGGCGGAGCTTGCAGTGAGCCAAGATCGTGCCACTGCACTCCAGCCTGGGAGAGAGCAAGACTCCATCTCAAAACAAAACAAAACAAAAAAACAAAAACAAAAACAAACAAACAAACAAACAAACCAGGAAGACCTAAGTGTGAGGCTGCCTCCGTACTTTGGGTTTCCACATAACAATCTGGAACATCACCCAGTATGTAAACAAACTAAAACCTAATTTTGTATATTTTGTAACAGATTTCTGGTCCCAGCCAATCATCAGCAATCTTATTTGGACCAGGTCCAAATAAGAAAATTGCCTAGGTGTAACCAATCAAGCTATTTCTCTGCTTTATTACCTGGTTCTGTCTATAAAAACCCGCTGCCAATTTGCTGAATTTAGCTCTCTGAACCTCTTTTGAGTACTGCTTTATTCATGATTCACTTTTTGCTCAAATGAACTCTGTTAAATTTAATTTAATGTATTCTAACAATATATTAAAAACCATTTCTCTGAGTTCTCGTACATAATAAAGATCAATACAAATAATTCAGAAAATAAACATGTCATTTAAAAAATCTGTTTTTTTTTACAATTTATAAAGTGAATAACATCGTTAGTTTCCAGAAATATAAACTTATTTTCTTAAAAAAGAAGTACACACACACAAATAGGTAAATAGTTACGAAGAACACACATGCATACTGTTTAATGGTGAGCAAATAAATGCAAACCCATCCCCAAAGCCTGAAGGACAAGAGAGGCCACAGAAGAGGCTGATGAATCCAGTTTTTCAGGGAAAGAAAAAAATTAAAGGGGACTTAAAAACAGAAGTAATGTCTTGAGTGGCCACAAGAGAGTGGATTCCCATATCTACACTCCAAAACATATTTTTTATAAAGGAAACTTTCAGGGTAAAACAGGTGCAGCTCGCCATGTCTTCAGACTTTCTTGCCAAGACTCATGACCACTGGGGAGGTTACACAACCACATTTATGATAAATTATCTATGTTAGAGGCATTGTTTCAAGGCCTATTGCAGAACATCTTTGTACATGAGAGCCAAACATTTGTCCTCATGGCAGTTTTACTTCAAGGTGGCATCTCTCTTGCCATGCAACAGGCTATTTTCCTAAACATACCTTCTTGATATATAACATACCATGCAACAGGCTATTTTCCTAAACATACCATTGTTTTTCCTAGATTATTTTTTCCTAGATTTTTTCCATTATTTTTTCCTAGATTAATGAGATTCTTTTAGGTTATATGTTTCATTGTATCTAATTCCCTTCCAATACAATATCAAGTGTAAAGATGTGTCTAATATTTCTTTAAAATATGCAAAAATAGAACTAAATGGTCATCCTTTGGAATGTTTGTCATCCTTTAGAAGATGCTTAAAAATGTCTTACACTATTAAATGGCTATGAATAACTTTACAAAATCTTACCATAAATCTAATTTTTTTAGACTTTAGTATTACAATTGCATCAGGCTTCATCACAGCAACTTTACTGCAAAAATCTAACTCAGACAAAAGAAATACTTAACCTAAAACATACATGATGTTTTATTTTTATCATGTAAGATCTAACTTTTTATAATAAGTTACTAATTTATCATGTAAAGATCCACTTTATCAGAAGAAAACACACACAACTTTAAATCATCTACACACTTTAAAGTACAAACAACACACTTTAAATCATCTACAATTTCTACTACTTATATGTTGTGTATAATTTGGCAATGGTAAAATAATTCATTCTTAGGTTTCTATTTCCTGTATCAGAATGCATTCTACTATTTTAATTCAAAATTACTTACTGTAACAGATTATATATTGTAGACAATGTCAAGGTTATTTCTAAGTATACAATTGGATAATAAATCTATGATATTATTTGAAGATTGATATGGTTTGGCTCTGTGTCCCTACCCAAATCTCATCTAGAATTGTAATCTTCACATGTTGAGGGAAGGACCTGGTGGGAGGTGAGTGGATCATGAGGGCAGTTTTTCTCATGCTGTCCTCATGATAGTGAGTGAGCTGTCACAGGATCTGATGGTTTACAAGTGTTTGGCTATTTCCCACTTTGTGCTCTCTCTCTATGTATTTGTCCTGCCACCTTGTTAAGAAGTTGCTTGCTTCTCCTTCAGTTTCTGTCTTGATTGTAAGTTTCCTGAGCCATGCAGAACTGTGAGTCAATTAAACCTTTGTTCTTTCTTTGTAAATTACTCAGTCTCATGCAGTTCTTCATAGCAGTGTGAAAATGGACTAATGCAGAAAATCGGTACCAGGTGTGGGGAACTGCCTGAAAATGTGGAAGAAACTTTGCAAATGGATAATGGGCAGAGGTTGAAACAGTTTGAAGGGCTCAGAAGAAGATGGGAAGATGTGGAAAAGTTTGGAACTTCCTAGAGACTTGTTGAATGGTTTTGACCAAAATGCTGATAGTGATATGGACAATAAAGTCCAGACGGAGGTGGTCTCAGATGGAGATGAGGAACTTGTTTAGAACTGGAGTAAAGGTCACTCATGCTATGCTGTAGACAAAAGAATGGCAGTATTTTGCTGCTGCTTGAGAGATCTGTGGAAATTTGAACTTGAGAGAGATGATTTAAGGTATCTGGCAGAAGAAATTTCTAAGCAGCAAAGCATTTAAGAGGTGACCTGGCTGATTCTGAAAACATCTAGTCATATGCATTTATAAAGAGATTATCTGAAACTGGAACTTTTATTTAAAAGGGAAGCAGAGCACAAAAGTTTAGAAAATTTGCAGCCTGACCTTGTGGTAATAAAACAAAAACAAACATTTTCTGGGGAGAAAATCAAGCCAGCTGCAAAAATTTGCATTTGTAATAAGGAGCCAAATGTTAATAGCCATGACAATGGGAAAAATGTCTCCAGGGCATCTCAGATACCTTCATAGCAGCCTCTCCCATCACAAGTCCAGAAGTCTAGGAGAGAAAAATGGTTTTTGCACTAGCTCCAGGGCCCTGCTGTTCTGTGCAGCTTCAGGACATGGTGCCTTGTGTCCCAGCTGTGTCAACTCCAGCTGTGGCTAAAAGGGGCCAAGGTACAGCTTGAGCCATTGCTTCAGAGGGTACAAGCCCCATTCTTGGTGGCTTTCATGTAGTGTTAGACCTGTGGGTACACAGAAGACAAAAATTGAGCTTTGGGAGCCTCTGCCTAGATTTCCGAATTTGTATGGCAATGCCTAGATGTCCAGGAAGAAGTTTGTGCAGGGTCGGAGCCCTCATGCAGAACTCTACTAGGGCAATGCAGAGCGAAAATGTGGAGTTGAAGTCCTGCACAGTGTCCCTACTGGGGCACTGCCTAGTGGAGCTGTGAGAAGAAGGCCACTGTCCTCCAGACCCCAGAATGGCAAATCTACACATAGCTTGCACTATGTGCTTGCAAAAGCTTCATGGACTCAACAGCAGCCTGTGAAACAGCTGTAAGGGATGGACCCTGCAGACTCACAAGGGTAAAGCTATGTAAGTCCTTGGGAGCCCACCCCTTGCAGCAGTGTGCCCTGGATCTGAGACATGGTGTCAAAGGAGAGCTTGGAGCTTTAAGATTTAATGACTGCCCAGCTAGGTTTTGGACTTGTATGAGACCTGTGGCCCCTTTGTTTTGGCCAATTTCTCCCATTTAGAATAGGAAAATTAACCCAATGCCTGTACTTCTATCATATCTTGGAAGTAACTAACTTTTTTTATTTTTATTTTTATTTTTTTCCTAGGAAGAAAGGACTTGCTTTGTCTCAGAGGAAATGTTGGACTTGAAGTTTTGAGCTAATTCTGAAATGAGTTAAGATTTTGGGGGACTTTTGGGAAGGCATGATTGGTGTTGAAATTTGAGGACATGAGATTTGGGAGGGGCTGGGGTGAAATAATATGGTTTGGCTCTGTGTCTCCACCCAAATCTCATTTTGAATTGTAATCCCCATGTGTTGAGGGAGAGTCCTCGTGGGAGGTGTTTGGATCGTGGGGTGGTTTCTACCATGCTCTTCTCATGATAATAATCGTTCACGAGATCTGATGGTTTAAAAGTGTTTGGCAGCTTGTCCCTCACTCTCTCTCTCCCCTGCCACCTTGTGAAGAAGGTGTTTGCTTTTCCTTTGCCTTCTGCCATTATTGTAAGTTTTCTGAGCCCTGTGGAACTGTGAGTTAATTAAACATCTTTCTTTTCTTTGTAAATTACCCGGTCTCAGGCAGTTGATTATAACAGTGTGAAATGGACTAATACAAAGGTCATGGGAGATATAAATTGCCAAATATTTTAATTTATAAACCTGATATCAATATTTGAATGTACATAGTTAAAGATTTATTTTCAATTTTATTTTTATCTTTTAGTAAATGCAAATAGGCATTGGTGGGTTGACCTGCTACAAATGTATATACCTTGAACATCTTAAGTTAGTGTGCTAGCAAATAATATTATTTCAAACTTGCCAGGTAAAAGAAATATAATATTGGGTGAGGGGAGTTATATTTGGAAATACTAACTGAATGATACCTAAGGACTTTTATATGGTTACTTATCTTGGAGAAAGTAGGGAAAAACAACAACTTCAAATTCAGGTCAGTGTGCCCACAAGTAGAAACGTATATAGTTACACACTGAGACCAAAATAACCAAGAGCAGTTTGAGGACAAGACATTTCTTGGCTCCAACATGTACTTGGGGACAGAACCTTCATTTACATTTTTGTCAGGATTGTAGTAGCAAAGCCACACCAGCAATGGAGCTGAGTAACTCATTAATTTAGCACTAAAATGAAATTTTCAAGTACTAATTTTTAGAAAGTAAATTTTTTTGGAAACTTATTTTCTAGGAAGTTAGAAAATATTTAGAAAACCGAAAGATTATGATGGGTTAGAGTATCTAAAAGATGCACATTTGAATTACAGCCTTCAAAATTTCTTTAATGATTAGTTCTCCATAAAGTTGAACAAAAATAAAAGAAAACTTGGTTAAAATTATGTATTTGTGATATGAATCTTACAGAGTAAGTTGGCTTCTTCTATTATGAAGAATCACATTTCGCAGGTGCTTTTCCTTAGAGAGAATGAGTTGGATGAGAAATACTGATAAAGGAAGAGCAACATAGGGGAATCATTTTAGATCAGTAGCATGGTAGTAGCTAGGAATACAGACACTGCCCTTCACATGGCATAACTTTGTTTTTGTCTCCTTGTCTGCTTTTCATGCAATTGGCATTTATCATAGTGTTCCTTCAAGTAGAGTCCATGCAACAACTGCATCAGAAATCACCTCTCAGGTGATGTTAAAATTCAGATTTCCAGCAAGAACTAATCAACTAGAATCTCAGAGTTATAGGGCTAGAAATCTGTATTCTAAGCTCCTTCAGTTTGGGCTAATGCTAGTGAAAATTTAAGAATCTTTAATTTGCCATTTACAAAGAGTTTATGTGTAGGAACTCCTTTTAAAACCTTATCATACCTGATAATTATTACTTTCTTGATTTCACTCTCCTATTCCTACGAAGTCATAAGATTTTCTCCAGGGAAATCTATATCCATCCATTAAAACATAATTTTTATATTAAAAACAACTTATGTAAAATGGAAGTTACCCAAAATTGAATACATATGTCATGTAATTCTCTAGTGTCATCTAATTTCTTTGTTGGAAAGCAAAATTGCACAGTGGTAAGACTAAAATTAAAAAGGCAACATTGTTAATGCTTTTCTTTATAAACTTGGATTGTTTTGAATTACCGCTTCTACTGTTGCTGGTAGCAGGTTTTTGTACCAATTGTTACACAATCCAGCTTCCACTCTCAGGGGGGAAATAAGGAAAAACATTCACCTTGACTTTGATCTGTTTCTCATCAGATTCAGCTGCGGGAGATGTCAGACCTGAAATTGTTTCAGGTTTGCCATAATGCTTCAGGGAAGGAATTTTTTCTTACACACTGTATAATTCACTTTGTAATACCAGGAAATGTAGGTTTCAGAAGGCTAAACTGTTTGAGAGGTGGGAAAAGCAACACATTCCTTTGGCCTTATTCATTCTCTCTCTCTCTCTTTCTCTCCCTCTCTCTGGCTTTATTTTATATTTTCTCATTTATTATAACAGTAATTCTAACATCAGGTCTCAGTAATATTTAACCTGATAAGGACAGTCAAATAACCCCCCAAATCCCATTTCTGACAAAAACTTAGAGCATGTGAATGCAGACTTGTAACTTTCCCCTAGCAGGTTTTGAAACATCTTCTTCACCCTAGAGCTGAACTTTCCTACTATTTCACTAATTGAACCAGAGACTTTAAAATTCTAAGAAATAGTGTCTTCTCAATGGCTTCAGAAAGACAGTTCAGTCTTTTAGCTCTTGTTGCAAGAAAATCATTCAAATAGCCCATGCTTAATTTAGCTGATTCTTCCAAAGAATAAGAAAGTTATGGCCATTGAGATAAAATGAAACAAAACATATATTTTAAAATTTCTTTTATGTGTGTTTGTTTAGCTGAATTAAGAACCATATGTTCATTCTATCAAAAAAAAATGTCTAGAGGGATATATAACCCCATCCAAAGTAATTGAAGTCTTATAAGACAACAAATTGTCATATAGTTCTTTGGAAATATAATTTAATATCTCCACTACATCATATTCTTATTTCTTTTGGAAGTTAATACATGTTTAATATACTTGTTGCTGATAGCTCAAACCAATATGTTCTTATTCATTGATAAATAGGAAATAGTAACATATTTTATCTAAAATGTTTGAGTGTAGAAATTGTGTGCAGACAATATTTAGCATGTTCAAGATAAATGTATTTGTCTTGTTTTGTAGAATGGCATGGATACTTTTAATAGCTTAAACTGGTGGCTTTATACAATTATGAGTATATAGAAAAACAGAAGATGCTCTTTACTAGGTTTATACTTTGAAAACATGAAAGTGTTTTAATCTATTCTGATCATTTAATGGCATTGCTTCCCTGAATACAACATGAAAATCACTTAAAATGGTAAAGCTAATTTATATCACAGTCCAGATAAAACATAGAAATACCTAGCATCGGCTCTTTTTCTTACCGTACAACATTAATATTAAAGCTTTAGTTTTAAAGCCTAACTCCCGAATTTTGGCTTATATATTACTAAGTATGAAACAACAAATTTAAGTTATGACGTTATTGATGTTAAAGTAAAAACAGACAAAAATATATTCAGATATTGTATTCATCATTGACCAGGTAATTAAAATATGAAAAATTTTAAAGCAGCAAACATTTGATTGGAGGAACACAAGTAATTAAAACACATGCATTAACCAGTTCAAATTAAACCCTGCTTATTATTATTATTATAATACTTTAAGTTCTAGGATACACGTGCAGGATGTGCAGGTTTGTTTTGTAGGTACACCCGTGCCATGTTGGTTTGCTGCACCCACCAATCCGTTGTCTACATTAGGTATTTCTCCTAATGCTATCCCTCCCCTAGCCCTCCACCCCCTGACAGGCCCCAGTGTGTGATGTTCCCTTCCCTGCGTCCATGTGTTCTCATTGTTCAACTCCCACTTATGAGTGAGAATATGCTGTGTTGGTTTTCTGTTCCTGTGTTAGTTTGCTGAGAATCATGGTTTCCAGATTCATCCATGTCCCTGCAAAGGACATGAACTCATCCTTTTTATGGCTTCATAGTATTCCTTGGTGTATATGTGCCACATTTTCTTTATCCAGTCTATCACTGATGAGCTTTTGGGTTGGTTCCTTGTCTTTGCTATTGTGAGCAGTGCCACAATAAACATACATGTGCATGTGTCTTTATAGTAGAATGATTTATAATCCTTTGGGTATATACCCAGTAATCGGATTGCTGGGTCAAATGGTATTTCTGGTTCTAGATCCTTGAGGAATCTCCACACTGTCTTCCACAATGGTTGAACTATTTTACACTCCCACCAACAGTGTAAAAGCTTTCCTATTTCTCCACTGCCTTGCCAGCATCTTTTGTTTCCTGAGTTTTTAATGATCACCATTCTAACTGGCGTGACATGCTGTCTCATTGTGGTTTTGATTTGCATTTCTCTAATGACCAGTGATGATGAGCTTTTTTTCATGTTTTTTGGCCACATAAATGTCTTCTTTTGAGAAGTGTCTATTCATATCTTCCGCCCACTTTTTCATAGGGTTGTATGTTTTTTTCAGGTAAATTTGTTTAAGATCCTGGATATTATACCTTTGTCAGATGGATAGATTGCAAAAATGTTCTCCCACTCTGTAGGTTGCCTGTTCACTCTGATAATAGTTTCTTTTGATATGCAGAAGCTTTTTAGTTTGATTAGATCCCATTTGTCAATGTTGGCTTTTGTTGCCATTGCTTTTGTTGTTTTAGTCATGAAGTCTTTGCTCATGCCTATGTTCTGAATGGTATTGCCTAGGTTTTCTTCTAGGGTTTTTATGGTTTTAGGTCTTATGTTTAAGTCTTTAATCCATCTTGACTTGGTTAATTTAATTCTTTATTTGAGTGATTAAAAAAAAATATTGTTAAAGTTGGAGTAAAACAAAAAAAGTTGTGCCCACAGAGTTTGGGGTGCCTCAGTGCTTATAATTGAAAAGTATATTTGAATGTCACAATTTCATTGTTATTTGGCCATCTTAATTTTTTATTAAAACAAAGGAAGTTGTAGTCATTAGACAGTCAATATTATAAAGCTGATCTATTTTCTGCCCTGAGTCAGATACCTATAAAACAATTATTATATTTGGGGAGTTTACATGAGAAGCTTTATTATTTTTATTATTATGGTTCATACTACTAATTTATAATATTAATAATATTTGCACTCCTCCCAGATTATAAACTAAATCTCAGAATCACCCAGATTTCTTCTTTTAACACTAATTTCTTTAATTGGCTGTAGACTAAAGGCATATTTTAATATGGCATGTCTTTTTAGATTCATATCAAAGTAGCTCAGTTCAGAACCCAAGCTATAAATCTTTGTACCTGTGTTTGTCAGCTGTGTTAAGAAATTTCAGAAAGGAATAGAACACACGTGATACAAAAAGTCAAAATATTGATTTTGTAAAAACGGTCAAGTATTCATGAGGATTAATCAAACAGTCACATGAATTGAAGATTCAAGCCTTAGCATTGAGATCAAGAATTAACACATAAGTTCGAGGATTCATATATTCTAGGTAAGTGCTATGTTAATTATATAAGATAAATTCTCACGGTACTAATTCATGTGGGATGGGAGCTTTGTTATATGTTCTGTCTGTGTTTTATTTTCACTTTTTTATCTGCTGGATATGGTCTGAATGTGTTCCCTCCAAAATTCAAGTGTTGCCAATGTGACAGTATAAGAGGTGGAGACTTTAAGTAGCAATTAGGTCATGATCAGCTAATTACCATGATTAGGCCCAATCCCTTCATGAATGGGATTGGGTACCCTTATGAAAGAGCTTGATGAAGGGAGTTCATCTACTCGCCTTTTTGCCTTCCACCATGGAAGGAGGCAGCAAGAAGGCCCTCACCAGACACAAGTTAACAGCACTTAGATCTTGAACTTCCCAGCCTCCAGACTGAGAAAATAAACTTATGTTTTTTCTAAATTACCCAATCTCTGGTATTTTGTTGTAGTAGCACAAATGGATTAAGATATGTTATTAGTTTATTTTAATAGAGATAAAAATATTCCACAATTTTTATCAAACTAATTCTAAAAGGAAACAGCAAAATAATTGAGTAAAGTTAGGTTAAGGGTCTTATTATTACCTAATCTCAAAGATTGATCAAATCTGGTGTTCTGGCATACATCATCATTCTTCCATGAATCTGTTAGGTAAAAATACTGTGGATATATGAAGAAAGTAATACATCATTGTACTAAAAACCTTGTTCCTCAAAATTTTATTCAATTCTAAGTGGTCAGATGATGACTAGCCTTATCAAAAGGCTCACAGTCATATGGAGTTGTCAAAACGATTATAGTCCTATATATCTTTCTTCACCCATTGGCCTGAGCCATAGCTTCACAACATTGGAAAAAAATTAAATAAGCTACAGTAGAAATATCATAGCAAAATTTTTCTATCGAGAAATACAACAAAAGAAAATCACTTTTCCCACAACACTCTAGAACAACACTGAGTTGCTCGCTTCAGTGAGAAATAAGCACCTTTGATTATTAATCATTTCATCAAAAACTATAGGTAGACTAAGAAAAAACATGATTTCCTTAGGTAATGAATAATTTGAAAAAAATTATAAGATCTCTCCAGTAATAACAAGACTTATCTTAAGAATCTATTCATTAGTTCAATATTTCATTTTTGAAAATTAGAGAAATAGTCTTTCCTTTCATTATACTGTTTATTACAGTTATGATTTTTATAATACATGTAATTATTATTACAGAGAACAATTTCTCCGACATGATATTTATGATGCTTAATTTATTTTTCTAATTTGTTGTTTCAAATGGAAATTCACAATCACAAATTAAAGAAGATATTTGTGGAATGCCCTTTAATCATTCTTTTAAATTCAGTATCTAGGAACCTCATGAATATATATAACTTATGTATTTTTTGCAAATAATATTACATAATATTAACATTATAATAATGTATTTTTCAGATAGGACTACTTTAGAGTAAACTATATTTTAATTAGAAAGATAAATTATGGGAATTTTGAAAAAGTTTATATAAATAGTCACAAGAATGAACTTAGAGCAATTCAGGATTAAGGTACTACTGCTCACAATAAAATAAATAATTAATATGTTCAAAATATTTGTAAATATGATAGGTTTATAATTTATTAATTGTAATTTAAACAAATATTTGCTAATTAATATTAGGATGGAAAGTCATTTCTTGTCTTCTGTACTGGATAACTATGCATAAGCTCTTGTTTTATTTATGAATATAATGACTTCAATGGCCCGAAGCTTGGAAAAACATATTTTATTTATAAATATTTTTATGGATGATTAAAAGTCAGCAGAAGGCTATACCACCTGCACTCAAGCAAAACTGAAAGAATTCTTCTTTATGATGATGTAGTGGATGGTTTTCCTTTATTTACTAGAACAAAAACATCAAAATGCACATAGGAAAATCCAGTGTATTATTTTATATAAGATAATATTCACGCCGGGCATGGTGGCTCACACCTGTAATGCCAGCACTTTGGGAGGCCGAGGTGAGCTGATCATCTGAGGTCAGGAGTTCGAGACTAGCCTGGCCAACATGGTGAAACCCTGTCTCTACTAAAAATAAAAATTAAAAAAT
Source organism: Homo sapiens (assembly GCF_000001405.40). NCBI lineage: Eukaryota > Metazoa > Chordata > Mammalia > Primates > Hominidae > Homo > Homo sapiens. The sequence goes on along the minus strand of NC_000021.9, from coordinate 23,205,102 downwards.
TAAAAAATATAGCTGGGTATGGTGGCTTGCGCCTGTAGTCCCAGCTGCTCAGGAGGCTGAGGCAGAAGAATCACTTCAACCCAGGAGGTGTAGGCTGCAGTGAGCTGAGATTGCACCATTGCACCACTACACTCCAGCCTGGGCAACAGAGTGAGACTCCATCTCCAAAAATAAAATAAAATAAAATAATAACATTTACAGGTCTGTGCAGTAGGTTTCAGAAAAATTATTGAACTATGGATATAAAGATACTGTTCTTATTTAAATCTACTTTTTTTTCAATGAAAGCCATAAACTTTTTTCATTGTATTTTATTATGACTATTATTGTCATAAGAAACCTATTATCTTGTAGCTCTAATAAAATACATGGTGGAAACAGTATATTGTTTTCAGCAACTTCAAAATGCTTTTAATGGCCTATAAATCGTGGCTAATACATTATATTAAAACCAGAGAAAGTTATGTCTGACTCTGACAGTGTGTTTAATACCCAATTTAGCTGTTAAATTTGTAATAGAAAACTGAGTTTTTAAAAACTGATATGATGTAGCTATGTAGCATCTTGCTCTTTTTGTTTGTGTATATATATATATATATATATATATATATATATATATATATATATATATATATATATATATATATATATATATATATATACTGATGAAATTTAAAGGATCTATCAAATATAACTAAGTACCATCTGTTTCTCGTTTTAAATTTTAAATAATTCCTCCACCTTGAATTGTCTAAATTGTACCTGTTTCATAATATATCTTAAAAATGTTACTAATCTGCATTTACAACTTTATATTTACATGCAAAATAAATTGTGTTTATTCTGAAAACTTCATAAATGCAGCTTTGTGGAACTAGGTAACACTAGTTGAAAATTATAATTAATTGAAGGTCACAGACTAAATGTATAAATTATAATAAAGTTTTTATTTCAAACTACGAGCAATATTGGAAATAGTAACAAAAATACAGTGCCAAGTTTTCATTTTAGTGTTTGGGTTACTCTTGATTTTACTTGTAGGTAAATACCATCAAAGGTTTGGAGATTATACTATGATTTTAATGTATCATTTTTCCTTAATTCACCATCTAGATAACTATGCAATAAAACAAGTGGCCAGGTGTGGTGGCTCACGCCTGTAATTCCAGCACTCTGGAAGGCCTAGGCGGGCAGATCATGAGGCCAGCAGTTCGAGACCAGCCTGGCCAACATGGTGAAACCCCGTCTCTACTAAAAATACAAAAATTAGCCAGTCATGGTGGCGGGCGCCTGTAATCCCAGTTACTGGGGAGGCTGAGGCAGGAAAGGACAATCGCTTGAATCCGGGGGGCAGAGGTTGCAGTGAGCCAAGACCGCACTATTGCACTCCAGCCTGGGCGACAGAGTGAGACTCCGTCTAAAAAAATAAATAAATAAATAAATAAATAAATAATAATAATAATGCACACCAATGTAAAAAAAATGCAAAAAATAAAAAGCAATCATGTTATAACTTTTTGCATTTAATGTAACACATTAAAGAAATCCTTGGGAACCAACAATTTTTCATAAATTCATTTTATGCAATCAAGTTACATGCATTTTGCAGTATGTACACAGTAGCTGCTAGTGACCACATAAATTTAAAATAAATGAATCCACTTCTAATTCTTAACTTTTACTAAGTACCAAAAGATTGTTTAATATGAGCCAAATGACATAAATTATAAAAATCTTCATTAGCAAGATGAGTTCCAAATCTATACAAAAATTATTCTGCTCTTAAATAATTTTTGTCAAGAAAAAAATACTTAGCATGTTGATGACTAATATTTATTATGCAAAAAGAGCTTTTCAAAAATGTTTTCATATACTTTCAAAGATTTTTAGTAACATTTAAATATTAAAAGAGTAAAAAGACACAGTTTAAGGTAAGTCTTTTTGTACAAGAATCCACTTTATCACTTTATTTTTTTCTCTAGAATAGTTTGGAGGAGAGAAGAGGGTATGTACTTGGCATAAAGAAAAGAAAAAAGTGAATAAAAAAGCTGATGACTTAATTTTTAAATAAGATTACCTAGGTCTGTGGAAATTTTACTGACAGTGTTATATGTGTACATGAATTGATTTCTGAAAAAACTCATAAGCAATATGTGTAACTAGAAGAGCCTAAGTAAGGTTACATGTCTGATATCATGTGGTCAGCCTAGATAATAATGACTGACAATATTAATCTATATTTATTGGGGACTTACTATGGGTTAAAAACCTTTCTGAAGTTTCTAAACTTTTTACAGGCACCCATGATATTTTTCCTCATTTTGCAGATGAGCAAATTCAAATATATTTGAATTTGTTTGGGTAAAGTCAAATACCCAAGATTACACAGTTAATTTTTAAACTTGGTCTCAAAATCCTGCTGGTAAAACCATCATTATTCAACTGACTTTCATTAAATAACAACACAGAAAACTTTTTTGGTTTTCTTTTATGTGGAGATGGCGTATCGTTATGTGGCCCTAAGCTGGTCTGGAACTCCTGGGCTCAAGCAATCCTCCTGTCTCTGCCTCCCAAAGTACTGGAATTACAGGAATGAGCCACTACCACCTTCCAATCATGATTCTTTGTTAGTCATTGGACACACTTCAAGTTTCTTCTAAGGGTGTAAACAGCAGGTAAGAGTATTCCTCCTATCCATACAATAAAAAGCATCCTGGCCGACTGCAGATTTATGACTTTTCTTGATCCTATTAGACCAAGTGAGCTTGCAAGGCAAAAAAAATAAGAATAAATAATGACTCAATAATAGGGGAAGATGTACTTGTGGAGAGACGTGAGACATAAGCACTGGCTTGCATGCGGTACACAGAGGACACACAACTATAGGCAGTTAAAATAATTCAATGAGGATGTTTTAATGAACAGGTGGAGGAAAATGTGGACTGGCAGGAAGTGTGTAACTCCTGTAGGATGCTGGTATTGAGGGATTCTATTCCAACTTACAGTTTTTGTTGCTGCTGTTCATTTGTGAATAAAGGACAACAAATAATGTTTAAATTATGACCTTGGTGAAAAGCCACTGAACTTGGCAAAAGAGAACTGGAGGAGGAAAAAGCACATACCCACAGGAAAGGGCAGAAATATGTGCTTGGCTCAGAACAATGGAGGCGCAGGAGCACTGAGGAAGCCATGCCCTCAACACTCAGGGCACGAGCCAGCCTAACATTGAAGTTTAATCTGAGCAGCAAAGAAACATCTGTCAACTGCTCCCCTCACCAGCGGACTAACCAGCATCAAGTAAAAAGTAATAGCAAAATACCTAAGGGAGATGGGCAGGAGAGAGATAAGTGTATGAAATGATACCCATTCTGTGGCACAGCATAAAAGGAACAATCTGAGCTGAGTGTGGTGCAAACATTTACAAACACCCTCTGGAAAACCACCTTTCATCTAAATATAAGGTTACAGCAAGAGCAATGGTTCTTACCAGCAGGTCACCTTTTCCTCTCCCAGGAGACATTTGACAGTATCTCCAAATGATTTTTTTTCTTATGACTTGCATCTAACATATAGAAACCAGAAATGCTGTTAAACATCTTAAAACATACAGGAAATCTCCCCATAAAAATGTGGATTATCTAATACAAAATGTAAATGGCACCAAGGCTAGGAAACACTGAAATAGGAGAATTTGTAGTCTATGTTGCTCTGAGGATAACCAGAGCAAAACAAACAGACAGACAAACAAAATCTAGTCTAAATCCCAATGGTTTAACCCGTACTAATTCTCACAATAAAGGCTTAAAATTTAAAAAAATGTGCTTACTGCCTTTCTTTTTCTCATTTTCTACTGTCTTGCACACCATATCTGACTTTCAAACAAAAATTACGACACATACAAAAACACAAGGAAATATTTTTTAAAAAGTTGCCAAGAAGCAAAGCAATCACCAGAAACAGACTCAGAAATGACACACATCTAGTAACTATTTGACAATAAATTTGAAATAACTGGGATTTTATTTATTTATTTATTAGAGACAGGCGGGTCTGTCTGTCACCCAGGCTGGGGTGGAGTTGCATGATCCTAGCTTAGCGCAGCCTCAATCTCCTGGGTTCAAGTGATCCTCCCATTTCAGCCTCCTGAGTAATTAGAATTACATGCATGGGCCACCGTGCCTGGCTATTTTTAAACTTTTTAAAGTAATTTCATCTTATTTTTAGATTCGGGTGGTACGTGTACAGGTTTGCTATATGTGTATATTGCACGATGCTGAGGTTTGGGATGTGATTGATCTCATCACCCAGATAGTGAGCATAGTATCCAATAGTTAGTTTTTAAACCCCTGCCTTCCTCCCTTCCTCCTGCCTCTAGTAGCCCCCACTGTCTATTGTGGCCATCTTTTTGTCTATTTCTACCCAATGTTTAACTTCCACGTACAAGTGAAAACATGTGATATTTGGTTTTCTGTTCATGTGTTGATCTTAGGATAATGACCTCCAGCAGTGTCCATATTGCCACGAAGGACATGATCATGCTTTTTGGCTGTATAGTATCCTGCGGGCTATATGTACCACATTTTCTTTATACAGTCCGCCATTGTTGGGTACGTAGGATGATTCTATATCTTTGCTATTGTGAATAGTGCTGTGATGAACATCCGAGCACATGTGTGTTTTGGCAGAATGATTTATTTTATTTTGGGTATATACTCAGTAACGAGATAGCTGGGTCCAATGGTAGTTCTAAGTTCTTTGGGAAACCTCTGAACTGCTTTCCACAGTGGTTTAGCTAATTTACATTCTCACCAACACTGTATAAGCAAAATAACTGTGATTGATTATGTCAAAACTCTAGTGGAAACATAAAATTACATGGGCAGTTTCATCAGGGAGGTAGTAAAGAAACTATCAGAAAGAATTGGAAATGCTAGGAAATAAAAACAGTGAAAACAGTGAAGCATGCCATTCACGGACCTCTCACAGCTGAGAAAATAATCATGAACTTGAAGATGAATCCATAGAAAGCAATAAAACTGAATGTGAGAAAAAAGAAGAAAATAAAAAGCATCTGAGTACTGTCAGGCTGTATCGATTGACCTAATATATGTGTAATTGGAATTTCAGAAAGAGAAAAGAGAACAAGGAAGAAGTAATATATTTAAATAAATGATGGTCTAGGCATTTTCAAAGTAAAATGAGAGCCAATCACATATCCGAGATACTTAGAAACACTAAATAGGAAAAAGATTAAAACACAAATGACAATAAAACAAACAATAACAAAACAGCATCTAGGCATATCTTATTCAAACTAATGGAAAAAAATAACAAAAGATACCTTGAAGATAGAAGAAAGGATATATACGAAGGAACAAAGATAAAATTACAAAACACTTCTTGTCAAGAATCATGCCAGTTAAAAGATAATGGAAATAGTTCTTTAAGGTGCTGAAAGGCAAAGCAAAATAACAACGAAAGCTATCAACTCATCTCTATAGATAATAAAAAGATATTTCAAAAATGAAAGAGAAAAACCATTTCTTCAAACAAGCAAAAAATGAGGAACCAAACAGCCAGCAGATGTACTCTACAAGGAATATTAAAGGAACTTCCTGAAGAAGAAAAATAATACTAAATAGAAACTAGACTCTACACAAAGAAAGAGCCTCAGAAAATGAACAAATTAAGAGAAAATTACGCTTTCTTATTTTCTATTGCTCTTAAGAAAACTGACTAGCTAAGGTAAAGCTAGTAACAATGCATCACGTATTTATAGTTTATATAAAAAGTGTGGCAAAATAATACAAATAAGAGAGTGAAGCGGTTGATAATGCACTGTTGTAATCTCCTTAAGCTGCACGCAAAGTGGTACAATGATATTTGAAGGTAGACTCTACTTAGTTAAAGTGATATATTGTCAACCTAAAATAACTTGATAGTAAGAATAAGTCTTGTATGAAATATGTAAGAATATATTTTCATAAATTATATAAAGTTGTATTTTAATGTATTAAAGCAGGTCAAAAGTAAGTAGTTGTGAATAGGCCTACCTAATGGAATTTTTAAAGAAACTTAAAAAATCACAAAAGGAAGAAGGCAGGCAAGCAGCAAAGGAAGGAAGAAGGCAGGAAGGCCTAAAATAAAAACCTTATTTTAGGGTTTTGTTGTTGTTGTTATTCCATGAAAATTAAATTGATAACAGAAAAATATTTACAATGACACTAGTTACAATAAAAGTCTTATTAATATCCCAAATGCAGTCCTTAATCTTTTCAATCATCTTTTTGTTTTTCTGTTTCTTTGATTTCTTTGGGTTGCCTCTTTGTATTTTCCTTTGTCTCTCATTTCTCTATTTCACACACACACAAAAACTGCACACACACACACACACACACACACACACACACACTAACGCATATTGCATATAATCTAATATATCAAGTAAATTAGGCTTTGTCTTATTAATTAAAGTATGCTATATTAATCAATGAGTTATATATGCTCTGATATGTATACATCATTATGAGGTAAAAAAAAGCCTGCATATGTATATACTTTGAATTTGAATAAATAAATGAACATTGGATTGGAAATGAGAGGTTTGAATGAAGATAGGCAGATATTCATCATCTTTCTACATAAAACAGATGTACGTGTTGAGTATTGCTTATGCAAAATGCTTTAGACCAGAAGTGTTTTGGATTTTTTTGAATTTTGGAATATTTGCATATACATAAGTAATTTTAGGGATAGGACCCAAGGTTAAACATGAAATTAAGTTATTTTTCATATACACTTTATTCACATAGCACAAAGCTAATTTTACACAACATTTTAATAATTTTGTGCATGAAGCAAATTTGTATTAAATATTTATTTGTGGAACTTCCCACTTGTGGCATCATGTTGACACTCAGTATTTTGGATTTTGGAGAGTTTTGGATTTCAGGTTTTCACATTAGATGTGCTCAATCTGTATGTGCTTGAATTGTAAACTATGCTTCCAATAGACATGGAAGCTTTTTCATTTGTAAATTACCACTTTTTAATGTTTATTATATTGAAAAGAATTCTACCGTGCAACTTTAATCTTTCATCTTTAATATTCTACTCTCTGTGAGAGCTTGGAATGAAGTTAGAAACCCAATCACAAGACAAGGCTGACTTCAGTAAGGTTTGCGGCCATGTGCTTGAGCAGTCAGACAAGGCATAAGTTCTATTTCTGTGAGCATTGCTTGTTGTCTAATGGAATCAGAGCCTCTGAATATTGGTGACTTTGTGGGAACACACTGGGGAACAGATCACACCAGTTTCTGCAATGTTTCGCAGAAGAATCAAAACAATTCACGCTTGTCTGCCTTGCTAAATGTTTGAAGTCTCGACCCACATCTAGATTTAAATCTCCTTTAAAAAGAGCCCTATGATGGGGTTCATGAAATTGTGTATAAATTCCATAGCCACGTTAGTCCCTACTTTTAATTTTTGTCCTCTTGTTTTCTAAAAAGAAAAATAATAAATTTTATCAAAATTGTGAATAAAATGCCTTTTTTTCTTTATAAGAATGACCAGGTATATTGTTATAAAGATTTTCAGAAATAAAATATCATTTTAACTAAAGCCTAAAGGTGACGCATCGATTAAGCACAGAAGAATCCATGGAGTTTTGTGAACTATTTGTGACGCATTTCAGTGATAGATTATAAGGTCTGTGCTGAGTAGTAAGTAGAAATAGTCAATGACAAATTTAGAAACATTTTTCTTTCTCTCATATGACCATATATTATTTAATTTCTTTCTCTATAGAAGGAAATTAGTCTTCTCAATAAAATCCTAAATAAATGTGAGCCGTGGGCAACTTTGACCTCAATAATCTATAGAAGGCCAAAAGAATTCTTCAGTAAGTCTCAGTTACTACAGTCTGATGGGTTTATTATAGAGGTTCCATGTGAAACAAGGTAATTAAGTCCTGCTCAAATTACAGCACAGAACTCCAAAATAGTCTATAACACCAACCTGCTGTTCTAGGGTTATCATGCAAAGAGCAAAAAAAATCCAAATTCATAGGCTCATAAAATGGCCATGTAATGTGAGCTCTTACGTATACACTGTTGAAAAGAAGACTGCATTTCTAAAATGGTAAATGATGTATTTTATTATAGGGAGGGAGGTACGACGTATGTGAGGCAAATCCAGTAAAAAGTGAGAAAAAACACAGATTTTCACGTAAGATATACCAAAAGTGAGATCATTTAAGTCTGGAAAGATAAATGTTGAGAGGATATAATGTAATCTATAAAATTTTAAGTGTGAACATTAAATATGTTCTTGTTAAACAGATCCTTAAACTCTAGCACTCCTTATAAATACAAGATTTTCAGTGTAAAACGCCTATTAGGGTGCAGGGTACATGCAGAATTAAATTTTATTACTAAAATTTAAATCAAATAAAATATCATTAATGGGATTTCAAGGTTGTAAGAATAGTTGTATTGAGTACATTATTTTAGAAAAGAAGTTTCTGGAAATGCTATTAGATTTCAAAATATTTTGGGAGACTTCAATGATAAAAAGTAAGTCTGTATGATAATTAGTGTAATTATTCTTTGAGGCAGACTTTTATTGTTAGCAATTTAGAAGTAATACTTCTAGCTATTCACACATATAGGAACGCTTATTTGTGAAATTATGAGGGTCACCATCAATATATTTAAATAAATTCACATTTTGAGTTAGGATTTGGGTTACAGTTATTCAAGATTTTTCCATATAGGGTGTCAATATTTAGATTTTATAAAACCCAAGATAGGAATAATTAATGTGGCAGATTAGCAGGAAAAAAAAGGATGAGTAAAAGGAGAGACAGAATGAGAAAAAACATAAGAAAAGATAGGAAAAAATATAGATAATATTATAATTGATACAAATTTGCAAACTATTCCTAACTTTAATTACCATTTAATCAGTAATGTCAACAGATTTCAAGAGATTCCATAAAATTATAATGTTAATCTTTTCTTTGAGTCACCAGAAAGGATTTGTTCAACATTTGTTTTCATGTAACATAGTGATGATTGAAACCCGAAATATAAATGAATGCCACATAATGAAAAGACACATGCTGTGTGTGACAGACAAACCCTTCATGCAGCAGGAACAAGCCATTTTTAAATAACCTTGTTAATACCCACACTTTACTTGAAAATGTATCAGAATAATTTAAGATAAAATATATACACAAAATTTAATATTTACAATAATTTGTCCTGTTATGGTAGTAAATATAAATGCAAATTATGTAAATATATGATGATAAATCATAAGTTACCTGTGTATTTTGATACATAACTAGTGGTTTTGCAAATATTTTTATTTATATGTAGCAGTGTAGAATATTTGGAAATATACAATAAAAGGCTTAATTGCAATAATAGGTTAAAGTGTGTTGGCTATTTATTGTCTCTTGTAAGCAATCGTCTCTTCTAAGAATTTCATCCCCTGCTCCCACCTCATTCCATCCCTCCTCTCTAACCTTATTTGAAAATAAATTAAGGCCAGGCACTGTGGCTCATGCCTGTAATCCCAGCAGTTTGGGAGACTGAGGCAGGGTGGATCATCTAAGGTCAGGAGTTCAAGACCAGCCTGACCAACATGGTGAAACCTCGTCTCCACTAAAAATACAAAATTAGCCGGGTGTGGTGGTGGATGCCTGTAATGTCAGTTACTTGGGAGGCTGAGGCGGGAAAATTGCTTGAACCTCGGAGGCAGAGTTTGCAGTGAGCCGAGATTGCTCCATTCCACTCCAGCCTGGGCAAAAAGAGCGAAACTCCATCTCAAAAATAAATAAATAAAAATAAATTCATACATTTAAAAGTCATGTTTTGCTTACTATAGTGAAACAAATGATGAAGTCAACTTTTCAAGAAAACGTCAGATTAAAAAAAAGTAATCCTTAGATATCTGTGAAAACTATACATTCATTTAGAGAATACAGTAATAGAATTAATAAAAGGATTTCACAAGACTACTTGTAATAAAAATAATAATCTAATGTCAATTGATTTCTATACCTTTTTGATAATGAGAAAGTGAAATTTTGAAAGACATAGTTATACATAGATATTAAAATAAGAATAAAAGAATATAACTGGAAATAAAAGCACTTGATTATGAATATAATTGAAGGTTTAACATCATTTTTCTAAGGATTTTGAATAATTTCCCTATTGTCTTCCAGGATCATTTTCTTCAAAGGGTAATTCACAAACTGCCATCATTATCATCACTTTGGAGCTTGTTGCTTGTGGGGCTGTATTTTAGACTTACTGACTTGGACAAAATACAGAAATCTGTTTTAATTTCTCTAGGTGATTAAGATACATATAAATTTTGAGAAATACTACCTTTATAATCTGCTGTAGCAGAACATGAGTCAGACTCCAGACCAAATATCATTCAATTATAGAGGAACAACACGCTGTTTTTGTCACCCAAATTTAGATTATTTTATCTTAAATATGATCTAATCCACTTATACTTTATGGAAACTATTAAGGTTTTGCCTAGAATTGAGTGTCAGATGTGGTGGAGATACGGACCAAACCCACTGTAACTTGAGTGTAGAGGGATGAGTGTTACTACCTTTCACTCCTGTCCGTAGTAGAGTCTGACTTCTGAGCACAGAACCCTCCAAAGAATACATCCATGACACTAAGCTGCATTCAGCTATGTTAATTGTGTTAGGCTATCATTTTCTACACTTTGTCATCCATCCAGATCACTAAATGTTCCAGACTTTCTGAGCACATGTTTGCGTTTAGATTGTTTTGGAATCATTGTTCTTAGCACTTTGCATTCTCTTTCAACATAAAGAAACTTCTTCAACTGTGAGAACTCATTAATTTAATTGTTAATATTAGTTCATTCATTCTTGGATTTTAGTTCATTCATTCTTGGATTTCTAGTAACTAGTAAATGGAATTTTTAGATTTGTCTTCCAAGTCATTATGTATTCCCATATTTTTTTTCTTTATTTTACTCTGTATTCTCAGGTATTTCATCAGTTTTAATTTTCCAAATTATATTAATTTTATTTAAATATATTTTATATTGCTAAGAAATTTCCATTTTTTTACTTTTAAAAACACCCTGTTATAATTATTTTATTATTTTCTTGTATATCTGTATTTACATGCAGTTATTTATTTTGAGGGTAGCCTTAGTGCTTATTTTTCTTTGACTTGGCTTGTTGGTGTGATTGTTGGTTTATTTTGTTTGATTTTTGAGCTTTTCTTTTATAGCTTGAGTTTTCTGTTTTTCTATTGAGGTAGTCTATTATTTAGGCAGGGATTTCTTCATGGTTTTAGAGTCCTTTATTTTATAATTTTAGTGAGAAATATACAAACACATCACTATTATTAAGCTACTAAGTTCCTTTTTTTTTTATTTGTGTTATGTGTGTGCATTGTGATTTAGTTGCCCAATAATTCTGTCTTCGATCGGGAATACTGATAAGTACATCTAAATTCCTTTTCTTTGACTGAGCAAAGAGCCAGCTGTCAGACCACTAGACACTCAAAGCCAAAATTCAGATAGCTTAACTCTGGAGAGTTCTCATCCACACTAAGAGGAAATTTCATATGTCACAGCTACTGTAAGGACAGACTTTTAGGGTTTTGTCTGGAGTTTGTTGTGAGGTGTGGAAGGAATGTGGGTTGAATTCATTCTGATTTGAGTATGCAGAGGAGACAGATGGAGGTTACTACCTTCACTCCTGATCACAATTGAGTGTTTGAACTCTGAGCATAGAACTTCCCCAAAGAACAAACTCATGATATTAAGCTATATTAGGCTGTGTTAGTTGTTAGACTGCCAAATTGTCAGCTTATTTTATGCATTCAGACAGGCCTCTCCTCTTTCCATCATTCAGGTTTTGTGGAATTCTCCCAACCACTGGTGAATCTCCTCATTATCATCTCTTTCATATGTTTTGAAAAGCAATAAACACTTTTTATTTTTGTACATGGTATTAAGCATCACACATTGCATTATTTTTGCAAATTTTTCTACTTGGATATGTTGTGAGTAATTATCTTTTGGCCTTGATGAAGGCTGTATCATTTCATCACTGGTTCTTTGTCACAGACAAAGACAGAATGAGATGGGTCAGAGGAAAACTCGTCTGCCTTCTGTCCCCAGGACAGTGAAGGTCTCTTGGATAGGAAAATAGGATTTAATGACTGTGCATGAGAAATTCATCTTAAAATGAAATCTAATGAGTACTATATCCACTTAAGATAGAGATTACAATACAGCTAATTAGTATTCTACCACATTTTTCATTCATCTACTTTCATGTGAGATATTAATGACTAACATTTTAGGCTTTAGGATTATTTGGGCAATGCTGAATTTCAACCTTTCTATGAAAATGTGGACCTGGAAATAAGTATTATAAAAATATCATGTTTATTTTGCTTTAATTTGGTAAGTTCAAAAGATATTGCTTAGATAATAATGTAGCAGTTAAAACTGTGATGTTTAATGACTCCATTTTAAATGGCTTTAATAGAAAGAACTTCATAGACTTGAATACACACAGTTTAATTTACACCATCAGGTTAATTACTATATTTTTTTCAAAGCTCTGGTTATTTCATTTTTTTAGAAAAATTAAGAATCTTTTTATGTTGCCCAGGCTAGTCTCAAACTCGTGGCCCCAAGTAGCCCCCCCACCTCAGCCTTCTGAGTTGCTGAGGCTAAAGGGGTAGCCCATGGCACCTAATGTTGGTAACAAATTTTTACAGACACGTCCCCTACTGGATAGAATGGCAACACAATTTTAAAATGCACTGATTAAAAAGCCTTCAGATATAGTATGGTGTTCATGAACAGAACACTATTTTTAAGTTAATATATATTAAAATATTGGTTTATATGTATGTTGAGAAAATTATTCTAAATGAGAGTACTTGCTGTTCAAGTGAATCAGAAAAATCCGACAAGCAAACAAAGAAAATGAATTGTCATTGAGGGAAAAAATGAATTACAACAAACATTTGTTTGTTTATCATTTGTAAGAAGTTTTGTTCATCATCTGGCTTATATGTATTTCATTATATGTTTACATTTTGCTTTGTAGAAATCAACCCCCACACATTGTCCCTCAAAAAGTGACTACATGTGGCCAAATGAGGACAGTGTGACTTTATCCTTAAGCATGAAAGAGTGAAAATGTCTGCATAGATTTCGAAGTTCAGATCTTTTGAGGGTGCTGTGGGCTAATAAATGTCCATATAATAAAAGCTATGAAAACATGCAACTTAATTCAGATATCTTTTAAAAGTGGATATTATTCTTATGGAATGTGTTAACATTCAATAAACAGGTTTTTAAACATGAAACTTGTAGGACTAGTTTTATACAATGATCCTAGGCTAATTACTGAACTAATCAACTGGATTCTTAGAGTAAAATCTAGTAAATAGTAAGACAAAATTAAGGGATTTTTCATGTTAGAGAGTGTATGTAAAACAATTTGTTTAAGTGAGCTTTGGAATACTGGAGCAAATTAGAAATTCCTTGATTTATGACTTAATTTGAACTCCACATAACAGTATTAAGAAGCAAATTGTAGTCTTCCATCATTATTCCTAACGATTTCAGAAGATTAATGATGCTTAAGTAACTATTTATGAAGACAATATTATTATTTTTTGAAAGATGTCATTCAACTCATAAACACATAACTAAAGCCTCTCTTCAAGGTGATTCAGACAACCCTTAAATTTAATTAATGTACTGACAATTAGTTATAATCTAATATTGGAACTGAAAAATTTAGGTGTGAGGTATGGATCAATAATAATACCTAGTTTTAATAGTGGTGTATTTGTCCATTTCTCTCACTGCTATAAAGAAATACCTGAGACTGGGTAATTTATAAAGAAAAGACATTTAATTGACTTAGGGTTCAATAGGCTGTACAGGAAGCATGACGGCTTCTGGGAAGGCCTCAGGAAACTTTCAATCATGGTGGAAGGCAAAGGGGAAGCAGGCACCTCTTACGTGGCTGGAGCAGAAGGAAGAGAGACAGCAGGGAGGTGCTACACACTTTTAAACACCAGAGCTCTTGAGAACTCACTGACACAAGAACAGCAAGGGGGAAATCCACCCCCATGATCTAATCACCTCCTATCAGGACCCTCCTCCAACATTTGAGGTAATAATTCAACATGACATTTGGGCAAATGTTATGCTATAATGAGTTACAAAAATGACTGAAGTGACATGTTCATTTATGAATCCTGTGACTCCGAGATGATTAATATATATTTTTTTCTATTGGGGAAGAGAATTCTAGCAGAATTTCTCTTCTCCTATAGGTATGAACCACTAAGGAAGACTTTCTCTAGTCTATTACTCTGAATCCAAGCTTTCAGGAAGGCCTAGTGGAGGTCTGAGAACAAAAGCCTATACACACTTGCAAACTGTCGAGTTTTTGAGTCCCATGAGTCATATATTTTCATGTAAAATCCTATTTGAAATTAGGAGTTTATTAAAAGTATTTTCTGAATTAATTTTACCAAAATCTATGGTGTGTGATGTCTTTATTTCTTGTGATGTGACACAGGTAAGGCAGTATCTTCATCTTGTGTCATTTTGGAGGTTTCAAAACTTTTTTATTACTTTTTATTTATTGCTGTGTACAGAATACAACTGAATTTTATATTAAGTTTTTATATCCAGCAAACTCACCTGATTCACTTCCTGATTTTCTAGTGCTTTTATATTGGTTTTCCTATATTTACAATCTTTCATCTGAAAAAAACATATATGTATGTACAATGTACAAAGTAAATTGTATTTCAGTGCTGAAAATGTTGCTTTTTATTTCTTTCTCTTTTTTTAGGAACTCCAGTAAACTAGTAAATAGAAGTCAAAGGTGGCATTGGGTTTTTTAACCTAATCTCAGTATGGACACTTTGGATGTATAATAACAGTGGAATTGTCTGTAGTTTATACTGACATACCATATATCAAATTGAGTTTATTTAAAATAAATTTTATGAGCTTATTAAAAGATTGATTTTGATTAGTGTTGTTTTTAAATCAGAAATGTGTGCTTAGATTTTACTAAATAACTTTTTCATATGGATATGATGAGTTGCACTGATACTGATGTGGTTTCTAATATTAAGTCATCCTTCTATTGCTAGAATAAATCCACTGCCTGTGACCTATCATTATTTTTATATATTTTTAAAATTAATTTAGCTAACATTTTATTTAAGAATGGTATTTCAATGTTTATAATATTTTATTAATAAATCATAAAAGGTGTTAGAAAGTCTTACCTGTTTATCAAATTTCTAGAAAATATGGTGAAAAATTAGTGTTATTTGCACCTTAAAAGAACTTGAAATAATTTAGAAGTGAAGCTATCTCTGCTTTTCTATATGGGAGGTTTATAATAAAGGATTTGTATGTTAATAGTAATTTTACTATTTCTAATATTGTCATATATAGTGAGTTTTTAAAAATTTTGATGAGTACATAGTAGGTGTATATATTTATGGAGTACAGGAAATATTTTGATAAAGACATATAATGTGTAATAAGTACATCAGTGTAATGGGGTATCCATCACCTCAAACATTAATGCTTTCTTTGTGTTATAATCATTCCAGTTATAATCCTTTAGTTATTTTAACTAAAATGGTTTTAAAAAGTTAGTTATAACTAAAGGATAATAATCGGAACGACCCTGTTGTGCCATTAAATATTAGATCGTACTGATTCTATCTCACTATATTTTTGTGTTTACTATCCATTTCCAATCCTCCCCCTCTACCACTTCCAGCCACTGGTGACCATCATTCTCCTCCATCTCCAAGAGTTTAATTGTTTTAATTTTTAGCTGTAACAAGTGAGAACATGTGATGTTTGACTTTCTGTGCCTAGTTTATCTCACTTAACATAATGTCCTCCAGTTCTATCCATGTTGTGGCAAATGACAATTTCAGACGATTAATGATACTTAAGCAACTACTTTATTTTTACTTTGAATTTCTGCACTATCAATTGTAAAATCTCTTTTTTTGATCTCTGGTTTTATTTATTTGGTTATTCTCTCTTTTATATCTTAGTAAATCTGGCTAAAAATTTGTTGATTTTCTTTTCAACAAATCAACTTTTATTTTGTCGATGTTTTGTATTTTTAAAATTTTTAATTTCATTTATTTCAGCTCTGATATTTATTATTTATTTTCTTCTATTAAATTTAGCTTTGGTTTGCTCTTTTTTTATTCCGTAAGATGTATTATTAGGTTGTGTATTTGTAGGTTTTCTACATTTTTGATGTAGTTGTTTACTGTTATATTTTTAGTACTTCTTTAGCTCTATCTCATAGGTTTTGGTATGTTGTGTTTCCATTTTCATTTGTTTTTTTAAAAAAACTGATTAATTCCTTTCTTAATTTCTTCAGTGACCCACTTCTCATTAAGGGACATATTGTTTATAAAAATATCCATGTGTTTTTAAAGTTTCCAAAATTTCTTGTTACTGATTTCTTCTTCTATTTCATTGGGGTCAGAAAAAAAATACTTGATAGGATCTCATTTTTTTGACTATTTAAGACTTATTTTGGGGCCCAATATATTACCTATTATTGAGAATGGTCCATGTGCTGAGGAGAAGAATTTGTATTCTTTATCTGTTAGACAAAATGTTCTTTAAATATCAATAAATATTCAATTGGTTTATAGTGCAAATTAAATCTGATGTTTCTTAGTTGACTTTCTGTCTGGATGATCTGTCCGATGCCAAAAGTGGGGTGTTGAAATCTCCAGCTATTATTCTTTTTGAGGTCTATCGCTCTTTTTAGTACTAATAATATTTGTTTTATATATCTAGCTGCTCCACTGTTGGGTGCATATATTTATAATTGTTGCATTCTCTTGCTGAATTGACCCTTTGCCATTAAAACTACCTTCTTTATCTCTTCATGGAGTTTTTGATTTGATATTTATTTTACTTGATGTAATTGTAGGTACTCATGCTCTCTTTTGGTGTCCATTTGCATGGAATATATTTTTCTATGTCCCTATTTTCAATCCATGTGTATATTTATAGGTAAAGTGTGTTTCTTGCAGGCAACAGATCTTTGGGTCCTTTTTAAAAAATCCATTCAGCCACTCTATATCTTTCGATTGGAGGGTTTTATTAATTTCCATTCAATGTTGGTAAGTAAGAAGTTAGTTCTGCCATTTTATTCTCTGCTTTCTGGTTGGTTTTTGGTCTTATTTTCCTTCTTTTCTTTCTTCCTTTTAGTAAAATTGATTTTCTCTAGTGGTATTACTTAATGCATTGCTGTTTATCTTTTACATATCTGTTGTTTCTTGATTTGAGGTGGCCACGAGGCTTGCAAATAATATAACCCATCATTTTAAACTGATGTCAATTTAACACTGCAGAAACAAACAAACAACCAGACAAGTAAAGAGATAACCAACACAAACTCTATAGTTTAACTTCATTGGCTTCATTTTTTAACTTTTTGTTTCCATGTGTAGATTTTATACTATGTCTGGAAAAGTTGTTATGGTTACTATTTTTGATAGGTTCATCTTTTAGTCTTTCTACTCAAAATATAAGTCATTTACACAGCACAATTACACTGTTACAATATTCTGTTTGTCTCTGTGCTTACTATTACCAGTGAGCTTTCTGCCTTCAGATGATTTTGTATTTCACATTAACAATCCTTCTATCAGACTGAATAACTTCCTTAACCATTTTTTGTAGGAAAGATCTGATGCTGATCAAATTCCTTAGATTTTGTTTGTCTGGAAAAGTCTTTATTTCTCCTTCATGTTTGAGGGATATTTTCACTGGTTACACACTATTCTGGGATAAAAGCATTTTTCCTTCAACACTGTAAGTATGCATTGCCACTCTCCTGGCCTGTAAGGTTTCCACTAAGTCTTCTGCCAGACATATTGGAGTGCCTTTGTATATTATTTGTTTTGTCTTGATGCTTTTTTTTTTATCCTTGAACTTTGGGGGTTTGATTATTAAATATCTTGAGGACATCTTATTTAGGTTAAATCTGCTTGGTATTCTATAACCTTCTTGTACTTGAATATTGATATCTTTCTCTAGATTTGGGAAGTTCTCTGTTATTATCCCTTTGAACGAAATTCCTACACCTATCTCTCTCTCTTTGCCTCCACTTTAAGGCCAGTCACTCTTAGATGTGCTATTTGAGACTATTTTCTATGTCTTGTACGTTATCTTCATTTTTTTTCTATTTTTCGTACCTTCTGGCTGTGTATTTCCAAACAGTTTATGGTCAAGTTCATTTATTCGTTCTTCTGATTGATCAGTTTTTCTTTTGTGAGACTGTGCTGCATGCTTCATTATGTCCTTTGTATTTTTCAGATCCTGAATTTCTTTTGATTTTTAAAAATCATTTCAATCTCATTAAATGTATTGGATAGGAATCTGAATTCCTTCTCTGTTGTCTAGAATTTCATTGAGCTTCCTCAAAACAGCCCTTTTGAATTCTCTGTCTGAAAGTTCACATATCACTGTCACTCTGTGAATGGTGACTGGTGCCTTATTTACTTTGATTTTTGAGGTCATGTTTTCCTGGATGGTTTTAGTGATTGTGTATATTTATCAGTGTCTGAGACTTGAAGAGTCAAGTATTTATTGTAATCTTCACAGTCTGGGCTTGTTTGTACCCATCTTTCCTGGGAAGGCTTTCCAAGTGTTCAAAAGGACTTGAGTCTTTTGTCACTTCAGAAATAGTTGCTCGCACAAGCCCAGCAATGCTATATCTTACAAACTCAGAGGTACTGCCTTGGTTGTCTTTGGAAAAATCTGAGATAATTCCCTGTATTATGAGGCAGAGATACTTTGTCTTCCTTACTTTCCCCCAGAAAATCAGAGCACCTATAGTTCTCCATGTTGAGCTGCCCATAGCTGATGGACAGGTGACACAAACGCCCTTTTGGGCATCATCACTGGGACTTCTGGGTGAGACCTGAAACCAGCATAGCACTGGGCCCATGGCAACAATTGTCTGCCTACTAACAATGTTCACTCAAGGCCTAAGAGTGCTTCAGTCATCAGATATTGAGTCCAGTAAGTTTTTTTCCTTCCCTTCAGGGTGGCAAGCTCCTCCCTGGCCCAGGGTGAGACAAGACATGCTGTCCAGGAGGCACTACCTGGAACTGGGAACCTCAGGAATCTTCCTGGTGCTCCATTATACTATGACTGAGCTAACACCCAAGCTGTAAGACAAAGACCTTCCCACTTTTCTCTGTTCTTTTCTCAAGCAGAGGAATCTATTCTTGTGGCCACCACTACTCCAGGCCCACAGAGAATACTGCCAGGCTACCACTAATGTTCACTCAAAGAATGAGGACTCTGCAGTCTGTCTGTGGTAAATGCTGCCATGCTTGGGTCTCTTCACTTCAGGAAAGTGGGCTCCTCGCTGTCTCAAGGTGAGTCCAGACATGCCATCCAGGAGCCAAGGCCTGGAATCAGGGACCCCAGAAATCTGCTTGGTGCCCAACTCCACCGTAGCTGAGCTGGTACTCAAGCTGCAAGACAAAGTCCCCTTTACACTTCTCTTTCCTTTCCTCAGGTAGAAGGAGACTCTTCCCATGGACACCACAACTGGGAATGTGCTGGGTCACACATGATGTCAGCATAGCCCTTGGTCTCTCCCTCAGCCTGCGTAGAGTTCTGCCTGGTTATTGCTAATGTTTATTCAGGACCCAAGGGCTTTTTAGACAGAAGGTGATGAATCCTGCCAGAACTGCGTCCTTTTCTTTAGTGAACTGATTTCCCTTCCAGCCCAGGGTGGGTCTAGAAATGTTGTCCTGGAGCAAGGGCCTAGGAAGGGGCCCTCAGGATTTTGCCTGGTGTCTTACTATATTCTGACTGAGCTGGTATCCAACTTTCAAGACAAAGTCTTCTTTACTCTTCCATCTCCTCTCTTCAAGTAAAAGGAAAGAGTCTGTCCCAGAGCTTGGAGCTCTGCTGTCAGGGATTGGGTGAGGGAATAAACCATTCCCGAGGCCACCCCAGCTGGTGTCTCACTAGGTCGTGTGTACCCCAAGTCCACTGGCTCCAAGCCCAGCGCAGCACCAGGACTTGTCCAGGAATTGCAGTCCTTGTGGCCTAGACTGACTTTCAAGTTTATTTAGGTGCCCAGAGTGCTTCATTCGGTGGTTTAGGGGCTTGCTAGAACTCAGGTTCTTCCCACTGTGATAGACAGTTCCCCACTGGTCAACGCTCCCTTCATAGGTGCTGGCTGAATTCTGCCCTGTGTTGCTTTCTGCAATGTTAGGCAGCATTGAGTACCCATGTAACATTACAATCCCTGTGTTCTCCCTCCCCCAAGCACAAAAGTTCTTTCTCTGTACCATGTGGCTGCTTGAGATAGGGGAGGGGTAGTGTTGATAATTCAAGACTGTGTTTTCTACTCTCTTCAGTACCTCTTTCTTTGATAATGATGTTAAAACCAGGTACTATTATTACCTGATTTTGTTTCTTATGTAGGTGGTTTCTTGTGTGGATAGTTGTTCAGTTTAGTGTTCCTGAAGAGTAGGGGCGATGATTGCTGGAGGGTTCTATTTGGCCATCTTGCTCTGCTTCCCTCTCTATTGAGTTTTCAAAATGAAATTCATAAGTTTCATCTGATCACATATTGGTAAAAGCTCTTAAAGAATAGATTTTGGTTACTTTTTTATCTAGTGCCTATAATAGGAGAAAACAAGTGGTTTTTCCACTTTCACACCTCTCCTCACCACAATTCTAACACCAGATGTTTGGGGGTACTTTCTCACACACCAATCATTCTGCAGAAGACACCAGCTGGGTGTCCTGTAATTCAATTCAATTCTCACACTACCTACTGGAGATAGCATCAGATCATATTCGTTAAGGGCCCACTCCCAAAAGACTGCCCTCCACTTCAAATACTCATTGCAATAGGTTGTCACCTATGTAGTCATGTGTTGCTAAACAATAGAGATACATTCTGACAAATTTTTCCTTAGGTGATCTTGTCATTTGATGACCATTATAGAGTGTGCTATACTTACATTAATCTAGATGGTATAGCCTACTAAACATCCAGGCCATATAGTATAGCCTATTGCTCCTAGACCACAAACCTGCATAGCATATTACTATACTCAATACTGTAGGCAATTGAAACACAATGGTAAGAACTTGTGTTTCTAAATGTATCTAAATATATAAAAGGTGTAGTAAAAATACATTATAATCTTATGGGACCATCATCGTATATGTGGTCTCTTGCTGACTAAATCATTATATAGCACATGACTGTACTTATGACCAACTGGCTACAAATCAGGGTTTTCTTAACCCCCTTCTTGGGTTCCATTAATCTGGTGGCATTGCTTAGAGAACTCAGGGAAACACCGTACTTATGTTTGGCAATTTATTAATAACAGATATAATGAGAATACAGGTGAACATCCACATGAAGAGATATATAGGGCAATGTCTGGAAGGGTCTCAGCACAGGAGTTTTTGTGGTGAGACCAATGGAATTTGTGTGCACTACCCTCCCAGAATTTAAGTGCGTTCATCAACCTGGAAGCTCTCTGAATCCCATAGTTCAGGGACTTTTATGGAGACTTCATCATATAGGCACGATTGATTATTATCTCCATGTCTAGCATCTCTCCTTTCTCTAGCAAAGTGGGATGGGGCTGAACTCTTTAATCTTATAATTATACCTTGGTCTTTCTAATGAACAGCCCACTATAGGAGCCCAACAAGAATTGCGTTATTAGAACAAAAGATATTTCTATCATCCCCCAAAATTCCAAGGGATTCAGTAGCTCTGTGTCTAGAACTGGGGTCAAAGACCAAATATTAGAACAAAGTATTCTCCTAGCAGCCTTCGAGTTTAGAAAATTACAAAGGTGTTAGAAGCTCTTTGACAGCAACTGGAGGCAGAAAACACTAGATGCGTTTCTTAACTTTTTATGATAGCTGCAGTGATATCCCATTTTTATTCCTAATATTGGTCATTGTGGTTGTCTTTTTAACCTTGGACATTTTCCCCTAGAGTTTTAATACGTATTTTTTATTGTTAAAACTGAACATCTAGCATATGGCTTTTTTGATTTTTTCTTTCTTAATGTTTTATTGTATGTTATTAATTTTTGTTTTTGTGTATAATTTATCTTATTTTACTTTATGTAAGTTTAATTTGTGCTATTACATTTAATTTCTTGAAAGAAAGTATTAAATCACTAAATTTTAGATATTCGTTTTCTTTTCTAATCCATACCTCTAAGGTTACAAATTTCTTACTAAATTTTCTGCATTTTAAAACATTTGATGTGTTGAATCTTTATTATGGATAAGTTAGAATTATTTTATTGCTTCCATTTTGGTGTTTTCTTTGACATTGGGTTATTTGTAAGGCAATGCTTATTATTATTGTTGGGAATTGTCTGGATATCTGCCTCTCAATTTCTGAAGTAAATTTACTGTGGTCACAAAACAAACAATAATTTTCGTCTTCAAAATTTATTGATATTATCTTTATTGCCCAACATGGGGTAGGTTTGGTAAATTTCTTATAAGCATTTAAACAAGTTGTTAATTATTGTTGTGTTGTGCACGTTGTTCTAAATATGCCAGATCAATATTGTTAACTGTGTTCAGATTTTATATTTAAAAAAATTGATTCTGTTTATTCTGTAAACTGAAAAAGAGTATAGGTTGCCCATGCCTAATCTGAAAAATCTGAAATCCAAAATATTTCAAAATTTTAAAAATGTTGAGCACCGATATGATGCTGAATGTGGAAAATTTCACACCTGAGCACACGTCATGCATCACAGTCAAAATGCAGATGAACAGTGCACAATTGATTCACTGTCTCCAACGGATAAAGGACTCTTAACAGCCCCATTGACCTGCAATATATTTTTTCTGATTCCCGCACACAAGTACACCAACTAAGTCTATTAAAAAGGCATGTGTGCAGGCCAGACACTCCAAGGGCAATTTCATCACAATGGCCCACTTAAGGCCAAGACCTTCGTGCATTGCTCCCTGCATTTTTCTGTTTATTTTCAGTTGTCTCATACAAAAATATTGTTGAAAATGTCAAAAAGGCCTGCAGACACTCCTATGGGTACCAGTGATAATAAAAAGAGAAATCATTTATGTTTATCTAGAGCACAGAATGTCAAGGTGTTGAAGAAACTAGTCAGTGGTGTAAGTGTGAAATGTTTTACAATAAAGTATGATGTTGGAAGGAGCACCATATATGACCTGAAGAAACAGAAGCTTAAATTGTTGGTGTTCCATGTAAAAAGTGTTGAACAAAAGTTAACAAAAATTATAAGGACATTATATAAAACTAAAAATAAAGCTCTTGAATGTGTACTGTAAGAGATGATCTTTCAGCACCACAGTGAATACATGCCACCAAATGGTATGCTAATCATGAAACAGCAAAGATCTATCACAAGAAACTGAAAAAGGAGGGGAAATTTATTCTATAGGCTAATTACATAAATTTAAGAAAGGACATATTACATTTTTTAAATTTTATAGTGATAAAGCATCTGTTGATCATGAAGCAACAAAGAAATTCATTGATGAGTTTGATAAGATCATCACTGATGAAAATCTGATACTAGAACAAAGTTGCAATACTGATGGAACATCACTGTTTTGGTGTTATTGCTCTAGAAAGACACTGATTACAGCTAGTGAGATATCCCTGACAGAAGTTAAAAATGCCAAAGACACACTATCTGTGCTGATATGTGCTAATGCAGCAGGCAAACATAAGTGTAACCTTGAGATAGACAAAGGCCTGTGTCCCCACTGTTTTCAAGTAGTGAAGTTGTTATCAGCTAATTATCATGCTAATAAAAAGGTATGGATCACCAGGGACAACTTGTCTGATTAATTTCACAAACATTTTGTAGCAAGGTCCTTGCTCTCTGCAGGGAAGCCAGACTAGATGACACTGTAATTTTTTTTAATTTCTTGAAAAGTGTTCTGCTCATTCTACAGCTGAACTTTTCATCAAAAATGTTCATGAAATTTCACCCAAATGTGACTATATTAATTTAGCCATGTGACTAGGATATATTTAGATTAATAAACAGCAAATATGAAGAAGCTCTCTTGAACAGCATGCTAGCGTTAGTGAATAGAGGCATAGGTGTGGACAATTTTCAAAAGAAGTTAGCATGAAGAACACCATCTACGATGTGTCCAGTGCTTGGAAGACAGTGACTAAAGAAACTGTTGTGCATTCCTGGCACCACCTCTGACCAGTAACTAAATTTAATGTTGTTGATGAACAAGATGGTGACTTTGAAAGATTCTATATGATAAGTGAGGAAAAAAAGATGTCTTATCTCCTTAAATATACAAAAAGTATACCTTCAGAATCCGATAAACTGAAAGAAATTGATATTGAAGACATTTTTAATGTTGATACTGAGGCTCCAGTTGTTCGTTCATTGACCAATGGAGAACTAGCTGACATTTTTAAGAATCATGGTAATTATGATAATAGGAACAATGAAGACGATGTTAATACTGCAGAAAACATGCCTAATGACAACATGGTGAAAACACGTGATGAACTTACGGAAGAACTAGGACAGCATACCTTTATAACAGAGTCAGAAATTGTCATTGTATAAAATCAAAGACTGATTTTTAAGACCAAAAAATGCTGTTAATGAGGCAAATTCCTCTGGAGGAAATATTTTAAAAGCCATCTAGCAGAGTGCCTCCTCATCTCTAGAGGACCTACTTCCTGATCTCCCCACTTCCTAGTCCCTCAACTGCTTATGATATTCCTCCTCGTCTAAAAAAATAAAATACATTGCATAGTAAACTTTCAGTGAAAACAGTATTCCTATCACACACTAAAAAAAGAGTTTAATAACAGATTAAATATAATGGAAGGTAAAATTAATTACCTGAAAGGCAGGTTTATAAAATTATTTATTGAATCGCAGACAAAAAAGGACTGAAGAATATGTACATACAAAACCTGTAAATGGTGTAACATATATTTAACTGGACCCTAACAGGAGATGAAAGAAATGATCCAGAAGCAATATTTGAAAAAATAATGGAAAACAAAAGATTTTAGACTATATCACGAAGGACAATAAACCAAGCCTAGTGGGATATATGTATTTTTAGTCCTTTTTCATATATTTCATATCTAGAAACCCCATTTGATACTCATCATTGCCAATTTGGGGCTAATTTATGCATTGCTTTATGTATTTTTGTCCAAATTTCTCCCTGTTTTCTCAAAAGTGATATCATATTTATTTTAATGTTATGTTCTACTAGCTGCAAATTCTGGTTCACCTGCAATTCTGTTTTTATTGACTAATTACTCTTTTAGCTACTGTTCATGTATTATTTCCTCTTCAAATGTCTAGTAATTTTTACTTTTTTCTGTTAGACATTATGTATAAAATAAAATTAAAGCCTTTAAGTTATCTTCTATTAAATAGGATTGCAACTTACTTTTGTGGGGTATATGATGGACAGGGATGGGGGTGTATATGTGTGTGGTAGGGTGTGATTACCAAATTAATCCAATCAGAGGTTATGCAGAGTTGTGACTGGGATGCAAGTTCCATAAAAGTTAGCCCACCTGTGGAATGCCACTATTCCTAGGGTGATTAATTCGGAGTTTTTTATTTGGAACAGGGCAGCACTCTGCCTCCACTGCTCTGATACACTCCAGAAGTTTCAGTTTTATACTTCAGAGTGCTTCTGTTGAGGTCTTTGATTTTTCATTCCATGCTGTTTTAAAATTTGCTAAATGTCTTGATGGTGAGATTGTTTATGCTTTAAGGCTTACAAGACTCCTATCTTCTCCCTCCAGTTCCACGTGTGTGCTGCTGATTTCCTTGTCACTTTTAGCAGGGCCAAGCCTGATTTGCATTCTCTACTTGGACCCATAATCACTAAGTGTTCCCAAGTGAGAAGCAGTTGTGGAACTTCAGAGTTAATCTACCACTATCTCCAGGACTTCATTTTCTGGTCTGCTTATTTATTTGTTAAGCCTTCTGGCTTTGTCAGATTTTGGTTTCTTAAGAGCCAGCATGAAAACTTTACAGCCTAACTCTTTATCTTTCTATGCAGCACAATTTAGCAAATGTATATTTGGGTAAAATAAAAAAGTTATGAATTTGAGGTCTCTGGATGTCTCAATCATTCTATCCCCAAGCAGCTACTAAGAAATTTGCTGCTTTTTCTTTTCCCATCAGCAGACCTCAGCCTATGTCAAGCTCTGATCCTGAAATAGCCTCCTGAATTGAAAAAAAAAAGAAAGAAAAGAAAATGACTAGCTGACATTCTCATATCACCAATTGAGATATTATCCCAGTAAATAATTTAAAAGCAGGTGGTAGTCATAAAGTTGTGCATAATCTTCAAATAATTATTATAAATTGACAAGAGAAAGCATTTAAACACTAGCAAAAGGTATATAATTCAATTTTCAGCGATGCTAATTCAAATAAAGAATACTAAAATTTACTAATATTAAGGATAAAATTAAATTTGTAGCGAAGTAACAAACACATGAGTGATTTTTAAAATAGAATAAAGACCTATAAGCCCTATTGTTTTGGAGTCTATGATAAAAGGATTACTATCTGGTATGTGTTGGAAATGCCAAGTTTACTGCCTTTTGAAAATTAAGTTGGCAATTTCTTCTGAAACCCAAGTGCACCAAGCGTTTGATCCACAGATTGCACTTTGAGAATTTGTAATACAAAAAATCTAATGTTCCAATACAGAAAAGTATGGATGCAAAGATATTTACTGAACAAAAGCTGAAGTGGCATAAACATGGCCAACATATTGTATGCTCATTACTAGGAAGATGGGAGAATAAATCATGACTATATCCATACAGTGAAATATATGTAGTCCTTGCAAAAATTTAAATCAATGTGAAATGACTTTTAATGTTGTATACAAAGTATTTTGAAGTGAAAAAAAATCATGATGTAATAATTGTGTCTAACAGCTTATTTTAAAAAATAGTCAACACTTTATATTTGAATGTGAACATATTTTACATTGTTATGGATTGAAATGTGTTCCCACAAAACTCATGTGTTGAAGTCCTTATCCTCAACAAGACTGTATTTGGAGTTATTATTTTTAAAGGGGTAATCCAGGCTAATTGAAATCATAGAGGTGGAACACTAATCCATTATGAGTGGTGTCCTGATAAGAAGAGGAAGAGACACTGTGGAGGCTTGTGCACAGAGAAAAAGCCATGTGAGGAGACAGCAAGAAATAAACCATCTGCAAGTCAAAATGAGAGGCCTGAGGGAAAACTAAATGTGTTGACACCTTGATCTTAGACTTGCAGCCTCCAGAACATTGAGAAATAAACTTCTGTCATTTAAGCCATGCATTCTATAGTATTTTGTTATGACAGTCCTAGCAGACAGATCCGTACATATTTATTGTAATAAAAAGTTTATTAACCCAAGGTGACGTTGCATTTTAGGGATAACGGTCTGATATAGATAAGACAGAGACAGGAGGAAACCTATCTATATTATCTCCATATTAAAAGAAAATTAAGTCTGCAATAAAATGTATAATCATATTCACCTAAAATTGTACATAATTTAAGTGTATTTCTGTTACATATGTATTCATATACATATATTCTTTATTAAGATATAAATAATTTTATATACTACAACAATCTGTAACAATAACAGTATACCACACCCAAAAGTGTCGCTTTCATGTTCAACTTTAATTTTTGCCAAACTTTCAAAATCTTTCTAGTAAGTATTTACAGCTGCCAAGGTCTCTAATTCAGAGCAGGATTCTTATATGTAACTGAGAGTCTGGTATAGAATACACATTCCGTAAACCATTTTTTAAACTTTGTAAACAAATGAGTGTGTGAAAGAACAGATGAAGGAACATGAATGACTAATAGTCATTAGTACACTTTGTATTTATTCATTCATTTATTAAAAGACTTCTCATTAAATATAGAGTTAAATTCAAATTTCTTGTCTTCCATGGTTGTTTATAATCCAATGTCATTATGTTTTTCTAGCCCTATTTTTCTTTTTTACTTTATGTAAATTTTAAGAGTAAAAAATATGCCTTTAACCTATCTATTACCACTATGATATCTTTTTATCCCCAGTGCAATATTTATACAATGTAGCAGTATTGTTTGGAGAGCAAGATCAGGTGTCAGTCTGAGTTTTAATCCTGGATCTAGTATTTAATAGATCAATTAACTTAGAATAGGCCATTTAGTCCCAGGCCTCTACTTTTTTGCCTTATTTTACAAAAGCAGCAATAGTAGTGTATGTGTTTAATAATGTTAGAAATAATGATTACAAAATGCTTGCAATAATATCTGCTGCATGGCAAACACTTAATATATTATAATTTACCTAATTTTAGATATCTCCACATTTCCCTTTTTATTAAAATTTCAATTGTCCTTCAGTGACTCTCTCAGGTAAAACAATTTCATGGTGTCTTTCTTTGATATTTTTGGAAGTTTCCTTTTATTTTCCTAAGATATAGTCCTCTCGCTTTTTTGTAATCATTTGATACATATCATAAATATTCACTATTTATCTCTTTAAAATAGATATGCATCACATCTTGCTTAGTAGTCAGGAAGCTCACAGGGATCAAGGTCAAATGATGAATCCCACACATGGTCCTGTCATGTGCAAAACAAGGCACAGTTTCTCCGAACGAGCATTTCTAAAACTATGTGGTTTTGTTCATTGGTAAATCTCCAGTGCCTTGAAACATTTCCAATAGTTTTTGACTCAGGACATATATTACTTCCTCATTTTAATATTGTTAATTTATTTTTTGTTTATTTGTTTTCAATCTTGCCTTCTAAATTACTTTTTGTTTTTGGTCTGTGAAGAATCTCTTGACATTTAGTATGTCAACCAGTGAAAAAAATAAATGATGGTACTTGGATCTACATCCATTTACTTTAGTCATAAATGACCTTGAATTTAGTAGAAAATCTAAAAGAGAGTTGGATTGTTTAGTTGAATTGTTTCTAAAGCATTAATGTTATATTCCAGAGCATACCTACTTAGAGGTTGACAGGAAAATGTTTTAAAAATAAAAATATAGATATTGATATATATTTTCCCACTAAATAAGAGATAATACATTTTATTCATTAGTTATGGGGCAATGTAATATATTATCTATCTGTTGATCGATTGTCAATTCCTATACTTTAATAACACCTGAGTCTTTCATTACAGTGGAAGGATAAATCTATTACTAAACAAGGAGTCAACAGTTTTTCAGTCATAAAATATTCCAAACATTTCAATTAGAATATAGCCATGTTTCTACATAAAACAAGGCTGTTTTAACACTGAAATCATCAGATTTGTCACCAGGAAAAGCCGATTCTGTCAACAATTCTATTGCATTTCACATCTGTTTGCTTCTGAAAAAAAAAGAAGTAAATAGTTCCATAATAGCTAAATATAGTTTAAAATGACTTTTCAGATTTCCTTTCAAGTGAGAAGAAAAATAATCTTTCATCAACAGAGAATGTCCTGGCAAGCAGAAATATTGCTTATTTGGTAAAAGCCTATGAAATATTGCAACTATCCTACTGTGAACATCAATATTTAATTTTTCTCATTTTTTTATGACTAAGTGTCCAAGAAACATAATACATCAAGAGCCACTGTATTAAAAAGCAGATGGAGAACTCAGGGAATTAAATAGCAAAAGATACAGAGCTTTGCTCTCATTTCCAACTACATCGATTTTGGTTATTACTTGTTGACTTGTCTTTCTCATTAATTTCAAATGTAGATAATTAAAGACAATTTTTAATCTACATATAGTTAAGCAGGGCAGACTATATTAAATAGTTCAACAGTTGTAACAAATAATGTTTCCTATCACATATATTTTAGGAACACTGAAGAAAACCAGAATTGTACTATATAGAAGCCTGACCTCTTTCACTTAGTATTATGCATTAGAGTTCATGTTCCTGCTTTTGTCATTTGGCTTGCCTTTGTTCATTTCTTTTTCTTTCTAAGTAGTATTTCATTGCTTAAATGTATCATAGTTTGTTTATTCATTTAGCAGTTGAAAGAAATTTCAGCGTGTTAATTCAATTATTATATTATAATTACAAACTTTTACAAACCATGTTATGTAAACATAAGTTTAATTACACTTTGGTAAATAAATAGAATTGGTGAGTCAAATCATATGTATATGGTAAACTTTATAAGAAGCTGACAAACCGTTACAAAATAATTCGATGAACCTCAACAGTTTCCATAGAAATGAAATTATTCATGGAGATATTTAATGTGTTATGATTGATGTCTTCTTCTCTTG
Organism: Homo sapiens; assembly: GCF_000001405.40. Lineage (NCBI taxonomy): Eukaryota > Metazoa > Chordata > Mammalia > Primates > Hominidae > Homo > Homo sapiens. The sequence continues at coordinate 23,174,637 of NC_000021.9, read as the reverse complement.
AAGTAATAAACCAATTATAATTTTATAACCCATACCCTAAAATATAAACCCCAGAAGAGCAGATATTTCTATTTTGAATTCTGAGTGTCCTCAGTAGCTAGTACTGTGTCCACAAAAAAGTAGATGTTCAGTAACTATGCAATGAGTGAATAACCCAATATTACATAAGTTCTGCTTACTCTGTCCTGCTGTAACAAAATACCTGAAAATTGGTAATTTATAAACAATAGAAATATATTTTCTTATATTTCTGGAGGCTGAGAAGTCCAAGACAAAGATTCTCATGGGCTTGATTGTCTGGTGAGGGTTATATCCTCTGCAGGGGAGAAATGCTGTGTCCTAACATGGCAGACGGCAGAAGAACAGCCAAGTATTGTGTGAAGCTTCTTTTACATCAGCCTTAATCCCATACATGAGGGAGAATCCCTAATGACTTAATCACCTCTTAAAGCTCCAGGTCTTAATACTATGACATTGGCAACAGCTAAACTTTGAAGGGGACACATTCAAACAATAGCAAGTACAAAATATATCACAAAACATATGTCAGACTTTATATATATATATATGTATACTAGATATATACAAAATATATACTCAATATATACAAATATATACACAAAAAATATACAAATATATACACAAAAATAAATATACAAATACAAATATATAAAAGTACAAATATATACACAAAAATATATACATATATACAACTATATACACAAAACATGATTGATTATATATACAAAAATATATACATATATACAAATATATAAAAATATACAAATGTATGCACAAAAAATATACAAATATATACACAAAACATATGCTATATACAAATGTATACAAATATATATACAAAATATATACAAATACACAAAAATATACAAATATATAAATATACAAATATATTAAAATATATACACAAAAATATACAAATATATACACAAAACATATGCTAGATTATATATATACAAATATATAAATATACAAATATATAAAAAATACAAATATATACACAAAACATACATACATACACAAAACATGCTAGATTTTATATATATATATATATATATATACTGCCATCATAAAATATATGGCAGTATTGAAAGGCAGGATCTTTAAGAGGTGATTGAATCATGAGGCTCTGCCCTTACAAATGGATTAATCTCTTCATGGATTCATGGAATAATGGGTTATCATGGAGTGGAACTGGTGTCTTTATGAGAAGCGGATGACAGAAGGGAGCAAGCCCACGAGCATCCTCAGTCTGCTGGCCGACTGTGCTGCCTTAGGACTATTCAAAGAGTCCCTACCAACTCTCACCTGATACGGCTCCTCAACATTGAACTTCTCAGCCTCCATAACTGTAAGAAATAAATTCCTTTTCTTTATAAATAACCAGTTTCAGGCATTCTGCTATAAACAAGAGAAATCAGACAAATAGGACCTGGAAGCAGGCTTCTGATTTGGGTATTGCCACTTGGTGGTTTGTTGACATGAGGTAGGTCATTTGACTTCTTGGTGTTTCAGTGTCTTATAAATAAATTGGAGACCATACTAGTTCCAAACTTGACAGGTGTTCAAAGAGCTTAAACTACTTAATGTATGTAAAAGTGTTATGATATTGACTGTTGGATAGTCAGATTGATATAAATGTTAGGAATTGTTAATATAAACTAGTCTGATGGTTTTTAATTTGATATGGCCAAAATTAGTGTGGTGGGAGATTTTGAAAGCAACACTTTAAAAATTAAATTATCACTGTCAAAAGGCTGAGTTTAAGACATTAGCATCTCTTGGCACAGTATAAAGACAAAGAGAAATAGGCCCAATTATTTCCAAATTATTGCATATTTTTGTGTATATATTTTGATATATATGTATATTTATATATTTGTATATTTTTGTGTATTTGTATATATTTTTGTGTATATATTTGTATACATTTGTATATAGCATATGTTTTGTGTATATATTTGTATATTTTTTGTGCATATATTTGTATATTTTTATATATTTGTATATAATTGTATATTTCTATTTTTTGTATATTGGAAATTAATGTATTCCAAATATTGGATCAAAAGGCTATTGCCATATATTGCAGTAAATGGATCACAATGCATCAACAGTTCAATTTCAGAGATGACATTGTTCAGATATTGTGGGGCATATTAACGCAGTCAAGGTTTTATACTCACAAGTGGTTGTGGGGCTGAGTGATATCTAAAAAGGATACTATTGTATATTTCATCACTTTAGTTTTTGAAAAAAAAATTTCCTACTTAAAATTTTTGTGTACACAAAATTTCTCAGCAATACGACAGCATTGGAAAATTCATTTAGATACAAAAAAATGCCTTTATAGCAACATTTCCCAACTTTCCTTCAAAGGCAGAAAGAGCTATTAAACTAGATTTAATAGGATGTGTTAGCCAGATATTTCCTTCCAAGTAAATCTTTTCCAAACAGGGTAAAAGACATAATTTGTATTTCAGTAGAGACTAGTATCCAAGCCCATCAACTTCCTTTATTTTTTTTCCTTTTGAAACAGAATCTCACTCTGTCACCCAGGCTGGAGTGCAGTGGTGTGATCTCGGCTCACTGCCACCTTCACTTCTGGGGTTCAAGCGATTTTCATGCCTCAGCCTCCCAAGTAGCTGGGATTACAGGCGTGCGCCACTACACCCAGCTAATTATTGTAATTTTAGTAAAGATGGGGCTTTGCCATGTTGACCAGACTGGTCTGGAACTCCTGACCTGAAGTGATGTGCTTACCTCGGCCTCCCAAAGTACTGGGATTACAGGCATGAGACACCACACCCGGCCTCAAGCCTATGAACTTCTAATACTAAGTTGGAGCTCTATCCCTCTGCCCTCTGCTATGCAGTTACTGCTTTCTGAAACTGTCAGAGAACATGGGAAAATTATTCCACAACCATTATCATTCCAAAATTATTTAGATACAAAACCCTCAGAAACAAACAACTAGATAAATAAGAAAGACTAATAAAGAGTGTTGTATGAGAAATATATTTTACTGAGAGGGAAGACAAACATCTGTGCATTAGATGAATACTAAGCATAGAACGGAATTTTAACTAATGTTGGGCTTAATCTGTACGTAAACACAGCAGTTGCAGATCTAGGAGACTGTGTCAATAGACTAAGTGGTAAGAGAGAAGGTAAAAGAGAAATTCACATTTGATCTTTTGAAACATATATTCTTTAAAAATCACAACTCAGTCAAAAATGAGTAAAGTCTGTTACTTAGGGAATATTACTGCAAAGAAGAGTGGGAGATAAGAATAGTTCAAATAGGACTCTCATTGAAAAGGTCTACCAACAACAAAATATTGACTTGACTTAAAATTATCTATTTTCCTTCTTTAGTTGAGTCACAGGTAAATTGATGCTCAATATAGCATTACTTTGTATATTTTATGTATAAAACATTCCATATCAAGCATTTATTATTTCCTTATAATAGATGAAAAGAATGCTGAACATGTAGAGAAATGACATAAATGTTGCTATAATTACATTTTTAATAATAAATCTTGCTGGCAAATAAAGATAAAATATCGGAAAATTTAAAAAACTTCTCAATGCATATTACATATTATATATAATGCATATTCTCAAAGCATATGTATGACGGTTTTATATATATATATAAATACAATTGAACTAAAAATTAAAACATAACATTTTCAGAGTAACAGCATAAAACTAATATAAGAGGATAGACAACATTAAAAGACAATGTATGGTCCGGATCTGGTAGCTCATGCCTGTAGTCCCAGGACTTTGGGAGGTCGCGGCAGGCAGATTGCTTGAGCTCAGGAGTTGGAGACCAGCCGGGGAAACATAATGAGACCCCCATATCTACAAAAAAATGCAAAAATGCTGGCCATGGTGGCACATGCCTGTAGTTGCAGGTACTCAGGAGGCTGAGGTGGGAGGACAGCTTGAGCTCGAGAGGTTAAGGCTGCAGCAGCGAGCAATGATGGCACTGCTGAACTCCTGCCTAGGTGACAAAGGCAGACCCTGTCTAAAAAAAAAAAAAAAAAAAAAAAAAAGTATGCAATAAAACTGAATAGAATGGGAAGTAAACGTAGTCAAATTCATACTTGTTGAAATCAAATGAAAATTAAAGTAATGACACCTTAAAATCTACATTTGAATTAGTAAAAATACAGTATTGTAGAAAAATCTAAATCAGTAATTTTAATGTTAAAAGATATCACCTGAAGCAGTAATATAAAAACTATTAGGAAAATCCTGATTGATGTGAGGAAAGACAAACAGAAAAAAAGCTCTATATACCCATATAGATGTACATATATAAATAGGTTTAGAAATATATTTATGTACCTATAAGTAGATACTGACACAGGTAAATAGATATAGGTATAGAAGTATATATTTATATGTATATATATAAGCTATATCTAAATATACCTACATGGATAGAGTTTTTTTATTCTCTTTTTTCCTTTCTTACAGATGTATATAGGCATAAAGGTATAGTTTTAGATACAGATATTACCGAAAACACGTAAGAAGGAAAGTTAAAAGTAGTTATGCTAGCGAAGTGTGACTGGGTAATTTTCACCCTCATTGGACTTTCCTGTCTCTATTTTGTTTTTATGTTTTCAAATATCAAACATATGTTAAATTGCAGTTTAAAAATTTCTCAAAAATGTTCACATCTTTTTTTTTTTTAAATTATACTTTAAGTTCTAGGATACATGTGTTGAACGTGCAGGTTTGTTACATAGGTATACACATGCCATCGTGGTTTGCTGCACCCATCAACCTGTCATCTACATTAGGTGTTTCTCCTAATGCTATCCTTCCCCTAGCTGCTCACCACCCAACAGGCCCTGATGTGTGATGTTCCCCTCCCTCTGTCCATGTTTTCTCATTGTTCAACTCCCACTTATGAGTGAGAACATGCGGTGTTTGCTTTTGTGTTCCTGTGTTATTTTGCAGAGAATGAAGGTTTCCGGCTTCATCCATGTCTCTGCAATGGACATAAACTCATCCTTTTTTAAGGCTGCATAGTATTCCATGGCATATATGTGCCACATTTTCTATATCCAGTCTATCATTGATGGGCATTTGAGTTGGTCCCAAGTCTTTGCTATTGTGAATAGTGCTGCATTAAACATATGTGTGCATGTGTCTTTATAGTAGAATGATTTATAATCCTTTGGGTATATACCCAGTAATGGGATTGCTGGGTCAAATGATATTTCTGGTTCTAGCTCTTTGAGGAATCAACACAATATCTTACAGAAGGGTTGAACTAATTTACACTCCCACCAACAGTGTAAAAGTGTTCCTATTTGTCCACATACTCTCCAGCATCTGTTGTTTCCTGACTTTTTAATGATCGCCATTCTAACTGGTGTGAGATGATAGCTCATTGTGGTTTTGATTGGCATTTCTCTAATGACCAGTGATGATGAGCTTTTTTTTCATATGTTTTTTGGCCACATAAATGTCTTCTTTTGAGAAGTGTCTGTTCATATCCTTCACCCTCTTTTTAATGGGGTTGTTTGTTTGTTTCCTGTAAATTTGTTTAAGTTCTTTGTAGATTCTTGATATTAGCCCTTTGTCAGATGGATAGATTGCAAAAATGTTCTCCCATTCTGTAGGCTGCCTGTTCACTCTGATGATAGTTTCTTTTGCTATGGAGGAGCTCTTTAGTTTAATTTGATCCCATTTGTCAATGTTTGCTTTTGTTGCCATTGCTTTTGTTGTTTTAGTCATGAAGCCTTTGCCCATGCCTATGTCCTGAATGGTATTGCCTGGGTTTTCGTCTAGGGATTTTATGGTTTTAGGTCTTACGTTTAAATCTTTAATTCATCTTGAGTTAATTTTTGTATAAGTTGTAAGGGAGGGGTCCACCATGATCAAGTCAGCTTCATCCTGGGATGCAAGGCTGGTTCAGCATACACAAATCAATAAACATAATCCATCACATAAACAGAACCAATGACAGAAATCACATGATTATCTCAATAGATGCAGAAAAGGCCTTTGATAAAATTCAACACCCCTTCATGCCAAAAACTCTTAATTAACTAGGTATTGATGGAACATATCTCAAAATAATAAGAGCTATTTATGGCAAACCCACAGCCAATATCATACTCAATGGACAAAAGCTGGAAGCATTCCCTTTGAAAACCAGCACAAGACAAGGATGCCCTCTCTTACCACTTCTATTCAACACAGTATTGGAAGTTCTGGCCAGGGCAATCATGCAAGAGGAAGGTATTCAAATAGGAAAAGAGGAAGTAAAAATGTCTCTGTTTACAGATGACAAGGTTGTATATTTAGAAAACCCCATCGTCTCAGCCCAAAATCTCCTTTAGCTGATAAGGCAACTTCAACAAAATCTCAGGATACAAAATCAATGTGTAAAAATCACAAGCATTCCTATACACCAATAATAGACAGAGAGCCAAATCATGAGTGCACTCCCATTCACAATTGTTACAAAGAGAATAAAATGCCTAGGAATACAACTTACAAGGCATATGAAGGACTTCTTCAAGAAACCACTGCTCAAGGAAATAAGAGACACAAAAAAATGAAAAAAACATTTCATGCTCACCAATAGGAAGAATAAATATTGTGAAAATGGTCATATTGCCCAAAGTAGTTTATAGATTCAATGTTATTCCCATCAAGCTACCATTGACTTTCTTCATATAATTACAAAAAACTACTTTAAATTTTATATGGAACCAAAAAAAAAAAAAAAGCCTGTATAGCCAAGACAATCCTAAGCAAAACAGCAAAGCTGGTGGCATCACACTACCTGACTTCAAACTACACTACAAGGCTACAGTAACCAAAACAGCATGGTACTGGTACCAAAACAGACATACAGACCAATGGAACAGAACAGAGGCCTCAGAAATAACACCATACATCTACAATCATCTGATCTTTGACAAATCTGACAAAAAGAAGCAATGGGGAAAGGATTCCCTATTTAATAAATGATGTTGGGAAAACTGGCTAGCCATATGCAGGAAAACTGTTCCTATCTTTTAATACAGAATCCTTCTAACTCTTAATCAGAAGGAAATCATAAAAATGCACATTTGTCATTGCTTCATGTTTTTAGTAAATTCAACATTTGGAAGTCATCTAAGTGCCCAAAACTAGGACTAAATAACTACAGCATAAATATTCATAAAATTGAATAAAACATAAATTTTTATACTTAGATTAAATCACAAGGCTCATATAAATGTATGCTACAATGTTTTATACGATTATTTAGAAGCGAGGTAGATTTATGGATGAAAAGAACAAGAGGTGGAGAAAATGTTTAGCAATACTTGAATACATAGTGCAAAGGTGATAGATAATTTTTATACTGTCTCACCTGTATATGCTAAGCTTTCTATAATTAACATAGATGGATTTTTGTAATAATAAAAATGCTATATAAAGTTTTACTAGTTACATGAAGCACTCAGAATCAACAATAAATCAAAGAAATAAGTATGAGAGAGACTAAGCAGACAAACTACAGTTAGAAATCTAAGCTCAGTGTGGGACTGAGGTTAAAATGACTGCTGGAATGGTGGAAACAAAAATAAAGAATTTAGAAAAAAATGAGCAGATTTGAGCACAAAAAAAGGATTACAAAATAGCTGGGTTATACTTGACAGAAGGGAATTTAGGTGTAAGCTGGGTGATTGGAAAGACATGTAAAACTTAGTTTTTTGGAATTGACAAATATTTAAGAATAGCACCCAGATCTAGGATGTTGAAATGAAATCACGTGGCAGCATTCTGTTAATTTTCAACTTCTTACCAGTAATGTAGGGGAAGTAGACATCATTTAAAAATCTGCTTTCAAGATATCATTTTTTAAGTATTTCAGCAGTATAAGAAAGAAGTAGACATGCACGTGATATGATTTTATAACTGAGTACTGAGTCATGTGGACAATAGAAAGTACTTACTCAATAAACAAATGAATAAATTAATAGGTTCATTAATCAATAAGATAATAATGTTTTTGTTTATGATACCAGTGTTTATATGGCTACAGAATTTTGCTCTCACAGTGGGAGATTACATCAAAACAATTTCTTGAAGTTCAGTGGTTCTAAAAATATTTTCACAAACTATAGGGTGTCTTTAAAAATTGTTTAAATTCCTAAGCTATTGTGTAAAAAGTGAAGGCCATTATATGGAAAATTAAACAAATATATAAAATTTTCAATCTCTTTAATGAAATTGTCAGCTCAATTTATAATTTATTTCACATTATCCGAAATGATCTCAAAATTTCCTTTAGTAAAGATTTTATAAGCTGATCTAGATAGCTAAATGTCATTTGTAATGTGATGCTTGATGATTCCGATGAAAATTACACGATTTCTTAAAAGTACGAAATCTTCAGTGACACTTTTCTCTATACCTTATGCTTCGTCTTGAACACCATGAAAAAGCCATTTTCTTTTTATTTAACCTAAGATCGAATTAGCAATTGCAATTTATTCCTAATATTACACCTTACAAATCATAAGATAAAAGAGAATTAATCTTTACACTATAAAATTAATGGCGACCAACACTGCTTGGTAATTTGATTTTAGTTTTTTAAGTGCAAAATTATTTTACTTAAGAAAAGTCAGAAATGGCCCTAAAGTGTAACCTTCTTTAAGTGAGTACTGCACTATGTGCCTATAATAATCATTTACATTTTTAATTGCTTCCAGACCAAATGTTTTTTGATAAAATGCAGCAAAGTTGATATTGAAAGAAATATTTCATAAATCACACTCTAAGTCTGTTGTAAACTTATTATCATTTCAGATTAATCACAAAATTTCCCAAAAAGTGAATTAAATCTATAATAAATGGTCTATGTGCTGTAAGTGGCTCAATGACATAAATTTAAAGTTTTAAATGCTTTAAGTCTCATGGACAACAGTCCTTAAAGTGAATGATAAGCAGTTTCAAAGTATTAGCATCATCTAAAAGTGGCCTAAATATTCAAATTATGCAGGTGTCCCCTAAATAATCCATGGAGGATACAATTAAAATCTGTACGTCCACTTAAGCTTTGTGTGTGTGTGTGTTTGTGTATGTGTATATCTGACAGGTGTGTATTTATTTTTTATTCAATATGAGGGAATGATTTAAGAGCTGCAACTCAACCCTTGGCATAGGATGACATTCACCTGTTCATACTCTCAGGCTTCACACAAAGAAGGCAAACTGAGGCAAGAACAGAAAGGCTAGAGGCAAGGGACAACCTGCTGGTGAGACTGTATTACACTTCTTTAAAAAAAATTTTTGCCTGTAATGCCATCAATTGTGAAGTTATTATAAGAAAGGAAAAATAAGACTTATATCTTTTAAGTAACCAAATGGAATGATGTACTGTTCCGTTAAACTCTTTATCTGTTAGCCTTTTGGGGCTTATAATAAACAAAATATATTTGTCATATATATTTGGATGCTTCTAACCTATCCAAAGTGTAACGTTTCATATTTAAACTTTTACAATAATCATATTTATTATTTTATTTATTTTTTGTTTTGTTTTGTTCTGTTTTGTTTTTTCAGACGAAGGTTCGCTCTTGTTGCCCAGGCTGGAGTGCAATGGTGCCATCACGGCTCACTGCAAGCTCTGCCCCCTGGGTTCAAGCGATTCTCCTGGCTCAGCCCTCTGAGTAGGTGGGATTACAGACAAGTGCCACCACACCCAGCTAATTTTGTATTTTTAGTAGGGACAGGGTTTCTCCATGTTGGTCAGGCTGGTCTTGAACTCCTGACCTCAGGTGATCTGCCGGCCTCAGCCTCCCAAAGTGCTGGGATTACAGGCGTGAGCCCTGTGCCCAGCCTATTTTATGTTTTTTACTTGTTGACTTAGAAGCAGAATCAGAAGGTATGGCTTACATAGCAGCAGCAGGGAGAGTAACCATTCTTGGTTCCCAATATCATCTATGTAACTGGTGGTAATTTCTTTTCCTTCAAAATTAAAATTATCTCAGCTCACAAATATGTTAAGTATTTACCAGAAGGAGATTATTTTGTTCAATTCCAAAATCTCATATTTCAATGATGATAAATTTCACAGTTTATAAACTATAGGACCCAACTTATATAGAAATTTGCCATCAGCGTCATTACCTAGATCAGCATAAACAGAGAAAAATGCCAAAATCAGTGCTTTTGAAAAATAAGCTGTTTACCGAGGTAAGCTTATCAAGCATCACGCACTTGAAGAATCCAGGCTACACACTTTGTATTACTGTCTTCCCATGTGTAGATTCCAAGGTCTCCACGAGATTGAAAGGGAAGGAAGTAGGAGGCACACTGGATCTTAACAGCCTTAACCCAGAGGTATATGCCTTCCCTTTGCTCACAGTCTTTTAGCAAGAACTTAGCCACGTGACCCCAAGTTAATTATAAGAGATAAATTAAGTAAAATACATCTACACAAAAACCTAAGGGGTATTTGATAAGAATAAGCTGCCTCTGCAGCGAAGGCTGAAAAAGAAAACAGTGACAAAGTTATATTCGGGAAGAATGCCAAAACAATTTTTCAACAAATGTATTTTTACAAAATATTGTCTGAAATTAAATTATTTACATTAAATTTGTTCGTAAATGGAAGGAAAACACTATTACATTTTATTTCATCCTTTAAGGCTACACGTTTTTCTCACATTTCAATATACATGAAATCAGAATTGACCTTACAATCACTTAGTGGCTGTTGATAGGCATTATGTAATTGATATTGTCTGCTTGAATACACATAAACTTGCAAAATAGGTGTCACAATATTAAGAAACCTCAGAGTCAGTAATTAAGCCCTCTTAAGAATTTTGATTCTTAAAATGTAAGATATCTTAAGATAATAGTATATAAAAATATAAATATCAACTCAATCAAAAATTGATTCAAGAGAATTTAATTATCAACAGAAAGATTTTTAGAAATACATTAACTGAATAACTTCATTCATCACATCTTTCTTAGTCATCTCAAGAGTAATATGTAATTTTATAAGTCTCTAAGAGTGAAATGGATTTTTCACCAAATGTGCAACTATTAAATTATTATAAAAAATTATATCATGATCCTATTGGAAGTATCTATGTTTCCTTCATTCATGATGCATAAAATACTGGTTTGTTGTAGAATAACAAAATCAGAAATTTGAGGAAATGTGATACAAAAAATTAATTAAATTATTTTAAATAATTATTATTTCTCCTTAGACATAATGACAATGAAATGAGTAAAACTAGCTTCTTTTAATACAAGACTTTAATTTTTTCACAAAAAATCATTCATGCATTTGAGCTAGGAATGAGTAAAATGTTCCAAAAAGTCATTTGTATGTAGAAATATTAATATTACACATTATTCTGTAAAACCTTTTATGCTTTTATAATTGCCACTTTTTAACAATTTGAAATGAAATTTTAAAAGTTTTATCATAGGGCAGTGAAAATAGAACTTTGTTTCCTAAAGATGAGTTAGTACACTGTAGCTATACAAAATTTTGAAATATAACTTAAAGCCCAAATATCCCATTCAATATCACAGATTACACTTTTTAAACACATTTGGCACAAATCACAATGGATTTAGTAATATTAATGCCACAAGACTTTCCAGTTAAATAGTTTCATATATATACATATATGTTGTTTGATAACCATGAACTCATTCAAAGCTCAGGGCATAGCTGAATGATGTCAAGTATTTGGCAACTATGCAGATCAATCACAGTAACACCTCATTGCTCTGGAGACAATGACAGGACATGATGTTGAATTTGACAGGTTCGCTGACATAGACTGAATTTCATTGCAGTCACACTAGGCTGTAAACGAAACTGTAGTCCTTGAGGAGGGGATGTGAGTCATGACATTAGGTACTGCACAGACAAACAATGAGTAGTTACAGCTTAAAGTCAACATGCTTTATTCCTGCCATAATCTTCTTTAAATTGCATTTGTCCAAAATATCCCACTACTTCAAACAAATAAAAACAACCCAAAATACGTTTCCTTACTGGCATTAATTCTATGAAGGGAATAAAGATGTGTATATAATTTCCCTGCCCTCATGAAGCTTGAGGAAATGTATGTACCCTGTCCTCTCTCACACTGACTCTACAGTCTTGGCTTTTGTACACACGACCCCACTGGGAAGCAATACACATGCAATAAACCATTCCACTGAATAGAGCTTTATGCTCCTATGAGCAATGCTGAAAGAAGACACTATTGAGGCTTTACAGAAGAGATTCCAAAGCATGATTCCTAAGAAAGCTTGACTTTCAGTTCATCCTTAACTGATGTGGGGACTGGAAGAAGAGTAAAGACAGGAGGATTTTAAGAGACAGGAAATCAAATGAAGTCATGAGAATATGAAAAACTATGGTGGTTTATGTGTACAAGAGTTACTTCCTCTAAAATGAGTTGTTTGTAACTTAAAACTGCAAGTCAGAAAATTAGGGAGTGATACAATTGAGTCAGCACAGTGATAAAAACTATCAAGGCTTTGAAAGGCAGAATTACAAACCTCAGCAATATTTACTATATAGAGTCAATTAATATTTTAAAGCTGCAGAGTGACACAATAAGAAATCCTAAATTTCAGGAAAAATCAGTTAGTGGGTAAGTCAAAAGCCAATTATGAAGGGATCATTGGAAAGCCTGTGCTCCAGTCGGCCTCAGAATGAATTCAATGGTGCAGGCCAATACAGTATCAGCAAGACTAGACAGAAAGGGACACATGTAAAAGACATTTCAGAGGATGAGTATGATGTGATGTTTATTTTTATAACAAGTAGAAAGAGTGATATTTTAAGATTTTAAGTTACATTTTACTATAATAAACAAGAGCAGGGTATGAGAAGTATCGTATAATGAAAAAACACATTTCACATACAATCTCATTTTTGCTATGACTAAATAGAAATTTATCAAGCAAGTAGAAAGAGTGATATGTTAAAATTTTAAGTTACTTTTTGGTATAATAAATAAGAGCAGGGCTTGAGTAGTATTGATTAATGGAAAAACACATTTCACATACAATCCCATTTTTGTTATGACTAAATAGAAATTGTCAAACTAGTAGCCATGATAGTAAAGACTGTCCTGTGAAAGGTTGAAAACCATTAAAGTCATTTACCCTTGTCTCATTTCCTTCCAGTACATTATATTCAAGATGACAAAACACTTGCATTATGATGGCTGTGTGGCTGATCGATGAATGCAAATATAGTGACTCTTCACGTTTTGGGAAAAAAAAAAAAAATTCCAAGAAGGTGAGCTATTTTTCAATATGCCACGAGAGTCTGCAAGGCTGTGCCACATAGCTTTACTGGATATCAGGTCTCAGTCAATATTTTCTTGCTTCTCATTCCTAGTTTTATGGATCAATCTTCCTGAAAATTACAAAAATGAGACTTGCTTTTCTTTGACTTACCCACAGCAAAACTCACCTCACCAGAAGGGGGAGATGTATTGCTTATGATCCCAATTGCTTTGTAGTTGTAAAGCAAATGTTAATAAAACAAGAAACACATTTTTGTCCTTGGCAGGTACTCAGGACAATAAAATTGCTTTTGCTATTAGAAGACTGCTTTTTATTCCTTCAGCTCTTGTAAGTGAGATTTTAGGAGAACTCTACAAAAAATTAACCTTTCAATTCATCTTTCAACATCTTACTGTCCAGTTTATTTATCTGATTTATTTTTATTTGTTACTAATCTATTTAGGAATAAACATTTAGTTAGATAAATTTTGGCAAGAAAAAACTATACTTGAATTCTAAGCATTGCCTGAAGAGGGAATTTATTGATAACTTAAGTGTAATGTAAGGTGAAACAAATGCTGTTAAAAGTAATTTACGGTGATAGTGGTAAATGCACATTCCACAATCTTCACAAAATGAATTGATTTAGTTGGTGCCCACCCCACTCCTGGCCCTTTAAGTCAGCCAGTCTTCACACAGAAATTACGGCCCCAAAAGATAAACTCCACACATTACTCTAATTTCTGAGTGATCAGAGGACTTCTCTTTTCCTTTTTGCAGGTTTCCCATAGCTTGGTAAATAGTATGTTTGCATTTTTTATCTGGAAACTGATCAAGGCCAATAACCTCAAATCAATCTCTCCAGCATTGTCTAGCCCCTCTGCTAGTATGTTTCCATGAAGATAGATACAGAAAAAAACAGAACTAGGAGCAAGACTAAGAGTATAGTATGTTATTTTTTAAGATAGTAATTGGATGTAAAAGAATGCTTCCTAAGAAGAGCTTAATGTTACCTGAGAGAGAGACAGAGAGAAAAGGGTGAGGGGAGCAAAAAGTTAAAGCAATACATACTAGAAATACAAACAAAATATTTGTCATTAATATGTAAAGAAGGTAGAAAACATAATACATTTTAAAAAATGTGTGCTTAGACACCGCATTATATGAGTATAGATGCTGAAAAATAAAAATCAAGAGTGAAAAATTAAAGTGTGAGATAATATATAATAACATTCAATTAGAATTCACTCCAACTGCAAACATAGTCTGTCAGTTTATTACTCAAACAAGATGGTGTTTAACGGTTTGCATGCCAGCTACCTCACTGCATCGTCCAAAGATGACTACAGTAGTTCTAGGCAACCCATTTCTACACTCCACATACAGAGACTTCGAAAATGTTCATAGAAATCAGAGTTCCTTCTTCACAGATTTCCACCAGCACCTTAATTGCCAGGAGGAGATCTCATGTTCCATTCTAAGTCAATCTCTTGCAAGGGAAATGGAAGTAACACAATCGGGTAGCCCCCAAAAGATTAACACTTGGGAATAAACAAAGATTTTTCTTCCCCGAATATTTAGTACAGCGAAGAAAGTAAACATCCAAAAGAGCATACCATAGAAAACATAATTATCAGAGTCTGCAAGTGAGGAAAAACATAATGTATTTTCCCTAAGATTTCGCAATTTGTAATTATTATAGCTGTAATTGAAATGTTTTGATGTAAAAGTCGCTTTAAACTAAATACTTCCCTTCATCCTCACTCTGAAGATAACACCTACTCATTAAACAAATTTTTAACAGTCACTAGATGTACTGTGATGGATCATATATTATCAAAAATTAATAAGAAATAGCAATTATCTGTAGTCCCAGCTACTCGGGAGGCTGAGGCAGGAGAATGGCGCGAACCCGGGAGGCGGAGCTTGCAGTGAGTCGAGATCGCGCCACTGCACTCCAGACTGGGCGACAGAGCGAGACTCCGTCTCGGAAAAAAAAAAAAAAAAAAAAAAAAGAAATAGCAATTATCCCATAGTCTGACAGTTAGACATAAGTAGATAACTTATTAATAAATATATGGTAGATAAAAATGACATGTGTCCATGATGTTATGGAGGCTGAGAAGTAAAGCAACCAGCAAAGCAGTGGGAGTCCCTAGGAGACAGAGAGGTTAAGTGACAGTTGAATCACATACTAAAAAAGGAAAAATATTTCTATAGAAATAAATGTAAATGTCCATGTCTTAAAAAATAATGGATTTATGAAAATTCAACATATTTATGTCTGATATAGTTTGAAAACTATAATTTGACTTTTCATTAAAAATATAAGAATAACAATTACTCATATAATTTACTCAAAAGTACATAATATAAATGTCAAACAAAAGGGACAAAAAATTAAGCAAATCATAGTAAAAATTTTTCCCTAAATGTATAGTCAATTATTTGTAATAACATTTAGTAAGTATTTATTTGAGGAGTTTGAATTTTGTTCTTGTTTATCTTGTTCTCTTTCTTTGTAGATTAGTTGGTGTTAACATCAATAGGATAACCCTTTCTTTCAGCATATGTGAATGAAATAAACCAATTATTGCCACTTTCCAGGTTAACCAGAATATACATAGATACGAGGACAGTGGACTGTTCAGTAAAGATCT
The DNA here is from genome assembly GCF_000001405.40 of Homo sapiens. Lineage (NCBI taxonomy): Eukaryota > Metazoa > Chordata > Mammalia > Primates > Hominidae > Homo > Homo sapiens. The sequence continues at coordinate 23,158,642 of NC_000021.9, read as the reverse complement.
AACCAAATTCTGACACTTGAACCTCTAGGAGACATTCTAGCATTAGACATTTCCATTCACAACTTTCAGTCATGTAGTATAGAGATGATGTATATTAAATACATATGTTGTTCCTTCAGTAACAATCAACCACTATTCATATTTTATTTCACTTATTTATATTTACATTCTCAGGAAATTTGTGGAAATTGTACTAAATGGAATTTATTTCCTTCTCTATCTAATGTGCTTTCACTGTTACCATCATTAATTTTACAAGACTCATACGATTTTTTCTATTTGAAATCTTTTATAACTTCATACTGCTTCTTCTTATTTCTCTTATACAAATTTAGAGATCCAATGTTCATCATACCATTTATATATTTTCCTTTTCCTTCGTCATATTGTTTACATAGAAATATTCTATATGTTCTGTTATTATTGGCAGATAATTAATTGTGTAATAATGCTTTTAATTTGTTCACTTTTTCAAGATCCACAGAATGATTTTCTTCTTTAGAACCTCAATACTTCTTCATATGTGTTGTGGAATTTTCTTTATTCAGTTGTATTTCAAGAGAAAATGTATATAACCCAGTGTTAACTATCAGTTGATATAGGTCACATCAAATATTTTTGAGTTCCTGTTTAACAATTTCAAGCCCAGAAAAGAAAATGATGAATGGGTAAATTAAATATATATACATAACAAAAAGCACGTTAGAACTGAGAAAGCGATGAAATAAAGAGGTGATGATTAAGAATGGAGCAATCCTAAGAAATAGATTTCCTGTTGGCCAATAATTTTATTTCAATTTTATGTTATTATTTGCAGTGAAATCCAAAACTTACTTTGATACTGAATTATTTCTGCTTTCCCTGTGAAATGCCCCACTTCTTAACAATAATCCCCAGATGAGAATCACAATGTAGTGTAATCTTCCATGACAAAAGTATGCGTACTGAAAAAAAAATGCCCAGCTCTATGTGTGACTTCCTGACTGTACTGTTTTATCTTAGCCACTGATGTGGTCCCCATTTACCATAATGTATCTCCATGATATAACCTCACTTTAGTCCTAATACTTCAGAAATAGATAATTTTTTAAAAAAAATTTATTATTCACAATAATGAAGATGTGGAAGCAACCCAAATGTCAATCAACTGATAAATGGATAAAGAAAATATAAATACATATTATAGAATATTTTTCCATCTTAAAAAAGAAATATTTTCATATGTGAAAACATCAGTTAGTTTTACAGATGTCATTCTAAGTGAAATAACCAAATTGCAGAATAAAAACTACTACACAATTCCACTTTACTGAAGTATGTAAAATGGACAAACTCATACAAGCATAAAGTAGAATCGTGTTTGCCAGGGGTTGGGGAGAGAGAATTGGGGGTGTTGCGGTTTGTGGGTATAAAGTTTCTGTTACACACATGAAAGTTCTCGAAATCTGCTACACCACATGTGCTCATGGTGTACAGTATACTTAAACATTTGTTAAGGGATCAGATCTCATTTTATGTGTTTTTTCACTATAATAAAAATAAATTATAAAATAAAACATGACAAAGAGAAAAATATGAAATAAAACATTAACAAGCGTAAAACAAAAGCTTCACAGTACTAAAAACTTTTGACAAATTAAACTTAGCAGTTTATTTGAGCAAAGGAAACATGTATGAATTGGGCAGCACTTATAACCAGTAAATGTTCAATGAGGTCCACCAAGCAACCTGGGCCAGCAATATTTATAGACAGAAAATAGAAGTGACACACAAATTAGCCTGATTGGTTACACCTTGTGTTTTCCTTATTTGGACATGTCTAGGCAGTTGGCGGTCTGTGACTGGCTGAAAGCTCAGCTACTGTAATTGGCCAAGATTTTCTTACTTTCATAAAAATATACCCTCAAGTTAGGTTACAGTTTGCTACGTGAGGAGTGAGCTTTTGATCAAATTTAATTTAATTTACAAAAGGAATGCTGACAAATCTTAACTGTAAAGCTATCAGTCAGTGAAATATGCCTAATGTAGTTGAGGTTTTTTTTTTTTTCAAAAGCTTTTTCACATGTACTCTGAATGATGGATAACCTTATATAAAACATACTTAATCTTTAAAGTTATTTAATCTGCCACAAGCTTTGTAAAATGTTGTATATATAAGAGCACATGAAATCAGAGAGAATAATTGAATGAATGATTAACTACGTGAGCTTTATAGGCATATTTCCACTATTGCATACCTGATTAGATACTACTCACAATTTTTCTCTTAAATAAAAAGAAATGTGAACTCCCTTTCACTCTGAAATTTGAAAATACAAAGATTTCTATCTGTATTTATAGACATCTGTTAAAAAAATCTTACCCTCTATGAAAATGGTAAAAAATAAATACTTTAAAAAATTATGTGATGTTTTAGTAAGTAAATTTAAATTACATTTACAGCAAAATAAATATCATTAAATTTTAGTTATGTAAAAACATACATTTATTTTATAATAAATTTTGACCTGGTTATTCTAAACATCCATGATAATCATTCCTACAAATGTAGTTTTCTTCATAGATATTTGAACTATAATCTGTCATCTGAATCTGATTTTTTTAAATTTAAAAAGTATCTGGAAATCTACTTAAAATAATCTAGAAATAAATTTCAGCCCTGCAAAACCATTTTAAACAGTTTAAATATATTAGTTTATTTCCCCAAATTTAGTAGAGTTAAGTGTACCTCTTTGTCTTATGCACTAAATATATTTTGACTTTACCATCTTTTTATTATTGGAAATCTCTCTTTTTTTTGCTTTCTCTTAAAAAAGCCACATCATTTTACATTTTATTTATATCTTTCTGATTGCCTTGTGCAAACATAAAAGTATAGATAATGTGGTTGAAAGCATAAAATTTTAAAAACAGAATATAGCATGCTTACCAATATATAAGTTAGGGAATTCAAGAACATACTAAATCCCATCATTACCAAATCGCTCTAGGTCTTTTCTAGTATCAGATTTCAGAAAACAGTACGCTGCATTCCTTCTTCAGTTCCAAGGTTCCCAAAGAGAACTAAAGTATCTCTCTTTTTCATCTCTTCACTATCACTCTCCATCTATTTAAGGAAGAGAAGTAGAAGTCTCATAAGATCAGATAGAAAAGTCATAATCAGCATAAAATGACCTTTCTTCTTGTCAGACTGTGTCACACATGGTGGGTCACCTTTGATAACTTGCTATCTTTCACTCAGCAATAAGAAGCCCAGTCCTGACAATTTTTCTCACCCACTGTTTGATTTTTATAATGACTTTGTTAACTCTACTGTTAGAGTATGTCCTTTAAGGTTCAGTCTTTATGTATACTCTCTTTTACATTAAAAATATAGTAAATTAATACTATTACAACTATGTGTCAGACTTAAACGGTCTGGTGTGGGTAAAGATGGATCAAATTCAGAGGGATTGTCTATTAACATCTTCCAGTGGAAAAGTCCTAGCCACGTACATACCCCTCCTTATAAAAGGTTACAGTGAAAAAGAAAGAAAATTGCATTTCCTGCCATATCAACAGGTGCCAATTGAGAGGCTTTATTTGAAGAGTTTGCTCATGGAGAAAGCTTAAATACATTAGCCTTGTGGAGTTTATAGATGAAATTAAAAAACAAGATATGACAAAGGGGATAAGATTCTGTCTTGTAAGTCTTCCAGCTCAGAGAATTCTTTAATAAATGGTTTATTTTAATGAGATTGAACTCAGAAACAATTATGGAGGACCCTGCTGCCTCTTCTGATTCAGACTTTATCTTAATAGCATAAAAGAGTTAACATCTGCAGTAAGTTTGCCAAAATAAAATATTTACCTAATAATAGATACACTAAGGGTAATTTGCAAAAAGGCAATTGGCCTGAAAGTAGGCTCTATCTAACAATTTACAATAGACAACTTCAAGAAGAGATATAATCAGCATGAAAGTAAAAGGCAGAGAGGTATTAGAAGGAAAATTACTCATTTCACATTTATACATATCCAAAAGAAAAATGCCCTCTCCAGTAGATTTTAAAAGAGGAGATACTCAGTAGGTATATATTCTTACTGTAAAGGTGCAGGTATTCTGTATGTAGTTAGCTGGTTGCCATTGAGATATGTAAAATAAAAAAGTCCTCCCCTCTGAGTTCATACTTACCAACAACTTATTGATTAAAACTTAACTTTCAAGATAGATATCTTAGAGTGGCAAAAAAATGCTATAATTAAAGATGCATATATCATGACATTTGCATTGATATTTACAAGGTAAAATTTAAATTATGGCATTTTAATCAGTCTTTGTGAATGTTGGTAATATGTGTCAGTTCCTATAAGAATAACGCCCTGTGGCTGGGCATGGAGGCTCACACCTGTAATCCCAGAACTCTGGGAGGCCGAGGTGGGCTGATCACAAGGTCAGGAGTTTGAGACTAGCCTGGCCAACATGGTGAAACTCCGTCTCTACTAAAAATACAAAAATTTGCCTGGCATGGTGGCATGTGCCTGTATTCACAGCTACTCAGGAGGCTGAGGCAGGAGAACCACTTGAACCCAGTTGAACCCACTTGAACCCAGTCTTGGCAGTGAGCCAAGATCAGGGCACTGCACTCCAGTCTGGGTGACAGAGGGAGACTCTGTCTCAAAAAAAATAAATAATAATAACCTAGCTTGGAAACTGAAAACTTAACTGGTGGACACTAGTGGCTTCATTTAAATAATGCCTCCGAAGTTTTCCTAGAACATTTAGCCAGCCTTCTTCAAGTAAGAATAATCCTATTTCATAACCCCTTTAATCTTTAATACCTACATCTTATAGGAAAGAAGCTATTTGAAAATGGTCCTAAAACCGAGAATACTTTATTTAACGTCAGTGAAATATCTTCCAAATACTTTGTTTTTACAGAAGACTGTTACAAACTGACGTCCTTTTCTTATTTCCACATGGTTGACAGAACATTCATTACACCATGTACACCTAAATATATGTATGTATGTATGTGTGTATACAGACATACAAAATATGTTGCAAGTGGCAGGAAAAGTTGATACTGAAGCATTGACATGAGTTGAGCCTCAGTCAAAGGATGTAAGGTTACATGAGCTATTTTAAAGAGAGTTTTTTAATAATCATTGAAGGCACTTCAATTTGAATGGAGTAGTAGTGGGAATGGAACCCATTGTGTGAGAAAGAAAAAAGAATGTGTGTACTGTATACACTTCCTCCTTGACTCATCAGATCTTAGTTGTTAGTGTCTAATTGCTTTCCTCTTAATTTCTGTAAAAAATTCAGTATGTGAAAGTACACATGATTCCTACAATGGATGTAACTTTAGGTGCATTCGTAGTACAGCCTATGTTGATTTTAGATTTTCATTTGTTTTCTGTTCCATCACATTATTCAGGGAGATTATCTGCTGAGAGAATAGCTTGGATACTCATCAAAGAAAAATCTATTGAAATTTTAATTAAAATACTTATCGCTGAACACTGATGATCAAAGAACAATTCCAGATAAGTCTTGGGAGTTTCTCCAACCTCATTCCCACATACAAATAGTTATAAAATTTAACTTCTTCACAACATAACCTGATATCAGATCATGGCTGTGGCTTGCATCCCTTGCTTCATTCTGACCTGGATTCATAATCTTTTCTTACTATTTTTAAATTGTTTTTATTACCTAGCAAATAAGGGCACACTTCCAGGGTTAGGTAATTTTTGGACTCAAAGTTCTGGTTTTAACTCAGCTTTATCTCTCCTAGAGCTAAAACATCTGGGTTTATTTTTTTTTTCTATTCTTCCCTCAGTATCACTTCCTTTCCCTCATCAATTTTTATTTTAATTTCTCTTTTATAAGTACCAACATTTTACAATCAACTTTATCAACATTGGCTGATTTAAAATCCTAGCTCTTAAATGTCAGGGCTTGTAAAACTTGCTTGGAGAAGACCTAGCTCAATAAAATTATATCAGTGTTTAATAAATGTGACATGACAATGATAAAAATTCAAAGGGCAAGTTTTTCCCCACAATAACGTCAGTGCTTTGCTTTGCTAGCAAGCAAGCAGAGAAGATTGTATTTTACCATTAATTTTCACGTACATGAGGCCTTAGTTTGTTCTGGCAAAATATCATTACAGTTTAAATTACTGTCCCTTCAATTTCAGTAAGAACAACAGAACAGACTTACCAATGTTTAATTCTTCACCTTTGCAATGAGGAATTTTTATTTTGCCTGTAGATGGCAGGAGGCTTGCTGGATAGATGCTCAGTTCCAGAGAAGCTGTTTGCTAACACTGATCACTGTTTGTCAGTAGATGTTAGCAAGGGGAAGGGCAGAGAGGAATACACACAGAGATAATAAGTGTGGTTGTCAAAACATCTGTCATGTATGAAGCAATGTCAATAAGAAAAGTGTTTTATAGTGATCTCAATATATAACACACCTAATTTTATCTATGCATTATTTTTAGAATTTTTTTTGAGAGCAGAAATGAGTTCCTCAAATACCTTATCAAATTGTGAGAGTGCAATGCATTCTTAGAATCAGATGGAAACTAATATATTTCCATTATTTTACTTGAAAAATTATATCATGTTAACAGTAGTAATATAGTTTGGAAATCATACTAGCCTGGGGGCATTTTGTAACAGAAAGGAAAATAACAACATTAGAAGCTTTGGAATTCTCTTCTGTCCATTGTTTCTCATGTCCCCTGTTTTTCTGCTCTTAGTTCCGTTGACTGTGCTCTTTGGGAGCATTCAATCCCTAGCAATATATAATAAATTATTTAAATGAAATTGAAAACAATCAAGCACATACACTTGGCCTTCAACTTTTTTTTTTTCTTTTTTTTTGAGACTGAATCTTACTCTGTCACCCAGGCCTGAGTGCAGTGGTGCAATCTCGGCTCACTGCAACCTCTGCCTCCTGGGTTCAAGCAATTCTCCTGCCTCAGCCTCCAAGTAGCTGGGATTATGGGCACGCACCACCACACCTGGCTAATTTTTTTTTTTTTTTTTGTATTTTTAGTAGAGATGGGGTTCACCATGTTGGCCAGACTAGGTCTCGAACTCCTGACCTCAATTGATCCACCTGCCTCGGACTCTCAAAGTGCTGGGATTACAAGGGTGAGCCACTGCGCCTGGCAGCCTTCAACTTTCTTAACGTTCATTGCAGTACAGGACTGTATTGACTATCATTTATTCTTGGTTGTCTTTTTTATGTTCCTACTTTCTGATGTCTTTTTCTGCCCGTTACTGACTTCTTTTTCCCCTCTTTTTCACTTTAGATGTTTCCTAATGTCCTGTCTTTGAGGCTTTTCTTTTTCCCCTCATTCCATTAGTGATAAAGTCGGCCTTGCAATTTGACCAATTATCTCTAAGCTGATGAAACACAAATCTGCCTGTGTCATTTCCCACCCAGGAAGAATATCAAAATCAGATGTTTCTAGGAGGCTGAGACTGATTTTGTGAGAGTCTCTTATCAGGATTTGTGTTTGTCTTCTGAAGAGAATGAAAATTTATTTTTAAGTGTTCCTTGTGAGTGATGTGTTGATAGGCCAAGACCATTTAACAATTTTCAGGCAGAGCATATATCAGTAACGGCAGACATTATTTTTATTGGTTATGGCCTATGTATACAGAATGATGGTATTTTTAGAGTGGAAAGATAATTAAGAAATCACGTAATGTGAATATCTCATTTAAAATATTTTATCGAAAACTAGTTGAATTTTTTATCTTTATATGTGGCTTAAGTTTTATTTTGTTTTTCTAGTCTTTCAAAAGATTATCACTTTTTTAAGTGATCAAAAAGTGATTTAAGAATTGCATATTCTTGGAATGTTCTTGTCGACGAGAATATGTCGATATGATGAAATTTTCAAGGCTATTTTGATCTTTAACCCAATCCTCATTTTCTTATTTCTCATTTCAGAATATTTTCCTGAAACATTTTAAATATTTTTTCTCTAACAGTACTGTGTTTGTTTTCTCCTTCTGTGATACATGCATGCTGAATCTCCATCTCATGTCTCTAATAGTTAATATTTTGTTTTTAATCTTTGGATCTGTCATAATCAACTAGAGTATACTACAGTAACAAACCTGAAAATTTCAGTAGTTTAAATAACTTGCTTTCCTTATTGGGTTCTAGAATCTTCTATTTAATTTCTCTAATGGCTTGCCATTATCTTTCCTGAATGCTTGAATTTAGGATTTGAATTATTTAATATATAGGATAGCAATTTTCTGATGAGTATTGTTTTGTCTTTATTTTTTCTTATAGTACCTTTGTAATCAGTAGGGGATACGCTCTTTCATTATTATTCATAAGGAATTGGACTAGAATTTTCTGGATCAGCTAATCAAAGGAAGTTACCAAAAGTGTAAAGACGAGTCATGAGAGTCTACCAGACTTCACAACAAAAGTCACCCTTGTTTGAAGAACTGAGATTCTAGATAATTGCATGTAATGTTGAAGTGTAGTAGTTTTTGTCTTGCTAAACACCATCTACATGGATAAACTCATAAAATTATCAAAGAAAGATGCTATTAAGTAGCTAGAGTCTGAATACTCTGTCACTAAGTAGAGTGTGCTTTTGGATGAGCTACATACTCTATATACCTCTGTTTCATCATCTAAATTAAGGGTAACAGTGGAACATAATTCTGAGGTTTGTTGTTGAGCTATAATAATAATAACTGTAAAGAAACTAAAATGGCATGCTTGGTTAGCACTCAACAAAGAGTTGCTATTTTTCTTATGAGTATGCACAACATTTATTTTGTTTATTTAATTTTAATGGGTTTGCTTAATATTAAGAAAAGTTATTGGTATACTACTTCTTGTCTCATAACTTTTAAAACACCATTTTTTTCAAATTTCTAGGTGAGACACTATATCACTAAAAACAGATGAACCTGAGCATGAGTTACTGACTGGCTTGTGACTGACCCAGGGTGTTCTTGCCAAATTGGATGACAACAAGCTGGCTCGGCTTTTGGCTTTTCTTTACCTGGAGGGATGTTCAGTAACTGACCCTTTAGCAAGTAAGAGGGGCTTCACATGAATTCAATCAACATCTCCATATAGTGCTCTGGCATTTTTCCAATCCTTGTCCTAGTAGCTCTGTTTGCTGCCTGTGATATTTTTTCTCTAATTCAAGTTTATTCCTATGTTTATGTCATAAAAAATATACAATTAGGTAGGGCTCTTCCTCTTTATTTCAAAACCAGACCACACTGTGTTCAGCTATATCCAGGTCTAAGCAAACTCTCTTTTGATGACTAGCAAGTGACTGTAGGTCACCTTCTATTGGCAAGCACCAGAGTGCACCAAGTCATGTGTATAAGCTGCCCCTGGGCCCATTAAACAACAGTCATCTGAACATGTTTGTTCTTGACTGTAGAAAATTTCAATGTTTCTTTATTCAAAATTATGTTTATTTCATTACTAGTATTTTCAGTAAATGTTAAATGATAAAGTTAACTTGAAAGCAAGCTCATAGTCAATTTATGCACAGATACATACACACCCAGCCCTTTCCAAAAGGTAGCATCTGATTCTGTTGACTACATGTTTAAAAAATTACTCTGCTATTTCAAATTTTAGTGTTTGAATAAATGGAGACTTGGAAGTTGCACTTTCCATTAATAAACTAGCACATTCTGGGTTCACAATGCAATATACAGAAAATCCTGCTTTCCATAAGAAAGTAAAAGCTACAAAATGATCAACTAGCTGTCTATAACCTACAATACAGGAAGTAAAAGAAGCTGTAAAACAATAAGCTTTAGAACTACATATAAATAAAAATTGCAAGATTTTATTTATTTACATGGACTGCATTTTATATTAAAATCCTTAGGGTCAGAATATATTTATCTGAATATTAAATTTAATGTTTAATATAATGTATTAAAGCCAAAAATAGGCTAAAAATGAATAAATTTATTTGAGCTTTAAATATGTTTGAAGTCCTAAATCCTGTTCTCTACCCAATTGCTTCCGTTATTACTATTATTTTCCCCTTGGGTGAACTATTTCAGAAAGTATGCCATTGGGTTTTTTACAACATGAAGATATGAACCAGTTTATGAAGTACAGAGATATGGACCCATTTACGGAGCACCAAAATGTGCTGTTATTTATTCTATGGTATAAATACATCATAGTACATGAAAGTTTAGAAGTGGCGATAGTCCAGAAATACTTTCTTCTTCACTTTCCTGATCTAGAGTTCCTTTATAATAATCTCATACCAGCAACCTCTTCATTGATCCTATTCTCAAAAGAAACTAATGACAGATGTATTAAGGAAATAAATAAAATATTAACCTCTACTTAAACAATGCATCCAACTATTTCTAATCACTTAAAAATTCTGATCATATATCATTTTGTTTAAACATGCTTTAGTGACTCCAAATTTTATAACGGATTAAGAAAAAACATTCTCCTGGCAATCAAGTTATCGTATTCATATTCCTAATCTGAAGATATGAAATTCAAAATGCTCCCAAATCCAAAACTTTTTGAGCACAAACATGACATCACAAGTCGAAAATTCCACACATAACCTCATGTGACAGGTTGTAGTCAAAACACAGTCAAAACTTTATTTCATGCACACAATTATTAAAATATTTTATAAAATTATCTTCAGGTTATATGTGTAAGGAGTATAGGAAACACAAGAGAATTTTGTGTTTAGACTTGGGTCCCACCCCAAAGATACCTCATTTTATATACACACACACAAATATTTATACACACAATTATACACAAATTATACACAAGTATACACAATTATACACAAATATTTATACACACAATATATACACACACAAATATTTATACACACACAAATATTTATACAAATATACATACACAAATATTACATATACATATATATGTGTATACAAATATTACAAAATCTGAAAGAAGTCAAAATCTGAAACACTTCTGTTTTCAAGCATTTCAGGTAAGTATTCTTAACTTGTAGTATGTATGTTTATTCTATTTTTACCTCTCATCCCTAAATATTTTAGTCAAACCAAACTATATACTCATTCTAAACTCACCCTGGAATCTCAAACATCAAAGTTTTGTCTACATGGTTAGGCGAAGGACATGAACAGACACTTCTCAAAAGAAGACATTTATGCAGCCAAAAAACACATGAAAAAATGTTCATCATCACTGGCCATCAGAGAAATGCAAATCAAAACCACAGTGAGATACCATCTCACACCAGTTAGAATGGCAATCATTAAAAAGTCAGGAAACAACAGGTGCTGGAGAGGATGTGGAGAAATAGGAACACTTTTACACTGTTGGTGGGACTGTAAACTAGTTCAACCATTGTGGAAGTCAGTGTGGCGACTCCTCAGGGATCTAGAACTGGAAATACCATTTGACCCAGCCATCCCATTACTGGGTATATACCCAAAGGACTATAAATCATGCTGCTCTAAAGACACATGCACACGTATGTTTATTGCGGCATTATTCACAATAGCAAAGACTTGGAACCAACCCAAATGTCCAACAATGATAGACTGGATTAAGAAAATGTGGCACATATACATCATGATTCCATACTATGCAGCCATAAAAAATGATGAGTTCATTTCCTTTGTAGGGACATGGATGAAATTGGAAATCATCATTCTCAGTAAACTATCGCAAGAACAAAAAACCAAACACCGCATATTCTCACTCATAGGTGGGAACTGAACAATGAGATCACATGGACACAGGAAGGGGAATATCACACTCTGGGGACTGTTGTGGGGTGGTGGGAGGGGGGAGGGATAGCATCGGGAGATATACCTAATGCTAGATGACGAGTTAGTGAGTGCAGCGCACCAGCATGGCACATGTATACATATGTAACTAACCTGCACAATGTGCACATGTACCCTAAAACTTAAAGTATAATAATAATAATAATAAAAGCATCTCTAGAGACTATTTCACTCCCAAGTATGGTCTTCAGAATGCTACCCATTGTTCATATCACAGTTTGAACAGAAGTTTCTACATGAAGTTATTCTGAGCATCCTCAAACAGATATACTTTTCCTTGGACCCCACATAATATTTTGCTTCTCTATCATGTTATTTATACACAATAAAAATTATAAAAGAAATTAGATGCCTTGAAAACAAAGCTAGATTTTCCTTACTTTTAAAAATTATAAAATTTATAAAAATTATAAATTTATAAAATATTGCAAAACAGATATTCAATAAATATACAATGATTAGATTGTTGAATTTAACAATAAACAAAAGAAACTATTAATAATTATTGAAATAATTATATATGTCATTATTAGTTTGAAAGGAAAATAAACCTTGGGATCCCAAAATCACTAATCTAAAGGAAAAAGTCAAGCTGGGAACTGTTTAGGGCAAACCTGCTTCCCATTCTGCTCAGTCATCCTTCCGCTCACTGAGATAAGTGCATATCTGATTGCCTTCTTTCGAAAGGCTAACCAGAAACTCAAAAGAATGCAACCATTTGTCTCTTACCTACCTATGTCCCAGAAGACCCCTCCCCATTTTGAGTTGTCCCACCTTTGCTTTGAGTTGTCCCGCCTTTCTGGACCAAACCAATGTTCATCTTACATATACTGATTGATGTCTCGTGTTTCTCTAAAATGTATAAATCAAGCTGTGCTCGGACACCTTGGACACATATTGTCAGGACCTCTTGTGGCTTTATCATGCCTGTTAAGGGCTCATGTCCTTAATTTTGGCAAAATAAACTTCCTTAACTGACTGAGACCTATCTCAGATATTCGGGGTTCACATTTTGGCAACCACAAAAGAGTTCTGGTGGAGGTGCCCCTCACCTTTGACAAATCTCCTATTGGTGCTTGGTACCAGCTTGAGCTATCTTTATGGCTCACACCAACAAGACAATTTGCTGAGATCTGGCAGCACCCCCTCCAGAGAATTCCTGATGTTGCAAAATTTGGTCAAGATCTGAAGTTTATTTTGCTGTACAACTTACTTTTTGGAGTTTTACTTGCTTCCAACACAAGGAAGGCAAGTTTTACTACGTCCATGATGATGGAAGGCAGAAAATTACGTTCTGGAGTTTGAACTCACTTCCAACAAAGAAGGCAAGTTTTATGTTTTTTCCTTGCTTCTAGGATGATAGCAGTCTTCTGCCTGAAATCCATCCCAGGTAAGTAACTGAATTGGGGTTTGTCTTGGCTAAAGTTAAGATTAACAACCAGCTGGTCTTAATTTCTTTTTACCAGTAGGGCATTCAGTAATTGTATAAGTTGTGTGATTGTTTGTTTTGCTTAACTGTTTTTGTTGTTGTTGTTTGTTTCTGTTTTTGTTATTGTTTTGGTCTTTTTCTTACTGGGTTTGACCAACTCTATCCAACTTGATCAAATCTGAAGGAAAGTTCCAAATTGTGGGGAACAAGGCCTCTGAAGTGGCTAAATTCCAAATAATAAATAAATAAATTAATTAATTAAAAAATAAAGGTGATGTGTTGGGGGGAGCAGAAGGACCAGCAAAAGGAAAAAAAATAAAAAATAAAGATTTTTTATTTTGACTACTTAAGGGGCTTCACTTACATAACAAGGCCAATTTTTGCTAGGCCGATTTTTGGCTGAAAGAGCAATGGCTATCACCCCACAATGCAGTTCCATAGCTAGGGTTCTATCGTCTTTTTTTCCACACAACAGCCTGGGTTTGGTTCCTAAATCAATCCCTTTCTGGTTTGCTATTTGGTACTTCTGAAGTAGCAGCAAATTGTCCTAGCTGATATATAGTAATGAGATTTTAAAAGATTTTTTTTTCTTTTTTTAGACGGAATCTCGCTCTGTTGCCAGGCTGGAGTGCAATGGTGCGATCTCGGCTCACTGCAACCTCTGCCTCCCAGGTTCAAGCAATTCTCCTGCCTCTGCCCCACAAGTAGATGGGGCTACAGGTGCGCACCACCACACACAGCTAATTTTTGTATTTTTAGTAGAGATGGGTTTTCACCATGTTGGTCAGGAAGGTCTCGATCTCTTGACCTAGTGATCCACCCACCTTGGCCTCCCAAATTGCTGGGATTACAGGCATAAGCCACCTCGCCCGACCTAAAAATATTTTTTTAAAGGCACTCAATGGTTAAAAGTCAGCTTAATTAAAATCTAACATTCAAGATGTGTGTGTGATTGTGTGCCTATGTGTGTGTTTGTACTTAAAAGGCCTCATGTTTTTGTTTTTTTCTTTCCTAGGACCTTGTCTTTTTTGAGCAAAAGCTTTTTCTTTGTCTTCTCAGTTGACTGAATTCTGTTTTCTTCATAATTCTGCTGTCTCTCCTTTCTCTTGCACCCTCTGCTGCATGAGGGACCTAAACTAGTTTGTGACAGCATAGGGTTCCTTAAAGAAATGGAAGAAATGGAGAAGACACCAGACTCCCTTCTGGGGAGAAAACTCTGTTTTTCCTTGTGGAACCCCAAATGTATAAACAGACAAGTTCATCTCAGCTCTGAAACTGCTTGCTTTTTCACTATGTTACCTGATTTTTTTTTACCAAAATACTACAACAGAGGCTACTTGAGTTTTTAAGGAAGAGTTTAGACAGTTACAGATGTCTTGGTTTTAAAATAATTTTTAGTATGCACTGTACAAGCATCACATGATCTAGCCTCATAATAATTCTCCCTTTTTTGGCTGGGTGTGGTGGCTCACACCTGTAATTACAGCACTTTGGGAGGCCGAGGCGGGCAGATCCCAGGGTCAGGAGTTCAAGACCAGCCTGGCCAGTATGGTAAAACCCTGTTTCTACTAAAAATACAAAAATTAGCCAAGTGTGGTGAAACGCACTTATAGTTTCAGTTACTCTGGAGGCTGAGACAGAAGAATCGCTTGAACCCAGGAGGTGGGGGTTGCAGTGAGCTGAGATTGTGCTACTGCACTCCAGCCTGGGTGACAGAGTGAGACTCCATCTCAAAAATATATATATATTAATAATAATAATAATCCTCCCTTTTTGGAGACCCAGGATTCTATGTGGGCTCTACCCAGAGATCAGAGATGCAGTTAAAAGATTGGTAGTTCTGTCTAAATAAAATTGATCCCCTTATACAGTCCTATGATAGATTTCTCTAATTTTATGTTTCATTTGGCATACAACTTTAATCTCCCTCTCACACCACCAGACTTTTTCTGTCTGTACCCTGGGATGTAAATTTTGCTGTCTGATTTTTCACCTAAGAGTTGTTTCCTTCAAACACAGATTTAGGGCTATTTACCTGACAACTGCCAGGGTAATGAAACAGCTTATCAAGAGTTTGCAAGTTTTAGTTAGGGGAAAAAAGAAGGTTTTATGAATCTGTAAGATATACTACTATCGGTATGCCAATACATCTATGTATTATGTGTTGTGTACACAGTGTTTCACCATTAAAAATATATAAAAGATCTCTAATTAATTGGCTTAAAGAAAAATAGAAGCCCTTAAATAAAATACTTCATCAGAAAAAAAGGAAAGACTGGTCAAATGCTTTTTCAAGTTTGCATGACTTAAGTAAAATTTTTAATAAAATGCTAGCTTTAAAATTATTGGTAAAGTAATATTAGAAATGTCTTAAGAAATGCCAGCATACATTTTGTTTACATTTATTGATGAAGACATTTCATACTTATCCCTGCCAAATACTATCAGGTGTCAAAATTTGGCATAGTGATTTCAAAACTATAAACCATCCCAAAACAGAATAATCTTTGCTTGTAGAATTTTAAGTAAATAAGACATTGACGCTGATTTGATGAAAATAGCAAAATATTGAATTATTTACTAAAATAAACATAACATCTAATCTTGTGGCTTTAGATGGTCTAGTTCCCAGGCAGGAAGGAGGTTTGCTTGGAGGAAGGACTGTTATCGACTTTGTTTCAAAGCTAAACTATAAACTAAGTTCCTCCCAAAGTTAGTTTGGCCTACACCCAGGAATGAATAAGAATAGCCAGGGGATTACAAGCAAGATGGAGTCAGTTAGGTCAGATATTTTTCACTGTCTCAGTACCAATTTTGTAATGGCAGTTTCATAACTTTACTTGATGACTTTTGTGGTTTTCATAAATAATCTAGATAAATTATTAAAGTAAAATAATTAGTTAAATTGAATGGGATAAGTACTTGTAGACAAACTTGTCATAATTGAGAATCTAAAATTATATTTAATTAAACAATAAATATTTCATTATTTGAGTATTTTCCAATAACAGTATATTGTAGAAAACATTTTTTCTAAAAAAAAGTCCTTTTTAAAAAGGGTGAATAATTTTTGTTTAATTCAAAGATTATTTAAAGGTTATGTATAAAACAAGGTAAAAGGAACCAGGAAATAAGAGAGATGTAAAGAAAGTTGTAGAAATAAAGAGGCAATTTTTGGTAAGAAGGCTTAAAGAGAAATAATTTTATATGAGTAAGAATCTTGTATGGTAAATTTTGTCCTAGAATAAAATGAATGGTTGCTTAAGAAAGAGGAATGTTCAGGACAAACCAGAAAGTCTAAGCATGTTATAAATGGTCTGTGTATGTCATAATAAGATTTATTTTAAAAAAAACTTATAAAATAAAGTTATAAATAATTAAATGGAAATTATAATGGCATTTCTAGAAATTGACTTTTGGTTAAGAAAAACACATATACTAAAGAATTTATTCAAACTACAAAATTTTCTTGAGGTATCGCTTTACTCTTAATAAATTACAAGACATTATACTTTTTTTCCTAAAAAACAGAACTTACACTTTCTCAAAATAATTCCTATATTATTATTACTAAATTTGGTTTGCTTAGAAAAAAATAAGATTTTTTATAATTAAGGTTATTACATCCCTGTAACTTTCTGTATGTGCTTTTAAAGTCCTTGTGCCTTTAAGTTGCTGGGCTTCGACTTCTGTGTCTAAAAGGACACCAAATCCTGCTGAATCTCAACACTGACAGCAGTTAAAGCCTTATCTTCAGAAGCTGTCCATCAAAATAAGCTGTGTTTGTGAGACACAGGGCCAGAAATTAAACTTCAACTTCTCAAATTCCAGTAACTATCATGGAAGAGGTGAGTGCCTGAGATTATAAGGGCTGATTTTGAGAGATAACGTAAGTTTATTTTCTCTATAAATTAGCCATTAATGTAAAAGGCACACTGATGCAAGAAAAGCATATAGACACCTGTCCAAGTACCAGGGTTTCATGAAACACTAGCTGGCTCCTTAATAAAAGTTGTAAAGGTTATAAAAGACAGGAAAATTATATGTTATGGTCAAGATGACCAAAATGTTATAGATTGTTGATAAAATTTTGAAAAATAAATTTAATTAGCTTCATGTTGTTTTTATTAGGGCTTATTGTTTGGAATATTAAGTCTCTTCTCTCAAAGAATGAAGGTTTTCACCTGTTTTTGAAATCCTTGAGTTATCACTATGGTTAAATGAATGACTTATTTTGCAATGATCTTTGATCCTATTTTGTGATATCAAATGTTATAAACCCTTGATATTTGACAAACTTTCCAAAGTCAAATATAAATTATGTCTTTTTCTGACCTGATTAATCTTTTAAGATATTAGATTCCCTAAAGTCCAAAAATGACATTTTTTTGTTATAAAAATCATACAGGGAGTATTGTCAAATATGAAATGGTGTTTAGCTTTCTTTGGGATGTATTTGTATAAATATCTTATTGGTATGTGTTACAAAATTATGGGAAGCTCTATAATTCTGACATGACTTAGTATACATTCTCAGTAATGATTATAATTGTTATATTAAATTATTGTGTGCTACAGAGGTAACAAATTTCCTTGTCAATAGTGTCTTTGACTGTGTCTGTCCTAAAACATTATGTCATTCACTGACAACTGTTGCCTTGTTTTGGTCCACTTTAGAAGGTGGTTTTATAATTAGATATAAAACTTTAACAAGTGTTCTTGAATACAGGGTTCTGATAACTTTGGAGATTGTTCACTAGAATAGAGGAAAATAACTTTCATGACTCTCATAGAGAGCTGGAATGTTCATGAATATCATGCAGAACGGGAGTTAACTGCATGAAATGAACTAATACAAGACTCAAGTAATCTTTTGACTTTTTTGCTTAAAACATTGTTGAACCTTTGTTTTGTTTAACAGAGTCAAGAAAACTTTTTATTTGAGCTATTTACGACTTGTAGCAATTGAGTAAATTATACTCCTGTGCACAAAATTTGGAGCATATTTGTTTCTCTCTACCTGATTTCTCCAGAATTTGGAAACTATTTCTGAATATACTTAACTTATGACAATATAGTTATTTGCATAAGTGCAATAAGAATATTTCCTTTTGTACCAGGACACCATTGGAGAAAAAAAACCTACGTAAAAAATAATTATTCTTGCACTTTATACAAATAATCTGGCTAAGTATAATAAAGCAAATTGATTCTACCATGATTTTTCTTTAGTAAAACTAGGAAACTGGAGAGAGAAAAATTATGTTTCAAAAACTATAGTCCACCTGTTGTTAGCTTCTAGTCCTGCCCTATGTTTTTCAATTTTTATTATTTTCTACAGAGTAGACTAGAATCTAATTTTTCCTGGCTACAAGTCTCCAAAATAATGTTTTTTTTTTATTTTTTTCTTCTTTCTTTACTTTTCCTCCAATTTTTTTCTAATTTGCGATTACTGAAAACTAAGCTGCACTTCCTTAAAGCCCTGCAAACTGAAGCTAGACAACTCACACTTCAGAAGAAAATAACTGCAACCTATTTACATACATTTGCCACTTTCATACCTCCCTACAGATGTATGGACTTAAGAGTAATATGACCTATATGAATTTTCTGGAAATGGATTTTGGTTGTTGTTTTCTCCCTTCCTCCCCTTATTTTCTCTTCATAGGATATCAAACTTCACAACCTGCTAAAAAATGAGATTTCCTAATAAAATGTGACCTACCCATCTAGGAATAAACCTTCCTAGCCATGAGAGAGTATAGGAAACCTGAGACCAGAGACTCATTTTCTTCTAAAATTCTTTCTCTCAAAGATTTTAAAAAGAAAGTGGGCAAATGTGAAAGGAAAATATATCTTAGGGTCCCAAAATCACTAAGCTAAAAGGAAAAGTCAAGCTGGGAACTGCTTAGGCCAAACCTGTTTCCCATTCTATTCAAAGTCATTGTCATCCCTGTGCTCACTGATATAAATGCATACCTGATAGGCTTCTTTGGAAAGGCTAATCAGAAACTCAAAGAATGCAACCAATTGTCTCTTACCTACCTATTACCCAGAAGCCCCCTCCCCACTTCAAGTTGTCCTGCCTTTGACTTGAGTTGTCCTGCCTTTTTGGACCAAACCAATGTTCATCTTACATATGTTGATTGACATCTCATGTCTCCCTAAAATGTATAAAACCAAACTGTGCTCGGACTATCTTGGGCACATGTCATAGGACCTCCTGAGGCTGTGTCATGGGTGCACATCCTTAACTTTGGCAAAATAAACTTCCTAAACTGACTGAGACCTAGCTCAGATATTTGGGGTTCACGTTACAATGCATTCAGAGAAAATGCTGTGACTCATAATCTTTCCCTACTATTTAGTAAAGCTCCTTATGTGTAATTTTTAGGGAGAGTTTGGTAACCTTATGTATGTTTTACAGTTGTGTAATCCTGCCATTTAAATGTCAGTATCCTTCTCTCCCTAGAGAGATTGTATAGTAGAAGTTTTAATAGAGCATAAATTAAGTTTGTCACTGATAAACAAAACTATGAGAATTGGTGGATAATTAGTGACAATCAATTTATTGGGTCCTTAATCCTAGAAAGGAAAATCTTTTTGAAATTAACTAATTTTAAGAAAAAAAGTAGATTATACAAGACAATTTGGTACAATCATATTGGCTCAGAAAACAGAGGAGAAAAGCATATTTGAATTTTCTAATGTTCCTGTCATTAGAATTATCTCCAACACCTACTCTGGTGGACTTGTATCTGACTACTATGGTGGGGAAAAAATCTGAAATAACTGGAATATTTGTGTGAAATATAAAATTACTTTAATAAAAATAGAATATTCTAACAGAAAACATTGAAATTAGGGCAAACTCCACATATCGGAGCACCAAAAGAAAATGAGTCCAATTGGTTAATATATGCTATGGGTCAGCAGTGATCTGAAGCTACAGTATCCCAGGCTGCAAAATTCACATTGTGTGGTTGTAAAAGGTGCAGCTATTGTCAGACTCAAATCCAAAACATCATCCCTTGTGACAAAAATTTTAGCATCAGGGTGAAGCAGAGCCAGCTATGACAAGCAGGAAAGGTCAGCTATTTGGAGATAAATAGGAGAAAGGTGAAAAGGTACATTTATAAAGACCTTTGACAGCAAGTATTAGCACTATTCACAGAAGCATCAAAAAATAATGGGAAAAAATATATCAGCAGGCTATAAACCCTAAGAGACCAGATAAAGCTTTTCTTCCTGTTTGTAACCCTAGACTGAACTTACCTGGTAGGAGTGATAGTTGAAATAAATATATTTTATATTTATATAGCATATGTATTTATTTGTCATAAAAATATACTAATAACTTTTAAATAGAAACATTATTGCACAGAATTATACATTATTAGTTATCACAATTATTTGGATAATGATAAATTTATTACAATACATGAATAACTACATACTTTAAAACTATAACAAAAAATGTCTTGTTTAAATTATTTGAATTAGGGATTCTATTAAAATGTTCCTTTAATACAGGGGTCAATGCATTTTTTTCAATAAGGGCCAGATAGCAAATATTTTAGGCTTTACAGGCTAGCCTTCATCAGAACTATTCAACTTTGCCACAATAGCATGAAAGCCATCACATATAATAGAGAAATTAATGTGTGTAACTGTGTTCTAATAGAGTTTATTAGAGTTTATTTAAAAATAAACACACACACACACTCAAAATTACAGTAGGTAGGATTTTTGTCTCCAGGCAGTTCACAGATGCCTACTTTAGTAGATATGGTATCTATCAAATCTTGCTTTCTCTTGTTTTACTATATATCTTTTATATACACAGCTCTGCACATTAATTTCTCTATTATATGTGATGGCTTTCATGCTATTATTTCAAAGTTTAATAGTTCCCATGAAGACTAGCCTGTGAAGCCTAAAATATTTGCTATCTGGCCCTTACTGAAAAAAATTTATTGACCCCTGTATTGAAGGAACATATTAATAGATTCCCTAATTCTACATATCTTTTAACATATAGATATGTTAAACATAACAATCTATTATAGAAAGTAAAATTCAAAGCTGCTTCAGATGGATTGAGCTGATGGAAGTTGTTGATCTAATAATCTGACTGAAATAAAGTTTGTAATTTTGTTTTAAATCAAATGTTTTTGTAGTGCTAGCATTGGAAACATTCAGATACACTTAATACCTTTGCAAAACCTCCTCTAGTCTGACTGCTTCGTACTTATCCTATGAACATGTCTTCAGATTAATTAATCCATCCCCCCCCCTTGTGATTGTGCTGTTCCCTCTTCCCATTAAACCAATGAATCAGACATTTCTCCTACTTACATTGGATGCAGTGCCTTTCCAATGATTGGGTGTGATTTTAGAAAAAAGAGATCAGAAATAGTGAAGTAAAAAACAATATTATAGGGATAAAAGTAGAGTAGGAGATGAAAAGAAACAATTTCCTCATGATGGTTGTCAGGACAATAATATGAGGCATATTGTGTTTCAGGTAAACACTTTTAAAAAATGGTTTCAGGAGGCTTTTAGCTTCTAGAAAGAAGCATCTATGGCCTCTAGTCCAGATTTATGTCTGGGTCTTAAAACTAGGTTTTGAAAGATGGAGGTCTCTACCTCTTCAAACAGACTTCTTGGTGTGTGACAGTATCTGTTCTCAGAGAACAAGAGTAGTCTATGGTGGTCCTGAAAGTTTTAGAGATCTTAAAAACATGGGCAAGACATATGTCTTACATGTATTTGAAAGAACTAGGGAGTTTTTAATTTGGTGTGGTAACAGGGACAAGGGGTTTTTTATGCTACCCCTCAGGCAGTCTCTTTCTGAAGAGTAATGGTCTCATTGGAAATCTGATTAGTAAGCACTTGTTTCATGATAGAATACTATAATTAGTCCAGGAATAATTATATTTGTTGAGTTGCTTACTGTTATTGTAAGTAACGGTTAACTCCCAAAAGATATTTGTTTCTTAGAGATTGATAGCTTAATATTAGAATGAGGGTCTCCTCATTTTTTTTAAAAAAAATGGAACAACAGCTACACTTGCCCTAAATATCTTCAAAGAAATAACGGATTAATCCGCTATCTGGTTTATTTCTCCTTTCTAAATCTGTCATGTAATTATTTGTCTAATTTCTTCCAGATTCTAATCATAGCATTGGGTCAATAGATTAAATAGCTTAATTATAATATGTGTTATTTAATGCTCTTAGCACAATCGATGGATTGAAATGATCTGCCAGTCTTTGGCTAGATCACTGCAAATCACCTGACATTTACATGTTAATGTTGCGGGAAGTCAGAGGCCCTGAACGGAGGGACCGGCTGAAGCCATGGCAGAAGAACATAAATTGTGAAGATTTCATGGATATTTATTAGTTCCCCAAATGAATACTTTTATAATTTCTTACGCCTGTCTTTACTTCAATCTCTGAACACAAATTGTGAAGGTTTCATGGACATTTATCACTTCCCCAATCAATACTCTTGTGATTTCCTATGCCTCTCTTTAATCTCTTAATCCCATCATCTTTGTAAGCTGAGGATGAATGTCACCTCAGGAACCTGTGATGATTGCGTTAACTGCCAAATTGTTTAAACAATATGAAATCTGGGCACCTTGAAAAAAGAACAGGATAACAGTGATGTTCAGGGAATAAGGGAGAAAACCATTAGGTCTGGCTGCCTGAGAGGCGGGCAGAACAGAGCCATATTTCTCTTCTTTCAAAAGCAAATAGGAGAAATAACGCTGAATTCTTTTTCTCAGCAAGGAACAGCCCTGAGAAAGAGAATGTGTTCCTAGGGGTAGGCCTCTAAAATGGCTGCTATGGGGACCTCTGTCTTTTATGGTTGTTGATAAGGGAAGAAATAAGCCCCACTCTCCAGTAGTGCTCCCAGGCTTATGAGGAAATTCCCGCCTACTAAATTTTGGTCAGACCGGTTGTCTGCTTTCAAACCCTGTCTCCTGATAAGATGTTATCAATGACAACGCATGCCTGAAACTTCATTAGCAATTTTAATTTCACCCCATCCTGTGATCTTGCCCTGCCTCCATTTGCCTTGTGATATTTTATTACCTTGTGAAGCATGTGATCTCTGTGACCCACACACTATTCATAAACTCCCTCCTCTTTTGAAAATCACTAATAAAAACTTGCTGGTTTTGCTGCTTGGGGGGGCATCACAGAACCTGCCGACATGTGATGTCTGTCCTGGACACCCAACTTTAAGATTTGTCTCTTTTGTACTCTTTCCCTTTATTTCTCAGACCAGCCGACACTTAGGGAAAATAGAAAAGGACTCACGTTGAATTATCGGGGGCGGGTTCCCCCAATATGTTAAGGCTTTATAGCCATTTAGCAAGATGCTGTTAATTCTGTGTTCCCATGAACAGAAAAACCTAATGTTATTTCTTCCTAAAAAGCAATTTCCAGAGTGTTTCCCTTATTAGTTAATGATGGTGATATTTTCAACTCCCTTTACTCTAATTGTTAAGATAAATTGAAGTAAGAATCCCAGTCCTTTGTGCATAACTTAGCAAATTTTCTGCAGAACTTCAGATAGGATATAAGATTTTAAAAGATATTAGAAATAATTATACTATCAGATTTTGTTTGTTTGCATACTTGTAACTTTGAACTTCCATATTGTTATACACTGCTGCTGCACTGGTGACTAAAGTATGTAATTTTCAACTTGTGGCCAAAGTGACATGAAATATCCTGTTTCAAACTCATGAAACAGAAGCACTGTTGGATTGGTTGATTGCTGTGGTAAAAAAAAAATGTAGAAACTTACATCGATATAAAGACCCAGGGCTACATTGATTGTCATTGAAATAATAAATGTAAGATAAATACACATAAAGGCTGAATGAGGCAACATAGAAAACCCTAGTAAAACTGAAAAGAAAAATAGAACTGACATCCATATGTATGCCTGCATCTACATACATATGTAGTAAAAATATAAACTAAATATTATATACTATAAGTATCAATTATGAAACCTCTCTAAATTAACATGTATATATGATAAATATAAAATTCAAGAAAATAAACGTTAATGATGCCTATTTGGCTTTGCATAAACTGACCCTTTTTAGCCTTTTCAATATTGTCACATACAACTCTGTTGAAAATTAAGTTCCAACAACACTGAACTTATTTTTTGGCACAGTATTGTTAAAGTCTAGTGCCAAAAGACAACCTAGAAAACAACTTGGTTAAAAAAAAAAAAAGCTAGGCTTATTAACTTGCTTAACTAAAGAAGAGATGGCATTAAAGGAATTGAGAATGTGTCAGTAAGAGAGTTAGAAGGGTCTTGCTATAGGATTTTCACTTGTATTAAGTGATTTCGGAGGGGATTCAAAGAAGCAACAATTTGTTCTGGATAACATGCTGCCAAAAAAGAGGGGCAATTCAACAATTGGATATCGAAATAATTCTTATCTATAAGGTGAGAGGAATGAAGCAGGGCTAGAGTTGCCATTGGTAAAAAGGCAGTTGCCACTTATGCTAGCCAAAGAGAAGGATTTTGGCTTATTTTTATACTGACATAACTTCTTATATTGTTCCTTTGTACAGATATGATTCCAGAGTAGTATTGCTGTTGCTTTTCATTACCATAGTGAGTGTGGAGTGTTAGCTTGATTTTTTACTCTTTTGTTAACTTTACATGCAACTGTTTGTCTTGTATAGGGGAACTACAGGTTACATCTTAGCAGCCAAATTCTATGGCCATGTTTCACCTTTGTCTTCTTGTTCTCATTTTCTGATGTCTAGTAGGTCCTCAGCAATTATTTGATAAATGATTGTATATAATTCTTCTTTAGCATAATACAATATATAGTCCTAAATAATTTTTGGAGTATTATCAACATTCAAATCTTCAATTCAAAATTTTTCCCAGGTAAAGTATCATAAACTATTTTGTATGCAGTTTATATTCTGCAACTTTAGTGAATTTGTTTATAAGCTCTAACAGTTTTTTATTGAGTTTTTATGTTTGTCAATGTCCAAGAGATCCTTTAATATGCAAACAGGGACACTTTAACTTCTTCCTTTTCAATTTGGATCTTTTATTTCTATCTCTTGCCTAATTTCTCAGGCTAGGACTTTTAGTAATATGTTGAATAGTGGCGGCAAGAGTAGGCATCCTTCTCTCATTCCCTGTCTTAAATAAAAATCTTTCAACTTCTCACTTTTGTGTATATTAACTGTGGGTTTGTCATATATGGCCTTTACTGTGTTAAGGTACATTTCTTCTATAACTAACATGTTGAGAGTTTTTATAATGAAAGAATGTTGAATTTTGTCAAATGCATTTTCTGAATCTAGAGACGATAATAACAGTTCTGTCCTTCATTTTGTTAATGTGGTTTATCATATTTATAGATTTGCATATGTTGAAACATCCCTGAGATAAACCCCATTTTATCATTGTGAATGATTCTTTTAACATGCTATTGAATTCAGTTTCCTGGTATTTTCAGTTACGTTAAAACTTCACAATTCTGCAAAGTTAGCAGAAGGAAAGAAATAATAAAGATCAGAGCAGAAATGAATAAATAGAGACTAAAAAAGATAAAGTCAACAAAAGAAGAGTTGGTTTGTGAAAAAATAAACAAAATTAACCAACCTATATCCACAGTAAATAAAAAAGAAATGACTCTTTTTGATGATAAACAAGATCAGAAATGAAAGAGGAGACATTCTGCCAAAACCACATAAATACAAAGGATCATTACAAGATACCATGAAAAATTATATGCCTGCAAATTGGTTAATGTTGAAGAAATTGATAAATTCTTAGACACAATGTAACTTATCAAGACTGAATTATGAAGAAATAGAAAATCTAAACAAACCAATAACTCATAAAGAGGTTCAATCAGTAATAAAAAATCTCCCATTTAAGTAAAGCACAAAACCTGATACTTTCACAGGTGAATTCTCTCAAACATTTAAAGAACAATCCATCTCAAACTCTTCCATAAAACTGAAGAAGAAAGAATACTTACAATCTTGTTTTATGAGGCCAGTATTACCTTGATATCATAGCGAGAGAAGGACGCTACAAGAAGAGAAAATTACAGGCCAACATCCCTGATGAACACAGCAAAAAAGTTCTCAACAAAATTCTAGCAAGCAAAATTCAACAGTACATTAAAGAGATCATTCACCATGCATATAATTGGAATTTAAAAATGCCCAAACCACTAGTTTTACAAGAGAGCTAAAAGATAACTGTATTTTTTTTTTTTATTTTTGAGACGGAGTCTCACTCTGTCACCCGGGCTGGAGTGCAGTGGCACGATCTCAGCTCACCGCAACCTCCACCCCTCCAGGTTTCAAGTAATTCTCTGCCTCAGCCTCCAGAGTAGCTGGGATTACAGGCGCGTGCCACCACGCCCTGCTAATTTTTTGTATTTTTAGTAGAGACAGGGTTTCGCCATCTTGGCCAGGCTGGTCTTGAACTCCTGACCTCGTGATCCACCCACCTTGGCCTCCCAAAGTGCTGGGATTACAGGCGTGAGCCACCATGCCCAGCAAAAAAACTGTATTTTATCACTCAATAAGAAATATTAAGATAAAATAGGAAATTTTATTTTTATAGTGAATAGTTTTTCTGAGATATAGATTGACATTTTCATCTATGACAGAGTAGAGATGATAAATCTGTACAATAAAGTATTTCTAGTCAAAATTTAAAAATCATGGAGAAATACAAGACAATTTTAAAAATATTTTTATTGTATTTTTGATTAAGCAGAATTGTCATTTCTATAACAATGCAAAGAATTTCATGTCCCAGGTCATGCTTGTTTTTAAGCATCTTGAGATGAAGAGAGATCCTAGGTTATCCAGGTGGCTACAATTTAATCACATGAATGACGAAACACAGAATCATTCCTTGCTGTGGTTAATGAAAAATGTGGAGATGAAAGAAGTGTTAGAGAGGTGCACCACCACAAGGACGCCACCTGCCGTTGCTAGGTGTGAAAATGAAGGAAAAATAATAAATTAACATGGAAGGAAACTGATTCTGAGGCAGCATTGTTATTAACTATACAGTCCTTTTGTCAAGTTTTCCGGGTGCATGACCTTTAGCAAGTTACGTAAACTCTCCAAATCTCATTGTCCACATCTATGCAATTTGCTCCCGCCTTCCACATGGTTTTGTTGGAAGTGGCTTCTAGATGTTAAACATTGTTGTTATTGTCATCTTGATATACTTATGCTCTTGCTGTAAATCTCTGCAAGTTTCTGTGTAAACAGCAGACATTAATCATCTGACTTCCCACTCATTGCGGTAGTAGTTTTTGACCTAAGAATCGATAGATGAATAGAAACTAATTTAAGGAGAGGTAGTACTGCTATCTAGAGTGTGTGTGAAATGCTAATGGACCTGAATAATCAAAGGGCCCCTGGGACTGGAATCCAAAAGGTTAAGGAGAAAATAGCAAAAGATGCATCTAGAAGGCAGAAGTCTGGCTGATCAACTGACGCTTGGAGGTCTTATTAGGGAAATATGGTGATGGGCCCAGGTTTGAAAAAGGGTGGCACAAAATCAAGTTTTTAACAAGAAAACTCTGTCACCAGTGGAGACAGTAGATTAGAAGTGAGTCAGAGTTGATGGGAGAAGATTATTTTGGAGAAAGTGCCAGGAGTACAGCTTAGAGGTGACATTAGCATAGATTAAATGGAAGTATAAAAAAGTGGACATTTTCAAACAAGTTTTAGGAATGAAATTGAAAAGATATTATGGATTACAAGAGGCATGAGGAAAAGAATTCTAAGAATGACTTAGGTTTCTGGAATGCTGTATGAATTAGTGGTGGTGTCCTTGACTACTAGCAGTATCACCAAGTGTAAACATTTTGAATAACAGAAGGAAGATAGGTTATATTTCAGAAATGTTGCTTGTAAGGTACTGTTGGGACTTCTAACTATAGTAGAAATATCAAGGTAGCAACTGGACACAAGGATTGGGATAAGCACAAACATAGCAGAGAAACAAATGTGAGAATCAGTGCAATAAAGTAATTGCAATTAAAGATGTAGAAGAAATTACCTAGGCCAAGCATATAAATGTAAGAGAAAGGGGTTGTCCGACATTTACTAGCCAAGCAGAGAAGGTTACTAGATAACCAGAATAAACTAGATAAAACAGAATAAATAACAACAGAAAGCCTAGCAGGGATAAATAAAATATAAAATACACTATCACTTATCAATATCATCGTTTACCTACTAAAGAAACTGAGAATAAATGGGGAAATTGACTAACAACTAATAGACTTAGGAAATCTTAAAACCTAGGTTTCTGAAGTCTTGTTTCTCTTTCATTTTATATATCATTGTTTGTACAACAATGGAATCAAATACTCTTTAAGTAGATATTGATTTATATTAGAATACATCAGTTCTCCAGCTCACTACCATAAAAATCACCGTATAATCTGTTTTCATGCCATTTATGACAAAATGTAGATGGTTCTAAAGACTAACTGCACTAGAGATATCTTGAACTCATAGTATTATTTAGCACCATTTTAAACTACATTAACTAACAAATATCCCCTCATTCTTTGTGAAAACATGTCTTAGTTACCTGGCTTTATGATTATACATAGTACTGAATTAGAAAGTAAAAGTTCATATGTAAGTCATGAAAATGTAGAGAGAAAAATGAATATATCTCAAACACAATAAGATAAAACATTTAGTGAAATTAATACATCCTATGGAAAAATATGCACATATAATTAGACCTAGAAAAAACATAATGATTTGTTCTGAAATAAAAATAACAGTAAAAAAAGAGGAAGATTTGAAATTGCTATGGATCAAGATTCCTTTAATAATTTATAATTATTTCTCATTATTATTCTGACAAAAGATGAATTAAAGGAGAAATTACAGCCCTGTAGAATTAAATAAGAAATGAGATAGGAAAAGATCACAAAACATGAAAGTATTAAATGAATAATTATTTCATATATTTACAAAAAAGTAATGAAAAATAAATTGCTCCCTCTTTTATTAACTTTCAAATGATCTGTTTGTTACATGAGAGACCCAATTTGTCTTCAGCCAATTTAATGACTTTTGAAATTAGGGCAGAGCGCACTGGCTCATGCCTGTAATCCCCACGCTTTGGGAGGTCAAGGCGGGCAGATTACCTGAGGTCAGCAGTTTGAGACCAGCCTGACTAACATTGTGAAGCCCATCTCTACTAAGAATACTAAAATTAGCCAGGCGCGGTGGCAGGCGCCTGTAATCCCAGCAACTCAGGAGGCTGACGCTGGAGAATCACTTGAATCCTGGAGGTAGAGGTTGCAGTGAGCCAAAATTGTGCCATTGCACTCTAGCCTGAGAAAAGAGAGTGAAACACCTTCCCCAAAAAACAAAAACAAAACAAAACAAAACAAAATAAAAACAAAATTGAATCAGCTGTGCACGGTGGCTCATGCCTGTAATCCTAGCACTTTGGGAGGCCAAGGCAGGCAGATTGCCTGAGCTCAGGAGTTTGAGACCAGCCGGGCATCGTGGCAAAACCCTGTCTGTACTAAAAATCCTAAAATTTACCTGCGCGTGGCAGTGCATACCTGTAACCCCAGCTACTGGGGAGTCTGAGGCATGAGAATCGCTTCAATCCTTGAGGTGGAGGTTGCAGTGAGCTGAGATTGAGCCACTTCATGCCAGCCTGGAAGGAGGGAGGGAGGTAGGGAGGGAGGGAAACATTTGAATTAGTGTGATTTTTTTTCAATTCTATCACCTTATATATATATATATTCACCTGTTAAACATTTTAAAATTAAAATCCAGTTGCAGACTTTGCAAATCCATATTTGAACCCCAATTACTAAGAATTTCAAGGTAAGTAAAATGATTTGAAAAACTGATTTCTGATCTATGGTAGACAGACTAATGGTACCCCCAGGATGTTCAAGACTTAATTGCCAGAATCTATAAATATGTTACCTTACATGGCAAAAAAGGGAGTTCCCATATCTAAATAAGGTTAAGAATCTTGAGATGAAGAGATCCTCGGTTATCCCGGTGGGCACAATCTAATCACATGAATGCTGAAAAACAGGATCATTCCTTGTTGTGGTTAATGAGAGATATGGAGATGAAAGAAGTGTTAGAGAGGTGCGCCATCACAAGGACGCCACCTGCCATTGCTAGCTGTGAAATTGAAGGAAAGTAACCATGAACCGAGGAATGTGGCGATCTCTAGATGCTAGAAACGGTTCTGTTTGTAGCCATCAAAAAATTCAGCATGTTACTTCTACAATGTCAAGAACAACATTCTTCAAATGGACAAGGACAAGTCTACAAAAAGGAAAGCAAGCGGCTGACACCTTGGTGTTAGCTCCTGAGACACATTTCGGTATTCTGATCTTCAGAAGTAAATAATAAATTTGTTATTCTAGGCCACTAAATTTGTGGTAATTTGCCATAGCAGCAATAGGAAATGAACACCTGATCTTAAGAAATAGAGAAGGTGAACTGTTTTAGGTTGTTCTTTCCAAAGTGTTTAGTAACTTATTTTCAATAAAATGTTACACGTGTGCATCAAGGAGAATTAGAAACACACAGAAAAGTTTAAAAACAAGAAAAAAATAACAATAACACCACCCGCCAATAATCTTGGATAAAATAGTACATATAGTCTCTTTGTCTCTGTTTTCTTTCTCTCATACACACACACATAAACACATACATCCAGACATAGATATACAAACAAATATACATCATTCTTTCAATATTAATTATGTTGTCTGTTGTGAACTAGGTGGTAACTCAATAGATATATAATATCTAAAGGAAGTAAAGTATTTGAAAGTATTTGCAAACGTTATGGGGAATGTGTATAGGTGACTTACTCCAATATTTCTTGTTAGGGAAGGACTTCAGGGAAAATTGATCTGGTATGTATGAAGAACAGGGTAGTGAAAACTTCTAGATAGAAGGCTCAGGATATGCAAAGCCCCAGAGTGAAAAAGAGTATCACACCTCAAATACAATGAAAACAGGACATTATGGTGGGTCACAACAAAGAAGTTGAAGAGTGGTCAGAGACCAGGGATTAGTAAGGATGTCACACATTAAACTAAGTACCAAGGAAAGTCATTGTTATAACTAATAAACAAATTTAGCAAAATTACAACATGCAAAATTAATATACACAAATCAGGTACACACCTATGTGCTAACAATATGCTATCTGAAAACAAAATTAAGAAAATAATCCCACTTACAATAGCATCAAAAATAATAAAATATTTAGGAATAAACTTAACAAAGAGATGTGCTACAGTTTGAACATTTGTCCCTTCTGTAACTCATGTTGAAATGTAATCTCCAATGAGGCAATACTGAGAGGTGGAGCATTTAAGAGGTGATTGGCTCATAAGAGCTCTGCCCTCCTAATGGACTAATTCATTCATGGATTAAAAGGTTAATGAATTAATGGGTTATCATGGGAGTGGAACTGGTGGCCTTATGGGGAGAGGAAGAGAGACCTGAGCTAGGACATTAGCAAGCTCAATTCCCTTCCTCATGTGATACTCTGCACTGCCTTGGGACTCTTTAGAGTCCCCAGCAGCTCTCACCAGATATGGCCCTTCAACCTTGGACTACTCAGCTTATATAACTGCAAGAAATGAATTCTTTAAAAACAATAAATTACCCAGATTCAGGTATCTGTTATAGGCAACAGAAAATGGAGTGAAAAGGTATCCTACAGAATGAGAGAAAATATTAGAAAAAATCTATCTGATAAGGAATTAATATTCAAAATGTACGAGAATCCCTTATGATTCAATAGCAAAAAAAACAAAAACCTGCTTAAAAATGAACAAAAGAGTTGAATATACCTTTATTTAAAGAATATATACAGATGAGCACCAAGTACATAAAGGTGCTCAACATCATTAATCATCAGGGAAATGCAAATGAAAACCACAATAAGAGATCACTTCACACCTGGTAAGATAAGTATTATTAAAAAAAATAACATGTGTTGCTGAAGATGTGTAGGAATTGGAACTCTTATGCATTATTGATGGAAATGTGAAATATTACCTCTCCCAGTCACTATGGATAAACCATGGAGGTTCCTCGGAAAGTTTAAAATAGAACTACAATATGATCCAGTGAACCCACTTTTAGATATACATGCAAAAGAATTTAAACCAGGATCTCAAAGGGATATCTGGTGCACCCATGTTCACTGCAGTGTTATTCACAAATGCCAAGATACGGAAACAATCCAAGGGTCTATTGATGAATTAACAGGTAAAGGAAACATGGTATATACACTCAACAGACTATTATTCAGCCTTGAGAAATGAGATTCTGCCATTTGCAGCAACATAGGTAAGACACTAAGCCAAGTAAAATAAGCCAGTCACAAAAGGACAAAATACTGCATGATTCCACTAATATGAGGTATCTGAAATAATCAAACACATAGAAGCAGATAATAAAGAGGTAGTTGCTAGGGGCTGGAGGTTGGAAGAAATGGATAATTGTTTCTCAATGGGTTTAAAATTTCTGTGATGAAAGATGAATAAGTTCTGGAGATCTGTGTATAACAAAGTACCTATAGTTAACGATACAGTATTGTACACTTCAAAATATATTCAGAGGATAACTCTTATGTTAAGTACTCTTACCAAAGGGGGGAAAAAAGACTGAAAACAAAAAAAAAGAAAAACAAACTCAATAAATAAAGACAAGAGAATTGTGTAGTGAATCTATTTAGTACCTTGGTTTAAGGTATTAAGGATGTATGCATATATCTAAACTCATCAGCAGGATGTGGGGGTTCATGCCTATAATCTTGCTGCAATTGTTGGAGGCTGAGACTAAAGGCTGGCTTAAGCCCAGGAGTATAAGATCAGCCTGAGAAACATAGAGTGACCCCATCTCTACAAAACACAAAAATAAAATAAAATTAGCCAAGCTTGGTGGTGCTTACCTATGGCCCAGCTACTCCAAGCTACGCAGGAGGCTGAAGCGGGAGGATCGCTTGAGCCAGGAAGGTCAACGGTGCAATAAGTCATGATCATGCCACTGTACTCTAGCCTGGGGGACAGAGCAAGATCCTGTCTCAAACAAAAAACAAACAAACAAAATTATCAAAATGTGTACATTAGGACCAGGCACTCATGCCTGTAATCCCAGCACTTAGGGAGGCCAAGGCGGGTGGATCACCTAAGGTCAGGAGTTCGAGACCAGCCTGACCAACATGGTGAAATCCTGTCTCTACTAAAAATACAAAAATTAGCTGGGCGTGGTGATGGGCACCTGTAATCCCAGCTACTCAGGAGGCTGAAGCAGGAGAATTGCTTGAACCCAGGAGGTGGAGGTTGCAGTGAGCTGAGATTGCATCACTACACTCTAACTTGGGCAACAAGAGCAAAACTGCGTCTCAAAAAAAAAAAATAGGGAAGAAAATGTACATTAAAGGTGTACTATTTTTATATAACAATTGTACTTCAATAAAGCTTTTAAAAGATGCAATAAGAAAGACCTTTCCAAAAACAGAAACAGCTAGCATTTTATCCGCACATATCTAGCTTTCACTGTTTTCTATTCATTTAATGTGGTTTGCAGTAACTCTTTTTGATACACAGATTTAGATCTTCTGATGCCTCATCCACAGCTTATAAAATTGCTTTTGTGTGTTTAGTTTGTGCTTTTGGTCACTCTATTCTGGAATCTTTTTCAGAAAGTACACTCAGCTGTTTATTAGCTGTTCTCTGTATCTGTCATCTTCCCTCTTTTTATTTTAAATTTTATAGTTTACATCTGCATTCTGAATGTCTGTATAGACAATGGATTCATTTTTCCATAGCATTCATTTTTCCATAGCATTATTAACATTATAATGTATTGTTCCTCATTTATTTCTAATCTTATAATTTCTGTTGAGTGTCTTATGATCTTTTTTTCATTTTTATTTAATAGAAATAGTTTTGTATTCATGTTAAAGGTATTAAAACCACTTAATTCTTCCCAAGCTGAATATTTTCCTAAAATATCCTCTTTTCTTATCTTAGTAACATTTTCTTCTTAAGGAAAATATTTCAAATTTTCTGATTGAGTTTGCAAAAGTAATGGTAGTTAGTCCATCTTCTATTAATAAGGCAGGTCTATCTAGAAAAAAAATTTGAGCCAAAGTAGGGTTTGTGGATTCCCTTTGGACTTCACAATAGGCACATCCTGTGTGAGTCCTCCAATCAGACCTTAATTAGGCCACATGACAGATGTAAATTTACATCAGCATCTAGAATCAAAACAGCTATGGCGATTGTCAGTGAGCGAGAACTGTGGGCACTGTGTCCCCATATATCTTCTTGTTATATCTGGGCAAATATTTTTGCTTTCCTATTTCATAATACCTTTATGCATGTACAAATTGAAGCCTTGACTGACTGAAGTAGGCTGGACAATACACCAGTGTATTTGTAATGTTCAAAAGATGCCACTAAGGAGATAACATGGTTACAGAATCAGGACTTTCCTATATCAAGGAAGACATGTACATCTACTTTTTGTTAAAAACTCATGTTGAGTTTATAATCACTTTCCATTGCTCTTTGCCCTAGAATCCTTTTTTAATTAATTTTGCTTAATGATATATTATTATTATACTATAAAATTTTATCTAATTATAAATTCCATCTGAAATATATTTTCGAGTACAACACAATTATCCCAACACCATTTATTAAATGATCAATATCTCACTACACTTTTAAAAGCCATTTTTATTAAAACAGGAAAAACATTATGTTACACACAAACTTTTTCTTCACAGCCCCTTTTTGAACTATACATAAATAATATACTTTCTTTCAATTTCGAGAAAAGTACAGGAGTTGTTTTGGTGGAATCTCATGAATAATAGATGTCGCAAGGATAACATGATGAATTAGAGATGAATATTCTGAATTTTTATGTGCATTTCTATTTGTCTATCATGGCATGAGTCCAAACTTTTTAAATTAGTCTAGCTTTATAAAGAATTTTAATATCTGGAAATGCAAGACCATTCCCCATATTAACTTACTATATGTCAGAGGCTAATTATTTGAATGAAATTTATATAATTTTGTCAATTCAGGCCAAAACAATTTTGTATTTTGATAGTGAGTTTATTGTACTTATATATCAATTTGTGAGAATCAACATATTTGAAGTATTTATACTTCCCTTAAGGGACATTCTCTATCTCCCCATTCAGTTAGAATTAACTTCTGCCTGTAATTAGAATTTTATGTTTTTTTACAGACTCTGCACAGGTTTGTGGAATATGTATACACAGTTTTTTTTAAGTTGAATAAAATTGGCTCATTGTGTTTTTTAACATTTATTTATCTTAAATCATATTTAGTGGTATATGCAAACTTCTACCTATATTCTACACAAAATTATACATAACAAAAGTCACATTTGAATTAATTCATTTTTAAAACAGATTTTAAGTTATTTTGTTCCTTTTCCACTAATACTGAGTGTATTAGTCTGTTCTCATGCTGCTAATAAAGACATACCTGAGACTGGGGAATTTGTAAGGAAAAGAAGTTCGATTGACTCACAGTTCCGCGTTGCTGGGGAGGTCTCAGGAAACTTACAATCATGGCAGAAGGCACCTCATCACAGGGTGGCAGGAGAGAGAATGAAGACTGAGCAAAGGAGGAAGCCCCTTATAAGACCATCAGACTTCCTGAGAACTCACTTACAATCACTAGAACAGTATGGGGGAAACTGCCCCCGTGATTCAGTGATCTCTACCTGGTCCCGCCCTTAACAACATAGGGATTATTACAACTCAATGTGAGATTTGGGTGAGGACACAGAGCCAAACCATATCCCTGAGAAGCACACATTGTGCCCTATTATGACAGGCAAGTTACGTGTGTATTAAAATCAAAGCCGTAGACTAGGAAATTATGTTACTCATTAACAAGCAACCATAAAAAAGAAGATAACTTTTGAAACTTCCCTTGAAACTCTTCTCCTCTGTCAAATAGCACAAATCTCCAATATGGTATAAACAAATGTTTTCAATATAGTTATTTTATAAAGTAAACATATTTGATTTAATTTAATCAGAATGAAAAAAGTGTAGGGAGTGATATTAGTAGGAATTTATGAATAAAATATTTACCAACTAAAAAGAGTACATGCTAACAGTTAAAGTTAACTTGTCTTCAATAAGACTAATTGCTAACTGAGAAAAATATTTTCTTCAAACAGTATTATGAGATAAAAAGAATACTGTGTTCATTTCAAGGATATGACATACTTCTAAATTTTTCTCTTAAAATTGTATGAACTTATTAAGGGAAAGCATCACATACTCTTCAGCTTTGTAGTTCCAAAATAACACAAGACTAGGCACATATCTGTTCAACAGTGTTTGAGAGAATTGATGATGTGTTTCTCATCATTTTCATTTCTCCTAGTACATAGTATTTGAATGAGATAATTCATCTTTCAGATTTCTTTGAATGGTAAGACCATGTTTCTAGATTGCAAAATTAATGTTTTACGATGATAGTATTTTGAAATTTGTGAGAGTTGTAAGAGTTAACTTCTTGGCTGTTTTAAAGGAATCTTAGAGGAAATTTGTCTCCTAATCTCTCCCAACTAAAAATAATAACAAGCTTATATTTAAAATTACACACTGTGCTACTAAACAGAATTTCTAGAAAGTGATGCTCAGACACGTACGTGAACATTAAAAAATAAATGCACTCCTTGTTAAGTAACAGTAAATTACATATGTGATTACCTTGGGGTTGATAAGTCTTTATCTGGAGGTCTTAGAAAGCTTATAAATTTTGCCTAAACTTGATTATATTTACTCAGCACCACCTCAATAAAGTTACAAATTATGTATGTATACACACACATACACACACACACATGTGGTAGCAAATAAGTCCATCTGTTTCACTTAACATTGACATGCCTAGTTGCCTCATCTTAACATATCTAAAACATCTTTGTCTGAACATTCTGCACATACTAAATCTAAGCATGTCAATGGCACAAGCTAGAGTCATAAAATAATTTTATCAGTATCTTAGCTTTTCCCCAAAGCTGTGGTTCCAGAGTATGATCAAATAATTGTCCTAAGGAATAATTGCTGAATTAGATGTATATATATGTGTGTGTGTGTATATATATGATATATACATATTATATATATCTTATATATAACATATACACATATATATCTTATATATATCTACATATAAGATATATATATGTATATAACATATATATATGTATATAACATATATATATATGTATATAACATATATATATATATATGTATATAACATATATATATATATATATATATATATATATAGCTTTTTTTTTCTTTTTTCTACACCTATCTTAGCTGCCACCATTCTTCTGCTGCCCTTTTCCTATACCAGACAAGATATGGGAAAGAAAATTCTAACCAAAGAGCGAATGAGAGAGGAAACAGGAAACTTAGATTCTGATGTGGGTGTCATGCCATCATTCTTCTCCTCTCAGACCAGAACCCCAAATGTAGACAATAGGCCTTCCAGAAAATACAGGATCCACCAGAGTCACATAGAGTCGAAGACAAGTTAATATTTACTACAGAAAAATTAAAATTATGGTACCTTTTCTCAGGCCTTTCCCTTTTCTGCTGTTTGGAATGGTTTCTGATGGGTGAAACTCACGCAGCCAACTTTGGCTCTGAGATGAAACCATTAATGGTGAGCATGAGGGTAGAAGAGCCTGGAAATAGAAGGGTCCAGGCTTCAGGTGATTTGAAGCTGTTTTCAAGCTGTCTTGAAGCTGTCCTTCCAATCTGGACTAGATTTCATTTGTAAACATAAGACAGAAATGCACTTTAATCTTGTTAAAGACATATTATTTAGCGGTTCTGTCCAAAAATAATATGTAGGATACCTCATACACAACAATTATAAATAGTGGTAGAGGGAGAAACTAGAGAGAACCCTTTGAAGGGTGTTTTTTCACATAAGCATGGATCAGAGGAGCTGCATCTGACATGTTAATAGTATCAATCAATGGCCCAGGAAAATAACGGTAACAGAAAAGCCCAGTACCTGCAACACTGGAGGAAAAGCAGGACAAACACATCCTCACACATCCCCCTACCAGTGACACTCAATGATAGCAGGGAGACTTCTTTTTAGGTGGGGAAGTGGGGTGGAACACATTAAGGTCTTATAATTCTCAAAGTAAGGACCAATAAGGTAGTTAAATTTGGATATTATTACATGCCGTGCGATGGTAATTTTTTCCTTTTTTGTAAAATGTAACACATCGGGAAATTAACTTCACAACCCTACATCTTGGCATTGGTTCCTACAAAACAGAGCCTGAGGCAAAATTTTATTTTGGGAAGTAGAATCACTGAGAAGGAAGAGAGAGAAAAGGCAGAGTGAGAATGACAGGCTTTTACATACACTTTAAAGTCAACGTCATTTTTGATTTAGTTCATCAGCCTGAAAGGCATGCATACACATCACAAGTGGAAGCAAAAAGGTGAAGGCTGGGAGACATTTCCTAGTAG
Organism: Homo sapiens; assembly: GCF_000001405.40. Classification (NCBI taxonomy): domain Eukaryota; kingdom Metazoa; phylum Chordata; class Mammalia; order Primates; family Hominidae; genus Homo; species Homo sapiens. The sequence continues at coordinate 23,119,736 of NC_000021.9, read as the reverse complement.
GGAAGAAGATAAAGAGGAAACAAGGTATGTATTACATGCCATAGTGGTTAAGTTTCAGTTTATTTGATCCTTGTAAGGTGCTGTGGTTTGGATGTTTGTCTCTTCTGAAGCTAAAATTGAAATTTGATCTCAATATAGCATTAATGAGAGGTGGGGCTTTTAAGAGCTGATTGAGTCATGAGGGCTCTGCCCTCATGAACAGATTAATAAATTTCTGAGTTAATAGAGTAATGGAATCCTGAATTAATGGGATATCACAAGAGTGGGACTGGTGGTTTCATAGAAAGAGGTAGATAAACCTGAGCCAGCTTGCTCAGCTGCCTCATCACGTGGTGACCTGCACTGACTTGGGACTCTACCAAGCCCCCACCACCAAGGAGCTTCTCACCCCATGCGGCCCCTTAACTTTGGACTTCTCAGCCTTCATAACTGAAAGAAATAAATTTGTTTTCTCTATAAATTACCCAGTTTCAGGTATTCTGTTACAAACAACAAAAATGGACTAAGACATAAACAGTAAAAGGAGAAAATTTTGTTGATGTGGTATATAAATGAAATAGTAACAAGTCTTAAGCTTATTAATGTATAAAACTAACTTTGACGGCTGGGCATGGTGGCTCATGCCTGTAATCCCAGCACTTTGGGAGGCCAAGGCGGGTGGATCACAAGGTCAGGAGTTCAAGACCAGCCTGGACAACATGGTGAAACCCCATCTCTACAAAAAAATACAAAAATTAGCCAGGCGTGGTGGTGCATGCCTGTAAATCCCAGCTACTGGGAGGCTGAGGCAGAAGAATTGCTTGAACCCAGGAGGCGGAGGTTGCAGTGAACTGCGCTCATGCCACTACACTCCAGCCTGAGCAATAGAGCAAGATTCTGTCTTAAAAAACAAACAAACAAACAACAAAAAAACTAACTTTGTCATCCAAAACAGATAACTTTAAGTAAAATCTTAAGTGTCAAAGTGTTCAAGGAATGTAATGCTATGTTTGTGTACAAGCCCTTTCCTTATCAGAAAAAACCAAGTTAAGGATGAAAGTTTTAATGACAGATGTTGAGAAATATTACAGATTTCATATATTAAGATTTTGTTAAACCATTTTATTTTGATATGAAAACCCAACCTTTAGAGATATGAAGAACTCTTTTGGGAGAAGAATTCACATTCCATTTTAGTTTATTAACCTAGACTCAACCCAGGCACAGACAGCCTCTAGAAAGACTCTTTGAATTTACCATCAGCTTGGAAAAATGTTTACTTTAGATCCAAGATTAAATTGAGGAACAGAAATTTTAAAAAATTAAAGAGTATAAGCAATCCATTTCACATTCCACATTTTGTAAACTCTGATTTGTACCCATTTAATGTAGGAACTGCATCTGGGCTTGCTGAGATTTCAGGCCAAGGAGTGCCTGCATAATAGACCACTTAAAACTCCTGGAATTGTAGTGAGCTCATTTTGACAGATGGTTATGAAGCTGTTGGAAATGGTTTGCTGAGATGAGTGTGGAATTCCAAAGCACTGCTTGCTTGCTGAATTCCAATGGATGGTGAACAGCCCGCTTTGGAAAGGTAACTTCATAATGATTTTCAAACACTGGGTGGATTTCCAGTAAAAAGGAAGGTAGAAGCTTATGAATGTAGCCAGTTATGCTGTGGCATGATATTATAATCCCTATTGGGACTAAGAATAATGTGAAAGGATAGGCAAGAATGATAATTTTAAATATCTTTATCAGACTTGAACAGCCTCAAACAAAACATAGCAGAAACAAGTGCCCTGAAAAACATAAAATGTCAGGAGAGGGATTCCATTTAGTCCCAGACACAATTAAGTCTTGGGCAGGATTGTCAAGGTGCTAGCATCTCAGCGAGCAGATCTGAGGAAGGAGGTTTTACATAAAAGAAAAGTGGTAGCCTGCCATAAGTGAGAGACGAAAGGTTTGTTGACGTGGTTGGTTTGGTTTTGTTTTCATGCATATTCCTCCCAGGGAAAAGAGAAATTTCTATTTTAGTCAGGGCAAATGTCTCTGATTATTTTAGAAAATGTTGCAGCAATGGCAGGCACCTGATATCCAGAAGCTAAATTGCCAAATGAACAACGTAAAGACAATAACCTTCGAGGCCATTTGGACTCGAAACCAACAAGGCTGCTGTGACTCTAGCTAAATGCTCGTGTCTTCTAAAACAAGTTTTTGGCAAAATTGGAAGTCTCTGAATATTCAGGATACATTTCTTAAATTTATACTTGAGTGTGGGTGAAAGTTTGCTAAAATTCATACTAAATCAGAGTTTTTGATTCTTGGGACACTGACTCAAGGACAATGACATTTAGAAATCCTGGAAAAAAACAACATAGAGCCAGTCATGCCAGGCAGTGGCCCTCTTAGCTCTAGGCTGCATTTTCACTTCAATCATTTGCCATTCACTGAAACCCTAAAATGTAGTGGGCGGATGCATTTGTTTCCTATTGCTGCTGTAAGAAGCTACTCCAAATTAAGTGGGCTATAATAGCACAACATTATTATCTTACAGTTCTGGAGGTTGGAAATCTGAAGTGGGTTGGCAAAACTGCATTACCTTTGGAGGCTCTAGGGGAGAATCTATTTCCTGGCCTTGCACATCTAGAGGCCATCTGTATTCCTTGGCTTCTGTCCTTTTACTCCATATTCAAAGACAGCAAAATAGCATTTTCATGAAAAAATATGTGTATACATGAAAAATACATATGCATACACATGAATATATATATAGAGAGCCCTATCGTTCATATCTAAATGATGATCTATCATCTACCTATCATCTCTATCATGTTTATGTATCTATCTATCTATATATCTATTTTCTATCTAATCTATCTACCTATCATCTCTACCATGTTTATGTATCTATGTATGTATCTATCCATCTAATCTAGCTGCCTATAATCTCTATCATATTTATGTATGTATGTATGTATCTATCTACCTACCTATCATCTCTATCATGTTTAGGTATGTATGTATGTATCTATCTATCTAATCTATCTACCTATCATCTCTATCATGTTTATGTATATATGTATGTATGTATCTAATATTCTAAAAAAAAGTGAGATGACCGTGAGGGCTTGCATTAATTTGGATATGAACAGTCAGACGTATCATAAAGCTAATAAATCTAATCATATCAAAAAGATGCTATTTTAAATAACTATTTTAAATAAATTTTTTCTGGCAGTAGCTTTGAGTGCCCTGAGCAAATATGTCTATCTACTTTTCAGATCCTGGAAAAGTTTCTCATCTAATTGCCATAGGGTCACCAACTGAGTTAGGCATTGGTTACCCAAGCTTAATGCTGTTATTATATATTAGGGTCATTTTTTCCTGTAGAGTAATTGTGCTTAACTCCTGATATTTTTTGGCTGTGTCCCCACATAAATCTCATCTTGAATTGTAGCTCCCATACACCATATGTGTTATGGGAAGGACCCGGTGAGAGGTAACTGAATCATGGGGACATTTTCCCCCATACTGTTATTGTGGTAGTGAATAAGTCTCACAAGATCTGATGGTTTTCTTAAGGCATTTCCCTTTTCACTTGGCTCTAATTCTCTCTTGCCTGCTGCCATGTAAGACGTGCCTTTAGTCTTCTGCCATCATTGTGTGAGGCCTCCCCAGCCACGTGGAACTGTGAGTCCATTAAACCTCTCTTTATTTATAAATTGCCCAGTCTCAGGTATGTCTTTATCAGCAGCATGAAAACAGACTAATACCATTCCTGAAATGTGGTGTCATCTCTAGTTTGGTAGACAGATGACCAAACCTGCCCTATATCCTCTTAATAAATTTTTCATTTTTCCAGGTTTTTGTGGCTATTGAAGATAAAACACTCCCAAAAATTTGATTGCTTTTTGTCAAATTCATATTTAATGCACTATATTGAATGAAATAAAACTCTTAAATAGCTTGGTAAATAAAATAAAAGCAATTACAAAACGATTACAAAACCTATCAAGACCATTATTCATGGGTTAATAAATGATTGTTGCTTAGCATCTGAGGGATCAGGATTCCATAATGTATTTGAATTTTTCCAAATATTTCTACTCTAATCATGGAATACTATATTCTCTCCATCAAGTCCAAATTGTCAGTAAGAAAAGGTAAAAAGTTAATTTGTTCAATGTGATTTGGCAAAGCACATGCTTCATTTCTAGAACTAATCTCTAAAAATTGTATTTTTGCAGCCTTTATTTTCAACTGAGTTATCTTGAATTAAAGAATGCTTCTGTCTTCGTATACACTATTGAAGGTACACAAATATGACTAATGCGTGTGAGTTTACCACTCTTCATAAAAAAGCAATTTCCAGTATATAAAGTCTTATGAGTTAAAATAAAGCACGATATATATCAAACACACACACACACACACACACACACACACACACACACACATGCATATAGATATATGGGGAAAAACATTAAAATGCTTGTGAATAAGCCATAATAAAACAACTTCCAAAGTTGATGTTCAACTACATAATTTATTATGTAGATTTGAAAAGATTATTTAATTTTTTCTTCAAAATGCTGATCAGATGTAAAATGTCATAATAAAATTACTCCTAGAATTACATAATTGTACAGTGTTTGTCAGGAAATTTTTATATTACATGTGAAAAAATAGTTTATCAAAATTTAACTTATAATGAAATTTTATAAATATATATATAAAATTAAAACCTCCAGCATATACCAGGATTTTTTCCCTAATATCCACTTCATTTATAATCTACTATATACATAAGTGACAACATCGGCAAGTAATTAGATATAGAGACCTAATTGTGGGATTGGGTTAGAAAGCTTGATTTGATTCTGGTCTATATAACTCATTTATTGTGAAAATTTGAGTGAATTATTTATCTTATCTATGACTCCCTGAGTGTGGCGATTCTAATGTAGTACCCACACTATCAGCATCTGCATTACTTGGAATTGCAAATTTACCTGCCACACCTTAGGTTTACTAAATTACATTCTCTGCGGTCCTGAAATACATGTTGTTAAATGCCCTAGAGCGGATGGTAAGGCAAGCTTACATTTGAGAATGACTTGCATAGTGGGCTCTTTTATGCCCTTCCCAAATCCCTTATTCACAATCTGCACACTCAACTCTTTAGTTTTCAGACTATCAGCTGCTGAAGATGCACAGCTATAAAATTCACTAGGATTTACCCTCAGCTGCAGCCTTGCCTAGAAGCTGGCTCAAACTGCAGCTAGGAGCTGGAGAGAGGCAACAAATGATAATTTTGTCTGTCATTCTATGGCAATGGCCTGGCAATCTGGAGAGAAAGAGTATTATTTTTGAATTCGTGATTGAAATATGAATTAACACTTTTGAATGGAAACTTTTAATTCCTAAATCAAGAATAGGGCTTGCCACTTAACATGAGTAGAGAGTCATGTATTATTTTGCTACACAGCTAGTGTTAATGGTGGAAGAATTGAATAGAGGAGCAGGAATATTCTTTCTCAGTATGTGATAGATGGTAGTGTAAGCTGCTCTACAGTCTCTGCACTGGCAGCTGTACAAAGCTGACACTTTCATGAACTTTTTGAGACACTCTTCAGACATTTTTATGCTGTCATGACAATTCCTGTGACGTGATCAATGAACGTTTCACCCATCCCTGGCATTACCTTAATCCTTCACTCACAGACTCTCACTATTGAAGTCATCTCACCTCTCCCCGTGGTTCTCTAGGACTCACTTTCAAATGGCCCTGAGCTGACTTTCTAACACTCTTGGCTCAACTATGTCCCCAAACCCTCTGAGAGGGCAGATTGAACCCAAAGCAACTATTCCCATTTTTGCCTTAGACATGACATTCTGTGGCGTTCTCTAAAGGCAAGGTATATACTACAAACTCTTAGTGATTTCATGAATGCCATTTCAATAATCTTCAGACAACTTGGATAGCAAAATCCTCTTACATCACTGTAGAAGCCAACTTCTCTCTCCAAAATTTTTCTTCATGTCTGCTCTGCAAATCATATTTATTTGCTTTGTGTGATTTTGAGCCTTCTGATTGATGGTCTACGGCTTACATTTCTAAATTATAAAATACCAGCTGTGACATTTCATAATGTGATTTTAGGGTAATATATATATAGGTGTGAATATATATAGATTTCTAAATGTAATATTTACTGTGAAATCTTCATTTCATATTCTTCTTATTTTCTAACATATCTTCATGTTTACTGAGTGATGCGCTAAAGATAGAAACTATTCTTTTACCATGCTATCCATTTTTAAAATATTATACTTTTTAAAATTGAGGACGTAGATGTTCACAAGTCTTATTAGTTATGAGTTTGCATTATTCTCTTAAAAAAATCACAGTATTCATTAGAATCTCAATGAATCTTCATCACTCCTTGAGTCTTTAATATATCAGCAGAAAAGATATTTAAGCCTTTATCTGGTCTGCCAGACGTGATAGACAGCTGCTTTATAAATCTTACATAGATCGATAACAAGGAATTACGAAGAGTTTTTTTTCCCGCAAGAAGTAAAATCAGAACACATTTTCTTAAAGAGACATTATCATACTGAATATCTATAAAAGACACAGTGTTAAAATTACATTTTTAGCATTTAGTGGAGTTTGATCACAAGCGGTTGGAAGAAACTTCATAAACCAGTAATTTAGTAGAATAAACAGGCAAAATTTTATTTCTCTTGAAATATTTTTAGAACAGAAATGAGTTGAGAAGTATTACAGAAAAATGATGGAGAACTTTCTAAGATGAAGAAATGGCCCACTGCTCAAATAATTTAACATTATTTTAAATTTGACTAATTGATTCATTAAAAACTCACTCATAAGATAGCTATCATATAACAATATTTTTTAAAAATGACAACATACTGTAATATCCAAGTGTTGTTTGTGAAAATAAAATAAGTTGCTGTAATCATTTTTATTTTTATATTTGATATCTTAGTAGTTATGTTGGTAAAATTAGTACAAATTTGGCAAATGCCATGTATTTAAAAAACCTTCATGTTTTATGTATTTTCTATATATTATGTATTTAAAATAAATTTTGTTGACATGCTTGAAAAAATTTTGAAATATGTTTATTTTTCCACTGTGATTTTTGCCATTTGTATATATCTAGACCTGTTTTACTTGGTGAGCAGAGTACTTTTAATAGCAAGAAATACCTTCATATAAATTATTTTCTCTTTAATTCTCCACTGTTCAGTTCTTATTGTTGTCTTCATCTATATACGCATAGATTTACAAAATGCACATGATCCCTGAGGCACATTAGTTGTGACCATAATTCTGATATCAGAACTGCCAAATTTGTCCATTTAAAACATGAGTTAATTATCTTTCTGTTTTAAGAACAGAGAAATGATCATGTTAAAGACTTTGCTAAAACAAACTAATGTGGATATGATGTATAATAAAAACCTGTAGCAAATGATGCTGTCAGTAACTTAACATATATTTTCTGAAATATACTTAGGTGATAGTCTAGTTTTCAGTGTAAGGATATTCCATTAAATGAGAGAAACAATGTTCCAGGGCTTAATGATACTATATTCAATTAAATAAAGAAAAAAAATCAGTAAAAGACAAATAAGTGAAAACTGGTTTGTATTGTGATAAACACTGTAGTGGATATATACTAGGATATATACTGTAGTGGACACATATACTGATGTGTGTGTCTGTGACAGAGAGAGAGAGAGGTGGAAGAATGGTCTATGTATGAACCTGTGAGAGGCTGTTAATTAGCATAGTCTGCCTGTGTAAATGATATTATAGCTGAGGCTAAAAGGTTGATAATTAGTCAACTAAAAGAAGACCCAGGAAAATGGGGCCTTTAGAGGGTTAAAAAAATTGCAATTTCAAGGTTATGAGACAAAAAACCCCACAGAACCAAAAACAAAGAGAATCAAATTAAAAAAAGAAAGAAAGAAACACAGAATTGTGAAGTTACCTTAGAGAAGTAGGCAGGGAACAGATAATATATGAATGTTGAATGTCCAAAGGAGTTTGGAACTTAATTGCAGAGCAAAGAAAAGCCATTGTGTGTATGTGGCTGAACATACATAACATAAATTAACCATTTTAACAATTTACAATTGTATAATAAAGTATATTATTCACAGTTATGCAACCATTACCAACATCTTCAGAACTGTTTCATCTTCTGCAAGTGAAATTCTATACCCATTAAATGCTATCTCCCTATTCTTCCTCCTTCCAGATCATGGACACTGTAAATGATAAACCAGGAGTGTGGCCTACATCCTGTTACTTGCTGCACAGAAAGCCACTCACTGGAACAATGAGTATCACCAGGGAAGAAGACTTAATTTGTGTGTAGCAGCCAGTGAGATGGGAGATTAGTCTCAAATTCATCTCCTCAACCCACTAAAATTAGGGCTTCATACAGCAGGAAGGAAATGTTACCACGTGTAAAACAACAGGAATTAGAGAGGGGAAAAGAAGAACTGGTCAACAGGAAGCAGGTAGTTGGTCAGGTAATCAGGACGGATAAGGGGTTTGGCCTCTCATTGTCTGGAAGCGGTGATCCAGTAAATTTTAGTTCTGTGATACTACCTGGGAGGGCTGATGATTCCCTGAGGTAGGAATTCAGATAATACAAATGTAACTTTCTCAAATTTTAAGACTGACAGGGTCAATTTCTATGTTACTTAGAAGAAACTATGAACATTAGTTACATGGAACAGCTGGGCTTGTTTCAGTCCCTCCACTTTCTAATTACTAATTCCTCAATCACGGGAATCTAGTCGTTGATTTTTTTTATTTTTTGGCTGTTTCATGTTGAGGAGGGGTGTTTTGGGCATCTCCATACCATGAATGACCACATGTCCCCCCAAATAATTAAAGGTTAATTTAATATTATAGTTTCTTTTCTGAAACACAATTTTTTTTCTGATCCCCTACTTTTCTCAAGGACAAATTGTAGCAGAACTAACCTACCTATAAAATAAGCTTTAGTCTCACTATACCAGGCCTAATTACCCACACAAAGTATAGCAAGAATCATTGTCCATAGAGGCTTTCCTAAATTGGCTTTGATGAAACCTCTCACAAGGAATCTCAGACTTGACCTCTAAAGGCCTCTCCAGCCCAACCAAGGATTCACCCGCACCTGCAGATTATGTACATGAACTGTGTGAACTTCTTTTTTATTCAGGCCTCACAACAACTTGAGACTCCTAGGCCTGTTCAGAAAGTGATACTGTCTACTTATCACAGACCAGGAACCCTACTAAGGAACTGCACAGATAAGATACAAGGCTATTCCTCCTTATGAGTTTTCATTGGCTCTATAAAATAAATATTAATTTTTCAAATCAGTATTCTTACATGTGAAAATATATCATGTCAGCCAAAGCCCTGGCAAAATAAAAAGTTCCTCTATGTGTGTTTTGTTATAAAAGTAAACAGATTTTTACTGGCAAAAGTCTTAGGACAGCCATAGTTAAAGAAACCGTTGACAAGGAAATTTGGTTATTTTTAGGCATATAATTATTTAATATAATTATAATCATTTCTGACAACATATATGACATATTAGAATTTTACTAATCTCATATAATTTTGGAATATATACTATTAACATTTATGTAAATATAATTTAAATAAATTTAAACACTATATTTGATGATGTTTTTTATGTTTTTAATATACCAAATAAGCTTAATATGTCTCTCTTGGACTTCAGGGGACCCAATATCCAGAAAAATTTAGTTTGAGGTCAAAAATACTGAAATTAGAACTTGAAAGTTTGCTTGTGGAAAGTTTGTCGATGTTTTTCAAATATCACACTTGATATCACAAAATAGAATCACAGGTCACTATAAAATAATCTTTCATTTGATCAAAATGATAATTTAAATATTTAAAACCAATGAAAATCTTTCTTTTGAATAAAATACAGTTTCTCAAACAATATGACTTAGTAAAGACTGCATGGGCCTGGTGCAGTGGCTCACGCCTGTAATCCCAGCACTTTGGGAGGCTGAGGTGGGTAGATCACGAGGTCAGGAGTTGGAGACCAGCCTGGCCAACATGATGAAGACTGGTCTCTACTAAAAATATGAAAATTAGCTGGGCGTGGTGGCGGGAGCCTGTAATCCCAGCTATTCGGGAGGCAAAGCAGGAGAATCACTTGAACCCGGGAGGCAGAGGTTGCAGTGAGCCGAGATCGTGGCGTTGCACTCCAGCCTGGGTGACAGGGTGAGACTCCACCCCCCTACAAAAAAAGAAAACATAATGCCAACTAAATCTATCTCTTTCCGCTTTCTTTTATTTTGCAGTTTATTTAAAAGGTAAATAAAATTTTCAAAATTACTTTTATTAGTATTATATAAAAACTTTCGTTTCAAAGGGAAAACAAAATTTTACTTTATAAGTTGTATTGTTAATGTTAAAGTTAATTTTATTACAACTTTATAAACAAACTTATTTAATTTTAATCAGTTTGACCATAAGGTAAAATTTTTGAAAAGCATTTATAATTTTTTATTAAGGAGCATATTAATGCTCCAAGAAAACTCTATTTTTTCTGACAGAGGGGCCCAGATACTGGCCTTGCATTAGTGTGCTTTTGATATCAATGTTTGACTTACAGAAAAACTATGAATTAATTTTATCCCTCAAAATCAGACCTTAAAATCTCACATACCCACCTCTTCTGAAATAATGCTTGGGCCTAGAGCAATTGAACAGTTTTAATTTCTGGCCCCGTGTCTCACAAAAGCAGTTCATTTTTATTATCACCTTCTCCTAGGTCTGCAGATGAGGCTTTGACTGATGTCAGTGTCTAAGAATTACCAAGATTTGATGACTTTTTCAGACCCAGGAGTAAAAACCTGTAATTTATTAGCACAAAGATTAGTTAACAGCACATTTATACTGCAGAAAGTCCTATCATTCTCTCTACCATGCCACAAATTAAAACACTGTGATTGGTGTCTAGTAGTTATTGCTCATAGCACTTTAAACCATTATATTAAAGTGGTGAGGTTACTCCTTGCATATATCTAATTGCTGGCATTCTAGAGACAGAACTGTGACCAAAAGCATCAGAAATGTGATAGGTCTTATGCCAAACATAGGAAAGTAAGACAATTAATTTTTCCCCCTACCATTTAAAAAACAATGGTAAATGCCAATATCAGTTCTGGAAATCAAGTATGAGGATAAATAATCCCCTTTTATTTGAATATTATGTAACAAAACAGGGACAAGGTAAGCAAAAGCGCACAGTAATTATTTCCTATTTAAATGAGTATCATTACATATTTTTAAGATTGATTTTTAGACAAGAGTACTGACAACTGATCAGGTATCTTTTACCACTACAATCTTTAAAGCAGTGCAATATTTGTACATATTTTGTTTCTAAATACACACATGAAGTCCAAACAGTGATAAAGGCTTGGAATTAAAAAGTACTAGAAAGCCTCATATTTTAATTTATTATTATTTAATCCAAGTGAATGTCACTTAATTTTAATAATGGTAAACACATCTGAAGTCATTTGAGAGAAATCCAAGTGAATATAATTTTTAAGAACAGGGCCAATTTTTTCTGAACTTTTAAAATTTTGTACCCATATTATAAGTTTGTTTCATCACCTAAAGGAAAAGATCTAAAACCAACTCAAAGTATTGATTGAATTGAATTACTTAGAAAATAAACATCATTTAAATATTTTTATTTTTACTTACTTTTTAATTTTAATTTAATTTTATTTATTTTTAATACAGGGTCTTACTCTGTTGCCCAGTCTGGAATGCAGCAATGTGATCTCAGCTCACTGCAACTTCTGCCTCCTGGGGTCAAGTGATCCTCCTGCCTCAGAACCCAAGTAGCTGGGAATAAAGGAGTGCACCATCACACCCAGCTAACTGTTGTATATTTTGTAGAGATGGGATTCACCATGTTACTCAAGCTCATCTGGAACTCCTGAGCTCAAGTGGTCCACCCACCTTGGCCTCCCAAACTGCTAAGATTGCAGGCATGAGTCACCATGTCCAAACTACATTTAAAAATAATAAAGTAATGTATTATTTCTGTTTAGAATTTATAGAAAGAAATCTTTCTTTCCTTCAAGGAACTTTAAAGTTCTTCTAGCTCTTTAGATTATTAGAGGTAAGCAAAACCAATCCAATTTCAAATGACTGGTGTGGTCTATCATTTTTTGGAGTCTTGACAAAGGTAACTTAGGAATTTTAAATAGATAGAGCTAATGATGAATTGTTGAAAATGCTTAGGAAATAAAATGACTATTTATAGAACCAAATACAAGCCTTCCATTAGAAACTAAATAAATCAATGGTTTTACATATATATATATGTACACACACATGCACACATGTAAAACCAATGAGTTATACGCACACACACACACACATGTATATATGTAAAACCCAAAGTAAAACAAACAGTAAATACGTGAAAATAATAGCAAATATATATGTGTGTTATGTATATTAATGTCTTTAAGTCCACCAACACCACTATATATTTTGTGCAGTTAAGAAATGTTCTTTAAGCACACGACCAGTTTTTTAACACAATTTACTATTTATGCAGAATAGCAAATATAGTATGAAACCTAGCAATATAAGCATTTATGTGAAATTTGGCTCCATGCTAAATCTGACTTCATGCTTAACTATATTAAAACAAAATTTCCAAAAGTCAATGTATTTTTGTAATATTTTATATTTTATCTTTATTAAGACTAAGAGATTTAACTATGAACACTGTTAATTATCCAAATTTCTTCAATTTTTATCAGGTTTTAAACAATATTTTATTATTTTACCTTTTATAATTTCTTATTTTCTCCGTATCGATATAAAGACAGACACATAGAGAAACAGGGAAAGACTACATATTACTTACACAGATGATCTATGGCATACTTGGACTTCCTATTTTGTCTTATTAAAAAAAAATAGCTAGTCATTTTATTTTAGGACAAAAAACTTACCATAGTCCAAAATTTGAATTAACCTCTAGAAAATTTCTGAATTTTAATAAGAACACATCTTCTTTGACATGTTTATATACAGAATTTTGTATTAATTATAATTTTTATTATTTGAAACCTTAAATTTGAGTGAAAATTAGGATGCAAGAAATCCTAAAGTATCTATCAGATATTACTATTTTATAGATGAGAACATTTTAGTTTTTAAAAACATGTTTTCTCTAAAATCCTTTCTTAATTAGAAATGACACAGACATTCAAGGAGCATCAAAAATAATTTTAAGATTTTAGATTACATTAAAAGTTTACTTACAGGCATTTACTTCATTTATATGTACTTAATTTTGTTAAAATTAGAGTTTATTTCAATTACTTCTACAACTGAGATCTTAGACAATTATGATTTTAAGTTATTTCCTTGTTAACCATTTTTTTTTTTTTTGAGACAGAGCCTCACTCTGTCTCCAGGCTGGAGTGCAGTGGCACAATCTCAGCTCACTGTAACCTCCGCCTCCTGGGTTCAAGTGATTCTCCTGCTTCAGCCTCCCAAGTAGTTGGGACAACAGGTGCCTGCCAACATGCCCAGCTAATTTTCTGCATTTTTAGTAGAGAGGTGGTTTCACTATGTTGGCCAGGAACCATTTTTTAATGGCCTGTGAATATCAGGTATTTACCTAAGTAAGAATGTTAAGGTGAAATACATTGGTATTTTTGCCAATAACTCAGAAGATTCAGCTGTTTTTGTTAAACTAACAATATTAAATGTCTTATTTGTCAAAAAACTCGTACAAAGCCCTTTTTGATTTTTGTATGGTTTACAGTTTTCTAACCTTTTGTGCCAAACCCTGACACCTCAAAATATTTAGCAAGGACCAACGTGAAACTCAGACAAAAATATATGCTGAAAATTTTTAATACATTTTAGTTTTTATCTGATTAATAATTTTAAAGCCAGCTTTTTTATGACAGATTTATTTATGTCACATGAACTTGAAAATTGTTTGGACTTCTTTATTTATTAAGTACTTGTTTACTTTATTTCTAGGCTAATTTGGTACACAATGTAATATAATAATTGTATATATACATAAACACATCGAAATATGTAATGCATTCACATACATAAACAAAGCTCTAATAGCTTTAATCTCAGAAATTTCACATGGAATGGTCTATTAACATATTCACATGGCTAAACTGTGTCCCAATGTGTAATCCAGTGAAGGCTGTGAACCAAAATTTTGGGTAAAGCAGTTTCTGTGGTAGTTCGATTTTGAAAGTCCAAATCTTCTCACACTCCAAGGAACACTGGGGCCAAATGGGTACCACAGAATAACATCATGTATTAACACCCAGGAGTTCAAGACCAGCCTGGGCAATAGAGCAAGACCTTGTCTCAAAAAAAAAAAATTATCTACAAAAGTGAATCCTTTATAAGAAAAATATTATACATATATTTATATACATTACATGCATACATATATGTATGTGTATATACAAAGATACATGTATAGATGTGTATATGTGTATATATGTGTCTGTATATCTATATGTGTTTATACACATATAGATATGTGTTTGTATAACTGGATGTAACATAAGGAAGTAACATCACACAAAATGGCAGAATAAGAACCCCTAGAGGTCAGTCCTTCCACAAAAATAAGTAAAATTGAAAAATAAAAATCAGAGTCAATTTTTTTAGGATGATGAAATATACACATATAGCTATACACACATATATCAATACACATATATACACATAAAGATATACACATATATACACATATAGATATACACATATATACACACATATACACATATATACACATATACACATATATGCATATATGTATGTGTATATATGTGTTATATATACATACATATTCGTGTATATACTTATGTGTAATTATGCTTTGATATTTTATTCTCATATTTTGTCCTCTGATGATAAAGATATTTTAAATTTTTATTTGCACATTGTTATTCTATGTTTTATTAAAAATAAATCTACCATAAAATCATGAAGATTTTATCTACTAAATAAATTCTACTATGAATTTATCATTTACATTTCACAATTAAGTCTACAGTTTATTCAAATTTATTTTGTACTTAGTGTAAGGTAAAGTTCAATAATTTCTCCTTAATATGTAGATATCCAGTGAGGCATCACCATTTATTTACAAAGGAGACACTTTCTTTGTGGTGTCATCCTTTTATAAATTCAAGTGACTCAATAGCAAAGACATGGAATCAACCTACATGCCTATTGATGATAGACTGGATAAAGAAAATATGGTACATATACACCATGGAATACTATGCAGCCACAAAAATGAAAGAGATCAGGTCTTTTGCAGAGAGATGGGTGGAGATGGAGGCCTTTATCCTTACCAGGAACAGAAAACCAAATACCGCATGTTCTCACTTATAATTGGGAACTAAATATTGAGAACAGATGGACTCATAAAGGGGTACAGCACACACTGGAGCCTGTCACAACGGGGTGGGGGAGGGAGAACATCAGGAAAAATAACTAATGAGTAGGAAGCTTAATGCATGGGTGATGAAATAATCTGTACAAGAAACCCCCATGACGTAAGTTTACCTATGTAACAAACCTGCACATATACCTCTGAACTTCAAAGTTAAAAATACATACATACATACACACATACATACATAAATTCAGGTGATTTAAATTAAGCAGAGCTAATATTAGTGGGCCTATTTTTCATTCCATTATTTGGATTGTCTAAAATCTACCATTAATGGAATGTCTATTTCATTATAGGTTTATAATAATTATTATATCTGATTGTGTTGCCCTCTCTTTTTTAAAAAATTTTCACCATTTTTCTGTTACTAGCCTTTCATGTTTCTATATGTATTTTGAGATTAGCTTGAAAAATTCTATACTCAATGTATTTTGATTGACATTTTATTAAACCTGTAAAAACAATTGAGGAAAATTGTTATCTGGTACAATATATAATCTAATTCAACTTTTACGATGTCATCTTCATTTTGGTTGTGAATTTTCTTATTTATTATGAAGTTTAATTTTCAAATACCTAAGATTTCCTATCTACTGTCATGAGAGGCAGATAGATAGGTTTGTGGTTCTCACTTCTTGGAATGTCCTTGTCTGTTTTATTTTTCTATTGCTTATTTATTCAGGGTTGTAAATATTACTTTTATAGAGACATAGAGATGTGTAAGAATGAAACATTGTGAAAAAATACAATTTTTCAATTTCATATGAAACTCAAAGTGTAAGTTTTTTCAATATGGAATGTATCCTCATTTGCTTATATTAGGGCCCTAAAATCCCTTTAAAAATTGTTTTTGTGTTTTAAAAAAAGAAATAGCTGGCCCACCAAGCAAGTTTGCTATAAATCTTGCTTGCTCAAAATGAGCATTTTCAGGTGAGGTCTGTTTTTTCTGGCCAAAGTCTACTATGATTCCTTAGAAGTCATACTGGCCCAATCAAGGAAAGAGTTTCCATGAAGAGTCTGATGGCAGCATCTGGATGAGGAGTGGTCTGGGTAATGGAAAGTGAGTAGAGAAGAAGGAGCTAAGAGCCCAAATCCTTATGAAGGATGACCTTCAGTTGTTAAATTTTAGGAGGCATCCAATGGCTTTTTCAGGGCACTCAACTAAAGAGCCAGTGGAAAGAAAATCTCTCTCTACTTCCACAAATTTGATGTAGATGGATTTGAGGGAAACTCTGGGGTCCCCAGTACAGCTCTGAGAGACAAATCTGTTAATACCAACCCAATATTTGCTGAAGACTTTGGTATTCACTTGGAAATGTAAAAATAAGCTCTGCTGCAGAGCCCTGACCTCAGCAGTCCTGAGGTGGCAAAAGATAATTCTGGTGGGTTCTATTACCACTTGTAATGAGGCTTGTGCTGAAAGGGTTTCCAGGTCAACCCCGCCTTCTTTTCCTGGGTCCAGGGAATGTTGCTGCATGTACGGTGAGAGGAGCCTCTCAATACATTCTTCATAGCCAATGGCATAAAGGCCCGGGCTTTTAGGAATAATTCCAGGCAATAAATATCGAACATTCCTACTGATCGAGTTGGAGTAGGCAATGGGTTACCAGTCAATTTCCACTTGCAGCTCCAAG
This sequence comes from Homo sapiens, assembly GCF_000001405.40. Taxonomy (NCBI): domain Eukaryota; kingdom Metazoa; phylum Chordata; class Mammalia; order Primates; family Hominidae; genus Homo; species Homo sapiens. Next base: position 23,102,551 of record NC_000021.9, on the reverse strand, counting down.
CGCCTAGCTTCACTAATAGTGATCTCTAAAAATGTGTAATAAACATTTTTTCCAGTTCGTTTTCTACACTTGTGTCATAATGATCCCTCCCTCAGACTTCTCAGGGTTGAAGTACTCCTGAAGTCGCTTGCCAAGGGGCACCTGGGAGGTGATCTCAGCATAATGGTAATGAAGATCCCCTTTCCAACGGGTGTTATAACCAATTCCAAAAAACGGCCAGTTTATTAGAAAGAAGGAGCCTTGAAAATTCTGTCCAACTCTGAAAAAGTTCCCATTTCAACTGTACCGATTCCAAAATCTGTACAGTATTCTGCCTGATGTCTCTCTTCTGTGCTTCTTCAGAAGACTCTTGTTGAACTTATTTTTATTTTTTATTTATTTATTTTTTTTTTGAGATGGAGTCTCGCTCTTGTCACTCAGGCAGGAGTGCAATGGTCCAATCTCGGCTCACTGCAATCTCCACCTTCCAGGTTCAAGCGATTCTTCTGACTCAGCCTCCCAAGTAGCTGGGATTACAGGCACCCACCACCACGCCCTGCTAATTTTTGTATTTTTTTTTTTTTTTTTAGTAGAAATGGGGTTTCACCATGTTGGCCAGGCTGGTATTGAACTCCTGACCTCCGGTGATCCGCCCTTTTCCACCTCCCAAAGGGCTGGGATTACAGGCTTAAGCCACCGTGCCCGGCCGTTTAATTTTTAATTTTCTCTTTGTGATTCCTGATCTGTCGGATAGCCATGGAGATCCTGACTTTGGGTTCCCAGTACTCCTGTGAATGAATAGTCCTCCATGGTGCCGCCATCTGACTCCAGCTCCTGGTACAAGCTACTGCTGTTAAGAAGTACAGTCTGGCAGGGCTGAGCATCCCATCCTGCCTGAGCAAACACCTGTTCCAACTGTTCTACTGTGTAACTGCTCTTTCTTTTCGCAACACCATGTTCTTTCACCCGATTGTAACACGTGCAAATGGTCAAAGTAAGTAAATCCGGTACTGGGTTGTATAAGCAGAAGAATTACATGTAAGCTATGAAGGTGGCTCTTCCTCTCTATTCAGCACTGGTGAGGCCACAGCTGGAGCATAGCATTCAGTTCTGGGCATCCAACCAGCTTGATGCCTCCCAGCACTGGGACAGGTCCGCTCATAGCCCAGCTTGGCCAGGGCCCTAGACACAAGCTCCTACTTGGCTGGCCCGGGGGTCCTTGCTGCCAGCCACCATACTGGCTCCTTAAAGCTGCTGGTACCGCGCCTCCGCCAGCCGCTCATTGCCCCACACTGCGCAGAGCGCCTTTGTCTCCGCTGGAGTCCACGACATGCTCCGGCGGGCGGCAGCCCCACCACTGCTGCCACCACGGGAGAAGGAGACAGTTTTGTCTGGTTAAATTTTATATAAATTTAATGCTGGTCTCATAAAAACAGCTGAGTGGTGTCCTCTACTTTTTTTTTTCTTCTCTTAAAATGTTCATGTATTCTTGGTGTTACTTTTTTTCCATGTGTGAAAAAATCACTTGTAATTAGGATTTACATTTTCTAAGATTTTTGGAGATGTACTGTAATCTGCTTTATGTTTGTTTGCTTTGTATTCGTCTTTTTGCAGCTATCGCATTATTATTTTTTTCAAGTTCAATAAGTTTCATGTTTTTAAGAATTTAATATATCTATGTTGTCACAGTTTTTGGCATAAAATTGTTCATAATAGTCATTACTGTATTATTTAGGTTAGTAGATCTGCTGAGATATTGCTTTCTAATTCCTGAGCCTGCTGATTTTGTTTTCTGTTTACTTTTAAAAATTAATCTTGATAAGGGATTATCAATTTTTCCATTTGAGTCAAACTTTTCACTATACATAATCCTATCTTATTTGTTCTGCTCTCTTATTTGTAGTTTCTTATTTCCTACTCTTCTTACGTATGATTTGCTGGACTTGCTCTAGGTTTTGAGATAAGAGTCTTAGAGTATTGACATTTAAATTTATTTAGTAAATGCACTTTTGTTTTGAATTTAACATCTGCTTTAGCTTTATCTTACTGTATTTTATACATTGTGTGTGCATATATATATATATGTGCGTGTGTGTATGTTGTGTATATATTTGGGACTTAAACACCAGAAACTTATTTTCTTACACTTCTGCTGACAAGAAGCACAAGGTCAAGGTGCCAGCACAGTTGGTTTCCTCTTAGAGCCTTACAAGGGATGAATCTGTCCCTGGCCTGTCTCCTTGGCTTACACATGGCTGCCTGCTTGGTACCTCTACCCATGGTGGGATGGTGGTTGCTCTGCATACCTGGCCCTGTTGTCTTTCTCTCTCTTCTTATAAGGACATCAGTCATATTGGATTAGAGCTTGGCCTTGCTGGCCTCATTCTGACTGAATCGCCTCTTTGAAGGCCCTATCTCCTTCCTCAATTAAAAGCCCTCTACTGAGACAAATTGTGCTTTCTCAGTCCCTTGCATAAGCACAGGCTCAGGAAGACCCCCAAGGAAAAGGTACCCACTTAGCTCATCTTTTAGAGTACCTCTTCTTTGAGTCCTTAACATTTCTAGTTTTTGATCCTTATAAAGCTATTCATTGTTTGAAAAGATATTACATTTCTCATTATTTATTAACTTCTCCTGATAGTTACTGCCGAATAATGTTCTACTCTGAACTATTGTATCTTAATAAAAAAAGCAGTCTTAATTCATAAAAACTGGAAGCAGCAGTCTTGCATATGTAGTGTTTATAATTTAAAACAAAAGAATGAATAAAAATAAAAATTCTATATTAACACAAATATAGTACAAGAAAAATTAAATACCTTAAAATCCATATGAGGCATTTTGAAGTCAGTGATCAAACTATGAATTCTATTATCAGTTTTTTTCATTTTTACTGTAGATAAAACTTTATAGTATTAAATAAACTTAGAATATCAGAATTCCATGCGAAGTTTACATAATTGGATGAAGCTATGAAAGATTCAGCCTACCTGGCAAACTACCTAAAGTAATAATTCTCATTCCTATCTCAAGTCAACTGCAGATTCTATTTTATGGGTTTTACTGCAACTCAAATCCTACACAAAGTCCTAATTGAAAAGAATTTGACAGTCTGGGTTTTAGCTTCCTCTAGACAATATGACACATCCCCAAACCATATTGTACAACTTGGTACAAATTGCAGTTTACTCAAGAGAGACTTAAAATGATGATGAATGACAGGATTTGTTAGAATGAGTTACATCTGACTTTGAAAGTGATTTCTACTCCACATTGAGATGCCATAAAATTGAGTCACATGAGCTAAATCAAATCTGGCAGGGAAGAATTCAGAAATCAGGAGATATTTTTTGTCATGAGAGCCTCCTTTGAAACTTAAATAAGAACAGGTGCAAAATACACTTTTTGAACGCTGGATTTTCAAAAATGATTTTGACTCATAAGAAAAGAAAAGATTCTGGATCTACCCTGTAAAAAAGAAATGGAGAAAGTACTGACTCACAACAACTTTTTAAAAATAGGTGAAATTCTGTTTTTGTTTTTTAAAGGGTAAATGGGACTTAACTGCATAACTCATTTGATTTGATTAAAATACGTGAAGACTTAAGACTGGGAATAAACTAACATTAATTCATATGGCCCATAGCCATGAATTGTACAGTTTGATGGCAGGAACCATGCCTTTCCTGTGTTTTGTTGCCTATGCCAGACACATGGTAGAAATTACTAATAAATTCAGATTTAATCAATATATATTAAGTAGACAATTTAACTAATATTTAATTATTTTACTTACTCAATAAACCTAGCGTAAATATTGTAATTCCAAAATAAGAAAGAATACATATATAGAAATGTAACAAATTGTGCTATATATTATGTATTAAGTAAGGGTCACAGCTCGGTTTCAAGTTAATTTCATCTGTTCTTCAGCATCTGTTCTTTCTGTTACAGTTCAAAGTCTTCAGCGGTATTCATCTCTTCCTTCATTTGGTGCTTTGTGAAACACTCTCTAAAAACATCTTTAGGAAAATATCTCAGTAGGAAAATATAGCTGCTGACACTTGCCAGCATTAGAACGTGTGTGTGTGTGTGTATGTGTGTGTGTATTTAAGTGTGATTCTTGATAGATTATACACTTTTATATTTCTTCCTATCTATGGTGATCTCAAATGAATATATTTATGATTTCATTCCCATTTTATTCTCAACTGTATATATGATGTTTCCTAGTGCTAGTCCTAGACTGTATATATGTGATCTCCATTTCTGTTTACCTGGATAATTAATACATAAATATCACTTGTTAATTTTAAACTTGGAGGCATCACTTATATTCTTCATAAAATTTTAGTTATAGAATTTGGAACTTATGTATACTTGAGTACGTGTGTATTACACTTAGGTGTTTAAGTATGAATACATATACATATGAATATATACTAATCCTTACATATGTATTAATCTTAGATGAAAATAAACTTTGGAGCTCTGAAGTAATAGTACAGTATTCTCAGGGTTTTGTTTTCAATCATGTCCAACAAGTGAGGGAGAAGAAAACATAAAATCAGTTAAGTAAACAGTTAAGTCTGGTCCTCCGAGAAGCAGCCTGCTTGAAAAACCACAGGTACAGGCAAAAATAGAGTAGCCTGGGGAAAACTCAGGCTGCACCTGCACAGATAAGCCGGCAGGGTCCAGTACAGAAGGCTTTTGTTCTTTGCATAATTGGTGGGCTCCAAGGAAAAAGTTTCCTCCCTTTTCAGACATGTATATGGTGGGCTCCATGGGAACTTGCACAAGGAGGAGGGAGGCTTACCTAAAACAAACCCACAGTTATACAAAAAAGAGAAGCAGCACTTTGTGCTTGCCTAGAGACATACTCACAACTACATAGATAAGAAGGAGTTATGCAGATGGCTTTTCAGATAAGTAACTCAAACAGCTACAGAGAAAAGAGGGGTTTCTTATAAAAGCTTTTGAATTCAGCTGTAAAAATGGAAACCCACTCAGGCTCCCCTCTCTGCTGTGGAGAGCTTTCTTCTTTTGCTTATTAAACTTTCTCTCCAATCTCACCCTTTCTGTCCATGCTCCTTAATTCTCTTGGTCATGAGACAATGAGCTCAGATAACACCTTAGAAGAGAGTAGTGACCCTGGCCTGTTTCATAAGTATCTGAAAAAAAAAGATAATTGAATATATTTAAAGGGAAACAAACTCACCCAAAAGTATAAAAAAGGCCACCCTTAACTTATTGGTTATGTTCCTCATAAAAAAAAAAGAACTTCCCTGAGGCAAAAAGAAAGTAGAACATTTAGGATAATTCCAAGAACACATAAGTATTTGAGTTTATTTTATTTTCCAGAGGGTTTTTCCCAATTCTGTGACAAAATAGTTGTAGCCATGGAATAGGAATGTGGGCTTTAAGAAATTAGAATAGGAAGGCAAGTATTTTAATTTTAAATGTTGAAGACAATAAAGAAGAAAATATGCTAATAATTGAGAGAGCATAAGAATTTTAATATTGGTTAAGAGATAGCTGCCAGCAAGTATAAAATGGGTATAACAGTCATCTATTGTTGTGTAACCAACTGTCACAAAACAAAAAACCATTTTATTGTATTTTGCATACTTATGGGCAAGGACTTCAGTTGGGAATTGCCTGGGAGATTCCTTAGCTAAAGAGTGCCTGTAGGGTCTAAAACCATGTCACCCAACTACGAGGTACTTTGACGGGTTTTACTGGAGTCTGTGAGGCTCTTTTCCATGTCATGTTATTTCAAGAATTATCCATGTGATTTTCCCAACAAGGTAGTTGAACTTACATGATTTCTCACAGCTCCAAAAAGTTTATTTGTTTTTTTTAGATGCTCAAACTGTAGCTTCAAGTGTTCAGGTGACCCAGCCTTGGAATTCTTTGAATTTACTTCAACTATGTATGATGCACTAAGACCAGCATAGAATAATGGGTAAGAGAATTAGACCTCACCTCTCATTGATAATTAGGAAGTAATTCGTGCCCAGAATCTACCACAATGTGCATGAAGTTGTCATCATTAATGAATGATACATGATTTATCCTGCTGATATTAATATGAGAAGACTTATACCAATGTCAAATAATTCCAAAGATCCTTTGTCTTTATTCATGTCTTGGAAGCCAAATACCTGAACATAACCCAATACTACAGAGGAGAAATAAAGACAGTAAAGACAGAGAAAAATGCAACTACATTTATACTAAGAAGAAAGCATAATTATTCTGACGTGCACTCAATGTAAGAATATACTCAGGGACTTTATAAGTGAAAAAGAATGACTTCAAATGCATAGTAACATAACATTACTGATCGGAGTTCTAAATAAATGGAAGCCACACAATGCTTTTGTAAGTTCAAGACAACTATGGCTTGTAATGCAAGTATTATATATTACATATAAAACTATATTGTATAGGTAAAGTAAAAAATTCCAATGCTCAGGGCTCAATTACTATTAAAATATTATCCCTCGCGCATATGTTTAAATAATATGTGCTTCACCTGAACATTAATACGTATGTTCTTTTAGTCTACTATGTTTGTTAATATAAGAAATTATGTAGTATATTTTATAAGTTATTTCCATAGATCATTTCCATTTTCCACTCTCACAAAGTGAAGTACACACAAGTAAAAATGTTAAGAAATATTCACGATAGCAAAGACTTGGAACCAACCTAAATGTCCAACAATGATAGACTGGATTAAGAAAATGTGGCACATATACACCATGGAATACTATGCAGCCATAAAAATGATGAGTTCATGTCCTTTGTAGGGACATGGATGAAACTGGAAACCATCATTCTCAGCAAACTATTGCAAGGAAAAAAAACCAAACACCGCATGTTCTCACTCATAGGTGGGAATTGAACAATAAGAATACATTGGCACAGGAAAGGGAACATCACACACTGGAGACTGTTGTGGGGTGGGGGGAGGCGGGAGGGATAGCATTAGGAGATATACCTAATGCTAAATGACGAGTTAATGGGTGCAGCACACCAACATGGCACATGTATACATATGTAACAAACCTGCACGTTGTGCACATGTACCCTAAAACTTAAAGTATAATAAAAATAAAATAAAATAAATATTATTTTAAAAATATTTCAGAGCTAAAATAATTCAGTAAAAAGAAATGGAATAGGTGAAAAAATTCCACTGACCAAAAATTAGTTCTGTTATAATTAATTAGTTCTTCTCAGTTATTGCTTTATTACTAAGCATTCTAATGTATATTGTTTTCATTTTGAAAACGCAAGTTTTTTATGATGGTAAGAAGTTATTTTTGGTTGGAGGCAGAGAAAGCTGACAGAATAAAAATAATAGAGTAAAAATAGATTCTTTGTAGATTCTTCTACAAAGTCTGCATATGACTTTGTAATTTGGAAAAAATTAGTGCTTGTGCTGACAAGTTATTTTGTTATTTAATTATCAGATATAAAATGAACATTTAAAGACTAATTAGAAAATGTTTTCCTATAAACATAACTAAATTTTTGGTTCTTTTTCATGTGAGAATTTTTAAATAACCAATTACTGATTCAGTAATATACAGTGGTTATTCAATGAGATAATATAATTAGGTCAGTACTATAATATATAATTGGTAAATAGAAGTACTATTAAATTAATTGTAAGTATTCCCATTATGTCCTATTGATATTCTGATGTTTTGATTTGGAAGTCATTGTGAATGATTTACAATTGGTTACATAAGAATTTGACCAGACAAACTCAAAGTTATAACCATAGAGTTTTCATTCTACATTAGAAGTCAGTTTTTAGCAATGAAAATTTTTGTTTCTTTTCATAAGATCCTAAGAGAAATAACTTTTCAATCTTATTATGTATCACTATCAAAACTTGGGAAACACTATAGAGTATTAAAATCAACATTCTAGTACAGGTGAGCAATGATATTTCTTGGTATTATTTATTTACCAGAGTTCAGTCCTTGATAATTTTTATTAATTTGTAAAATAGAATACCTGTTCTATATGGTTACCATGAATTAATGCATCTCATAAAAATACCTATCTTAAGACATTATATGAAAGGAATGTAGTAACAAGTATCCTATGTTGTACCCATAATTCATTGACCTAAACATAAAAATTAACATTGATACTATTAAGTAATTTTAAAGAAATCTTACTATACTACATACTTTATAGGTATTTGTCCATTAATTTTACAATTACTTTCTCAGGTAGGTAATATACTTCTCCACATTTCACAGGTAGTTGGCATTTATTTGTAATGGGATTATGTCATATTTCCCGACATAATTTACAATGTAAGGTGTTTGTTACCAAATTTATAGTTTTGCTCTTTTCTTAAGATTTGTATTGATGTATTCTCCATTTCACTAATGCAGTGTAAAAAGCCTTTTCACAACATAGAATTAAATACACTGTGTAGGAACTCTAACAGCCAGACTGAAAATAATGGGCCAGTAACCCGGATCAAGGTTAAAGGTGCATTTGGCATTTTAAAACAACTGTCTTTCAGGTTCTAATTATGTTAAGCTTGCAGGAGGTGTGATCAGACTTTCTATATAAAAGATAATCCTATTTTATAAACTGGAAATATAAATGACCTCAAAGGGTCAGGTTAATGAAGCATTTTCAAAAATTTTATTTTTGTCACAGCTTGATATCTTCTTTAAAGTGACATCAAAGATTGGACGCTATAACCTAGAAATGCATTTTGTAAATGCCTTTGACCAAATTGTCAAAATTATAATTTTGTAATGTACATGTAAGAAATGGTACATCAATTTCTCAATGTTATGATATACAATGTTTTATAAATGTAAAAAGTTATACAACCTTTTACAATATTATTCAAAAATCAGGATAAGTAGGAAATATTCTTTAGAGAGTATTTTTACATTATTTATAAACAAATTTCTAAACATGATAGGAGAGACAAAATTTAATTTAAGGACTATTGATTACTGTTGTACATAGAAAGCTGTGACTTAAGGTTCAGGACAATTATATATCTATACTGTATTTTATTCAGTCACATATAATAAGAAGAAACTATTATTTTTTGCAAGTGTGCAAAATTGCAAGTGTGCAAAATACATAATTTTAATTGATATGGAATTCATGTAAGCAATTGGAAAACGACATCATTTCAGATAAAGTAACTAATACTTAAAGATAATAATTTGGTTCTAAGGGTAAGTGGTAGGCTAGCGAGTCTTGTAGATTCCAGGGCATATGGCTTATTATAATACTGTATCTCTGATTGCTATTTCAGTGAAGCATTTTAGCTTTCTGGATTTTATATTAAATTAGTTTATGAAGCAAACAATTTTTAAATACCGCTGAATTAGTAATTTATATCTAATAAAATAGTAACATTTTTATACATCCAAAGAGTGGAAGATAACATTAACAAAGTGTGCATGTATTTTGAGACAATTACTAAGTATTGATATTGTCAGGAATAGGTATAATTATAAAAATTTGAAAACCCCAGGCAAAACCAAAACTCATTACATACATTATGAACTTGATTTATAAATTAGCAGAAGTTTTATATCTGCTATCAGATCTCAGATATTAGGAGGCTAAATATCTAAGGACTCTTTCCATGTTAAATATGAAAAAGCACATAAAGTATAAAAAGGCATATGTGCAATAATTCAAAAAAGGATTTTGAACAGAGAAAGCATTGCAGTTAGTAAATGAAGAATTGCCAGAAAAATTGAAGAGATACAATTTTCACATACACTAGGTGAGCAATGAGATGGGTGGTATCCAGGGCTGTTTGTGAAAATGTAAAATAAAAAAATCATTCTAGAGGGTTTTTATCATTTTTGAGAGTTTTTTCATTTTTAAGAATTTTTTTCATTGTTGTACCTCCTTCATGACAAGCCATTCACATTGCATAAATGTATTAATAAATTTATTAAATTCACATTTTGCCTGGCTAATAAATGTGAATGGCTTGTCATGAAGGAGGTACAACAATGAAGAAAGAACAATGCCGGGTGGCTTCCACCATCTGGCAGGGCATTTGTCTCTCTGGCCTGGCTGCCCAGTTCCAGCTCAGCTTTGTTGTTCTGTCTCCTTTGTTCCAGGAGACCCTAGGTTGCTCTGTCAGAGCCTCTGTCGCCCTGTGATCTGCAGGTTCTGGGAGATCTCTAAGCAGGATGCCAGAAGATCCCAGGAGACAGAAAATGGAAACAAATGGGAAGTCCAGGACACTGAAGGTCATTTCAATAATTCTGGAAAAACATCTCTGAAGTCATATGGTATGAAGACTATGAATATATAGAAGTTAGTCATTGTGGAGAAATCTTCAGCCAGATTCCAAATCTTAATCTCAAGGAGAAAATTTCTGCTGACTTAAATTCATGTGAATGCCATGTGTGTGGACAATTTTTTTTTTTGAGATGGAGTTTCACTCTTATTGCCCAGGCTGGAGTGTGATGGCACAATCTCGGCTCACTGCAGCCTCTGCCTCCCGGGTTCAAGCTATTCTCCTGCCTCGGCCTACCAAGTAGCTGGGATTTCAGGCATGCGCCACCATGCCTGGCTAATTTTGTATTTTTAGTAGTGACAGGTTTTCTCCATGTTGGTCAGGCTGGCCTCGAACTGCTGATCTCAGGTGATCTGCCTGCCTTTGCCAAAATATTGAGATTACAGGCATGAGCCACTGCATCCGGCCTGGACAAGTTTTATATATCATTCATCTCTTAATAGGCACATCTTAGATCATTCTGGACACAAACCATAAGAACGTGAAGAATGTGGGGTGAGGTGATATAAATGTAAACAATGTGGGAAAAACCATTATCTCTCTCATAAACGTCCAATGACACATGGTAACACACGCCAGAAATAGACCTCATAAATATAAGAAATGTGGGAAAACATTTAATTTTCTCTATGTACTTCAAATGCATAAAGTAACTCACATTGGAGAAAAACCCTGTGAATAGAAGAAAGGTGATAAAGCCTTGAGATTTTGAAGTTCTTTTCAAAAGCATGAAAGAACTCACAGTGGAGAAAAACCTTATAAATGTCGGAAATGGCATAAAGCCTGTGGATATTCCAGTCAGCTTCAGAATCATAAAGTACTCATACTTAAGAGAAACTGGCAATGTAGGAAATGCGGGAAAGAATTCAGTTGTCTTAGTTATTTTCAAGCACGTAAGAGGGTTCACAATGGTGAAAAATCTTCTGTGGTTAATTAATATGGTAAGGAATTTACTCTTTCTAGTTCCCTACAGAAACATGAAACAAATTATACTGGAAAGAAACCCTATAAATGTAAGAAATGTGGTGAAGTCTTCAGTCATTCCTCCTCCAAGCTAAGTCAAAAAGAATACATACTGGAGAGAAATCCTATGATTGTAAAAAAATGTGGGAAAGCCTTCAGTCTATACAGCTCCCTCAGAAGACATGAAACAGCTCATACTGGGGAGAATCCCTATGAATATAAAAAATGTGATAAAGCCTTCAGTCTATAGAGTTCCCTCAGAAGACATGAAACAGCTCATACTGGAGAGAATCCCCATGAATATCAAAAATGTGGTAAAACCTTCAGTCTATACCATTCCCTTAGAAGACATGAGAGAGCTCATTCTGGAGAGAATCCCTATAAATGTCAAAAATGTGGTTAACACCTTCAGTTGTTTCAGTTACCTTCAAATACATGAGAGAACTCATACCAGAGAGAAACCTTATGATGTAAAAAATGTAGTAAAACCTTCAGACATTTAGGTTCCATTTGAACACATACAAAATTTCATACTGGAGAGAAACCTTATAAATGTAAAATAATGTTGCAAAGCCTTTATTTGTTTCAATTACCTTGAAACACATGACAGAATTTATACTGAAATTTTATGACTAAGAAATGTGGTAAAGCCTTCAGCTATTGCAGCTCTCTAGGTAAACATGAAAGAACTCACACTGGAGAGAATCCCTATGACTAAGTCATGTGGCAAATCATTTAGATATTCTAGTTCTGTATGTAAACATGAAAGAACTCATACTTCATAGAAATCCTAGGAATGTAAGAAATGTGGGAAAACAGTTGAGTTTTTTTGAAAACATGAAATTATACAACAGAAAAATCCTATGTGTATGAGAAATGTGATAAAAACTTTCTGTTTCAGTTCCCTCTGAACACACTGAAAAACTCATTTGAAGGAAACCAATGAATGTAAGGAATACGGGAAAGCACGCAATTGTTTCACTTTCCTTTGAAAATACAAAACACTCATACTGAATGAAAAAAACTGCATGTAAACAATGTGGTAATGCCCTAAGTGTTTCCATTTCTAGTTGAGGACATGAAAGAACTAATTCCTGAATAACCCTACAAATATGCGGAATGTGGGAATGCCTTTCTCTCAAGTACTTTCAAAGACACATGGCATATCCACAATGGAGATGGATCTTATGAAAGAATGTATTCTGTATCTAAATCCTCATAGTTTGCAAAACATAGATGTCTTCATTTTAATAATTATTTCAAAAGTCATCTTAGAACTCCCATTGAAAAAAAATTCTTACAAATTAAGTACTTGGAAAGCCTGGTGCAAATTAAATATTCCACAGGGTTCAAAACCTGCATATGAATGAAATGTTATCTAAATTATAAATATATTGTTTATTAGTGGCTCCTTCTTAATGAGGATATTTGGACTATTGATTTCCACTTATTTTACATGAAAATATTGAGATGAGAATTCTGTAGCTGTCCTTTAAGCAACAGTACCTGAATTCAATAGGTAGTGGGTTATTTTTCTCAGTTAATACTAAATTTTCTCTTTATGTCTAAAAGGTTGTGGGAATCTATGGGTGAATTAAAATGTATTTTTAAGGTGTAGGTAGCATTGATTTTTATGTAGCTTTTTAATTATTCAGTAATGAATAGGTCATTGAATACTGAGTCTTAGATCAATTGTTGGGGTCTTACCTGCCTTATGTGACAAGTTTTAGTTATCCCTCACCTATTACACATATTCCATCTTTACTTAAAAAAAGTGCTGTTTCTTGGAAGGAAGAAGTTTATTCCATTTTCTTTACTAATCAAGGGTTGGTATCAAATCACAAAAACAAGAAAAAAGCAAAACTGTGGTAATTAAATTTAAGAATATATGGTTTAGACATACAATGAAATGCTAAAAATGATAATTTAAAGGTATAACTAATGCCATCAGAAGTTATTCTTATATGCTGAAAAATTTCAGAGAAATTTCTTCACTGGACTCAGAGAGATGTGGTGGAAAAGGAAAGTGGAGGAGAGGTGAGGTATAAGGAGCGATCAGAGAGACTGGAAGCATAACAACTCCATCCACATTGCTGCCCTCGAAAATAGAGAAATAAAATAAGTCAAGTATTTTGGCCAGCTTTTAGAAGCTGAGAACAGCTCCTGGCCAACAGGCAACAAAGGTATGTGACTTCAGTTCTAAAACCACAAAGAACTGAGTTTTGCCAACAGCCTTACAGAACCTGAAAAAAGATATTCCTTCAAGATATTCCAGTAACGAATGAAGCCCCGTAAACACCTTGATTTTCACCTTTTGAGACTCTAAGCAGATGCCACCAAACTTCTTTAAGGAACTAGGCAAACCTCCTGAATGTATGACTTACAGAATTATGAGATAATTAATGGGCATTGTTCATAGCTGCTAAATTACATTACATTTTTCCTGTAGCAATAGAAAATGCATGCCATTATTTAGTTACTCCCTTTTAGGCCCATTTCCTCTATTTCCCATTCTACACCATATAGTCAATATTCTAAGCTGTTTAACATATATCATCGAGTTAGTAACTATTTAAATAAAATAAGCAGTGTTTAGTTTAATGTGTTCAAGTAATTTAATTCGTATAAATGATTTTGTGCTATGCCTTATTTTCTTTTGGTGTTTGAAACTAGCTGTTCAGCTGTGTTTATAGGCTAACACATCTAAATTCTTCACAGCTTATGGAGTGCAACCACCATATCTTACTTTTCCATTTTACCAGTAATAGTCTCCAAACCAGCTTCCATTCTTCCTAAACACAAACAATACTTCAATCAATGTCCACACCCATGACTAATGATATACCTATAATATACATATTCATATTTTATCTAAGTTCTTCACAATAACTTTATAGAATGACTATATTAGATAACTCTGTCCTTAGATAATGAAGTTTTTCCCTTTATTTTTGTTAAAACTTCCTATAATCTCATAATTCATTTTATTTAATTTTCCCAGTCTAATCTAGAAACATCTTAATCTCATTGTTGTTTTAAAAATAAATTTCTTTCTTTAGCAAAGTTGAGTAGGTCTTCATATGTTTGATACTTATTCAGTTTTTTCTGTCTATAACCTGACTGTTTATCTTTTGCCTGTTTTTCTTTGAGTTACCTGTTTTATTTTATTGTTGATTTTTTGGAAGTTCCTCACATGTTCTTTTAACTGTGGGTGGTTTTTTTTTTTACCATCTTTATAAAGATATAATTTATATGCAATCAAATTCACCAATATTCAATGTTGATAATATTGTAGCATTATCAGAGAGCTGTGTATTTTTTTTTTTTTTGGTCATTTACGTGTGTAGACAGTGGTGTCTTCTTTTCAATGTACTAATTGTATAGCAAATTACTTAGGTATAAGGGTGAGTTTGATGAGTCAACAGGATTTCATTTCTCTTTAAACTTTTCACATTTCCATCTTGAACCAGATGATATTAGAAAGGAAAATAAAATAAAACATGAAAATATTCTGAGCATTTTTCTAATTCTTTTTTAACTTTTACTTAGGTATCTTCTAGATATCATACAATTAACCATTTCATATAGATAATTCAAACATTTTTAGTGAGTTTTCTCTGATTAAACCATCATCCTAAATAGGTTTTGGAACATTTTTCTCCCATCATGCCAATTTATAATTGATTCTGGTTCCTGCCTAGACTTAGGCAACCACAAATCTACTTTCGTCTTGCTTTTGCCTTTTGTGAAGATTTCATATAAATGGATTCATAGAATATGTGGGCTTATGTCTAGCTTGTTTCACTTACCATGTGTTTTGAAGTTTATTCATGAGGTAGCATGTGTCAATAGTCCATTTTATTTTGAATAATATTCTTTTTCGTGAACATATTATATATTGGCTAACATAAACTAGTTGGTAGACGTTAAATTGTTTGCAGCTTTTCTCTACTAAGAATAATGCTGCTGTAAAAAATTGCATGCAGTTTTTTTCTGAACATGTTTTTACTCACAGATACTTTGAGATAGATACAGCCGGGCGCGGTGGCTAACACCTGTAATCCCAGCACTTTGGGAGGCCGAGGCAGGCAGATCACGAGGTCAGCAGATTGAGACCATCCTGGCTAACACGGTAAAACCTTGTCTCTACTAAAAATACAAAAAATTAGCCGGGCGTGGTGGCAGGCGCCTGTAGTCCCAGCTACTCGGGAGGCTGAGGCAGGAGAATGGTGTGAACCCGGGAGGCGGAGCTTGCGGTGAGCCGAGATCGCGCCACTGCACTCCAGCCTGGGCGACAGAGTGAGACACCTTCTCCCAAAAAAAAAAAAAAGAAAAAGAAATAGATAGGTAGATACATGCATACATATATACATACATAGAATCTTAGAAATGGTGTTACTGATCACCTGGTAGTTTTAGTTTTAACATTTGGAGAAAATGCCAAACTATTTTTCACAGTGGTTGCACCATTTTACAGTACAATCAGCAATGTATGAAGATTCTGGTTTCTCCACATCCTCGTCAAAGACATGTGTGGTATTATTTGTCTTTTGGATTAAACTGGCTATGAAATAGTATCTTCTTATGGTTTAATTTGCATCTCCCTGATGACTTATAATGTTGAATAACATTGTATTCTGAAATATTATAATTAGTTGATTATTGTGTTTGATGCATAAAACATAACATTCATTTACAACCTACCTGGTTTGATTGAACAATATAATTATTCTGAGTCACAGTATGTAGTTGAATAAAGACAATTATGTCTAAAATATTAATATAAATCACTTAAAAGTACACAGGATACTTCTTTAAAATGTCTTAAAATTAACAACAGGAGCACAGTTCTCTATATAAATATTGAATATTGTAGACCTTCCAATAAGTGCAATTCCCAAATTAAATAAGCAGGATACAGTAGTATTAAAAACAATATATATACATACTTTTGAGAATGATATGAAATTACATCATGAACTCCCTTGATAATATTAATTTATGTTAATCAGAAAGATACCCAACAAAATCTTCTTTCCTATACAACCTGGTTAGAGTTGACCAGAAGAGAAATTTTGCACAAGATTTGGAAGGCAAAGTGAAGCATGAACCATCACATATAAAGGTGTTATGATTATATGAAATTTTAATATACAGGACATGTTGTACAGGACCCAAACCATAACATTTTGAGACACCTCTTCTACCATAAATTATTTGCCTTTCCAGTGGATAAAAACGTATACATTAGCCTTTACCCCTACAGCTCAACAAATAGAAAATCTAGCTAGGTATTATCTTGAAACAAAATAATGACCTCCTTGCTTATTTCCCTGAAACAAATTCTAAATCAGTTTCTGAATACTATTACCTCAGTTTTTTTGCCAATTGTTGGTGTAGAATCCTCTAGAATTTCTAATTCTACGAATAAATTCCTCTTCTTTCTCTCTCTCTCTTCCTAATTCTCTGATAAATTTTATCAACATGATCACTCACCTCACTAAGAAATCTACTTTCTTTTACTTCCCAACAACATCACGTTGATTTCTTCCCAGCTTTCTCTCTTATTTTGCTTAAAAAACATCCTCTAAAGTCCACTAAAAATAAAAACTTTGTAAATTTTCTAAGTGCTTATTTTAATTTGAAATTTGATTCTTTTGCTGTCATATTTGTGATAGTTT
Organism: Homo sapiens; assembly: GCF_000001405.40. Classification (NCBI taxonomy): domain Eukaryota; kingdom Metazoa; phylum Chordata; class Mammalia; order Primates; family Hominidae; genus Homo; species Homo sapiens. Next base: position 23,085,604 of record NC_000021.9, on the reverse strand, counting down.
TATTACACATGCAATTCTAAATGTATTTTCTGCAATATATTTAGAACATTATTTTGTTTCTTCATTCAGCACTACTCTACTATAGTTATTTGTCATAATTATTCATTTTCAGGTAATAGATGTTTATCCTTCTGAACACTTTTAACATTTTCCCTTTGTCATTAATGTTTTAGAACTATGATGTAGTTCCTTGTGGAATTGTGATAATTGCACATGCCAGAGAAAATTTAAAAAATAGAAGCAGGAGAGGAATATTTGCAGAAATAATTTTTATGATTCCACAAACTAAACCATGATGCAAGAACTCAAATGAGAAGTTGTCGGAGAGAGCCAAAGCAACTCATTTATTATTTAGATAAGAGAACACAAACACACAGCAACACACACTCTCACACTTACACAGAAGTCCACCTTTTGTCATCAAGTATTTCTCTCCGTTTTGAAAAAATATCCTGCCTTCAATTAAACTAGTTGATTCATTAATATTTCTGGTGATAACAGAAGGATATAGAAACATGGCCCTACCCTTTCAATGCACTTTCACACTGCTTTCTTCTGTCAGTGATGTCCTTGGAATAAATTGGTTGGGTATATGTTGTTTTTTTTTGTTTTGTTTTTAGTATTCAATGATATTACATTAATGAAAACATTCAGTGATGACATGAGTTGATTCATATCAGAGGTAAAAGTGGTTGGTCTTTTATAACTTGAGAGGATTCCAATTTCAGTCAGTCTCCTGGGTTTAATATTTGACAAGTTAAATTTAACAAATCACTTCTTTTCCCAGTAATACCTATATCTAGAGCTGTATAAATCATATGTTCTACTCTCCTACCCTGGGGAAATAATTGAGGTGAAGGCCACTGGGCTGAACCTGATTTAAACGGAGGAATAAGCACATATCAGTTTAATAATGGCAGAAAGATTATTCTCATTGCACTAATTCCAAAAAGTCTCAAGTTGCCTTGTCATATTTCTCTAGAATTATGAAAAATCTCACTGCTATACTGAGTTAAAGTCCCACTATTGTATCCTCTTATCCTTTCGCTCATCAACATCTCATTTCTTCAACACTTGGCTCCTTCTAAATCCACAAACTCCTCTAACTCCAAGTTAATATAGCTTTATATTTTCTCTTCCTCTCCCTCCTCTGGGAACTTTATTGTATGACTAAATTTGATTTTTTTAAATTAAATGCTTCTTTTCATTTTCCAGATTTTAAGTTTCATTCTTCTCCTATATTTGCCAATCTTTTTTTATGGAAGCTCCAAAGTTGCAGTGTGATAATTGAACATCTCTTACAAAACTATGATTGAGAGGTATTGTGGCAAGAAACTTCTTGAGCAGGAGGTAGATTTATACTATATACCAAATATGACTGAATGTAACTACATTAAGTAAATATAGAATCACACATATATTTTAAATGGGATACAACATTTTTACTCTGTTGTAAGTATTTATGGTTTTTTCTAATTTAATTATTAGCATTTGTTACACTTGTATTATAATCTTCAAAGAGGAAGACCTGCAATATATCATTATATCTGTAATTAATTTAATTCAACATTATATCTATAATTTCATTTTATTTTGATTCTACATTTTACTGAGCGTGCTCTTGCAATAAGAAAAGAAAACAGCTAATTAGATACCAAAATAAGAGAAAAAAATGTATTAGATTCTTGACTGGTTGCTTAGATTTAATTCCATGTATACACTAAAAAAAACTATTAGAAAATTGATTAAGCATCATATTAAGCTCTATCCTTGAATACATTTTGGATAATTCCTTTAAATAATCAATATTATAAAATATAAATCAGGAAAGGTTAGATCTTTTGGTATAGTTCAAAGACAAAAGGAGAATTTGTAGAAAGAAACAAATTTAAATACAGAGTAAAATAAAAACAACGCCACAAAAAGTCTGCAAACAAAAGCATATTTAATATGCCGTTATCAAACATTATTTTTCTGTGTAAATAGGTTTGACAGATTAGAACCAGAACTGATTGGAAGCCATATTTATGGCTCTATAGTCCTTGATATTATGAATACATTGCTCCTGACCTGAGAATATGAGGATAGAGTCTTTCTTCTAAGAGACTTTGCCTGCAGTAAGGCTAATCAGAATTTCAAAACTTTGAAATTTTTGTCATATAAGCATTTAACTGAGATGAATGCTTTTCTCCTAAGAATTTTTCACTGGGAGAAATCACGGTGTGAGATGTCTAGATATACAAATTTTAATATTCAGTGGGAAAACATAAAACATTGTCTTAAAACAAAGAAAAGAAGGAAAAACAATTCTCATCATGCTCTCAATTAAAAGTCTATAGTCCATCGGCAAATGAAGCCTAAGCCTCAGCCAAAGTAAGTTACTAGTATGTCAATGGTGAATACAAATGACCACGAAGATTGTAATTTTACACCCCAGAAAACATTTAAATGCACATCAAATGAAAAAGTCACTTGATATTTTAAAAACAATTCCCTGAACTTTCAGACCTACTCAGGTTTATGAAGACAGATTACATTAAAAAAAAAAAAACTTTAAATAAGCTCAATTTACAGAGAGAGACAGAGAGAGGGGGAAAAAGAGGGGTGGGAAGAGAGAAATAGAGAGAAATAAAGAAAGGAAAAGAAAGGAACGAAGAGCGGAGGAAGGAAAGAAGGAAGGAGAGAGAGAGAAAAAAAGAAAGAAAGAGAAAAGAAAGAGAGAAAGAAAAGAAAGAAGAAAGATCAAATTTTCAAATTTACAGAGAGTAAGTAAATTTCTTAAGGAAACAAAGAAACTGATTTTTGGTGTAGGTAAAATGTGAAAGATAGCAGTTGTCAAAATGCCTGCATAAAAACGGCACCAAAAGGAGAATGAGCAGTTATATGGTTTTCCTGTTTTAACCAAAGAACACTTAAAGGAATGATTCCACACATGTTAACATATGCTTTCTGTTAAAGTGAACGAAGTATGGCCTGAGAAAGACTCCATACTTTTATCTCTGAGTCCTTGTGGATACTTAATAGGTAGGCAAGATTGAAAACCTAACTTAGGAGTATGTGCCTGTAATAATAGCAGAGTCTTAGCCAATGCCAGCAGCCATACTTCAACTGATCATAGACTGTTGAGTGTTCAAACTGTGTTCAAACAAGGCAAATGCCAACATATAACCATCTAGCTGTTTCTGTGCCTCACTTCTGATTTCTGTATGTCACTTCCTTTTTTAGTCTACAAACTTGTTCTGCCTGATTTGCGAATGGTTCATTGCTCAATTAAACTCCTTTAAATTTAATTTGGCTGAAGTTTTTCTTCTCTTTGCTTTTTTCTTTTGTCTTTTTTTTTTCCTTTTTGAGATGGAGTCTCACTCTGTCTTAAATTTAAAGGAGTTTAAAAAACTAGAAATCAATAATGAGGGGAATTTCAGAAACTTCACAAATATATAGAAATGAAATGATGTAATCCTGAATAACCACTATATTACTGAAGAAATTAAAAGGAAAATTCAAAAAATGTTTGGAAACAAAATGTAAATACAACATATCAAAACCTACGGAATATGGCAAAAACAGTCCTAAGAGGGAAATTCATAGCAATACATTCCAGCAACCAAAAAGAAAAAAAAGATCTTGAATAAACAAGCATTGCATCTCAGAGAACTGAAAAAACAAGAACAAACTATACCTCAAATTAATAGAAGAAAGGAAATGGTAAGAGTCAGAAAGAAAGAAAGAAAATGGGCTAGAAATATGATACAAAATATCAACAAAATGAAGAGTTAGTATTTAAAAAGATAAACAAAATTAATAAACTTTTAGCTAAAGAAAAACAGAGAAAACTCTAATAAATAAAATAACAGAAGAAAATAATACATTACAATTGATACCAAAGGAATAGAAATGATTATGAGACTATCATGAACAAATTATACACCAACAAATGAATTACCTAAAAAAATGGATAAATTCCTTGAAACATGTAACCTACCAAAATTCAATTAGGAAGAAACAGAAAATCTGAACAGACCAGTAACAAGTAGGGAAATTTAATAAGTAGTTAAAAAACTCCCATACAAAAAACAAACAAGCAAACAAACAAAAAAAACGCAAAAAAACTAATAGTGTTATCTTCATTGCTGAATTATACCAAATATTTTTAAAAACAATTAATACTATTTTTTCTCAAACTATTCCAAAAAATTTAAGAGGATTAAATACTTTCAAACTCATTCTATGATTCCAGAATTACCCTAATACCAAAACCAGACAAGGAACACAGCCACAACAGTAAAGACTGCAAGCTAATATTCCTGCTGAACATGAATAATACAAGCATATTCAACCAAATACTAGCAAACCCAATTCAACAGCAAATTAAAACATTCATTCACCATGATCAAGTAAGATTCATCCCAGGGATGCAAGGATAGTTCAACATATGCAAATCAATAAGCATAATACACCACATTAATAGAATGAAGGACAAAATTCACATCTCAGAGAACCAAAAAAAAAAACAAGAACAAATTATATCCCGAATTACTAGAAGAAAGGAAATAATAAAGATCAGAATGAAATAAATAAAATAGGCTAGAAATATGATTTATACATACAGAAAAACATTTTATACATACAGAAAAACATTTTACAAAATTTAACATCCCTTCATGAAAATAAAAGAAACTCTCAACAATTAGTTACAGAAGAAATGTACCTCAACACAATAAAACCCATATATGACAAACTTAGAAATAACACCATACGGAACAGAGAAAAGTTGAAAGCTTTTCCTCTAAAATCTAGCACAAGACAAGGATGTCCACTTTCATCACTTCTATTCAACATAGTACTAGAAGTCCTAGCCAGAGCAATTAGACAGAAGAAAGAAATAAAAGGGATTGAAAGAGAAATTAAAAAGGTAAATTATCTGTTTGCAGATGACATGATGTTACATATAAAAAACTCTATGGATTACACCAGAAAACAGTTAGAATTAATATATAAATCCAGTAAAGTTGCAAGATACAAAATCAACACACAAAAAATCAGTTACATTTCTATATACTAATAGTAAACTATCTGAAAAAAAGAATTCAAGAAGACAATTTCATTTACAACAGCTATTTAGAAAAAAAACCCTAGAAAAAACTTTAACCAAGGAGGTGAAGGATCTTACACTGAAAACTATAAATCATTGATTAAATAAATTGAAGAAAACATAAATATATAGATTTTTCATTTTCATTAAATAGAAGAATGAACATTGTTAAAGTGTACCCAAAGTGATCTACAGATTTAATGCAATGCTCATGAAAACACCAATGGCATTCTTCACATAAATTGAAAAAAAAATCCTAAAATTAGTATCAAATCACAAAAGAACCCCAAATAGCCAAAGCTGAAATCATAACAGTACCTGACTTTAAAATTATCTATAAAGATATAGTAACCAAAACATTATGGTAGTAGCATAAAAGCAGACACATAGACCAATGGAACAGAACAGAGAGCCCAAAAATAAATATGTGCATTTATAGCCAACTGATTTTCAATAAATCTGGCAAGAACACCCAATGAGAAAAAGATAGCCTCCTCAAAAAATGGTGCTGTGAAAACTGGATATTCACATGCAGAAGAATAAACAAGACTCTCTATGTCTCACCATATTCAAAAATCAACTGAAAATGGATTACATATTTAAATGTAAGATCCCAAACTGTGAAAGCTACTAGGGAAAAGCTCCACGACATTCGTGTGGGCTGGTCAAGGATTTTCTATTTAAAACCTCAAAAGTAAAAATTAGACAAATTATACTATTTAAAGTGAAAAAAGCTTCTGTACAGCAGTGAAGAGGCAATCTACAAAATGGAAAAAAATTTGCAAAATATACATCTGATAAGGAGTTAATATTCAAAATATATAAGGAACTTAATAGCAAGAAAACAAATAACCCTTTTAAAAATGGCTAAAAGACTTGAATAGATACGTTTCAAATGAAAACATACAAATGGCCAACCTGTATATTAAAATATGCTCAACATCATAATCATTAGGATATGGAAAATCAAAACCAAAATGAAATATTACCTAATTTCTACTAGGATTACTATTATCAAAAAGGCAGAAGATAAATATTGTAAATAATGTGCCAAAATTGTCACTGTTAGTGGGAATATAAATTAGTGCTATTAGGGAAAACAGCATGGAGTTTCCTCAGAAAATGTAAAAATAGAACTACCATACAATCCACTCCCTCAGTACTGCATATAAATCCAAGGAAAATTACATCAGTATATAGAAGGGATGCCTGCATTTCCACATTCATTGCAGCATTATTCACAATAACCAAGACATGAAATCAACCTAAGTGTCTATTAGCAGAAGAATCACTAAAGAAAATGTGGTATATTTACATAATGGAAGAGTATTCGGTCACAAACAGGAACAAAATCCCACCATTTGTGACAACATCAATGAACCTGGATGATTTCATGCTAAGAGAAATAAGCCAGGACAGAAATACCACATGATCTCACATATGTGGAATCTAAAAAGTGGAACTCGTAGAAGCAGAGAGTTGAGTAGTGGTTACCAGAGGCTGAGCTAAGTAGGAGGAGAGGGATTGGGTGATCCTGGTCAAAGGATATACAATTAAAGTTAGATATAATAATTGTTTAAATGTTTAGATATGCAAACATATAGAGAAAAAATGTAGACAAGTGATTGTATAAGGCCAGGAAGGTTGGGGAGAGGAGAACTGGCGGTGGAGGAGTTAGAGAAATAAGGAATAACCATTATTGGTTATGGAGTTTCTTTTGGGGCTAATGAAAATGTTCTAAACTTGATTGTGATGATGGAGGCACAACTCTGAGAACACTTCATTGTATTGCACATCCTAAGTGGGTGAAGAGTATATGCATTATATCTCAATAAAGCTCTAAAATAAAAATTATGGGTTTATTCTGCTACTTCTAATATCCATCTAAACTTATGCCATTACATACATGTATTCTCCATTTCCCACAGTGAGAATTCTCAAATATATTAATATACTTACCCTTTGTTTAATATATTTTCAAAAGTGTTATACCAACTGCACTATGAACAACAAACCTATGAAGTTGGGTTCAAAATATCTTTCTTTTTAAGAGGCAGGCCCCTATTTGTTTTGATAATTATTACTCAATATTGTATATATTAAATTATCACACTGAGTAATCAGAATATATATGATCTTTATTGGTTAATTAAATATATTTAAAGAAAATATCAAAATTTATTTCTTTAATTTTGTGTGGATACATATTAGGTATATATATTTATGGGGTATATGAGATGTTTTGATATAGGCATGCTATGTGAAATAAGCACATCATAGAGAATGAGAGAATGGGGTATCCATTCCCTCAAGCATTTATACTTTGAATTACAAATAATCCAATTACATTATTTAAGTTATTTAAAAATATACAATTAAGTTATTATTGATGATAGTCACCTTATTGTGCTATCAAATGGTAGATCTTATTCATTCTTTTTTATTTCTTATTTTTTGCACCCATTAACCATCTTCATCTCCCCTCCCAATCTTCCACTACCCTTCCCAGCCTCTGGTAACCATCCTCTCTCTGTGTCCATTAGTTCAATTGTTCTGATTTTTAGATCCCACAAATAAATGAGAACATGCATTGTTTGTCTTTCTGTGCCTATTTCACTTACATTATGATCTCCAGTTCCATCCATGTTGTTGCAAATGACTGGATCTCATTCTTTTTTTATGGCTGAGTGGTACTCCATTGTGGATGTTTACATTTTCTTTATCCATTCACCTGTTTATGGACACCTAGAGTGCTTCCAAATCTTACCTACTGTAAACAGTGGTGCAACAAACATATGAGAGCAAACAAATTTCCTTTTCAAAATATCTAAGTTTCTTTTTGTCTTTGGATTCAAATACATGTCAAAGTTACTTGTATTATTTTTTTCTTCAATGTATTTATGTTATCAATTTAATATATTTTGTTTTTGCATTGTTTCGAATTTTCTTTTTCATTTCTTAACATTTATATCTACTGAAATATATAAATTGGTAACATAATTTCAAAATTAAAAACCCTTTCCCATTATTTCTTACATTTATCAATCATTCTCTTTAGGTAACCAGATTTATAACATTTGCTTTATCATTTCTTTGCTTATTTTTGCCAAGGTATTTACTATAAATGGCAACACACTATTTACACTACTTTACACTTTCCTCTTTGTTACTTAACAATATATATCCTTGCTATCATTCCTTAGCAGTTGATAGAGACATTTTTCCTTTTTTTAAATCTCTGCATTGTAAAAAATTGTGTGGCTATACCTTAGTTTATTTAGCTATTTTTATGTGTGAGCATTAAGATTACTTCCAATAGTGTGACCTTATAGTTGATGCTACAATTAATAACTGTGATTATTTTCATATTGTTTTAGGTGTGTAATTTCAAGGAATTTCTTAGTAGTGGGCTTACTGCATCAGTTTCTCTGCTTAGTGCCATATTTCCAGCCATAGAAATTCTACCATTCCTCCTTCCCTTTGGCCATATATGAGTGGCTATTTGGCATGGTTTTACCAGCACAGTATTCTATCAAAATTTTGAATTTTTGTAATTTTAATAGGTGAGAAAAATGTTTCAATCTAGGTTTAACTTGTAAATCTCTTATTGCATGAAACTGGACGTCTTGCACATGTGTAAGGCAATGTTTATATTACTTTAATATTATCTGTTCATACCTTTTGCATATTTTTTCTCCTGGATTTTCATTCCGTTTTTCCAGTAATTTTTAAAAGCTACTTAGAAATGCAATCCTCAAAAAATTAAAAATAAAACTATCATAAAATCTACTAATTCTGCTACTGGGTGGGAGGTGATTAAATAACAATGTTATTTAATGGCATAAATCCTTTATGATATACTTTTTTTCAGTTTCTCATTTTACTCTTGAAGTTACTTAGGATTTTGTTATTTTGCATGTAAAAGTTTTTGGCAATATTACTGAATTAATCAAATTTATCTTTTCTGCACCCAGTTTTTGAAGCATAGTTTAATATTATTATACCCAGAGTATGAAGGAATTCACTTAAGTATTTTCCAGTATTTTATTATTTCATTTTTTTATGTTTATATGGCTGATCATTTTGACATTCACTCTTGTGTTTGGAATGTGTTATGGATCTAATTTTATTGTACTGCTAATGGCTATCCTTTTGTGTCAATGCTGTTTATTAAGATATCAATAAATAGCACTACCTTTTCATGCATTAAATTTTCGTATTTGATTGGGCCTACTTTAACTCTTTCCACTTTTTCCCACTAAACTTCCTGTCAACTCAAGGAACAAATTATTTTACTTAGAGAATTTCTATAATAGCACTAGTCCTCCTTCCCAGTTCTACAATTTCATGAGGATCTTAGCATTCTCTCCAGTCATTAATCCATAAAATTTTCATAAAGCATAGAAACATTTACTAGTTCCAGAAATTTAAGCTTGATAGCATTTTTGTGTCTCTGAGAATGAGTTCTTATAAATAATTGAATGTCTCAGATACTTAGCATTTACCTCCTCAATAAAGTATAAAAACATTTTATTCTTTTAAGAATTATAACAAACACAAAAGTGTCTGACTAAGATATGTATTTAAATATTTCAACATATTATAGAAAGCTTGACTTATCAATGTATGAACATATTTTTAAAACAGTGTTAGGGCCATGTGTTTTAAAGTTAACATATCTGTTTCTGGTCAGTGGATTATTAAAGAATTAGAACTATGCAAACTGACAGAAGTGAAAGATAATATATTTCAGAAAACTAAGTGTAGCATACAAGTCAGGTGATTGAAATTATTCATTATATCATAGATGGCTCATAGCCAATTAACCTTTCAAACTAAATAGTATTATTCAAAGATAGATGATGACAAGCAAAATGATAATTATAAACTCGGGTTTTTACTGGAACTCTCTAATGAAAATGTAAAAAATTATTAATAGAAAATAGTTTAGATGTGCTCTTGTTTGAAGGCATATTGATTTTCTCATATGTGAAGAGCACACCATAATGGTTCTATCCAAGGTCTACATTTTATTATTAAGAAAAATGAAATTGAACAAAAGTAATTTTAAACATTGACACTTTAATTTTCATTAAATAAGGTCTACCTTTTTATCATGTAGTGTACTGAATTCTACTTAGGGTTTCTTTTATTTTGCTACTATTAATGAAAAATTAAAATTTTATATCTAAATTCTTTAGATTGTTTCTTTTTTATCTTTGTTGTTTTCTCCTGGAATAACTAATGTTCATATTTGCTAGTTAAGACCTTATAGTAAACCCTAACTGAGAAAAACACAGCTCTAATTTTAAAGGAATTAAAATATATCTAACAGTACAAAGCTCCTTCCCTGACAGAGGATAAACAAAGGGCACTCTACGTTGATGATTGACTGAGCAATGCATGAAGGGCATTTTGAGAAGTAAAGGAATCTTCATCATAAGACAGAGGAAGTGTTTTTTTTTGTTGTTAATAATCTTTATAGCTACACATCATTTAAGTGTATGATTCAATATTAGCACCCAAGTAATGTTATCTCGAAAGGTTTCCACCTGCCAAATAAAGTCAGTCCCTCCATCCTAGGCCCAAGCAATAACTCCTTTGCTTTTTGTTCTTTGGTCTCCAATGTAAGGGGTTCTTTGGTCTAGTTTTGGTCTTTTCAAATTTCATATAAATAATGTTTGGCTTATTTCATTCAACATATGCTACTAAAATTAATCCATACTGTTAAGTGCAACAGTTATTTCTTCTTTTTATCGTAGAGTAGGATTTAATTGTATTACTATATTACAACTTTATTTTATTTTATGTATTTCTTTATTTTTGAGACAGAGTCTTGCTTTGTTGTCAGGCTGGAGTACAGTGGTGCAATCATTGCTTACTGCAGTCTTAATCCTCTAAGCTCAAGCAATCCTCCCACCTCAGCCTTCAAAGTAGTTGGGACGACAGGCATGCATTACCACACACAGCTACCATTTTGTGTTTTGTAGAAACGAGGTCCTGCCATGTTCCCCAGGCTGGTTTCAAACTCCTGAAAACAATCCTCCCGTCTTTGCCTCCAAGTCCCAATTGATTTAATAATTTAATTAATTAATAATAATTTAATTTATTAATTTAATTTTTATTTTATTTTATTTTAAGTTCCAGGATACATGTACAGGATGTGTAGGTTTTTTACATAGGTGAATGTGTGCCATGGTGATTGGCTGCACCTATCAACTGATCATCTAGGTTTTTTTTTGTTTTTTTTTTTTGAGACAGAGTCTCGCTCTGTCGCTCAGGCTGGAGTGGAGTGGCGCGATCTCGGCTCACTGCAAACTCCGCCTTCTGGGTTCACGCCATTCTCCTGCCTCAGCCTCCTGAGTAGCTGGGACTACAGGCACCCACCACCATGCCTGGCTAATTTTTTGGACGGGGTTTCACCGAGTTAGCCAGGATGGTCTTGATCTCCTGACCTCGTGCTCCTCCCGCCTCAGCCTCCCAAAGTGTTGGGATAACAGGCGTGAGCCACCGTGCCCGGCCCATCTAGGTATTAAGCCCAGCATGTATTAGCTATTTTTTCTGATGCTCTCTCTTCCCCTAAACCAAGTGACAGGCCCCAATGTATGTTGTTCCACTCCCTGTGTCTGTATGTTCTTATTGTACAGCTCCCACTTATAAGTAAGAATATGTGGTGTCTGGTTTTCTGTTCCTGTGTTAGTTTGCTGAGGACAATGGCTTCCAGCTTTACCCATGTCTCTGCAAAGAACATGATCTTTTTCGTTTTTATGGCTGCATAGTATTATATGGTGTATATGTACCATATTTTCTTTATCCAGTCAATCATTAATAGGCTTTTGGGTTGATTCCATGACTTTCCTATTGTGAATAGTGATGCAATGAACATATATGTGCATGTATCTTTATAGTTGTATGATTTATAGTCTTTTGGGCATATACTAAGTAATTGGATTGCTGGATCAAATGGTATTTCTGGTTCTAGGTCTTTGAGGAATCACACACTGTCTTCCACAATGGTTGAACTACTTTACATTCCCACCAACAGTGTAAAAGTGTTCCTGTTTCTCCACAACCTCACTACCATCTGTTGTTTCTTGACTTTTTAATAATAACCATTCTGACTGGCATGAGATGATATCTCATTGTGGTTTTGATTTGTATTTCTCTAGCGATCAGTGATGTCGAGCTTTTTATCATGTTTGTTGGCCACATAAATGTCTTCTTAGGAAAAATGTCTGTTCATGTCCTTCACCCACTTTTAATGGGGTTATTTGTTTTATTCTTGCAAATTTATTTATGTTCCTTGTAGTCTCTGGATATTAAACTTTCGTCAGATGGATAGATTGCCAAAACTTTCTCTCATACTGTAGGTTGTCTGTTTGTTCTGATGACAATTTATTTTGCTGTACAGAAGCTCTTTAGTTTAATTAGACCCCATTTGTCAATTTTTGCTTTTGTTGCAATTGCTTTTGATGTCTTTTTCATGAAGTCTTGGCTCATGCCTATGTCTTGAATGGTATTGCCTAAATTTTCCTCTAGGGTTTTTATAGTTTTGAGTTTTACATTTAAGTCTTTAATGTATCTTGAGTTAATTTTTGTATAAGATGTAAGGAAGGGGTCCAGTTTTAATTTTCTGCCTATGGCTAGCCAGTTCTCCCAGCACCATTTATTAAACAGGGAACACTTTCCCCACTGCTTGTTTTTGTCAGGTTTGTTGAAGAGCAGATGGTTGTAGATGTGTGGTCTTATTTCTGAGTTCTCTATTCTGCTCCATTGGTCTATGTGTCTGTTTTTGTACCAGTGCCATACTGTTTTGGTTACTGTAGCCTTGTAGTATAGTTTGAAGTTGGGTAGCCTAATGCCTCCAGCTTTGTTCTTTTTGCTTACGATTGTCTTGGTTACATAGGCTCTTTTTTGGTTCTATATCTTCCTGATACCAAAATCTGGCAGAGATACAAAAAAAAAAAAAAAGAAAGAAAGAAAGAAAGAAAGAAAGAAAGAAAGAAAGAAGGAAGGAAGGAAGGAAGGAAGGAAGGAAGGAAGGAAGGAAGGAAGGAAGGAAGGAAGGAAGGAAGGAAAGAAAGAAAGAAAGAAAGAAAGAAAGAAAGAAAGAAAGAAAGAAAAAAGAAAACTTCAGGTCAATATACCTGATGAACATAGATGTAAAAATCCTCAATAAAATACTGGCAAGTTGAATCCAGCAGCACATCAAAAACTTATCCACCATGATCAAGTCAGCTTCATTCCCAAGATGCAAGGCTGATTCAACGTACACAAATCAATAAACGTAATTCGTCACATAAACAGAACTAGACAAAAACCAAATGATCATCTCAATAGATGGAGAAAAGACCTTCAATAAGATTCAACATTGTTTCATATTAAAAACTCTCAATAAACTAGGTATTGAAAAGGAACATACCTTAAAATAATAACAAACCCACAGCCAATATCAGACTGAATGGGCAAAAATTGGACACAGTCCCCTTGAAAACTGGCACAAGACAAGAATGCCCACTCTCACCAATCCTATTCAACATAGTATTGGAAGTTCCAGCCAGGGCAATCAGACAAGAGAAGGAAATAAAGGATATTTAAATAGAAAGAGAGAAAGTCAAATTGTCTTTGTCTGCAGATGACATGATCCTATATCTAGGAAACCCCATCATCTCAGCTCAAAAGCTTCTTAAGCTGACAAGCATCTTTAGCAAAGTCTCAGGATACAAAATCAATGTGCAAAAATCACAAGCATTCCTACACACCAACAACAGACAAGCAGAGAGCCAAATCATTAATGAACTTCCGTTCACAATTGCTACAAAGAGAATAAAATACCTGGGAATACAGTTAACAAGGGAAGTAAAGGACCTCTTCAAGAACTAAAAACCACTGCTCAAGGAAATCAGAGAGGACACAAACTAAACGGAAAAACTTTCCATGCTCATGAATAGGAAGAATCAGTATCGTGAAAATGGCCACACTGCCCAAAGTAATTTACAGATTCAATGTTGTTCCCATTAAACTGCCAATTGATTTTTAAAGATTCATTTTTTTTGCCTTTTACTAGTGTCTTGTGCCTTCTTATTATTGAGTTTTAAGAACTCTTTTTATATTCTAAATAAAAGTTCTCCATAAGATACATGTATTGCAATTATTTTCTTCTAGTCTGTGGCTTGTCATTACTTTTCTTAGCAGTATTTAAAATAATAATTTCAGTGAAATCTAATATCAGAATTTTATTTATCTGTATGTTTGTTTATTATTAATTCTGCACTGTCTTTTCTGCTCCAAAGACCAATTTGTCCATTCTTTACCAGCACTGCACTACCTTAATTGTAACTTTATAAGAAATTATACATTCAGATGACGTAAATCCTGCAATTTTGTTATGTTTACTTCAAAATTATTTTGCTATGCTGAGCCACTTACTTTTTTTTTTTGTAAATAACCAGCTTGACAACTTGTACAAAATCATATTATGATTTTGGGTGATTGTATTGTGTTCATAGGTAAATTTGGAAAGAATTACAGCTTAAACATATTTCTATCCCAATCCATGAAAACACTGTATTTTTAATTTATTTATGCCTTTTGCAGTTGATCTAAAAATACTTTAAACTTATAGCTAAAAGACTTGCTCAGACTGTAAGCAAATTTTTCCCACAAATTTCTTATTTTTTATAAATGCAATTTTAATTTTGTTCTGTCGCAGTTGTTCTCTACTAGTATTGCCGTTTTCAATATTTTGCCTTCCATCTCATATTCATCTTTCATTTCTTCTCTGTGAGAGTGTATCACAGCAATTTAAATATTTTCTATTTGCCAGCTGTTAAGATGGTTAAGATGTTAATCTTTGTTAGTAAAAAGCACTGGTGGACATTGAATGAGGACATGAAGGTTCCAGTGTGTGCCAGCACCCATCTCCTATTGTATAGTTAATTTCTTCCACTGAGCACTTGCGATATATAATGGATCATCAGATCTCAGCAACTGCACATAGGCAATTTCTCCAGCACCAGGTTTCTGCAACATACACAGTAACTCTTGCACCAAGATCCTGAATTACATCTTTTATTGTGGAAAAGTTTCTATAACATATGCAGTTTCTACTGCACTAAATTCCAGTAGTAGCAAGGTTTCCATTTCCAAAACCAACGTTCTAGAGCATGTACATCTTCTCTTGTGCCAGGGTACCTTAGTATGGATGACATTTCCAGTACCAAGCTATATAGAATGTACAGATTCTCTCACGCTAGAGTCCTGCGGCAAAAATAGTGAGTTTCTAGCACCAAGACCCTAGCATGTGCAGTTTCTCTAATGCCCAGGTTCTATAACACAGATGGTATTTCCAGAACCATGCTTTTGCAGCATATGCAGCTCCCCTTGCATTAGAGTTTTGCAGTGCTTGGTGACCAGAAGGACCCATCTCCTATCACCTGCTGATAGGTGATATCTCTGCTGTGGGGTTTTGCAGCTGAGAACCTCTGAGGAGACCTGATCCCATGACCAAATTTCACTAGCATCAGAGAGGGTGGATTTCTAGCAAGTTCCTGAAGTGCGTTGCCAAAGAGATCTCCATGCCTTCCAGTGATCCATGGCAGTGCCCTATCCAAAAAAGTCCAGATTTCACCTCTAGGAGTAAAGAGGTGGTCTTTCATGGTGTTTTATCTCAGCCTTACGCATAGTAGCTGCTTCTTATATATGTAACTTGGTGAAAATGCATTGCCATATTTACATATTGCTGGATTTAGTTTTTTTTAATTTGAAAAAATGCATTTATGGCCGGGCACAGTGGCTCACACCTGTAATCCCAGCACATTGGGAATCCGAGGCAGGTGGATCAAGAGGTCAGGAGTTCGAGACCAGCCTGGCCAAGATAGTGAAACCCCGTTGCTACTAAAAATACAAAAATTAGCTAGGCGCAGTGGCGGGTGCCTGTAATTCCAGCTACTTGGGGGGCCGAGGCAGGAGATTTGCTTGAACCAGGGAGGCGGAGGTTGCAGTGAGCTGAGATCGCGCCACTGCACTCTAGCCTGGGCGACAGAGCAAGACTCTGTATCAAAAAAAAGGATTTATATCCTTGTAGTATGTTGCTCTTGCATTTACCCTCTTGGAATTTCTGTTTCAGCTGTCACAGTAATCCTGGTTTTACAACAGATTATAATTCTTGCCTCTTTTTCTGTTTTCTGGAAATGTCCATATAGAATTGGTACTCTTTATTTCCTTAAGTATTTGGTACAGTTTGTCATTAATGCTTTTTGGGTTTCAGGTTTCACTTTTGTGGTAAGATATTTAACTTAAAAATCCAATTTTTCCCATATATATAGAACTTTACAGATTATCTTTTCTTCTTGACTGAACTTTGACTTTTTTTTTATTTTTTATTTTTTTTATTTTTGAGACGGACTCTCGCCCTGTCACCAGGCTGGAGTCCAATGGCACGATCTCGGCTCACTGCAACCTCCGCCTCCCAGGTTCAAGCAATTCTCCTGCCTCAGCCTCCCGAGCAGCTGGGACTACAGGCACACGCCACCATGCCCAGCTAGTTTTTGTATTTGTAGTACAGATGGGGTTTCACCATGTTGGTCAGTATGGTCTCGATCTCTTGACTTCGTAATCCACCTGCTTCAGACTCCCAAAGTGCTGGGATTACAGGCGTGAGCCACCGCCATGCCTGGCCTGACAGTTTTTATCATTCAAAGTATGTACCCATTTTGTCAAAGCTGTCAAAGTTATTAACATTAATTTTTATTGTATTTATTATCATCTCTTTAATGTCACTAGGATCTGTAGCGATACCCCATTTTCATTACTGACATTGGCAGTTTGTTCAGTCTCTCTCTACTCCTAATCAGTCTGGCTAGAGATTTGTCCATTTTGTTAATCTTTAAACAACCATGATTATCTTTCTGTTTTTACTTTCATTGATTGCAGTCTTTTTCTTTATTTTATCCTTTTGCTTCTTGTCAAAAATGAAAATATACCTATTTAATCCGTAACTGTAATTGTTATGTTTTCTTTGTTATAATTTATAACTCTTGCTTTTAAATATAACTCATGATTGTCTTTAAAGTATCATTCAGGTAAGCATTATGTATTAATGACAATGCTTTAAGCAGTAAAAGTGTTTGTAAAATTTAGGCATACAAGTGACTCCAAGAAAGTACTAGGTTGGCAGACACTAGGTTGGATTGGCTTCCCAGTGATACTTCAGATCCACATTGACATCTCTATGTTTCTTTAACTTTTCTCTCATTGCCTCAAGATTCCTGAAACAACTCCAAGCATAATTTCAGCCTAGCCCATTATCCAAAGGGGGAAAGCGAAGGGTGGAAAATAAATTGAATTAGACAAATACTGCTCTCATTTTTTTTAAATCAAAATTTTTACACTCTCCATAAAGTCAACAATGGTTAGAACTGGTCATGCATGTAATGGCAAAACCCTGTCCCCACAATTTTTTTTTTTTAATTTACCTGGGCATTGTGGCGTATACCTGTAGTCCCAGCTACTAGGGAGGCTGAGGTGGTTGGATGGCATGAGAGTGGCAGGTTGAGGTTGCAGTGAGCCACGATACTGCCACTGGATTCCAACCTGTGCAATGGAGTGAGACTGTCTCATAATTAAATAAATAAATACATAAATAAATAAATAAATGAAAGGAAGAAAGAAAGAAAATAAAAAGAAAAATGAGTTAACTGGATGGTCAAGTAATAGTGTTTGCTTCACCCTAGAAGTGGAAATCAAACTATTAAATATTGAAGAACTTTGCTTATGCTGAATTTTGAATGAGTTTAATTTTTATTCATTAATTTAGCTAGTATGTTTTTTAGTTTTGTGTAAAATACTAAAATATTGAGAAAGAAAAAAGTAATAATTATTATTGATATTGTAGGAAAAATTTCAGGTAAAATATGGAGTGTATTTTTATTTTTCCCACATTAACCATGTAAAGAATTGCTCCATTTGGTTTAAGTTTTGTTTTACTCTAGTTTTAATCTTGTTGAGTTTAAGCATCTCTGCATGTTTGTGTATATTTGCTTTTGTGTCTGTGGAAAATGAATTTCTAATATATTACTTGTAAGTGATACCCAATAAGTACCAGCAACACAGTATTATTTTATTCTGCCTAGATAAATTTCTTCAGTATATTCTTCAACTCATCATGGTAGAAAGATGTAATTTCTGAGAGTTAAATATGGAATGCCATAAGAGATTATTAAAATTTAAACGTTTGATTTTGAATTTGGTGTTTGCTTGAATTTTAACTATTCTACAAAACAAAGAAAAATGATTTTCAAGAAATAATCATAGTATTTGTGTATTTGCATATTTATAGAAATTCTTGATTTAAATCATAAAAATAGGAACCTTTCCATGTATTGAATCTCTTCCCATTATTTAGTAAACTAATGAAAAAGAAGTTTTTATTGGAATTCTATAACTACTTTGACATATTCATTTATGATCTCATCCATGACTATTCTTAAAAGATGACAGTATCTATCAATACTCATTTCATAATAGTAAACTTTTCAAAATGCCACTTTAACACATCATTTATAATAAAATTATCTGAATGTTTTTCTTGACCTATACATTTAGAAAACATTTGGTCAATATAGAATTAGTACTTTAAATGTCTTTAAAGGTAAAAAGCTTATATGCTACACTATTCTAATATTTTCAAATCATTAGTTCTCTGAAAGCTAACTTATAAAGAGGAAAGCAAAATAAATCAGCTTTCAAAGGGTTCAGTGATTCTATAATTAATATTTCTTTACAAGATTAAAGATATTTTCATAAGTGGTTTTTTAAAGCTGAATGCTAGAAATCATTCTTTGAATTTGAATTAAAATACATTTGATTTTAATTTATTCTATTCCTCAAATATAAGTTTTTAAAACTATATAAGTTGCTTCATTTTTAATATTAAATGTGGGCTATTACTTCCATTCCAATGCAAGTGAGGCTTCTTGGCAGGGGGCTGAGGAAAGGTAGATTTTTTTTTTAAAAAAAGACACTAGGAACACATTGATTTATACAGCTAAATGCTAAAATTGGCGTAAAATCGCTATTTGTATGTAGGATTGACAGCATAGATGGTATGCCTTTAAGAAACAAAATATTGCAAGAAACTAAATAAATGTGGAACTACTGAGCTAAAACTAATAATGATGACAATAATAGGTATGACAGGCATAATGATAATCATGTTGCCTTTTCACGACAATCTTAAAGCACAGATAGCATTAAAGCTGCATAAATATAAGTACTTGGCTTAGTTTAGACACTTTAATCTCAATTTACACAGTATGATATTACTGCAAAATGATGAACTCATGAAATGCACATGAAAGTTGCTTTGGATAGAAAGTTGGAACCATGAGTCAGTCACTATTTAATTTGCAGATATTAAGGTAATATATTTCTTAAATTTACTATAGTTGATAATATACACACATTAAAAATTACAATGTTTTATAGATTTGAAGGAAGATGTGTTCTAGATGAACTCTTCAAGTTACCCAAGAGAAAATTTCCAAAACAGATAATTGTGTTCTACTTGATTCTCAGAGACCACTCAGGAAAGGAGCTGTTTTGAACTCTGAGTTCTAATTAACAAAAACATCCCCTTCACTTTCAAACAAATCCTGAAATTCTGGTGAATTCCCTTCTATGTCCTCATATAAATAGAAAACATTTTATTCTCTACATTTGAGTAAATACTCCAAAATTAGTTGATGATTCAAAATACATTTTCCCAGGCTAAAACATTTAAAGGTTTCCAAGCTACCGCATTGCCATGCCGACATAATGATTCTGTCTCCTTGATCTTTTACCTTCCTCTCAGATCCTGTTTAGCCAGGGGCTCTAAAGTTTTATTCCTCCAGAGTGAGTGTCAGCAGAATAGGTGATGTTATTAAGAAAGTTGGCACTAAAAGCACAGCCTAGAGGACAGAGCTGTCTTCTTGTCTATACATTATCATTGGAAGTTTGAAGCATATTAGTTGTCCTAGTTTAAGATCTTCCGAATGTAGAACCTGACACAACAATTGGTGTTTAAGATTTTTATTTGAGAAGTTATTCCAAGAAATATGCAGGGAGTCTGAAAATGATGCAGGAAGGGAGGAAAACCCATAGAGTTTCATAACTGGCAAGTTGTCTTCACGAAAAACTGGAACTCGATACCACTATTATACTCTTTACAGAAAAGAAGCTGGGCTATTAATCTACCAGCTCAAAAACCGCATCCCTTTAAGGACACTCCTAGGCATTAAAAACTCTGCACATGCGGCAGGCAGGAACATCTGACTACATTCTAGTGGCTAAAACACACCCTCAAGCAGAGAGATGCAGGGAGGGACACATCTGTCTTACAGTCTCTATCTATACTGGACCCGCAAACTAGGTGGGTGGGAGGAGTGCCCATTCAGATCCACAGGAGCCTCACATTAAGTTCTCATGGCCTGTGATAAAGTTATTCAAATCGTTTCATTTTAATCCTGAAGGTAATTCAAAAATAAAATGGAAAAAGTAAATAGAGAAACTTATACAAAAAAAAAAAAAAAAACACCTAGGACAACAACAAAGACTTGGAGTAGGTCTTGGTATTGCCAAAATAAAATTATTTTTAAGACATCACATGTATTTTTAAAACTTATATTTGGAGCAGGCATCGGCAAGAAAGTAAGAGACTAAGAAAAATAAGAACCTGATTGTATATAAGGATGTACAATAAGATACAACCGTTATTTCAGGCAATTAAATTACATGTAATTAAAAATATACAGGTGGGCCGGGTGCCGCAGCTCACGCCTATAATCCCAGCATTTTGGGAGGCCAAGACGGGCGGATCAAGAGGTCAGGAGATCGAGACAATCCTGGCTAACATGGAGAAACCCCGTCTCTACTAAAAATACAAAAGATTAGCCAGGTGTGGTGGCGGGCACCTATAGTCCCAGCTACTTGGGAGGCTGAAACAGGAGAATGGCGTGAACCCGGGAGGCGGAGCTTGCAGTGAGCCGAGATTGCGCCACTGCACTCCAGCCTGGGCGACAGAGCGAGACTCCGTCTCAAAAAAAATATATATATATACTTTTACATATATATACAGGTGGAAGATATTTAGTAAGAATATGGTGAAAACATTAGAATTGTAACATATTCCTCATTATTTAATTATTAAATATAGAAACTATAGCACATGTAAAATCAGAACACATATCGATATTTTACTTTGCAAAAAAAATCTTTTAAAATATAAACAAAGGAAGAAATCAAAGCTTTTCCACATTAATAAAGAAACTTAAAAATGAAAAACACAGAAAACAGAATTTTAAATGATGAAGACTTAATGATTCCATTCTTTTTAATTGCTTTCTGATTCGTATTTTTTACATGTGTCAATTATAAAATGTATTAGTATTATTGTTTAAGATACAAGAAACTACAAAGCAATGACAATATTTTAGAGCAATCAAGAATTATTGAAATAGGATATCTAAAAAAGTATGGATATGTGTAAAGAAGTGGCTAAGTTACTGAATAACTTTTAAAAGCAAAAGTTTTAAACTTAAGTAATGACAATTCAAATTTTTCTTCTGACAGTAAATAGCATTTGTGCTCCAGTAAGTCACTTAAGTATTTCCAGATCATACTTTTTCTATCTTAAATGAGACAACTGAATTGCATTGTAGTGAATTTAAGATGCAGTAAAAACAGCTTTAATGAAACTATGGCATCAAATAGACAAAGGAATTGATATCTGGTAATGAAAATAGAAGAATCTTGCTTAACAATTATCCAGAGCTTTGCATGAGCCTGTATAAATGAGGCATTTTGCAGAGCTTTGTAAATTGCACATTTAAAAAGTTATACTCAAGAATAAGGATACTCAAATAAATTATCACAGAGAAAAAGTGCCTTTTTAAAATTAACGCTGTTGCTTTTTCTTTGTAGTATAACTGTATGATAAATTATAATAAAATAGTCATTCTATTTTTATGTTCCAGACTGCATTTTCCAATTAATTAAAACTATTAATTTTTATTATGATTTGTTATTTCATGTAAATTTATCTTTTTCTTTAAAATTCAAACTAGGAATAGAAAATATGTTCAGAAAACTAGGTATATTTTACCGCTTTTTGAGGCAAGGGCAGAAAGACGTCATATTTGTAATGTTTCATGTAGTCAGCAGTTTACTGTTTATTTACTTTTTAATTCACAGTTGAAGAACAAAATCAGCAGTACAAAATAAATGCTTGCAAATAAAAAGTATAAGCAGAAGGCATTCACAGCTATTTAGAGTGAATTTTACACATTATCTTTTTAAAAATATGCTGCACATTGGATTGAGTTTTGCCCTAAATTTTATTCATTTAACATATTTATCATATTTAATATTATCATTTAAAAAGATATTTTGAATTTTACCTTTTCTATAAGACTGAGATTACCTATATCTTAAAGTGATAGTCGTTGTTTCAAAGTAAGCTAATTTGAAAAAAAACAAAAACAAAACTGGGTAAGTATTATATTACTGCTTAGGAAATTGCCATGAAACTATTATCTCACCCAATTTCTGAAGGAATCTAGCAGCAGCTGAGCTGTCTGGTTTTAGCTCAGCGCTTGTAAAAAGATCTCAGCTCTCCTCTGGAGCAGCAAGGATCTCAAGATCTAACTGCAGCTTCAGAATCTGCTTCCATGATCACCCACCTGAGGGCTGGCAGGCCACAGTTTCACAAGCTGTGCCTGAAAATGTTAGTTACTCACCAGCATATGATCCTATTCATACAGCTGCTCCAAAAATGACAGCTCATTTCTACTAGAAAGAGTAATGAGAGATAGAAAACTACAGAGAGAGGAAGAGAGAGAGAGAAGACGAGCAATATTCTGCCACGTGCTATTTAGCACATTGACAAACCCTGGTAAAATATGAGAGGGGACTCTTTAAAGATGTGAATGCCTTGAAAGGAAACTTTGGAGGCTATATTGGAGGCTTCTTATTCCGGTCCTTCCTGCTTTCAATTATATGTTTCTCCCATAAATGAAATACAATTACCTCCTCATAAAGGGCCTCCTAATGTCTTATCCCATTACAGCATCAGCTCAAGTCCGGATCTATATCTACACTCAGTACAGAAGTGAATGAGGCTCCTTGGGTATGGTTTCTTAAGTACAACCCCATGAATACAGTTTTTCTTCATCTCTGAAACTAACGTGACCAGTTGTCTGCTCTTAATGCACCCAATGTATAATGATGTGATTGGCATAGATAACATGTTTTAAAAAGGAAGGAAAAAGTAGTCATGTGTGCAAAGCTATATCTAAAATTCAGCAAGTCACATGCTGTAAATTCTGTAATTATATCTCAAGGCCAACAAATAATTTTTCTGGGCTCTTGGTTCCACCCTATGAGTCCTCCTTCCTATTTTTTTTTTTTTTTTTGAGACGGAGTCTCGCTCTGTCGCCCAGGCTGGAGTGCAGTGGTATGATCTCGGCTCACTGCAAGCTCCGCCTCCGGGGTTCACGCCGTTCTCCTGCCTCAGCCTCCCGAGTAGCTGGGACTACAGGCGCCCGCCACCGCGCCCGGCTAATTTTTTGTATTTTTAGTAAAGACGGGGTTTCACCGTGTTAGCCAGGACCGTCTCGACCTCGTGACCTCGTGATCCGCCCGCCTCGGCCTCCCAAAGTGCTCGGATTACAGGCGTGAGCCACCGCGTCTGGCCAGAGTCCTCCTTCCTTTTTAATGAAAGGTATCATGGGCTGCTTTTCACTCACTTGCTGCTGATAGAATTTTGTGGGACAAAAGCCCTCTTTTCATGTTGTGTTATCTTTGTCCTTTTCAGTTCAATACGGTATCATATCTCAATCTGGAATTCCTTTAAAAAGTGTGTAAATCTTATTAAGATCTGTACCATTAGATAAAATCCATGTTCATGATCTCTTGGGGATGAGACCTTCTTTACTTTGCATTTCATCTGGGAAGGCTGAGGGACAGTGACCTTATGGTTCTTAAAAGCTCTACTGTTTGACTGTAAGGAAATATGAGGCACACATTTTATCTCTTTAGAAGGCCTTTTGTCTGATATACAACCTTGATTTTTCTGAGGTCTCCACCAAAGATGTTTTAGTCACATCTTCAGCTTTATCTTTGGTCTGTGTTTTCCTAGGAGTATGTGTAACTTTATCTTTCCTCAGAAAGTTATCATCCTTTGTGAAATGAAAACACTAGAAATGTTCAAAACCATCAAGTGTTAATATTTTGTTTACCAGTCCTTCCTTTGTTTTATCTCCCTCCTCTGACATTACTATAAGCAACAACAGGAAACAAGGAAGCATGTTCAACACTGATTGGAAATCTCATTGGAAGATGATTCTCTATAAATAGTCTCTGGTATATCTGCATCTCTGACATCATTATCTCACATTTCTGAAGGTCAAAAATCAGAAATTTAATTCAATGGGCCAAAATCAAAATGTCAATCCAAATGTCAGAACAGCTGCATTTCTTTCTAGATCCTCTAAGGGGAATCAATTGTCTTGACATTTCCACCTTCTAAAAGCTGCTTATATTCTTTGGCTTATGGCCCCATTGAATCTTCAAAGCCATAAATGGCTGATCCAGTCTTTCTCTTACTAACTCACCCTAAGATTGAATGGTCTGCCTTCCTATTTCACTTATAAGGACCCTTGTAATTACAGGGTAATCCAGAATAATTTAGGATAATCCCTATCTCAAGATCTTTAATTTAGCCACTTCTGAAAAGTTACTTTTGCCATGTAAGACAGATAACGTATTCACAGGTTCCAGAGTTTAGAACATGGGTATCAATGAGAGGCCATTATTCTGCTTATGGTACTCCACTCTTTGGACTCCAAAGATTCAGTTCCATCCCACTTGCAAAATGCAATCACCCCACAGCAACATCTCCAAATTTTCAACCAATTAATGAATAAATTTAAATCCAAAATCTCATCTATGTGTGTTCAGCTCAAAGTCTCAAATCTTACTCTCTAAATCATCTAAATCAGGTATGAATAAAGCTCTGGATGTAATTAATCCCATCAGTGGGCTTGTGATACTAGAAAACAAGTTATCTGTTCCCAACATGCAATAGTAGTTGAGGATAAAATAGCAGTTATATATATTTCCTTTTAAAATGTGAGAAAATGAAAGAAAAACAAATATTCAACAGTCCAAAATTTTTAAATCCAGTTGGGCAAATGACACAAGGTCTCAAGACCTAGTAATAATGTTCTTTGATTCCTGGCTCTACTTGCTCAGAGGATGATAGCTCTGCCATTGGAGCCACCTCTTCTTTTTAAGAAATGCAGGACATGTTCTCAGCTAAGTAATATCCATTTTGTGCTTGTAGAATTTTGGGACCAACATTCTCTTATTATTTCTTCCTTTCTCAGTCTCTTTCTATCTCAGCTGGTAGAGTTTCTGCTGGTAAAAATTTGTTAAAACCCTTGTAAGTCTCCTGTATATGTCATGGGAATTCGCTCTGTTAGTCAAGATACTATCACACAGATATTTTCTGAATGATTTGTTTCTCTTCCTGTCTTCTTCCAGATAGCTGTGCTAGTCTCTGATTCACTAATATCTTTCAAGAGACTTCTATGTGAATAACACTGTAACTATTAGTTTCTTCTTAGGCACTTACAAAAAGCTTTCCAGTCAAATGCTAGTTTTAAAGTATGCTTTCTTGACAGTGAACCTCTAAATTTAGCATCTTTTGCAATCTGAATAGGCTCAGAATTTCTCAAATAATCAAGTTTTGGTTCTTTCTACTTCATAATTCTTCCCTCAGTGTATGTCTTTTCTCCCACATTTTACTATAAGCACCAAGAAGCAACCAGATCACAGCTTTAACATTTTCTTTGGAAATCTCTTCAGCTAACTATTCAAGTTCTTCTTTTACAAAGTTTGCTCTCGGCATAATTGTAGGACACTATCCCACTGAGCTTTCTGCCGCTATATAGCAAGTACCTCCCTTCCTCCTGTTTCCAATAACATATTTCTCATTTCTCACTGAGCCCTCAATAGCAATACCTTTAAGGTCCATATTTTTAACCATAGTCTGCAGAAAATAATTTAGCAATTCTCTAAGGTGACATATGATTTCTGTGCCATGATCATCAGTTTCTTCTGAAGTTTCACCAGCAAAGTCTTAAATGATTGTATTTCAACTACCAGTCAATACAAGCCCATCTAAGCTTTTTCTAGCACGATCATCAAAATTTTCCAGCCTCAGGCCATTTTTCAATTCCAAAGCCACTTTCATAGTTTTTTTTTTGTTTTAATTTGTTAGAGCAGCACACAACTTCTAGGTACTGTAGACTGTAACAGTTTCCTAAGACTGCTATAACAAGGTACCATAAACTTGGTGATCTAAAACAACATAAACGTATGATCTTACAGTTCTGGAGGGCAGAAGTCCACAATGGCTCTCACTGGGCTGAAATCCAAGTACAAGCGGGGTTGCCTTCTTTTCTGGAGGCTTTAGGGAAAAGCCGTTTGGTTTTTTTGTTTTGGTTTGGTTTTTGGGTTTTGCTTTTTTCAGCTCCTTCCATTTTCAAAACCAGCAATGGCCACTCAAGTCTTTCTCATGATACATCACTCTGACACTGACTCTTCTCCTTTCTCTCTTTCACTCTTCAGGAGGACCCTTCTTCTTACCTTGTATCCACCTGAATATTTCAGGCTAACCTCCCCATCTCAATATCCTGAACATAATTACACCTGCAGTATCTCTTTTCACAAGTAACGTTCTAGACATTAACACAAAGTCATTTTTGAGAGGAAACGTTATTTTGTCTACCACAGTTTGCTAACAGTTCTCTCATAAGATAGGGAGTTTTTTGGTTTTGTTTTTGTCTGTTTATTTGTTTTTAAAATAGTTCTTTCCCTGTGACAAAACTCTCTTCCTATGCAACATCACCCTGAGCCACTGCATCACCCCTGGGACTTGAGGAACAAGGAACATTGAAGCAAATGTGAAACTTGTGGTGCATTCAGTATTTTGAGGAAAAAAAGCTCTTTTTCTCTGACCTAGGAGTTGGATAGCTTCTGCTAGCATCAATGGAATTGTGGCAGTCTCCACTGTTAGCTTGCAAAGCAGAATAAGATTTCAAATGTGTCACAGTATATGACTACATTAGCCTGGTCAACCATTTATGACTTGCTAATTAACTTTAGTTAAGTATGGTATTGCTATGCTCTCTGCCATTATATTAAAACAATCTCCTTTCTCTAATTTCTAATAATGCCTGTCCCACTTTTCTGCAACCCTGTTATGCACAGCCTTATCCAAGAGCGTAAGTCTTCCATTAACAGTTCCCTCAAAGCACTCTGGGCTTTCACTGTAACTCTCCTCCAGGTCTACTTTCTAGTTTCAAACTCACTCTCACATTTCAAGTTTGTTTTCTTGCATCTCACTTTTGGTTCCAAACAGAAATTTTGGTTCCGAAAAAAATCAGCTTTCTTTTGCTGAATAATAAATTATCCTAAAGTATAGGAGCTTAAGACAACACATATTTCTTTTCACTTACAGTTTCTGTGGGTCAAGATTGAAATTCTTGGAGTAGCTTACGTGAGAACTTCTGGCTCTGGAAACTAAGAGATTGCGCCCAAACTGTTAGCTGGTGAGTCTGACACCTCAAAGCTCAAATGAGGCTTGTGAACCTGTATGCAAGATCCTTCATATGGGTTTTGGCAGACATCAGTTCTTTGGTGGCTCTTGGCTGTCACAGAATGGGTGATGAGAGCAACAGTGAGAGGAAGGGAGAGAGAGAGAGAAAGAGACAGAAAGAGAGAGAGCACATGCAATATGAAAATATCAAATATCAGTATTTTATAACCTAATCTTAGTAGTGACATATTTTACTTCTGCCATATATTATTTGACATCCAGACCAACTGTGGTACCATGTGGGTGCAAAATATCTGGAGTAAGATACATGAGGGCTCTCTTGAAAGATGAGCATTATAAACTGTATTCTTGGATACTATTATTCCAAAATTAGTCTTCTTTGTATATCAAAAATATTGATATTTTAAAATAATATTATTATGCAGAAACCATCTCTATCAAATATCTTTTGTTACATATCTAAGATAGAAGAAATCATTTTATACCTATACCAAGTAAATTTTTAAACTTTTAGGGTCACAAATAAAAGAAATATTTTAATAGCATATTCAGTTATCTGTATTAGTATATTTGCATATGGAATTATCTAAAATATATTCGTAATGTTAGATGGAAAAACCTGATTGAAAGTCTGAGTAACATGTGGCCCAGCGCGGTGGCTCACACCTGTAATCCCAGCACTTTGGGAGGCCGAGGCGGGCGGATCACAAGGTCAGGAGATCGAGACCATCCTGGTTAACACAGTGAAACCCCGTCTCTACTAAAAATACAAAAAAAATTAGCCGGGCGTGGTGGCGGGTGCCTGTAGTCCCAGCTACTAAGGAGACTGAGGCAGGAGAATGGTGTGAACCCGGGAGGCAGAGCTTGCAGTGAGCCGAGATCGCGCCACTGCACTCCAGCCTGGGTGACAGAGCAAGACTCCGTCTCAAAAAAAAAAAAAAAAAGAAAGAAAGAAAGTCTGAGTAACATGATTCATGGCACACAAGAATGATCAGTATTTGTCACTGGCTGGGTGACCATGAGCATATAGCTTCATCTCCATGATGTGGCCTCTGGTCATCTCTCCTACCTCGTCTATTCTCATCTCCCTCCACCAGAGACACACTCTGTCCCCTTTGCTAATTCTAAACTCAAGAGATACATTCCTGACTCAGGACTTCTACTCTGGCTATTCCTTCCACCTATAATCCTCTTTCACACATATCCTCATAGTTTCCCACTTCACTTCTTTCAAATTTTTTGTCAAATGCCATCTTCTCAGTGAGACTTTCCCTGATTACAATTTACATCAACTCAATACGTGCAGCTAATTCTCAATTTCTGCTTCAAATTTATTGCGTGTACTTACAAGCCTCTATAATATTGTGTAACTTATTTTTTTGTTGTTTTTATTGTCTGCCTCCCATACTAACCTGTAATTTCCACAAGGCAAAGTTTTTGTCTATCATCTTCTTTAGTCAAGTGCCTCTGGAACTTAGAATACTGACTGAAACCGTGATAACTCAAAGAAAACTGCTGAATGAATGAGTGAATATATGGGGCTTCTTGAGTTAACAGGCTAGTAAATTAATCAGCAGGTTGAATAGTGCATACTGGATGTTTCCTTTGCACCAATGAATAAGTTGTTATATTGAAATATAAAGAAAGTGGTATAAGTTACAGACTTAGATCATCACTGAATATATTTGGAAATACTGCTTCTCTCCTCGGTTGTTGTCACACTGGGAGCTATTAAGGGATATAAGACTGTTTTAGATTATCATAGTAGCTCCAACATTCCTATTATCAATTAATATCAAGTGACCATTGCTGAAATGCACGAAACAATATTGATGGTTTTAATTTTAAAGTTGTTCCATCAATTTTTTTAGCAAAACTTTAAAGCAATGGACTGAAGTTATATTCTATAGTGACTTGAAAGGCTGTATAATCCAGTTGATTTTTAGCTTTCCTGTGGAGCTTGAATTGTTACTAAGGTTATGTGATAATAAACTCTATTTTTACTATTGAGCATCATGCCAGTATACAATTTTTTTTCAGTTAATGGGATTTCTATTGTATTTTATAGTAACATTTGCCAATTCGGTATCTCCTTTACTCAAAGCAAGATCAAAGGACTTTTTGCTCTCTGATCTCCAGTTCTTCAAACATCCTTGAATGACATTTCTCATTACTTTCTGAAAATACCCAAGGTAAGGCAGAATGTCTGCAATATAATATAGAATCACTTTGTGCCAAAAAAGACAGAGTGGCTAAAATTATTAATTTTATGTTTGCCGGAACTGTTGTCAGCAATTCTGTTACCACTTTAAAAGAAATATTCAGTTCATATGATATTTGAGAAGTATTTTCTCTTCTGCCCTTAGATTCTGCTAAACATCAATCCAATTAACAATAGACTTCTCTCTTTTTTTTTTTCTTTTCTGCCCTTAATGCATTTAAAAAAAAAAAAGAACACTTTACCTCGATAATCTCCTCCTAGGAATCTGACCAAAGAAAACTGTCAGAAATGCTCAGATTTACGTGTATGAATTTCTATCAGAGAATTGTATATAAGAGGGGCAAACTAGAAGAAACCTAACATGTAATAATCAGAAAATAATTAAATCATTATGTATCTATTAATCCTCATGTACCTCAGTAATATTTAATGACACAGGAAAGGCTCATAATGTAATGTTAAATGGGAAAAGTCATATAACAATATAAAATGTTTACATTATATAAATGGATATTTGTGTGCATATACATATATATATGAATATATCCATAAAATAAAATCTAAAAGACCACTAAGATGTTAACAGTGGCTATTCTTGAGACACTGAAGAAATAAAATTTTACTTTTCCCAAAAAAAAAAACAAAAAACAATAGACTTCTCAAGCTAAGCTCTTGTGTCTTCTAGGCACTATCAGACGAAAGGAAAGCCACGAGGGTACTGTGATTTAGTGCTTCTTACCCTGAATTCTGTTGCAATCAGATGAGCTTTGACCATTTTCATTCTATTTCATGATGCTTCATATAAGATTAACTTGAATAAAATGAAGATTCCTTTGGATAGAAAAATATTTAAAAATAAGTTACAAGCTATATTCTCATGTGGCTCTCTTGCCTCAAAAAGATATATTACTAAGTGCAATGTAATGAAGTGTCCCTAACCCAAAAATAAAATTTATGTCCACCCAGAAACTCATGTGACTTTATTTGGAAATAGGGTTTTGCAGATATAATTAGTTAAGATGAAATCATACTGATTTTGTCGACCTGAATTCGACAATGGATGTCCTTATAAGAAAGCCATGTAATGGCACAGAGACATACAGGGAGAATTCCATGTAACAGGTGAAGCTAATTGAAGTGATATCTACAAGCCACGGAATGCCAATGGGGACCATAACCATCAGAAACTAGTAAGAGCCCAGGAAGGATTCTTCCCTAGCCTCAAATGTCACCACTCTGCTGACACCTTGATTTTACAATTCTAGTCTTGAGAACTATAAGAAAATAGGTTTCTATTATTTTAAGCCACCCTATTTATGGTATTTTGTTATAGCAGTCCTGGGAAACGAATAGACTAATATTGAATCTATGAGAATTGTGCTTCAAATGATTTATTTCAACATATTTTAAAATTCTATGTGTTCAACATATTTTGAAATTCTATGTATTTCCCATAATGCATCAATTTCTGATGTATACATTCTTTTGAAGGCCTTCCAGGTTAATGTCATAATTAGGTGTGATTACCCCAAAATCACCCA
This sequence comes from Homo sapiens, assembly GCF_000001405.40. Taxonomy (NCBI): domain Eukaryota; kingdom Metazoa; phylum Chordata; class Mammalia; order Primates; family Hominidae; genus Homo; species Homo sapiens. Next base: position 23,054,087 of record NC_000021.9, on the reverse strand, counting down.
TTTTAAAAATTGTTAACATTCTTAAAATGTTTTTCTTGACTTACTATCATGTGTTCTATGACTCAAATTATGTTTTTAAATAAATCTAGTTATAGAATTATAAGAAATAAGACAATGTGGTATGTCCTATAGAACATCAATTTGCATATGATTCTATAACAAAGAAAGGAAAAATGAAGATATTCCAGAGATAATAGAGCTCTGCATTATATTCCCTGGCCTAACTTATTTTTCCCTTTAAATATAATTGAACCCATGGAGCTAGAGAGTGAAATGACGGTTGCCAGAGGTTGGAAAAGGTGGCAGGGATGGGAGGGGAATGCGGTGATGGTTAATGGGTACAAATTAATGCAGTTAGATAGGATGAATAATATCTAGTATTCAGTAGCACAATAAGGTGACTATAGTGAACAATAATTTATTGTATATTTTAAAATAACTGACAGAATGGAATTGGAATGTTCCTAACATAAATAAATTACAAAGGCGTGAGGTGGTTAACTACCCTGGTTTGATCATTACTCATGGCATGCTTGTATCAAAACATCACATCTACCCCATAAATATATATAACCGTTTTGTAGCCATAGTAATTAAGATTTTTAAAACCCTGTACTGAATGAATAAAGGCACAAATGAATGGAAAATAATTTAAACACCTTTAGTTGACAAAGAGTTGTATCTAGAATAAATAGAACAGTATTTCAATTAAAAAAAGTGTCAACAAACATTTAAAAAATAAAAACAACACTAGAGTTGGCAAGGACGTAGAACAACTTTAACACTAATATATTGCTGGTGGGATCTGAAAACATTAAAATTACTTTGGAAAATAGCTTGATATATTTTTATAAAATTTATTTTCCCTTGCCGTATTTCCTAGCAAATCTAGTTTTCTATTTATCCTAGAGAAATAAAAACTTAAGTCTCTAATTTATTTGTGCAAAAATATTTACCCCATGTATTTTATAAATGTTTAAAGCTAGAAATGACTCCAAATATCTATCAATGGGTGAAAAGATACACAAAATCCAGAGTATTTATACACTAGATGAATCACAAATTGTTTTGCTAAATAAAATAAGCCAAAAAAAGGAGTATGTACAATATCATTCCATTGATATTGTTTTAGAGTAGACAAAACTAATCTACAGTGAGAAAATCAGATAAATGGTTGTCTGAATAAGTAAGTGTGAACACCTACAGCTGGTTGCAAATAATTTATAGTAAAGTCTGAAGGGCTTGAAGAAATCTAGACTCTTGGGAAAAGTCTCTTACAGAGGAGAATCTAAGGTAAAAAAATCAAAACTAGGTCAGTTGCGGTGGCTCACACCTGTAATCCCAGCACTTTGGGAGGCTGAACTGGGCGGATCCTGAAGTCAGGAGTTCAAGACAAGAGTGGCCAGCATGGTGAAGCCCCTTCTCTACTAAAAATACAAAAATTAGCCAGGCGTGGTGGCAGGCGCCTGTAATCCCAGCTACTTGGAAGGCTGAGGCAGGAGAATCACTTAAATCCGGGAGGTGGAGGTTGCAGTGAGCCGGGATCGTGCCACTGCATTCCAACCTGGGCAAGAGACCGAGACTCTGTCTCAAAACAAACAAACAACAACAACAACAACAAAAAATCAAAACTGAGCAGGAAAGGGTTAATGGAGCCCAAAATATAAGGAAGGCTTAGATAAAATTTTGGAACTTAAGCAATTTCAGGAGAGTTAAGAAAATTAAGCTAATATTTTTGAACTTTTCACAAAACTAGCGGTGGAGGAAATTCTAGAACTACAAAATTAGACAGGCTAACTTTAACCATTCTTCTCTTCTAGAATTTAATAAAACTAATTCACAGTAAAAATGTAATAAGAAACCTGATTAAGGGCATAACACACAAAATTATCATTTTAAAAATTAATAATAGTATATATTGGAATTATATATTTATAAATAATAAAATATATTCTAAAGATATGTCAATTGAACATACAACACTGTAATCCAACAGTATAATTTTAAAAAAAGAGAAGATAAAAATGAAAAAAAGTTGTTAAAAAACAGCATAAATATGTTAGTGAACTCTGGAAAGAGTTAAATAAAAGAAAATCATTTCAGGAATGAAGATTTTCCTCTGAGTAACACATGAGCAAACAAAAACAAATCATATTGTATGTGAAAAAGATTAAAAGGCGAAAGCTTTTAAAATTAAAAGAAATAAAAAGACAAAAATTATTTAAGAAAGAAGGGCTAGGCATGGTGGCTTACAACTGTAATCCCAGTACTTTGGGAGGCTGAGGTGGAGGATCACCTGAGGTCAAGAGTTTGAGACCAGTCTAGCCAACATAGTGAAACCTCATCTCTAGTCTCTACTAAAAATACAAAAATTAGCCGGGCAGGAGTGGTGGTGGTTGCCTGTAATCCCAGCTCCTCGGGAGGCTGAGGCAGGAGAATCGCTTGAACCTGGGAGGCGGAGGTTCCAGTGAGTTGAGATCAGTGATAGAGCAAGACTCCTACTCAATAAATAAATAAATAAGGACAAATTAAAACATAGGCAACACATACACACATGTAATAGATTTTTCTGACAAAGAACAACCAAAGCAAGAAAAAAGAAAATGAAAAATGCTACTATTCAAAATCGTCCCTGAAATTACATTTTGAAAGAGAACATCAATTTATTGGAGGAAATTAATCAAGAACAACTAACACTGATACATATTCCAGTATAGTTGACCTTGCATTTCTTTATTGCTGCTACAGCAAATGCTACAGACTTCAAACCTAACACAATTTGTTATCTTTCACTTTTGGAGGTCAAAAGTCAATATGTTCCTTCTGGAGGCTCTAGGCGAAAACCTGTATCTTCACTGACTTTTTTAGCTTCTGGAGGTTTTCCACATTCCTAGGCTTGCAGTCTCATATTACTTCCCCATCTGTCCTCAACATTACGTCTCTTTCTCTCACTCTGATCCTTTCTTTCACCCTCTATTTTAATAAGCACCCTTATGATTACATTGTAGCCACCCAGATAATCGAGGTTAACCTCCCTGTCTCAAAATCATTAACATAATCACAACTGCAAAGTCCCATTTTCCATGAAAGACAACATTTTCACAGGTTCTGGAGATTAAGAGATGGACATCTTTGGGAAACTTTATAGTGCCTACCATGGATTATAAAGAAAGAAAAGATAATGCTTTGGGCATCCAGACAAACAAAATCAACAAAACAAAGGAATTATAAAATACAACCAGATTATCAGCAGACTTTCCAAGAGTAACACTGAGGCCAGACAAAAAGAGAAAATTATCTTTTTTTAACAGTTAATAAAAGAACATATGAGCTACAGATTTATTTTCCAATTAAACACATTTCAAATATAAAAGCGCCTGAAAAACTGTCGTGGAGTATTTTAAGTATTCATAGAATGAGACTTTGAGAGGTCACTGAATGTGCTTCAAACAATTCTAATGACTGGAAAGACATCAGAATATATAAAAACTAGTGCACAACACTGAATATATATATATGTAGAACTAAGAATACTTGTTATAAGAGATGTAAGAGGTATAAAATACATTTTGATGGCTGTATATCTCGTGGTATACTTACAACCGTAAATGGGGAAAACACACAAAATAAACAATTTAAATATAATTAAAATGATGAAAAAATGATACATCCATAGGGTAGAAGAGATTAAGTAAGCAATCTTTAGTCCTGAATTGCAAGTCACAGTGTCAGAGGTCAATTAATGCTTTTCCGTGTATTGCTCTGCCAACTGAAAATGGCTTGAAACAATAACCAAACCAGTATTAAGAACTATTCCTAGTTATTAGATTGAAATGTCATTTCTCAGTAAAACAAAACATGGCTTCTTGAAGTATAGTTGACCCACACCCAGGTCAGAAAGTGACCAGTATGTGCCTAGAACATCTTCTCATACCCAATGACAGGGCCATGTCCAAAGGACTCAGAAGCAAATTTGAAGAGGTGTCCCCTATCCAAAGAAGAAATAATTTAGGGATAATTAAGGAAAAGCATGGTTGCAGATTGAACCCCATCATATATGTTTACATATAAAAAATTGCAAATTATAATAATAATAAAGTCATAACTTTTGGTCAATGTTAGAGACCCAATTCATTCTTTAAAAAATTACTGCTATGATTTTAATATGGTTTGTTTGGCCCCACAAATCTCATGTTGAAATTTTGATCCCCGGTGTTGGAGGTGGAGCCTAGTAACGGTGCTTGGATCATGCAAGGAGATCCCTCATGAAAGGCTTGGTGCCATTCTCACTGGAGTGAGTGAGGTCTCCTTCTTAGTTCCTACAATATCTGATTGTTGAAAAGAGCCTGACACCTCCTCCTATCTATCTTCCTTCCTCTCTTGCCACATGATCTCTGTATGCCAGCTCCCTTTCTCCCTCTGACATGAATGGAAACAGCCTGAATCCCTTGTCAGAAGAAAATGCTGTTGCAATGCTTCTTATACAGCTTGCAGACCTATGACACAAATAAACCATTTTTTAAAATAAATTACACAGCCTCGGGTAATTCTTTATAGCAACACAAGCAGATTAAGGCCATTAGTAATTAAAAGAAAAGAAGAGATGGAGTGCTTCTTTAATAAGGATGAAACCACTGGGTAACCAAATGATAGATATTTCTTTTTTCAGGCAAACAGCTGAAGAAGAAATAATAAAATTATAATATCATCATTTTTCAATACCTATTGGAAAAATGGATTTAGACTTGGAGCATTAAGAACTGCTAAAACTATAAAAAGAAAGAATTACGGTATATGCCTCCTGTTGAAGAACTTACCGCCTATAAATTAGACAAGCAAAAAAACTGAACTTTAATTCTGATTAAGTCTCTCAACTTAGTTATTAATTTATAGAGAGTCACACTAACCTATGCCATGTAGATATATATGAAGGAAACTCTACAGAAAAAAAAAATACAATGGCTTTTCAACAAGTTAATTACAAAGATATCTAGACATAGTTTCTTTAGACAATTAAAGGATACTTTAGGGGAATAAGGAATAGAAGAGCTCAACTGTAGTGTTAAGTGGCACACAACTGGTGGTAAAACTATAAAGAAAAGAAAGGAAGTATTTACTGCAAAATCAGGCTAGTCATTGTTCTTAGCAAGAGAGGGTTTCTGATTGGGAAGAGGCATGTAGAATGTTTCCAGGGAGGCTATATCTCCTGCCCCGACTTTTTGCAGTATAATAATTCATCAAATTATATGTTCTTAATTTACAGTGTAAAAATGATATTTAACCGTAAAAAGTTTCAAATAACCAAAAAGATAACGTTTAATCCAGTAAATTGTTCATTATAGTGAGTGATATCATGTACCATTTATCTCTTATCATCAGGAATGAGAAAGTGACTACACATCCATGCAGTAACGGTTTCTTTATTATTTTCAATTATAAAATTGAAAATCATTTTCTGTGGGTGTACTTGGCAAGAAATACCAAATATTGAAATGATCACAATTCTTGACACAATCACATCATTTGTTAATTTTTTAAATTGGCAAACGTGAAGAAATTAGAATCCTTATACACTATCAGCGAGAATGTAGAATGATGCAGCCAATATGAAAAACAGTATGGAAGTTCCTCAAAAAATTAAAAATATAACTATTATATGCAAATCCCACTTCTGGGTATTTGCCCAAAGTCAGGGTCTTAAAGAATTTTTAGCACTCCCATATTCACTGCAGAATTATTCACAATAGCCAAAACAAGCAACATGTCCATTGATAGATTAATGTATTCTTAAAAATGATATATACATACAATGGAAGATAATCCAGCATTAACAAAAGGAAATCCTGCAATATGTGACAGCAAGGATGAACTTTGAGGACACTGAGCTAAGTGAAATAAGCCAGTCAGAAAAGGTCAAATATTGCATGATTCAGTTTGTCACAGGTATATAAAATAGTCAAACTCACAGAGGCAGAAAAAAATTTGAGGTTGCAAGAGACTGGGGAGAGGAAAATGAGAAATTGTTGCTCAATGGCTATAATATTTCTGTTATATAATAAGTTCTAAAGATCCATTGCATGACATAGCACCTACAATTCACAACACCATACTGAGCCCTTTAGAGGATATATCTCATAAAACTGTTCTTACCACACACACGTGCACACACACACATATACATACACATCGCAAATGAAAAAATTACAGACACAGACACACAAAAACAAGGAAAGGTATGGGCATGGCGGCTCACACTTGTAATACCAGCACTTTGGGAGGCCAAAGCAGGAGGATCACTTGAGGCCAGGAGTTTGAGACCAGCCTAGCTAACATGGCAAAGCCCTATCTCTACTAAAAATACAAAAAAAAATTAGCTGGGCCTGGTGACGCATGCCTGTAGTCCCAGCTACTCAGGTGGTTGAGGCAGGAGAATCACTAGAACATTTGAGGTGGAGGTTGCAGTGAGCCGAGATCATTCCAAAGCTCTACAGCCTGGACAACAAAGCAAGACTGTCTCAAAAAGAAAAGAAAAGAAAAAAATAGCTACGTTAAGCATCTCAATTGTGGTGATGGTATCATGGGTGTATACAAAGTCTAAACTCATTAAAATGTATATATTAAATATGTGCTATTTTTACATATAATTTCTAATTCAATAAGGCTAAAAATGAAATCTACAAAAAACTATTTTTTAAATTTCTAACCATAAAATGTGTGCATTATAGACTGTAACATATATAACTATATTATGTATTTAGAGTATAGAGTATAACGAGAAACAATATAGGCACATTGAACAATTAACAGAGTGCACACACTGGTTGGCTACGAATGAAACATAGTAAGATATTTTGAAAGATTTCTCCCTTGCCATTTCTATTTATTCTAGACCCTTTACTATGGAACTTTCTACATACCTATATTTGACTTCACTTTTCTCTTTTGCTCTCTTTAGCACTTGTCATTATCTTACTGATGTTTAGTTTGCTTGCTTTTCTTGCTTATAGTGTCATCAAAAGTTCTATGCAGGCAACAATTTTTCTTTATTTGGGTCATTGATGAATCTCTAAAGACTTAAAATAGTGTCTGCAATGCAGTAAAATTATAACAAATGTTTACTAAACTGGTAGATACATGATTAAGCCTATATTGTTTTGTAATTTAAAAAATAAATATTATTTTAAAATGTTTATATAAATCCCAGAGTAATGAAAAATTTATGGACATTACATCCCAAACATATGTCAAATTTATTATACCCTTAAACTTCTGTCAAACATTATACCCTTAAACTTATGTCAAAAATTACTATGCTGATCATAAAAATGACCATGTTTTGCTCTTCTTTCAGTTTTTATAGGCCTTGACATTTTTTATATTTCAACATTAATAATTACATTTAAAATGTTACATTGACGTCTGTACTCATGCAATGGCCTTTCTTAACCCAGTTTTATTTTTTAAATGAACTCCACTCTAGCCACCTGGTTTTCAAACATTACCCTCATATGAAAAAATTACTATTGACATGCACCTTGTATTTATTTTTAACTGGAGCTGAATTGTAACAAAGAAAATCTCATGTTTCTCGTCTATGGCAGGAATGTAACAGACTAAATACCACTTGTCTAAAATGCTCCCTGGTTGTGTTGTCCCACTAAATAGATTCACATTGAAATCACAACACTTTTAACAGAGAAAATGAGAACTGCGCATTTTGTATTATTTGACAAGGACATGACATTATGTGTTCAATGTAAGTTTGTGAACTGCATATTCTAAAATGGGTTTATTTTATAAGGATTAAGTTTTCCTTTCAAATACATCTTTGCTGCTTGAATTAAGTAACTACTAATGTAGGAAATCACAGTTATTTCAATAAAGAAAACTCAGCTATTGTGCAAGCATGCAGGAGCACAATCCATTAACCTTTCTGTCCTTGGAAATCAGACTGACATATTGTGCAACTTCAATTAGCTTGTCAAATAAATGCACTACCACTACAATTCTTTTCTTTAGTTCAGTTTTAGGAAACGAGATATGCCAAAAACAGAACAAACATTATAATTTTCTTCTCTGGGAGAAATATCAGGTAATGCATATTGAAGTAGTATTTAAAACTGATGATATTTCTTTATCAAATGTAACATGAATGATAATAGACACGGCTCCTGATTTGACATTTCATTCCATTTTTCTTTTAATAATGAAGACCATGTAGCCCATTTAAAATCGAATGGGGATGGTATTTTCATGATGTTGGCTATATACAAAGCAAAATTTGACTAGATTTTGTTTCTTGTAGCTAAATAACTTACATTGTTGGCCATGCACATAGAGAATAACAAAAAATGTGAGAAATGGAATCATGTATATATATCAATATGTAGATATAGATATAGAAATCATGTATCTACAGCTACGTCTATCTATCTAGCTATTATATATATATATATATAATTGTCTGGAGGTAAATGTATTTCTCTTCATTGTCAATTTCCATAAAATACAAATAATGGCAAACATCTTTATCTTCTTTTATTACAGGCTTGAAACTTGTGTAACTACTGCTTACTTTCAATAATATATTTGACAAAAAAAAAGGTACTCCTCAGGAAAAATAATTGCAATTATTTTAACAAATATTCCTCGAAATATAGTTTTACACCAAATCAAACATAATTGCTTAATTTTTTATTGCAGTGCCCATATATGCTGGTGAAGAAAACAAATTTACCAACTAAAAATGTATGTGAATGAGCACTAATGCTTAGAATATGATCAAAACTTGAATATTATAAAAATAAAGAATATGCAAGGTCAGGCTTGAAGACATTTATCAACTCTACATTTTTTTTCCTTCACTATAAATACACATTTTTTAAATTCAAAGAAATGTCTCTTTAATGGAATGAAGCCATTTATTTTCTAACATGTCTTAATATGTCAATAATTTAAGTTAGTTTTCCACCTTTATTCTTCCCAACATCACAGTCTAATTCATCTCTTTAGACATGATCCAATTATTTATATATAGTTCCCAACTTTTGGTCTGATCTGATACTAGTTCTCTTCCTATTCTGGGTGACTGAAACAAATATCAATGTTGAAATTGAATTCAATCTGTAATACGGTTAGGAAAAAATATCTTGGTGATAGCAACATATAGAATTTTTATAAGGATATATTAATTTTATCTGTGTTAAGGTTATATCTATATTTTGATGTTTTAATATATACATACATTTTACTCACATTTGTTTGGTTTATAGACATGAAGTAAATAAATTAAAAGGGATCCTTGTGTGACTAGATACATACTTGCCAAAAGATGCATCTATTGTGTTCTACTGTATATCTATTGTGGTTTTATTACAGAAATAATATACTTAACAAATATTTGTAAGTGATCTTCAGAAGGTCTGGACACTGAGAACAATTTTAAAGTGAAACACATTTTCTTTGATTTCATTTCTGCAAATACTCTGAATAAAAAAAGTAAATAATGTTTTCAACAAAGTGATTTGTGGCTGCACAAGTGGTGTCATAGCCCGAGTTATCCAGAAAGAAGTGTTTTAGGCAGCAATTTATGTTATTCTTTTACTAGGGAAAGAATCCCTGAGTCAGTAGTCTGAGATGAGGGGAACGAAGTGAGAAAGTTGGGAGGGGTCATTGTTTTTCTAGAATCCTGACCGTTACTACTGATTACATGATCCCTCTAAACCAGCAGTCCCAAAACTTTTGGCACCAGAGACTGGTTTATTGGAAGGCATTTTTTCCACAGCCGGGTGGGAGGATGGTTTCAGGATGAAACTGTTCTACCTCAGATCATCAGGCATTAGATTCTCATAAAAAGTGCACAACCTAGATCCCTCTCATGCACAGTTCACAATAGGGTTCCCACTCTCATGAGAATCTAATGCTGCTGCTGATCTGCCTGGAAATGGAGCTCAGATGGCAATGCTGGCTCAACCTGCCACTCACCTCCTGCTGTGTGGCCCATTTCCTTACAGGCCACAGGCCAGTACCGTTCCATCGCCTGGGGTTGAGGACTCCTGACTTAAATGATCCAAGAAACCAGCTAAACTGCATGTCTCAATTGCCCATGGATGAAAAGAGAATGAAGACTTTATATTTTAGCATTCATTGGCCAAAGGTTTTAACTAACTCCCCCATATTCCAAAGTTGGATCTGGAGGCACTGAGCAGGATTCCATTTTGGTAATGAATGGTAAACATTGTGAGAGAAGGAAAAACTACTGGGGACATACAAGGCAGGGGCACAGAGAAACTACGAGGTTTTGCTCCCATGAAGCAAACTAAAGCCGATGTGCTGTAATAGCCAGGAAAAGAGACGGATGATGTCAACAGACCTGCAGCAGTGGATGAATGTCTGATTTGGGAAGTTACCTTTGCAGTCTCTTAATATTCAATCATTGTCTTGACATGATTGTAGTTTTTCATTAATAGAGACTAAAAGAATAATTACTATATTTAAAAGTATGGATGGCTCTTTTTGTTTCTATAACATTGAAAATATTTTTGAAAATGTCAAGGGGAATAAATTAAAGTATTATTATACATACTCTGGCTTTAGTTTGATTATCAAATAAGAAGAGACACCAAAGGAACAATGCTTCTCTGTTAGTCAAAAGTAAAGTTTATTTTCAATCTTTGTTTTCCGTTTGTACTGCAGAATAGGGAAGACCCCAAAAAAGTTTTTAACTAAATATGAGAATAAAATCAAAGTTGAAAGTATATGAAAATGTCAGATAATGTTAATTGGGGATGGAGAGGTGCTGTTTAAAAGAAGAAAGGAAGAAAACTGACTTAAATGTTGATATATTGAAAAACTATGAAAAAATAACATTTGCCTATGTTCATTTGGAGGTTCATTATTGGAAAAAGGCAGTTCTTATATAAATGCTAACACTATCAAAATGTGATGCTGTGCTAAAGCAATAACTTTGTCTTCAAGTAGCAGACCAGGTTGCTTTCTGCATTGTAAAGTAAAAAACTCAAGCATGATATGAGAGATCTTAGTGAAATAGGTTTGGAAACTTACAAGTCTTTCTGCAACATTTTGGAGGAAAATTTTCTTTCCAAACAAAGTTTAAACTGAGAGGAAGTCTATATATTCTGAAACACAGCACGTATAATTTTTGGCGACGCAAATGCCTTTCCTACTTCAGTAAAGAATGTCTTCCTCAATATTTTGTGATCTGTGTTCTATAATTTTATTTTTTACCAGCAAGCACTCTTCACACAATACAAGGAAAAAAGCTGTGTCTGTTATAAATATCATCCATCACATTTCATAATGACAAGGCTTAGAATAATTTGCACATACTTAGAAGCTTAAAGAGTTATTAAAATATAGAACAGAATAACAAGTTGTTCTCAATTTCTTTACACAGAAGTAACAAGAGTTTCTGGGGGACATACCCAGAAAGAAAATTTGATTTAAAAAAAAAAAAAAAGAATCCCATTCAAAAAAAAAAACCTAGAAGAATTGCTAATGCAGTGAGGTTGAGCAGCTATTTTTAAGAATATAATTAGGTAAAATTTCTATTTCAGCATTTACAGTTAATACATTGTATGTTGCTGAAAATGCTTTTATGACATGTTGGCTCTAAAGATATAACCTGAACAATTGTATCATTTTTTCAATTTTGAGGGAAATGCTTCTTTAGACTTATCAGAAAATTGTCTTTTGAAGCAGAAACCATGAGATGCTACAAAAATCTACTAAATTGGCAAATTAAATGCTTTGTGAAGACAGCATTACACTTAAATTATGAATTTGTAATTTTTCTCTTGCTCTTATCAATAGAATAACAAAGTATAAATGGTAGAAAATAATCTTATTTCTACTATAATTCAAACTATAAATTCAAAAATACAATTCTTGAAATAGACTGGTGGAACATAGCCTAATTCAGTTTTCATGTTGTAAAACAACCTAACACTTTTGTTAATGTTCCAAGCACTTTTTTTTTTCTTTTGCCATCAGCATAAATAGTAAAAGCGTATTGGATGCCAAGGATATTGTCGTTTCTCACGTTGAAGACCATGCCAAATTTCAACATTTAAAAGTTTTTAGAAAAATAGCATCGTTGATAAAAGTTTTCATTGTGAAAAGTTAAGAGAGTTGGGAGTAGTTTCCTCTTTTTTGGTGTTTTCTAATATGTTTTTGTACATAATTAAGTGAAAATATATATACTTAAATATTGTTTATATTTGATCATAAAAATGACAAAAGGAAAATGTCATAAATACATCTCATGGAAAACTTACTTGTATGAAGTTCATGGGGAGATCAATATTCGATTTCCTAGAGAATGAGTCTAGAAAAATAATCATAAATATTTCTATCTATCTATCTGTCTATCTATCTATCTATCCAATCTATCATCTATCTTCCCATCTATTTCTTCCTTCATCAATTTCTCTATCTGATAATGAAACCTGTCTCTTCATGAAAGTTTGGGAACATACAGGGGCTCAGTACTTCTGACTGTGGAACTATAAATGCAAACGATTAATCATTGCAGTAAAGTGAACATGAGTTTCTCAAAGTTAGATTTCAGTATTGTTTTTCCAAATTTGGAAAAGTGTATAATCCATTTTTGTTATTTTAGTTACTGTTAAGTCATGATGGCAGCAGTAACTATAGCTGTAAAGGTAATGGTTACTCTTAGAGCAGTGGAGAAACTTCCCAGTCTCTGTCCACATAGATAGCGAAAGGAAGACACTTCAAACTATGCATGTGGCTCTCAGTTATATTTCTAATTTTCTATGGGATTTTAACATTTAGTATTTTAAAAATTAGGTAAAACCAAAGCTTTATCAAAATATAATAGTGATAAATATGAAATAATCAATACATATTTAACTATATATCTTTATCTCTCCATTTATTTATATTTCTATATCTCACCATACCATGGTCTTTCATTTGTGCTTATTTCCCCAATTATAAGCAACGTTCCAGAACTTCTTTCTATTTATAAAATAAAATATCACAAGTCACTTTTCAAAACATCAGTAATATATGCTGTAGACAAATTAAGAGGAATACACAATTCTGCATTCTAATATTCAATATGAATGCTATGTTACATAAATCTATAAAAGAATCAGGAACAGAATGGAATGCATTTCATGCACAAAAAGTGTTCAATAAACATTAATCATATTATCAAAAATGAGTCAATGATGCATATGTTGCACCATAAACAATGACATATATTTTTAGGCAAAGCATTAAATATAGTGCTAATTCTTATGGTTTTCTTGTTTTGTTTTGTTGTTATTAAACAAAGAGAGTATATCCATTTCTTAGATTATTATGTCTTTTCAATTTAAAAGATTATTATACTAAATGTGCCTGATGTACTTATAAAAAATTTTGATAAGTAATATTTTATTATTTGAAAAATATTCTGGATGATATATTCCTTCTCATGTATACAAAGCATATTTTTACCTCTGGGCCTTTCTACTGCCTGTTAGTTAGGCATGAACTATACTTATCCAGATCTTTTAGAGCTCATTACTAAACTATAATCAAGTCTTTTGAAATATTGTCTCCTTCTCCCAAATTGAAACATGCAGAAACATGAGTCTTTTTAGGTCCAACTTTCCTTCATATTCCTATTTGAAATCATAGCTCCAATCACTTCGTCTCTTTATCATGGTTTATTTTTATTGTGTATATAAAATCATAATGATACATTACATATTTATTTATTCATTGTTTATTTCCACAGTATCAGTCAGGGATCTTAATAGCAGTCAATGAAAGTGATTCTGCTAATGAAGCGAAAATGGTCATTAAAAAAAAAGAAAAATAAAATCAGTTCGCAGAATTGTTTGTAGAGTTGGGGAACTAGCCTCAGAACTCGACAACATGATGGAGAAAAAAATTGCCCGTCAGGGAAACATCATGATTGCCATTGCCTCACTGAGCCCTGGAGGCAACTGCTGCTTCTAATGATACTGCCAGCTTCATTGATGCCTTTTCTGTGCCCAAAACTCAATCCACAGCTGCTCCTGAAATTAAGATGCCTGCTGAATTAGCCAAAAATTAATTCCCATCTCCTTAGAGTTTCCTTCCTCAATTCGCTCACTTCCAAATCAAAGTCTCTCATTAATACGTTTGAATGGTACGGGTTTGGCTCAATAAAATTTGAATGCATTTTACAGATTGTGATTTTTTTGTATATTGTCTCTGCGCACTTAAGCTGCCATAACAATATGCCACAGACTGGGTAGCTTAAATAATATAAATTTATTTCGTCACATTTCCGGAATGAGGAAGTCCCAGATCAGGGTGCTGGCACTGTTGATTTTTGATGATGGTTCACTTCTTATCTAGCGGAGAGCCGGCTTCTTATTGTGTCTTCACAAGGTACAGGGATGGGAGACTGAAGTGGAAAAGGGGGGTTAGACAGAACCATCTCTTTGGTGTCTCTTCCTATAAGGGCATTAATTCTATCATGAGGGCCTCAACGCCAGGACCTCATTGAGCCCTACTTACTTCCCAAAAGCTTTCTTTAAATTATTTGGGAAAGAAGTTAGTCGGATGATTTTATATTTTTAATGTATTTTACTGAATTTTACAGAATAATTATAATCTTTAAAGATGATCTCATTGCAGAGATATCCCAAAACAGGACAAAATTATTATTATATTAATTATACTTCCAAAACAATAATATAAGAGTGGTTTCAAGTGTACATAAATTAAGTCAGTCACGATCATTTGAAGTTTTGAGAAAGCATGTCATGATTTATTCAAGTTGGACAGCTGAGATGCCAAACATATGAACAAATTGCACGCAGCTCCCCTTTTTCTCAAAAAGAAGACTCTCTCCTATATTTTGTGAGTAATTGGTTCAAGTCTCCAAATCATTTTTCGATGTAGATTCAGAATTTTATACATGTATATACTAATAATACCTTAATAAATGACAAAACATTTCTTGCAATAACATATTACATTAAAGCTTCACTAAAAAATTGATGGCATCATGAAATCCACCTGAAAAGATTGAATCAATCTATGATTTAAGAAGTGTGCACTTTTTGATACAGTGGGTAGGTAGGACAGATGTTGGAAGATAACAAAACAGATGCTAAATGATTCTCTTTTTACAAGACATTTATAAAAGAGAAACAAAATTAAATGTCAAAATGATAGAACTACTCTCAGTTCAGAGATATAAACCTCCCCAAACTCATTAAACTGGAAACAACAGCCAAAACAGGTGTTTACGTAAGTGGGAGCTTAAAACTTATATGGTGTATGGGAAAATAGGTTCTTACTAGAATAAGATACATATGCCAATTTTCCTGTTCATATTTAAAATACCTGACAGTGATATTTTGATAGAGGCTACTTTATTATCTGTATCTGTGGGTGTATTTAAATGAATACAATTTCAACATCACAAATATATAACTAAAGAAAAAATGTGCCTATGAATAAAGCAAAACAGAAAAATCACTGTCAAAAACAAAAAGAAAGCGCATTATCATTTCAAAAATAACACTACTTTCTTCAAATTATCAAAAATAGATATAGTTAATTGTGACATTTAGAAACAAGCTTAGAGGAAATTGTAGACACAGGCACAGATGTGATTTTGTGCAGCTGATACTAAAATAATACATAATTACCACCACAAATAGAATAAATGTCTGTGTCTAGTTCTGCAGGTATTTCTTTCTGTTTCTGTGGATGCTTAGATTTTAAAACTGAAATGAGCAGTATATTCACTTTTTCCCATGTGTTTATAATGAGGCACAAAGAGGGAAAAGTGAATTCTCCTTTTGGCCAATGCCGAAGGCTGTCTGATAACCATTTGACTCACCATCACTGATAAATTGTAGCTTCTGAACGGAAGTGACTTTAAATCAGGTATTAGACAATAAAATAACAGGTGAGTATATTTTAAGATGCTTAAAATATGGTATTTAATTGCAATCTAAATTGATTAACATACATTGTTCTAATTGTTTCATAGGTCGATTGTTTCTGTCCATGAAAGTTAACTATATGGAAAGATGTAAAAATTTATTGTGTTACTCCTACATATATATTTATCTTCATTTAAATTTAACTGTATATATATTTCATAATTTTTAAGTTCAGGGGTACATGTGCAGGTTTGTTACATAGGTAAATTTGTGTCATGGGGGTTTGTTATACAGATTATTTCATTCTGCAGGTATTAAGCCTAGTATCCATTACCTAATTTTTCCTTATTTTCTCACTCCTTTCATTGTATAAGAAAGATTTTCCAAAAGATACAGTTTTTATTAGTCATTTTAAATTTAAATATTTGTATAAATAGCAAAATGAACTATCTTAAGTACTAGAGATAAAAAAGTGTATACCTACGTTTCCAAAGCAATCACTAAACTTTGGGTTGAATTTTGCATTAAGGTTAATCTGTTTTTTTTGCTCAACCAAGGTGTTAATAAAATGTATATGTCACTGATTGTTTTTTATTATAAATTTATATCGAATACTGAGAGTAAACATAATTTTTATTTTAATAACTCTGCTAGGCAATAAGTTGATTTACATCCTCAACATGCAGGGGCATAAACTAAGTAGAAAGCAGTTGTCTTGCATTTCAGTTGGCATTCTTGGTTAGCAGATTGAAGATAAGCAACATTATTCTAAGGTGTCAATTGAATTAATTTATTTAGTGTATAGTTGTTAAATTTTGACAATGTCTAGAACATTGCCCTGGGACTAGAGATAGATACACTGGAGAACAAAGTAAATACAATTCCTAGACTCCTGGAATTCAGAGCGTAGTGTGTGTAAAAAATATTAAGCCAATATTCACAAGAAGCATAATGCAAATGCTTATTGAACTGTGTTCTAGATTGTTTCCTCCCTAGAAAATTGTTATTTCTTTTCCTAATAATGATTTATTTTACATGCAGTATAATTGGGGAAATATTCTGAAAAAAATTAAGATTCTGTTTACATGTGTAATAGAGAAACCACAGACTTGGGCAAGTTTCCCTTGAAGATAAAACATAAAACCAAATATTGATAGTGGCAACTGAAAAATGAGTACAAAGGGTGAAATAGTAGAAATTGGCTGTTATAGGTTAAGAAAGCAGCAAGGTTAATGTCCTGAGGCAGGTGAGGGAACATCAAGTTCAAAAATCCTAAGGATCTGCTGGGCACGGTGGCTCATGCCTGTAATCCCAGCACTTTGGGAGGCCAAGGCTGGTGGATCACCTGAGGTCAGGAGTTCAAGACCAGCCTGGCCAACATGGTGAAACCCTGTCTCTAGTAAAAAATACAAAAATTAGCAGGTTATCGTGGCAGGCACCTGTAAGCCCAACTACTTGGGAGGCTGAGGCAGGAGAATCACTTGAACCCTGGAGGTGGAGGTCGCAGTGAGCCAAGATCATGCCACTGCACTCTAGCCTGGGCAACAGAAATGTAACTCCATCTCAAAAAAAAAAAAAAAAGTTAGAATTTAGCCTTGAAATAATGGAAAAATCACTGAAGGGAAAAAAAGGTAACATTATCCTTTTTACATAGCTGAAATTCCATATTTGTTTATAATTTGATATTAAGTTTCATTATACACAGAGTTTGATTCAGTTGGTGTTAATTTGACTGTTGTGAAAACAATTTTCCATAGGACAGAGCAAAGTATATTATTATAAGATAAGGTTATTATTAAGTCAGTTAAACACAGGAAAATAAGCTCATGTTACTTTCAGAAACTTTTCCCAGCTGCAGTAATTAGGCTAGTTTGATAAAAATTACTTTGGTTTGAAGTTGCTTTGTAGAAAGTTCAATTCTTTAACTCACTCTTCCACTGACTCACTATGTCACAGAAAAGTCTAGTGACCTGAGTATCGCAATTTGTTTATCAAAATTCTAGTAAAAATATTTTTAAGGAAAGCCCATTGAGTTTCAATTCTATATACAGCCCTTGAATAGAAACATTTGCTCAGCATCAATTCTCTTCTCAAGTATCTTGTGTCCAGAGATGAGTACTAAAAACCTTGATCCTCAGAGAAGTTAACTGGTTTCAATTACTCTATGGGACAGGCAATAGAATAGAGGTATGCTGATGATTTGCCAATGTGCAAGACGTATTGGTATATAAGTGACTTTCACATTTATTTAAGGTGATTCTTTAAAACCCAATAAAGTAAACACAGACAGATCAAGTGACCTGCTCAAGTTACAGAGCCATTAATACATAGGGCCTGATATATTTTCTATGATACTTTCAGGCTTTTGCATTACATCTCACTGTCTCTATATCCATTTGACCCAAAGCACATTTACTTTTAAGGCTACATCATACCTTATAAGTGAGGTGGTGTCAAGCTAATGGTTTTATAACTTGAGAAATAGGGGTGGGATTAATTTTTATTCAAAAACTGCAACTCTTGAAAGTATCACATCCACTTCCCTGACTTAATGACAACCAATGAAGCAGCTGCATTCAAAACAATACAATTTGAATGCATTTTTGGTGGTATAACTTATAGATGATACCATAATTGCTCCTTATAGATGATTTAAAAACTGCCTAAATTAACCCTTGTAATTGCCCCAACATAACCATAATGCTCTATGTAGAAAATAAGTTCAAGATACAATACTTGAGCCTCAATATCCGTAACAACCTTGTGAAGCAAATGACATTAAATAAATAAATCAATAGCAGCATTTAAAAGAAGGAGTATAGGAGGAAATTGACATTCTGATGTGACTGCATAATAGTAAAAATGCTATCTGACTACACACAGGAGTGTAGATACAGGCTTAATCTAACTTTAAAACATAAATTAGAGCACAACAGTACCCACATATATGACGAATATCACATATTTTTCATTAGCCTAAAAAGTTATGAGGGATATGAAACATTCTGAAAAGGGCAACATTTTTTGTGTCAATAAGGACTAGGATACCATCTAAGAAAGACTCTTCCACATCATTCAGTCTATCTTTTTTTATTTTCTCAGAAACCACTTTTATTCCCATGAAAAAGAAGATACAGCCTAGATTACAACACACAAGTCCTTTTAAATATCTGGAAAGCCTTCTCAAGGAAGACAGGTACAAACAAGCTCAGACAGTGAAGACTATAATAAATACATAATTCTTCAATGGCCAGACACAGATGAACATCTACCAGTATCAAGACACTCCAGGAAAACATGACCTTACCAAATGAACTAAGTAAGGTACCAGGTACCAATCCTGGAAAAAAGAGACATGTGACCATTCAGAGAGAGAATTCAAAATAGCTGTTTCAAGGAAACTCAAAGAAATACAAGATAATGCAGAGAAGTAATTTAGAATTCCATCATGTATATTACACAAGAGGTTGAAATAACTAAAACGAATTAAGTAGAAAAATGCAATGGGCATACTGAAGAATGGCATTATAGTCTTTTAATACCAGAATTTACCAAGCAGAATAAAGAATTAGTGAGCTTGAAGATAAGCTCTTTGAAAACATACAGTCAGAGGAGACAAAAGAAACAAGAATAAAAAATGATAATGCATGCCTACAGGATCTAGAAAATAACCTCAAAATGCAAATCTGAGTTATTGCCCTTAAAGAAGAAGTAGAGAAAAAGATAGGGGTAGAAAGTTTACTCAAAAGAATAATAATAAGGAACTTACCAAACCTAGGGAAAGAAAACAATTTCCAAGTACAAGAAGGTTATAGAAACCTGGCAAACTTAACCCAAGGAAGACTGCCTCAAGGCATTTAACAATCAAACTCTGAAAGATCTAGGATAAACAAAAGATCTTAGAAGCAGCAAGATAAAAGAAGCAAATAGCACACAATGGAGCTCTAAGACATCTCACAATAGACTTTTCAGTGAAAGTCCTACAGGCCAGGAAAGAGCGGCATAACATATTTAAAGATTTAACATGCTGAAATAAAAAATACTCTAGAATAGTATACCTAATAAAAATATCCTTTCATAATGAAGAAGAAATAACAACTTTCCCAGACAAACAATTTTCCCATGGAGGGATTTCATCAACATCAGATCTGTCCTATAAGAAATGCTCAATCAGAAAGAAAAGGATGGTAATAAGCAATAAATAATCAACTGAAGTTACAAAACTCACTGCTAATAATGATTTCAAAGAAAAACACAGAATATTATCACAACTGTGGGTGGAAACTATCTTTATTCATACTAGAAAAACTAAATGATGAACCAATCAAAAATAACTACAACAATTTTTAAGACACAGTACCATAACATATAAATAGAAAAAAAAAAAGCTGGTGGACAAAGTAGAGTTTTTATTAGTATTTTATTTGTTTATGCAAACAAAGTTATTATCAGCTAAAAATAATGGGTTATACATCAAAAACAGTCAAGCTGAGAGCCAGAAAAGGAAGGCAATCTCATTCACAATTACCACAACATGAATAAAATATCTGGGAATCCAGCTAACCTGGAGGTGAAAGATCTCCACCATGAGAATTACAAAACACTGCTTAAAGAAATCAGACAAGACACAAATAAATGGAATAACTTCCCATTCTCATGAAGAGGAAGAATCAATGTCATTAAAATGACCATACTGCCCAAAGCAATTTACAGATGCAATGCTATTTCTCTCAAACTACCAATTACATTCTTTGCAGAACCCAAAAAATCTATTTAAAAATTGATATGGAAACAAAACCAGCCCAAATAGCCAAGGCAATTCTCAGCAAAAATACCGAAGCTGGAGGCATCATTTTACCTGGCTTCAAACAAGGCTATAGTAACCAAAATAGCATGGTACTGGTACAAAAACAGGCACATAGATGAACAAAATGGAATAGAGAGCCCAGAAATAAGGCCGCACACCTACAACCACCTGACCTTCAACAAAACTGACAAAAACAAGAAATGGAGAAAATACTTACTCTTTAATAAATGGTGCAGAAGATTGAAGTTGGACACTTTCCTTACACCATATACAAAAATCAACTCAAGATGGATTAAATATTTAAATGTAAAACCAAAATCTTATTTAAAAAACCCTGGAAGATAACGTAGGCAATACACCCTGAACACAGGAATGGGCAAAGACTTCATGAGAAACACATCAAAAGCAATCAAGCAAAAGCAAAAATGGACAAATGGGATCTAATTAAAGAGCTTCTGCACAGGAAAAAAAAAAAAAAAACACCATCAATGGAGTAAACAGATAACCTAGAGAATGGGTGAAAATATTTGCAAACTATGCATCTATAAAGGTCTATATCCAGCATCTATAATAAACTTAAACACATTTACAGGGGAAAAAGAAACAACCCCATTAAAAAGTGTGCAAATGACTTGAACAGACCCTTTTCCAAAAAAAAAAAAAAAACAAACAAACAAACAAAAAACAGAAAAACAAATGTGGCCAACAAGCATATTAAAAAGTCTAATCATTAGAGAAATGCAAATCAAAACCACGATGATACTATATTGCATCAGGCAGAATGGCTATTATTAAAAAGTAAAAAAAAAAAAGATGGTGACAAGATTGCAGAGAAAAAGGAACACTTATACACTGTTGATGGGAGTGTAAATTAGTTCAGCCATTATGGAAAGCAGTATGGTGATTTCTCAAAGAGTTAAAAACAGAACAATACCATTACTGGGTATAAATTTAGAGGAATATAAATTATTGTACTATAAAGTCACATGCACACAAATATTCATTGAGGCACTATTCACAATAGCAAAGACATAGAATAAACCTAAATGTCCATCCATGACAGATAGGATAAAGAAAATATGGTAGAGATTACACCATGGAATACTATGTAGCCTTAAAAATTAATGACTTTTGCAGGAACATAGTTGGAGCTGGTGGCTTTTATCCTTAGCAAACTAATGCAGAAATAGAAAACCAAATACCACATGTTCTCACTTTTAAGTGGCAGCTAAATGATGAGAACTTCATAGGAGAAAATCTAATAATCTGCTTAAAAATAGGCAAAAGATCTGAATAGACATTTCACATAAGAAGACATACAAATGTCGAACAGTCATATGAAAAGGTGCTCAACACCGACCATGATGTGATTTGCATGAAATGCAAATCAAAACTACTATGAGTTATCATCTCACCCCAGTAAAAAATGGCTTTTATACAAAGACAGACAATAACAAATGCTAGTGGGAATATGGAGAAAAGGGAACCCTTAAACACTGTTGGTGTGAATATAAACTAGCACAAACACTATAGAGAACAGCATGAAAATTCCTCAACAATGAAAAAATAGAATACAAATGTGACCCAGCAATACTACTGCTAGCTATATTCCCCAAACAAAAGAAATCAGTATATTGAGGACATATTTGCATTCTCATATTTATTACAGCACTACTCACGTAGTCAGGTTTTGGAGGCAACCTACGTGTTCACCTACAGATAAATGGATAAAGAAAACGTGCTACACATACACAATGGAGTGCTAATTAATCATAAGAAAGAATGAGACCTGTCATTTGCAACAACATGGGTGAAACTAGCGATCTTTAGGTTAAGTGAAATAAGCCAGGCACAGAAATACAGAATTGCATGTTCTCACATATTTGTGGATCTAAAGATCATAATAATTACACTTAATGGACATAGAGAGTAGAAGGATGGTTACCATAGGATGGGAAGAGTAGTCGGGGGGTGGGGGTGGTGTAGAGGAGGTACAGATGCTTAATAGGTACAAAAAATAGAATGAATCAAAAGGACCTACTATTTGGTAGCACAACAGGTGACTATATAACTTAATCATACATTTAAAAATAACTAAGAGTATAATTTGATTGTTTGTGACACAAAGGATAAATGCTTGAGGGGATAGATATCTCATTCTTTATGATGTGATTATGACACATTGCATGCCTGTATCAAAACATCTCATGTGCCCCATATATATACACACACCTACTATGTACCCACAAAAATTAAAATAAAAATATCTGATAAAGTTAATATCCAAAATGTATAAAGTACTTATACCACTCAATAGCAGAAAAACAAATTACCAAAGTAAAAGCTAGAAAAAGACCTGAGTAGACATTTACCCAAAGAAGACATAAAAATGGCAAACAGGCATATGAGAAGTTGCCTAACATCATCAATCATCATAGAAAGGCAAATTAAAACCACTGTGAGATATCACCTAACATCCATTTGGATGACTGTCATCAAAAAGTCTAAAGATAAGAAATGATTATAAAACACAGTTGTTCAAAATGTAGATTGGTACAGCTGTTATGAAAAATAGTGTATAGATTTATAAAAAATTTAAAAATAGGCCAGGTGCTGTGGCTCACGCCTATAATCCCAGCACTTTGGGAGGCCAAGGCTGGCAGATCATGAGGTCAGGAGATCCAGACCATCCTGGCCAACATGGTGAAACCCTGTCTCTACAAAAATACAAAAAATTAGCTGGGCGTGGTGGTGGGCACCTGTAGTCCCAGCTACTTCGGCGGCTGAGGCAGAATGGCGTGAAACTGGGAGGCGGAGGTTGCAGTGAGCCGAGATCGCGCCACTGCACTCCAGCCTGGGCGACAGAGTGAGACTCTGTCTCAAAAATAAATAAATAAATAAATAAATAAAAATAAAAATAAAACAAGCATATGACCATAATACATGTATATTATATACACATAAATGCATACATATATTATATAAACATATGTGTATATATAATATATAATACATGTGTACATATAACATACAATGTATATGTAGCATATGTGTATATAAAATATACAGTGCATGTGTGGTATATGTATACATTATTGGTATGGTTTGGCTCTGTGTCTCCACCCAAATCTCACCTCAAACCATAATTCCCATAATCCCCAAGTGTCAAGGGCGGGGCCAGGTGGAGGTAATTCCATCATGGCGGCGGTTTCCTCTATACTGTTCCTGTGATACTGAGTCTCAAGAGATCTGATGGTTTTCTAAGCATCTGGCGTTTTCCCTGCTTGCACTCATTCTGTTCTGCCGCCCTGTGAAGAAGGTGCCTGCCTCTCCTTTGCCTTCCGCCATGATTGTAAGTTTTCTCAGGCCTCTGTAGTCCGGCGGAACTGTGAGTCAATTAAACCTCTTTCCTATATAAATTACCCAGTCTCAGCATTTCTTCATAGCAGTGTGAAAACGGACTAATAAAGTGCATGTGTAGTATACATTATGTACACTGTATATTATATATACACATATACTGTATACAAAAACTACACATGCACCACATAATATATATGCACATATGTAGTATATATAGTATATATATACACTATGTACTATACACACACTATATAAATATACAATATACATACAAAATATATCATATTTGTATGAAAAGCAAATTGATTTATCCTTTTTTTTTTTTTTTTTTTTTTGAGACGGAGTCTCGCTCTTTCACCCAGGCCAGAGTGCAGTGGCGCTATCTTGGCTCACTGCAAGCTCCGCCTCCTGGGTTCACGCCATTCTCCTGCCTCAGCCTCCCAAGTAGCTGGGACTACAGGCGCCTGCCACCACGCCCGGCTAATTTTTTGTATTTTTAGTAGAGACGGAGTTTCACTGTGTTAGCCAGGATGGTCTCGATCTCCTGACCTCATGATCCACCCGCCTCGGCCTCCCAAACTGCTGGGATTACAGGTGTGAGCCACCGCGCCCGGCCGGATTTATCCTTAATGTAGTTAGAATGATGTTACAAATTTGTTGTACATTTATATAGTATATATAGGTATATTTAGTATACATATGTACTGTGTACACATATGCACTATATAACATATATAATGTATATATACAGAATGCATAGACTATAAATTATATATAATATGTAATATATATTTGAATAATATATATTATGATAAATGCTATTCTTGTCATGTTTTTATATTTTTAAAATATAAAAAATTATTAAAAGTTTAGATTGAGTCAAAGTGAAAGTATATCGATCTAAATATATGAAGTGGCATAACTGAAAACAATTGGAATAGAATGTACCTTAAAAGTAATTCTCCATAGAACATTTTTAAGGTTCAATCACTGACCTTTAATTTTTCTCTCCTAGTTCATTCTGCTACATTAAAGTTATGATACTTGATGTACAATTTTTTTTTCAGAAGCATGTATATAAAATACATATATATATAAAATCTATACATGCTATATAAATAGTTATATGAATGTGCTGTTACTTATGAAATATCACAGGGAAGTTAGTTTTGTGCAACATAATAAAACAGCCCCTTTGCCAATACAAATTCACAAACAAATGAAACCTAGAAAATTATATTATTTGATGATAAATGCCTGATACAATAAAATTACAATTGCAAAATTTAGTTACTGAAATTCTTAAGTGATATATAAAAATCAACTTGCTTTGTTTTATTTTATTAAATAAAAATAAAAAATTATTGTATTAATAATTACAAATCTGAAAAGCAAGCTTTTAGCCTCTTAAAGATGATACAAATTTCTTTAGGAAGTAAAAATGATTTGCCCATTGTCTCATAATTATTTAATAATAACAGTAGGAATTAATGCATTGGCATCATAACACAAAGCTATCTATTTTTAAAAATTATTTTTAGCCTTTGTTATAGATTGTCAAAAAAATTACTTGTGAATAAATCTTAAACTTTTAAAAGATTTATTTGCATTTGTGTGAATTCGAAGTTTTAAAATATCAAATTGTGAGCTCCAGAAGCATAGAGATTCACTGGACAATTATGACAATACCTTCAATAAGCCACGTTGAATTCCTGACTGAGAAAACATCGAATTACAGACTATAAAGATAATAACAATAGCAACACTTGTGTGTTACTTGGTATATTCCAGGCACTGTTCTAAGGGCTTTGCAACTATCACTTTATCTATTCCTCATAATAACGCAGTAAAATGGATAGTATCACTATTCTGATTTGTGTGTGTGTGTGTGTGTGTGTGTGTGTGTGTGTGTGTGTGTGTGTACAGAAGCACAGAGTGGTTAAGTGACTTGATCAATTCCTCAGGTGGGGATTCAAGCTCTTAAAGCTGTAGACTATGTCGTCCAAACAAACACTGACATGAATATGACTTCCAATAGGCAAGAAAAGAGGCCTAGGTCGAGATACTGCAAGACATGCAAGCAATCTAGTAATGGCATAAAACCTGCTATCCGAATTGGCTAAAATTATGTATTCTCCCAAAATAAAGACTTCAGAGTATGAGTAGATTTTTATTTTTACATAGACAAAGATACTAATTCTTTCATAAGATATGGCATCTCTCGAATGCTGAAACTTTGGTTCCCATATATCATAATTATTTTCTCTGACTCAATAACAAAATTAAAAATCTGGGGAATCAAAAAATGTTGACTGAAATTCTCCTATTTTTAAGGATTTTATTGACAGTGTAATATTTATTACCCACAAAATGAGCAGGCTGTGGAAATTTGGCAGTAAATTTAAACATACCCTACTGACTGACATATTACGATACTTATAATGACAAACCAACCAAAAACAATACAAACATTTTTTGGTGACTTTTTTTTTGGCTTTATTAAACACTTTTGATCAAAGTACTTAAGCTGTTTTAGATAAATGACTTTTTAAACAAATGTCTAGTGTATTAAGTATTCTGGTTCTATTTAACGAATTTGTGCCTACTGTTCCATTATTGGACTGCTAAGCATGTGGAAGTTATTTATACCCTACTGCTCAAGGTCATCGCCAAGGTCTGATTGCAAAAATTCAAAAAATTGCAACCTCAGGCATAAATGGGTTAAAGTTGATAAAACCACATACAAGAGAACTTGTAAATGCTCAGGAAGAAAAACCAAATATAACCTTCCAATAAGTAGTTTCCTACCTTACTCATGAAACATCCAAATAGTTATCATAAATACAGATTCAACCCAATTCAAACCAATTTGATTTGATGTGACGCACGTTTATCCTGCTGACATGTATTGTATGCTGCTCTATAATCTGCTTGTCTGATTTACATGAAGATAGTACTTATAGAATAAAACATTGACAGTTTAATTGTGGGGAACTAGAATAACATGATTTAGGAGCTCAAAATTATCACTGGATAAAAAAAGAAAAGCAACCTCAATGTTTGAGAAAATCTTGTTTCTATGTATTGACTTTTATTTCCTACCACTAACTCCAATTATAGTTGCCTTTCATTTACTCATTCATTCACTTATTTACAACTCTTCTGAGTGCCAAATATGTTTCAAAAATTGCACTTAATGTTGTTGACATAGTGTGATAAAAAAGACTTTGTCCAGGACTCCACAATATTTACTGTCCACCAGTCATTCAATATTTTGTACTGGTGATTTAGAAATGATTAATTTGAAGAAGTTTTAAATTTTCTTTAAATCAAATGTACTTATGTATGTATTAATACATACTATGTGATGCCATATGTAACAATGGCAAACTAACACCTTTACTTATAAGAAGAAATTGACATTACTTTCAAACAGTTAAGTAAGGTAGGAGTTTTGAATGATGAGATAAAATTCCCAGAGCACCGAGACACAGAGCCGATCATTTCCTTGCTAAACTAGATGCAAAATCATTGATGTTGATAGAGTAAAAATAAAAACTAAAAACCAAGGCTCTGTTTTTTACTTATCCTTCTCCTTTTGCTAAATCTCTAGGCATGCGGAGTAGGTTTCCAAACAGTTTAAAAGCTGTCATGAGATGAAGATGTTTATGGGATGATAGAAATGCACATGATTTCCCACAAGTGAGTGAGGGTTGCCTAGAGGTGACTCCTTCAGTCTTTGGGCCTCAGAAAATACCCTGAGTAAGCAGGCAGGAGTTGGCAAAGAAGGACTCATACCACTCAAGCCAATCTGATGAATGGGAAGAAAATTGAGGCTGAATATTTAAAAAGGGAAGATCAGTAGTATTATATACTGTATATTTACAAGTTTATTTTTTGAATATATTTTTGAATGCTTGTACTGAAAAAAGTAATAAAAAGATTAGGATAATCTACTCTGATCCATATTTCAGATATCCTTGGGAGTACTGACAGAAAGAGGAGATTATTACAATAAAGGCAATAGTCTACTAAATCTGTGATATATGCATGTGAGGTTCAATGAAATAAAGATTATATCAAAAATATTTTTAAATAAAATTATAAGAGAAAGAAAAATTGGAGAAACAGAAATGAATCTTTAACAGTTCATTTCTTTTTGGAAGTCCGTAATTCCATATTATATTCAGATACCTTAAAATTCTGCATAATCAAATAAAATAATTATTTCTTTTTTCAGAAGGTAAGAATGAAAAAATATTCCTGTAAAAATATCTGAATATGCCAAAATGCACAACCCAGCTACTGTGCTTATGTTCTAAAATACTATCCAGTTTTAAATATTTCATGTCTCCCATTTTCTAATGACCCCTGTAACTATAAAACATGCCATTAATTTTAGATGTCCTGTAAGTTTTGAAAATTTCATTTAGCTGGTACTGCTGCATAACATTCATACACTATCCTTTCAAATATCACTCTTATATTGAGGGCATTTAAACTAGTCTTCCATTTTAATTAATAATTTTAATTCATTCTTCATGTTAATTCTTCATGTTAATTTTCAATTTTAAACATACAAATCACTTAAAATCTGTATACATCAATTCAAGCTTGGTAAAATTATGTGTTTGCTAGGTTTAAGTAGCATAATTTTATTCTGGTTATAAATTAAATTTATGAGTCAAGTTAAAAATTTAGCTTTATGCGATAGAATAAAAATCACACATAGTACTATCACCGTTCATATATTACTATACCCAAGACTTCTGTTAAGTTCATTCTTTGAGATTCAAATAAAATTTCTGCACACTCCATCTCTGTCTCTTTTGTGGTTTCTCCTCTTCAGTTCCAAGACCAAAAACATCATCTATACAATGCATCCTCGTGTACAGCAAGCTTAATTGACTTCTGCTATAACAGTGAGAGCTTACTTTATGGCTCCATGAAGAAAACAGCCAAAATTTAATATGAGACCCAATGAATTCAATGAATGCATATTTTAAAGCATTAATTTTCCTGTTAAAAATGGCCAGTTTTACATACTTTGTTCTTTCGCAATAACAAATAATTGTCGTGACATTGAAATTTTAGTCTTTTCCTATTTTCATAGCCTTTAGCATGAAGCGTACAAGGAGGCAGATTAGTTACTTATGTCACAAATTCACTATATTACTATATCAACTATTATATCACTAGTAAGACATAATTAACTTAAAATGATAAAAGTGAACATAGTTATATCACAAACGGCTCTTTTTCTGTTATGTATCTCTCAATATTTAATTATGCATGTAGACATACAGAATCACTGTACGTTTATTATAGAATATATAGTATTAAAAACAATTTAACACCGTTTTTTGATTTCTTGCTTTTAAAAGAATTCTATATTTTTATATCAGGTATTAAATGCCTATATGATTTGTCTTCTTTGCTTAACATTGCTTACACCATTTGAAATAATTTTACTACGTGTTATAGAAAAAAAAAGATGTCAATCAAACGTAAGCACAAACACCACAAATGATATACTACAGGGTCAGAATAGAAGAAAAATAAAATAAACATATGAAAAACAAAACAAACATTTTTATATACACAGGCTTAACAGGATACTAGAATCCTAGTGATTCTTAAGGCTCTTGACATCTCAGGGAGAGGCAGACTGGGACCACGTGGACAGACTGGTCTCTGCTTTCAGTTAACATCAAATTCTTTGCCTCCTTCCGCAGACAGAGAATGTGGATAAACAGACTAAGTCAGAAGACACTGATCTTTACAAGACATGGTTGCAATCTTGAAAAAATAATTCTCTTTTTACATGCTAAATTCCTCACAATTTTGAATATCAGCATTAGGTTCAGCCAGAAGCTAAGAAGTCCAACTGGACTTCTTAATTATTAGGCTACCTAAGGGATTTCATTGCTAGGCTACTGAAGGGAAAACAGCCAGGGCCATCCAGAGAAGATATTGCTTTTTCTCATGAAAGTGGGTCTAATGTAATATTTCTTTCAGATTTTAACCAATTTTTCCAAGCCATCTATGTATTAGATGTAGTCTCTTTCTGCTGATATGTGATTAAAAAATCATTTGCACAATATGCATATGTACATCCTTATATGTGTTAAAATATTTGAGGGAGTACTTCTAATCTATTCTATTTGTTCCATACCACTGTGATAAGGTCCAAAGCAGTGCATGTTCGTAATAAATGTTATTATCTGTCGGGCCATGACCTTCCTTTATTTCTTGTATTCAGACTCTCCAAATTATTAATACTTCTTTATTCAGAATCTCCAAATTAGTGATACCTCTTTATTTTCTCAGAAAAAAAAACTTCTTCTTGGCAGAGTATCCTAATCCACTTGGGCATATTCTAGGAATAAAAGGTGTAGAGTCCAGATGAATTTGGATAGCATAATGTTGACTGAGGACAAAATACCTCAAAAGTTCATTATTGCAAGTAAAGCACCTTTCATACCTCATGTCATGCTGCTTATCCTGCAACACTGAAGCAGTTTAACAAGTTAAGAGTTGAGAATCAGGGAGATTGGCTTACTGGTTAAAACATAGGGAAAGGTAAGTTAAGGATGTGTGAAATTAGAGGGGAGAGTTAGAATTCCAAAGTCATAGAGAATTCAGTTCAGGATGTCAGACTGAGTAAATATGCTTACATTAGTTTATTTGAAGAACACCACTGATATTCTGAAAACAGGAACTGGTATGAACAGTAGACCAAAATAATTCTAGAAATAGTTTTAATTATGAGAGATAAGACTGACAGAAAAAGTTGATGTCACCTAATGTAAAAAAAAGGGAGTTGCTACAGAAATGATAATGATGATGATGGTGTTAATGGTGGGTGATGATGATAATGATGATGATATTTCAAAGAGAATCCTGGCAAAATCACAGCTCTATGGGTAGACTAATATCAGAAACAGAGCAAGGATTTACTAATGGAATTATTTATTCAAGGAGAAAATGCTTCACGTCATGGCCATTTGTGTACAAGGGTGATTCTTTTAATCAATCTTTTAATGGTGAGAGGAGGGAGAAGATCAGGAAAAACAACTAATGGGTCCTAGGCTTAATACCTGGGTGATGAAATAATCTACAAGACAAACCCCCATGACACAAGTTTACCTATGTAACAAACCTGCACTTGTACCCCTGAGCTTAAAATAAAAGTTAAAAAATAAAAAATCTGACAATTTGGTGAGGTTCATTGCAGACAGATCAGACAATGTGAAATGCCTGGAGGCTGCAGAAACTTAAGAGTTAACATCTTACTTATGAAACCCATAAAACAGTCATAAGAAAGAGGCCCAGAGTATTCCTTATGGAAATAAAAAAAAAAATGGGTCAGGAAAGGAAACAGTAGCAGTCAGGAGAGGTAAAAACTAGGCTTAGATCCTTTTTCCCCATCTCTCCTACAAAGTAGCAGCATTACTATCCTTAACCCTACCTGTATTAGTTAGGGTTCTCTAGAGGGACAGAACTAATAGGATAGATGTATACATGAAGGGAAGTTTATTAAGGAGTATTGACTCACATGATCACAAGGTGAAGTCCCACAATAGGCCGTCTGAAAGCTGAGGAGCAAGGAAACCAGTCGGAGTCCCAAAACCTCAAAAGTAGGGAAGCCAACAATGTAGTCTTCGGTGTGTGGTCAAAGGCCCAAGAGCTGCTGGCAAATCACTGGTGTTAAGTCCAAGAGTCCAAAAGCTGAAGAACTTGCAGTCTGATGTTCAGGGGAGGAAGCATCCAGCACTGAAGAAAGATGATGATTGGAAGACTCAGCAAGTCAGCTTTATTCTACTGGAGCTGGCAATTGATTAGATAGTCCCCACCCACATTAGGGTGGGTCTTCCTCTCCCAGTCCACTGACTCAGATGTTAATCTCCTTTGGCAACACCCTCACAGACACACCCAGGAACAATACTTTGCATCCTTAAATCTAATCAATCTGACAGTATTAACCATCAAAAACACGTAAGTGAAAGTGGATTGCAGCTGTAGGAGGACAGCACTGGGGGGTGGCGGAATGAAACAACTAACGGGTACTAGGCTTAATACCTGGTATTAATACCTTAAGGTATTAATGAGAGGTGACAACGTGCCAGCAGCCCTTGCTCCCTCTCGGCGTCTCCTTGGCCTAGGCGTCCGCTCTGGCCGCGCTTGAGGAGCCCTTCAGCCCGCCGCTGCGCTGTGGAGGCACCTTTCTGGGACTGGCTGAGGCCGGAGCCCGCTCCCTCTGCTAGCAGGGAGGTGTGGAGAAAAAGGCGCCAGCGGAGGCCGGGTCCGCGCGCTGCGCTTGCCGGCCGGCGCGGTTCCGGGTGAGCGGGGGCTTGGCGGGCCCCGCACTGGGCGCAGCCGACCAGCGCCTGCCGGGCTTGATCGGGGGATGAGCTCCCTCTGGGCTGCCAGAGTGCCCGGGCTGGGTGCTGCAGAGTCTGGCGACGAGGGACGGTGAGAGGTGAAGCCGGCTGGGCTTCTAGGATGGGTGGGGACTTCGAGAACTTTTGTGTCTAGCTAAAGGATTGTAAACGCACCAATCAGTACTCTGTGTCTAGCTAAAGGTTTGTAAATGCACCAGTCAGCACCCTGTCAAAACAGACCAATCAGCTCTCTGTAAAATGGACCAATCAGCAGGATGTGGGGGGGGGGGGGGGGTGGTGGTCAGATAAGGGAATAAAAGCAGGCTGCCTGAGGCAGCAGCTGCAACTTGCTTGGGTCGCCTTTCAGGCTTGGGGCGTTTGTTCTTTTGCTCGCAATAAATCTTGCTGCTGCTCACTCTTTTGGTCCACGCCGCCTTTGTGAACTGTAGCACTCACCTCGAGGGCCTGCGGCCTTCATTCTTGAAGTCAGCGAGACCAAGAACCCACCAATTCCGGACACATTAATACCTTAATACCAGGTATTAAACCTAGTACTCATTAGTTGTTTTTCCCGATCTTCTCCCTCCTCTCAATATCCACCCTCTGATAGTCTTCATTGTGTGATGTTCCCCTCTATGTGCCCTTGTGTTCCCCTTTATGTGCCCTTAATCTTTTATTGAACCCACAACTAGAGTCATCAAAGGATAAGGAAACCAAGAAGACCAAACTCCCAGATTGAAACTCTCAAGATCCAGAGATAAGCACAATGCCTAAAACCAAGTCCTAATTAGGACAGATTTTCACCAGCCTCCACTGGCTAACAAACATGCTTCGGAGAAAAAGTAATGGGACAATTAACTGAGAGTAGAAGAGAAAAACCAGTGTAGAAAGGATTAGATTTGTAACAAAGTTCAGTAAAAACGCAGCTGCAGATCCTGAACTCACTTCTCCAAGACTGTTAACTATCTGGAAGTTTAGTCCCCATAGAGTCTTCTTTAATAGCTTTTTGTTGCCTTTTTGTAAATACCATTTTTTTGAGAGAGTAATTGTTTGAATTTTTTCTGGTTATTTTTATTTATTTATTTATTTATTTATTTTGAGACAGAGTCTGTGTTACCCAGGCTGGAGTGCAGTGATGCGATCTCGGGTCACTGCAAGCTCCACCTCCCAGGTTCACGCCATTCTCCTGCCTCAGCCTCTCCGAGTAGCTGGGACTACAGGCGCCCGCCACCACACCTGGCTAATTTTTGTATTTTTAGTAGAGACAGGGTTTCACCGTGGTCTCGATCTCCTGACCTCATCATCCGCCTGCCTCGGCCTCCCAAAATGCTGGGATTACAAGCGTGAGCCAGCGCGCCCGGCCTGATTATTTTTAATGAGAGTGTTATTCTGCCATAAGTTATTCCATTGTGCTTGGAAGGAGAAGTCTTGAATATGATTTAAAATCTAACACAAATTGCATTTTTCTTGCCATCATTTCTCATCCTACTTTTAAAAATAATCCAGTTTGCCTTATATCTTATTTTCTCTTTATCTGGCTTGTCATTCTCATTTTAAGTATAGTGGTTGTGCCTTTTGGCCTATATAATTATTCATTTATTTATTCAAAAATATATGTGAGATTGTCTATTTTATTGGAAGTAATGTTAAGTAAGATGGTTAAATACTTATCTGTTAAAACTGGAAGGTTAATTGAAGACTATTTTTGCAGACATCAGATAATCAAATTTTAAATTTTATAATCTTTTTTTTTTTTACATTTAAAACCTGTGCAAGGTCACTGAAGACCAGCATATTGTGCTCTTTAAAGTTTTTCTTCAAAATAAGAATAGTAAGCATACAATCATTCTTTCTTATTTGCAAAAATGTGTTTATTAAAGTTCATTTATAGTCAGATTATTTTGAAGGACAGAGAGAAAACAAGGTATCTATATAATAAAAAGGTGATTCACTGTGTCTTCAAACCATGTGACACATTCAGAAATTCTGTTACATTCTAATTACACATGGTAAAAGTCAATATTTGTCCAAAAAAAAAGTATTTTCTCAGTTTAGTCCAGAACTTGCAATAAATTTGCAATAGAATGTGACATCATACAGCAACAGAAGAACAAAACCTTTACTCACAAACCAATAATTTACTGTGGCTGTTTTTCCCCAGTTATTATAATAAAACCTCAAATAGTGATAAATAAAAAGAAGAAAATCTGCCAGTTGAGATGACGGTAGTAAATACAGGCATCACTGGGTAGTAAGGTGAAGCACAGCCATAGATAGGGGGAGAGTTTGAGATGAGTCTCAGCTAACGAAGTAGTTATTTAAGAACTAAAAGAAAGGGCTACCAGGGAGTAGCAACAGAAAATCCTAGTGTCTTGGAGCAAAAATAAGCATAGAAAGTTCAAACTGACAAATTGAAGGAAACTAGTGTGGCTGGACTGGGATGAGATGAATTAGTTGTTGTTGGAGGGAAAAAGAGTGAATTCAAGATCCTCATTACTATGCTCTGATCTAAGTAGCTTTTACTTACCCAACTTTATATCCTACCTCTGTTTTCCCTGCTCATTGCACATCATTACTTCTTAGTATTCAAGCAAAAATGGTATGAGGCGTCTTGAAATTCTCGTGTTATCACCCTCCTTTCCCAATTCTACTAAGTAGTGAGTCATTTTTTCAATGGTGTCCTCCTACTCACATTCATATGAATGATTCTTCAATGCCATAGTGGATCTAGAGATAGAATATGGTTGTTGTCTATGGGATCCATACAACTTCCTCATGAAGTCCTACTTAATGGAGGAGGAATCTTCTTCATCCTTAAGATAATTTACAGGTGGAAAATTAACCTATGTTGAAAGCTTATGTACTACTAGAAAATGTTCAAAGTTCCTCAGCCTCTAGTAATATCCTTTATCTTCTTGACATCCCAACGTATTAGAGGTAGTTATATTACAGATGAGGAATCTGAAGTGCAAAGATGCTTACTTATTTCCTCAAGTTCTCACAACAAAGAAGGGATATAGCTGAGATTTAGAACAAAATGGGCTTACTTCAGGGCCCATGTTTTAATCAGTACAACATACCTCCATTTGTAGGAATCGCTGTATGTTTTCATCTTATTCCCAAGCAACTTTCAGCCATAAAACAAAGGTAAAAATGGAGAAAAAACAGAAAACCCATTCATGTCTAATGAATGAGGTCAATTAAATGCAAATAATTCATAATTTAGTATGTGACACATACAATATCTGGGGTTATAGTGACTATTTGTCCTTTAGCATGATTATCCACTTCACTTGCTCACCAGCAAAGCTATTCTTATTATATGCAATATTTATCCATTAAACACAGAACCACATAATTTTCTTTACCAATACCAGTGACATGAGAACCATTACACAGCAATTATTCATAGGAAGTGAGCTCAACATATTATAACTACATTAAGGAAGTTCCCACATATCTGAGTAATAGCTATATAATTTTTTTTCCTGAGATACAGCCTCAGAGTTTCTAATTCATAGATGCTGAATTGGGGAGAGAAACTATGAGGTTTTCTATACCCTGCAAGTGTGTTAATTTGCTCTATTTTAAAAAATCTAAAGGCCAGGACATTGGCTCATGCCTATAATCCCAGCACTTTGGGAAGCTGAGGCGGGTGCCTCCCTTGAGCCCAGGGGTTCGAGATCAGCGTAGGCAACATGGCAAAACCCCATCTCTACAAAAAATGCAAAAATTAGCCAGGTGTGGTGGTGTGACTGTAGTCCCAGCTACTCAGGAGGCTGATCAAAGGAGGATTGCTTGAGTCTGGGAGGTAAAGGTTGAAGTGAGCTGAGATTGCACCACTGTACTCTAGCCTGGATGACAGAGTGAGATCCTGTCTCAAAAAACAAAAAAAAAAAGAAAGGAAAAACCTCAGTCATGGTGAGTTTAAAATGCTTTTTAAGGTTCTGTTGATATTATAGTTAGTTAAAATAAGTCATAGACTCTTAAGTACACATCAAATGCAAACTTTAGTTTGCATGTGTATTGTGGAAGGGTTGTGAGTTTTCCATTTATTTCATGTATTTATAGACATCTTAGTAGTTATTGGGATAATCTTTCCTGGAAGCTTATAGTGATTGCTATTTATAACCAGTAATACAGGTTATATAATCTAAGCATAAATTTGTTCACTGTTTAAATATGAAAACATATATTTTTATTGCTTCTAATATCTACCGTTTATTTTATGTTTTACATTCTTTTTTTAAAATTAAGTTTTGTGAGTACATAGTTGGTGTACATATGTATGGGGTACATGATATATTTTTATCCAGGCATATGGCATATTTAAATGGAGATCTTTCAACCCAAACATTTATTTTTGTTACGACATTCAACTATACTCTTTTAGTTATTTTAAAATGTATAATATTGTTGACTATAATCACCCTGTTGTGCTACGAAATTATATTTGCTTTTTATAGAGCTCATTATCATTTGTCTTCATTATTCAATCATTTTTCATTTATTTTCTACGAATAAATTATTTTTCCCTTTTGAGGAACATAAAAATTTAATAATGTACTTCATGTTGAAAACTTGGAGGGAAGATAAATAGGTGATGATAGATACACGGATAGATAGATAAATGATAAAAAGAGAAATAGAAAGTAAAGCTGGGTGCTCTTAATATTTCATATGATCAGCATGATATTTGAAAAAATCATTAAAAATGACGAGAAAGTGGACAGTGAGTTGTTAGGGAAAGTTCACGTCAAGTAGGCCGAGGGCAGAGGAAGCCCATAGCCCAGAAGGTGGCAGTGTGTTTCACATATTTGACCAAGAACACACAGGACAACAAATGCTGGAGTAGTGTTGAGTGAAATGGGGAATTTTAAGAGGTTAAATGAAGGTCTAGATGTTGTAGGGCATTGAAAGTCATTGTGAACTTTATGGCTCCAATTTTGAAAGCAATGAAAAGTCCTTAGTTTGAAGCTGAGAAGGGACATGATGAGATGGTGTAGACATTGTGACATACAGGTCATCTCACACTTTGATGAGAATCTTGTTGCCTCAGCTACCAGGATAGTGATGGCAGGCAGACAGCCTTTACCTTCCAGGTAATTCAGAGTTTGCCACAGCTGCAGAGAGCTTGCCCAATATCATGCCCTTTTCAGGGTGCATCCCACAAGAATGGGCCTCTAAGCTCATCTTGGAAAACTTTGAGATAGCCCTAAAAGGTTTTTACAGCTCCAGAGCACCCAGTGAGATTGGCTGTGTCTGCAGTTGGGTCTTCTTTCAACTTTAACTTCTCCTTCTGCCTATGTTGCTTCTTTCTTCTTCCATCCATAGCTGCTAAAGGAAAAGAAACACCTTGATAAACCTACTGTGGATTAAACCCCATCTGAGAATCTGCTTATTGAGGAGACCAACTTCTGTGTATGTGACACAGGTCTTAACAGGCTAACTATGGTGGTTGTGTTGAGAAAAAAAAAAAGAGGAATAGCTAGAAGTAGAGAGAGTACTTAGGAGACTACTGAAATCATGCAGTGGTTTAGGTGTCCTGGACCTAGTTTACAGTAGATGAGGTAAAAAAAAAAAAAATACGCAGACAACTTCCAAATGTATTATCAATTTAATATCAAATATGGGGTGTGAGAGGAGATAACAGTCAATTGTGACTCCCAAATTTTGAAGACTAAGAAAAAAAGTTGCTATTAAATGAGATACAAAAGGCTGCATTAGAAGCAAGCAGATTTTGGGAAAAGTTCCTAAGTACAGTTTTGTCATTTTAGGTTAAGATGTCTTTTATACTGCAGAGTGCAAACGCACAAGAAGCTTGGAAATGCCAATCTGGAGTAAAGTGTAAAACAAAGCAGCAAACATAAAAAGCCGTGTTTACTCATTTCTGCTTGCCAGCATAATTTCACAATGCCTCTGGCTCTATGATGACATATAGGTCTCCAGAAAGATGCTTTGAAGACAAAATAGAATACAGAACATGGTCCCCTACGTCTCTTGCCTGAGCCACTACATTCTTCAAAAGATAAATGACCTAGGCTGGACGCAGTGGCTCACGCCTGTAATCCCAGCACTTTGGGAGGTCCAGGCAGGTGGATCATGAGGTCAGGAGATCGAGAGCAGCCTGACCAACATGGCAAAACCCCATCTCTACTAAAAATACAAAAAATAACCGGGCGTGGTGGCGCACATCTGTAATCCCAGCTACTCAGGAGGCTGTGGCGGGAGAATCGCGTGAACCTGGGAGGCGGAGGTTGCAGTGAGCCGAGATTGCACCACTGCACTCCAGCCGAGGCGACAGAGCAAGACGCCATCTCAAAAAAAAAAAAAAAAAAAAAAAAAAAGAAAAGAGAAATGACCTTAGCCTTTTCCTTTTCTTACACATAAGATTAATAATGTCTGACAGGGTTAGTTATTATGCTTCTGTAATCTAGAACTAAATGTACTCTTACACCCAAACCACAATGTGATTCTACTTTAATGTAACTTGTAAGCAGGTGCGATGTGATTTTGCAAGTACTGAACCTCCACCATGGGTATATAAGAAGTGGGCTGAAATACTGATTGAATCTGTCTAAAGGGCTGCTCCTGAGACTCAGGCTTCAGTCTCTTCTCCCCAGTAAGATTAATGAATAAAATTCACCTTAATTCTGTAACTTGATTTATTTTCTGTAGTCAATGTGAATATAGCCACAGGCAAGAAGTATACGTTTAGAAATCATACAGGTTTAGATTATATTTAAAAACAATGAAGCGGGTTGGGAACACAAAAGAGTGTATGTGGAAAGATAAAGGATTCAAGGACTCAGGCCTGGAACCCTTCAGTGTAAAGAGGTGAAAGAATTGAGATGAAACTAAGAAAGAGTCACTGAAAATGGGTTTCTGGTGAAGGAGGACAGTGGTATTTATGAGGCAAGTGAAGCAAATATACAAATGAGGAGAGACTAATAATGTGTGTTAAATTCTGTGATGAGATGAAGAGGACTAAGACTTTACCATTACATATTAAAAAGCAAGGATCCTTGGTGATATTGACAAGAACGGCGTTAGTGAAGTGATGCATTGGTCAAAAGCCTAAACACAGTTGGTTCTGATGAGAACTGAAGAAAAGCTATTGTGAACAGCAAGTAAAGGAAACTCCTTTGGAAGAGCTTTCTGTAAGGGATGTGAATAAATGGGTTAGTGATTAGTAGGAAAATTAAGTCCAGTGAAAGTGATTTTAAGATGGCTGAAATAACGACATTTTTGCCTACTGCTGAGAAACAGCAGTAGAGAGAGGGAGGTTGAAGCTGTCGCCATAAATAAATGAATCCGGATCAGTGACCTTCAGGAAATGAGAGTGTCTGTGATCTAACCTCTGAGAAGAGGCATATGGACTGCCAAGCCAAAGCAGCAGAAAAGAAAGTATAGAACATGAGGACAACCGTGGGTAGAAGGGTAAAAGTGCTAATGTGAGCTGATAAGAATTTCCTTCTTATCAAATCTATTTTCATTATCAGATAAGAAACAAAGTTGTTTGGCAGGAATGAAGACAGACAAGGAGATGTTGGAGGTTTAAAAAGAGAGCAGAAGGTCTTAAGTACAATTGTGAAATATTCATTTTTATATTCTAAGAACTCTTAAATTGTATTTGTAGTTGTGGCTTAATGTATTCTACAAATTAATTCATATCAAAATAATAGATTTATATATACTGTCCTATATAATCATTTGATAAGAAAATTGATTGTTTATCATCACAGTGTTAGAGGCAATAAAAAGATCTTTTACTTTCTCAGCAGCTTTCTTTTTAATCTGATGTTATGCTGGAGGCAAAGCATTGCATTGATTTTCCCAAGCAAATTGCTTATACAAAACTCTGGTAGCAACTCTTCTGGCAGTCCTTAGATCAATGATAACAAATAAACAGTATCTATGTCTTTTTTGAATTATTTGTTTGCAAGCTAGAGAAATAGGCTACCTTTAGCAAAATAAGGTAATTTATTGGAAAGATAATGGGACAACCCACAGAATCAAAGCAAAGGCTACAGAAAACAATTCTTGAAAAGGACTGAAGCAAGAGAACTGCTGTAGTTTTAATAAGTCAATGGGCAGTCTCCTCAGACAACAAAGACAGGATGGATTAACCTAAACAATGGCTCAACATATCTATATCTTTTACAGGGACTGTAAAAACAGTGAAACACTTGTTCGTTCTTCTTCTGCCATTGAAGGCTACTGCTCTGTAACACCTCATTAGCTCCAGGGTTGTGAAAATTCAAAGCAATAGAAGATTGTTTTCAGTTTAAAGCTGGAATTAAGCCATATCTTTTTGGTTTCATCCATATTATACATTATAATGAAGCCAGTGATGATGGATTATTAATTAGGAAAATCGGTGGGATTTATGATTATAAATGTTTTATCTTTATGCACTGTATCTGTTATATGACTTACTACTCAATGGTAAAATGTTACTCTGATAATCTGGCGCCTGTAGTCCCAGCTACTCCAGGAGGCTGAGGCAGGAGAATGGTGTGAACCCGGGAGGCGGCGGAGCTTGCAGTGAGCGGAGATGGCGCCACTGCACTCCAGCCTGGGCGACAGAGCAAGACTCCGTCTCAAAAAAAAAAAAAAAAAAAAGTTACTCTGCTAAGTAGCTTGCAATTCACTTACTCTTTTAAAACAGCTGATCAGAAATAGGTACCATCTTTCTCTCATTTTTCTGCCCACCTTCTACTCATTACATAGGTTTAGTGTATTATTTCAAATACTAATGGGCAAGTGTAAATTCTTAAACAAAATGTCAAAAACCGGGCCTCTGCCAACAGAATCTCAATATTTATTCTTTTTCAAATATTTATGGCATGCAGTTGAATATACTAGTGCAGTTGATGCATATCATTTTCTCATTTCAATATAAAGAGCATTTTTTATTTACTGATATATTTAATTGTATAATTTAGAATTTACAGTACAATACTGTAACTAGACTATAACTTCTCCAACTTTAAGATTACATCACCCCAACCTTTAAATCTCTTAATAATTAACCATATTAGTATACATCACGACAGTTTTAGCTGTAAGTTTGTCATAATAACCTTACTATTCCATCGAGTTCTAGGTTTCCTCATTGCCCAAATTCAATGCCAGTTCTTAAGTTTATTGGAAAGAAAAATAATGCAATCAGAGCAGGAAGAAATAGAAGGAGAGCACAATCAATAAGTAGAAAAAAATGAGAAAGAAGTAGGAGAGACAATGAATAGAGATAATTGAACTATTTTACTTGTTTAAAGGGGGAAAATGACAACAATTAGTATTTCTGTTATGCATAAAGATCACTTACGAAAATCGGAAATTTCTGGCAATGTGACTACAAATTCAATAACTAATAAAACTTAGAATTCTATCCGTCTCCTTTCAATCACTTGTGATTCATGAGAATTTTCTGTTGTAGTTTTTTAACTTCCAGATTTTTAACACTGGTCATTTCCTATCATTTAATAATATTTAAAAATAAGATCCATCAAAAGTTATAAATTTTTCTATATGTATGCTTTAGATAACTCAATTCTCTGCCTTTTCATTTACTCTTTAGCTTTCTCCTCTCAAACTTAGTATTTTGCTACCTCTCTCCTCTCTCTCTCTCTCTCCCTCCTCTCTCTGTCTCTCTTTCTGTCGTTACTTTAAAGAGGTTCTGATATGGTAGAAGAGAGACACCTTTCCAATTCATTCCTCATCCAAGATATGAAATATGTGTTTAGATGACACTAGACTTTTGCAGCAAAATAATCTGGAGAGAAGATGAAGAATCATATTTCCTACTGTCACTGTTTATGATGATGGCCTTGCCAAAGTAGTTTACTGGAACTTGTATCTAAGGCAAACTACACACAGGCAAGGCTATTTTTATTTTAACATCATAGTGCAGGATGAGTGGAACTTCAATCTTCAAGTTTTCTTTGGAAATGTATTTCTTTTAAAGTTCCACTCACTCCTCTTTGATGAATGGTTAGAAAGGTAAACTCACTCTTCCATTTAAAAATAAGTGCCTCAGGGTCAATAATGTAATTTCTCCCACTGGACATTTTATAGGTACGAAATGGTCAAATAGTTTCTTGCTGAAAATAAATTGTGTGTGTAACATACAGCCTGATTTTTCCCCCAGTATATGTAGAACTTCTGTTTCTTTAGTTTTGTTTGTTGTAGTGAAGTGAGACTGTTGCATGAGGAGAAGATATGTGACATGGCCATAGTGTTTGACTCAGTGACTCACTGGTTAAATGTAAGACTGTTTATTTGTCAAAATCATTATAAATTTGTGTGACATATGGTGGCCCATATGTAGTAGACACAAAGTAGTAAAATGAACAAAAACCATAGAGGGTAGAATTTTTACACAATAGAAATTCACATATTTTTCTAATAGGAAAAACAAATCTGCTAATATACCTCAACCTCATCTTTGTCAATTATTTTCAACGTTTTTCTGTTTTTTTTAATACAACACAGTGGATTAAAAACATTTAATTACATTGTGACCTCATGGTGGCCAGCAATCTTACAATCAAAACACAATCAATTAATCCCTGTCACTTTCCTGAACCTTACTATCCTTGTAAGATTATCTGCATATTTTTCCTACTTAAATTCCTGGAAACAGGCTCTTTGTTCGTCTTTTCGAAGCCCAGAAAGGCTCATTTTTTCCACTGCGTTTTGGTTTCATCTATTAATAGCAGAGTCAAAGTGTCAAAGGGTAGATTGATATCCCAGGTGGAGTAAATACCTCCCTAAAATGTGCCTTGGAAACAATCTGTTGGTAAATGAGCAGATGCTCTCCTTCAGAAAAGGTTCAGAAGAACCTCTTGAACTTGCTGTCACCAGGTATGTTAACATCCCTCCTTCAAGACCTTAGTGACCCTACTTCAGACTTGTTAGAGTCTAAGGTTCTTTTTTCACATAAAATAATCAAGTTATGCACAATTACAGGTGACTCCAAGTACTGGGAAATCTCAAACAGCTACGAGTACTGGAAAGCAGTTTTCACCCAGTAGAGATCAGTTACACAATTTGGATGTAGGGAAGCCTCATGGGACATGTGATGGAAACAAAATACCTGTTTTCATATAACTAAAAGTATCTTCCTCTTAACCCCACATAAATATTTGGCTCCTTCCTGTCATTAACCTGGGTTTGCTATTTTCTTATGATCAAATTTTCTCTCTTGCAAACATTTGATATACATATTTACGCTATTATTGTTATTATTTTAGATCAGCATCATAGTCTCTAATCTATTACATTTACTTTTTAAACTATATTCTCAACTCCACCTTCATTTCTATCTAGTCTAACTTTCATACCACTGTCATCAGAGGTAGCTTTTTTAGCATAATTTACCCTAATTTTATAAAAGGTAGCAAAGAATTTAAGATAATTTTTGTAAGAAACTAGAATTTACATCTATTTCTCAAGGGCCAGACTTGTTTTGTTAAATAGTCATTCTCCAATTTTTAACAGAGTTTCTGACATAAATTTGGTGCTCAAAAGTATTCATTCAATTGAACATTTAATTAAAAAGCATTAGAATCTTCTTGAAGACGTAACTATCATTTATAATTTCATACTGATTGAAAGAATAAACAGTGCTTGGCACATTGTAGGTTTTCAAATGGTTATTTGAATGAATGGTTACTTGGAGTACATTAAAGATTCAGTCTAAAATGTAAAGGTAATAGTTTT
This sequence comes from Homo sapiens, assembly GCF_000001405.40. Lineage (NCBI taxonomy): Eukaryota > Metazoa > Chordata > Mammalia > Primates > Hominidae > Homo > Homo sapiens. The sequence goes on along the minus strand of NC_000021.9, from coordinate 23,009,883 downwards.
AAGAGTTTCTCTACTTTAATGGGGATTCCTATTTTCAGGGCAAACAATTCTTAACATCTAGAGAGGAAGTTCAGCAGGTGGACAAACAACAACAATAATAATACATTTAAAAAGTGAGAAATGCATGGTGTTGGGCGTTGTGACTATTGCTGTCATGTCTACAGAGTCACACATAAATATTAGGAAAACTGTAATAATTAAATTATTCTTGCTTCGGGCTGTTTTAGAAAAGCAAATGTTAAAACATCCTGCCTAGTGAAACAGGAGGCAGCTTCTGAAAAAAAATGTATTATTTCTCCAGTGAAATAGCCAGCAGGAAGGACTGTTCTGTCTCTTTGTCTGAATCTGTCATGTTAGGACAAGATAACCAGAATTGTTGCAGCAATCTTGCTACGTGGATGAGAGTGAAACCAATCCAAGGATTAGACAATTAAGATATATGGAGAATTTAAACACTTGAAAATATTGCTAAACTGATTATTAAACCAACCTGAAATTTACCCCAGTGTTGGATTTCCTGAGGAAAACACTGTGTTTTTCTTATTTCCAAAAATAATTGAGTTATATTTTCATCATTTACAGTCCACAGCAGCCTAAGAGATTGACAATTTTTTGTGTTACTTTCTGTGGTGATTTGGTGTTTGCTTTATTTACTTAGTGCTATCCAAATTCAGTTTCACGAATAGTTAAGTTACATAACACAAATGCACAGAATGAAATTGAATTTAAAATACGGATAAGTAAAAATGACGATAAATAAGGGTATTATAGCAAGTTGAAGGCAAAAATGAATTCACTGATGAAAATATCATCAGCTATTCTGTAGTCAACAGTGGTATGCAGTTAATTTGATCCTGAGATTCCTATCAGCCTATGTGAGGAAGAAATCCTGTTAATTCAAAATGTGTATTCAATTAAGTAAAAAGAAAGCAGGCCTGGCACGGTGGCTCATGTCTGTAGCCTGTAATCCCAGCACTTTGGGAAGCCACGGCAGGAGGATCACTTGAGCCCAAGGAGTTTGAGATCAGCCTGTGCAACACAGTGAGATCTCCTCTCTACAAAACAATTTTAAAATTATCCTGGCTTAGTGGTGCTTGGCTATAGTCTCAGCTACTTAGGAGGCTGAGGCAAGAGGATTATTGAGCCCAGGAGATCAAGGCTGCAGTGAGGCATGATCACACCACCACTGCACTCCAGCCTGGACGACAGTGTGAGATCCTGTCTCAAAATAAATAAATAAGAAAAAGGAGGCTGTTGTACGGAAAAGAAACATTAGGTTTATTTTGGGGTGTGTGTGTGTGTATTTGTTTTAATTTGTTTTTGGCATGAAGTATAGATAGAAGTCTTTATATGGCAACAACTTTAAGAAGTACTTATAACTCAATGTCATTTCCAATTCAACCTGAGGAGGTAGCTTTCTTTCAACGTGAGAGAACAGGAGACATTGTATTTTTGTGTTTATCTATCTGTAATAAAAATGTGAGCTCCCAGTGACTAAAAAAATCCAATTCAAACTGTTTTGAACGTTGGAAAAAAAAAGTTTGGTACATTTTGCTAACCCAAAAGTTAAAGCAGAAGGCAATGTTTGACCTAAGTCTCCTCACCAAGGGCACCAAAGATCCAGCCTCTGCCTAGTACATTTTCTGTTATTTCTCTCAGGCCCAGCCTTCTGGGAGACCATGCATTTCTTTCAGGGAGCATCAGGTGCTCTTCTTGGAGTCACATAGGAAGGTCAACCTCCCTCCTCACAGAATTGCTGTTCAGATGCAGAGAGCTTCACTCTCAGAGCAGCCAAGCAAGCATAATTCCTTAGCCTGGTTTTCAGTGGCTTAAAATCTGTGAGACTCTTTCCTGAAACCAATGAATATAATTAAGCTGATTCGATTAAGCCAGTTACTAAGTCTCTATAGAGGTTAAAGTGTGGTCTATCCCACCAAAATTTATTTAGAGTTTTCCAAAATATTGTCAAAATTAATATTGAAGAACAGAGATAGAACAAAAAGTCATTGGAAAGGAGATTTTCCTCCCTGTCTCCTGTCCCTGTTTCCTTGTCTACCTTCTTCCTCTCTCCCCATCCCCCATCACCCGCTCTCGCTCCCCCTTCTATCACCCTGACTTCTCTCTTGTAGAGCTGGGACACCCTTATTTTCCTGTCCTTGGACATCAAAACTCTAGGATTTTTGGTTTTTGGATTCTGAAACTTACACCTGAGACCCTCTGGGTTTTCAGGCCTTCAGCCTCCAGCTGAGAGTGACATCTTTGCCTTCCCTGGTTCTGAGGCTTTGGGACTTGGAATGAGCCACACTACTGTAATATTTTAGGGCCTCGAGCTTGCAGAAGCTGGGAGGGAACTTCTCAGCCTCCATTATTATGTGAGCCAATTCCCCTAATAAATTCTTTCTGATCTATATCTATCTGTATATATTCTACCACTTCTGTCTCTCTAGAGAATTGTGACAAATATAGCTGTCTCGTAAATTAGAAAGATTTTTTTAAGTATAGCTACAAGTAATCCATTCAGGAGAAAAAACATAGCACAGGATATTTTTATTAAATCAATTTGATATGAGAGAGAGATTTATTAACTGGTATAAGAGAGCATCAACACAATTAAAGCATGCCTAATTCTAATCGTAATTATGAATGGAAAGCTAGCTTTTTACTTCCACTTATACAGGAAGGACTATTCCAAATGTGGGAGAGTTATATAGACTAACAAATTGTTCATGCATTTGTTTGCAAATTCTATTGTTTTCTTTTTGATAGAAACTCAGTGTTAAAAAATATATGCAATTATTCACCATAAACCTGCTAAATCTGTGCAGCTGATGAATCAAGGGTGCTGTAAAATTCATTTAATTTACAAAAAGTAAATACACAGAGATTAGTAAAATTGTCAATTTGATACAAATTCACATAAAATTTCCTAAACTTGAGAATACATTAAAATAGCTCAAGGCTTTAATATAAATGTCAACAAATAGCTATGCAGGACCAGGGAGTGATAAGGTGATTTTATATTCTTAGTTATGTTTTGAATATTTGTTTTGTTTTTAAATTTTTGTACTGTATGACACTATTTCTATATGCAAATTGTCCATTCTAACCACTAGTGACAATAGAATACATGTATCATTAAATTCACCTGGCTTTGTCTATCTTTAAAAACAATCATACTGGATAGCTTTTCTCATGGGGCAAACAGTACAGGCAGTCATTAGTGTTAACACAATCCTTTTCACCTCAAGAAAAGTCTGTACATTTAGAACTTTCTCTTCAGGGTCAGTTCTCATAAAATTGTACGCATGAACAGATTTTTAAAACTCTCATATTCCTTGAGTTTATAAAAAAATTGCCTGAATTTTACTTATACTCATGTTGCACAGAAATCTTCTGGTATTACGAAATTAATAACAAAGAGAAGAAGATTTCATAGCTAAAGTAATTAGGAAAGTTAAAGCAATGAATCATATAAAATAATATAAACTTAACATTTGGTTGTATTAATTTTATTTTAATCTAAAATTTACATATATAGTATTTTGGATATTAATGCTTGATATCCATACTTGGACATAAAATATTGTATGTTGAACGCTAAAAGCAAAGTTGTTATTATTATTAATTTTTTATTTTACTTTAACTTCCAGGATACATGTGCAGAACATGTAGGTTTGTTACATAGGTATACACGTGCCATGGTGGTTTGCTGCACCTATCACCCTATCATCTAGGTTTTAAGCCCTGCACACATTGGCTATTTGTCTTAATGCTCTCCCTCCCCTCAACCCCCACCACCCTACTGGCCTCGGTGTGTGTTGTTCCCCTCCCTGTGTCCATGTGTTCTTATTGTTCAACTCCCACTCGTGAGTGAGAACATGCAGCGTTTTGTTTTCTGTTTCTGTGTTAGTTTGCTGCGGATGATGGCTTCCAGCTTCATCCGTGTCCCTGCAAAGGACATGATTTCATTCCTTTATATGGCTGCATAGTATTCCATGGTGTATATGTACCACATTTTCTTTATCCAGTATATCGTTGATGGACTTTTCGGTTGGTTCCATGTCTTTGCTATTGTAAACAGTGCGGCAATAAACATACATTTTCATGTTTCTTTATAGTAGAATGATTTACATTCCTTTGGGTATTTACCCAGTAATGGGATTGCTGTGTCAAATGGTATTTCTGGTTCTAGATTCTTGAGGAATTGCCACACTGTCTTCCACAATGGTTGAACTAATTTACATTCCTACCAACAGTATAAAAGTGTTCCTATTTCTCCACAGCCTTGCCAAGATCGCCATTCTGACTGGCGTGAGATGGTATCACATTTTGGTTTTGATTTGCATTTCTCTAGTGATCAGTGATGTCAAGCTTTTTAAAATATGTTTATTGGCTGCATAAATGTCTTCTTTTGAGAAGTATCTGTTCCTATCTTTTGCCTACTTTTTGATGGGGCTGTTTGTTTTTTTTTCTTTTGGATTTGTTTAAGTTCCTTGTAGATCCTGGATATTATACCTTTGTCAGATGGGTAGATTGCAGAACTTTTCTCCCATTCTGTAGGTTGCCTGTTCACGCTGATAATAGTTTCCTTTGCTGTGCAGAAGCTCTTTAGTTTAATTAGATCCTGTTTGTTAATTTTCGCTTTTGTTGCAGTTGCTTTTGGTGTTTTTGTCATGAAGTCTTTGCCCATGCCTATGTCCTGAACGGTATTGCCTAGGTTTTCTTCAAAGGTTTCTATGGTTTTGGGCTTTAAAATCTTTAATCCATCTTGAGTTAATTTTTCTATAAGATATAAGGAAGGGGTCCAGCTGCTACTTTTAAAAGAAAAACGTAATATCAGTATCTTCTCTAATTCAGAGATATTTAATTGTCTAAATAAAACTCCTTTTTAAAATATAGACTCAATTTATTGGAGTTCAAACTCATATTGTTTCCAAAATCCTCACTAGTCTTGCATTTTCTATATATTCAAAAGTTTCAGTTTCTTTAAAATAGCCTGAAAACATCAATGTGACAATAATCCGAAGGCAGGATTCTTTCAAACATTTACAATTTATTTTCAATCTTTATGCTTTCATTGCCTATGCCTTTTATAAAAATGTATTTTTAAAATACCTGAATTTCGTAGTCATTCTATGGTATTCAATTTCGTTTCCACAGCGAAAACGACATTCACATTTATATTTCACTTGATGATGTGACATGTGGCTAAGTTATGTAATCAAAGTATCGATTGAAAATGTCACAGTCAAGTTTGGAGACCAATGCTAAATAATCTTAGTAAGACTAACATGCAAATGCCAGTAGAAGTACCCCAGCTTAAGGAATGGGTGCATGGGGTGCTGGGCACTGGAAAAGGGAACCAAGCACTTGGCTGCACCAGTACTAGGCTACCTGATGACCCTAACAGGATTGTCTGTGGCAATTATGTCAATCTTAAAAATATATATGCCATCTGCATGGGCTAATTCCATATTCTGCTCTTCACTTTGAATACTGCTGTTGCAAATATTATCATCCCGCTATTAAATAAATTGCTGTTTCGTGGAGATTAGTAATGAGACCACGTCATGGCTCCATTAAACAAACAAACAAAAACAGAATAGAAATGAAACTTCGACTATCTAGTCTCTACTATCTAACTTCTACTCTAGGCCCATTCTGAACAAACATGATCAAGTATAGCAGGAATTATGTACCTATTGAGACAAGATCAGGAAATCTCGAAAGAATGAGCAAATATTGACTAAGTGTAAAAACCTACCGAGAGAACTGTGACAAATGAAAAGTGTTTGATGGGATTGGATATCCATAACAATTCTAATGAGACTTTCAGATCTAGGCTCATGGTGAGTACATTTTAAGGAGGAGAACTATTAGAGAAAAAACAGTTGTTTGTATCACATTATTTTTTCTTAATTAAGGTGGACACAGCTTTATAAGATAATGGGGAAGATATATATTTTTAAGGATATATTACTTAATGTTATGTCTTTGGAAGATTATCTCTAAATTCTACAGTGATGTTTTAGCAATTATTAATTTTTTTAATCCTGTTGACTTTAAAATATCTACCATTATTTAATTTTCAGCTCAGTGATATTAGAGACAGTTAATTCCACCCAACATTTAATAATTTTCCTCTTGCTGAAATATATGCTACTTTTGCCTGCCACTTTCCTTTTATCTGAGCTATGCTGGGAGAGGCATCTTATTAAGCAGTGGGACAGAGTAGATTGTGTGTAGAGTCTGGAACCAAACAGCCAGGCTATGAATCCTGAGTCTGCCACCTGGCAATGTTGTAACTTTTGGCCAAGTAGTTAAATTCTCTGTACTCCAGTTTTCTCAACTGTAAAGTGAGATAACAATGCTAACTTTGAAAGTAACTTAGCCCTTTCTCATTAAAAAATTTAATAATGAGGCCCATCAAAAAGTGGGCAAAGAATAGGAACAGATACTTCTCAGAAGAAGACATTTATGCAGCCAATAAACATATTTTAAAAAGCTCCTTAGGGAGCCAAACTCTGTATACATTCTGGAAAGTTACTAGATTCCTAAACAAACTCAGGTGCTAAATAATTATTAATGTCAAGTATCACAATTTGATTAAATGCCCTAGTATAAGGCAACCTCCTGGGATGAGTACATTGATGGCTCTGTCAGGTAAAACAGCAAAATCAATAAAAACGTAGAGAAAGAAACAGTAGGAGACAAAAGAGTATGCGATGATAGTGTAAAGAGAAGAATAATATATTGAAAAGAAAATGAGGTTATAATTTACAAAATTATACTATGACCAATAGTATAGTCAAGAAAGGTCATAAAAGTCTCCGAGCCTGAAATTATTTTTCCAATTAACTGTATAAAATGTTAAAGTTCTGGGTATAGATAACCTTTTCTCAATAATGGTAGCAAAGATTATAATAACACAGAGTCGTTGAATTTAGAACTATGGTTCAAGTTCTACCCGTCCAACTTAGTGGCAGTATGACTTTAGGAGTAAACAAAATCTTATCTAAAAACAAGCAATTAATAAATATCACTTTAAATCAATATTATTATGATTGTTCAAATAACAGAATTTAAACATACTAATTATATACTTATATGTTTAAATTATTTCAGTTTACAAGGATACACATTTAATACTTCTCCAAATTATTATCTAGCATAATCCAAAAGAGCATGCTTTAAACGGTACTCGCCCAACTCACAAAAATACAATTATTAGTGATGCTCACCTAGAGTGAAACTATTTACTCATTTGCCCACAGCTAGCAAGGCTTGATAGAATGAAATGAAAATACTGAGAACCAGAGCAAATTTTTAGAAGGCTCCAAAAAGATATGTTAACTATAAAAGTAAATATACATATTTGCAGTTTCTCAAGACCATAAACCATAGCTGATATTTCTTGGTTTTCCACATTCTACCTTGAATAGTTTGGAAAAGTCATTTATATCAGCCCGAACTTCTTAACTATAAAATGGATCTCAAAGTAAAACTATTCCTTTAGTTGTTACGAGAAACAAAAGAAAAAATAAAAACTACTTATAAGAACTGCAATATAATGCCCTTTGTACTCATTAATATTTTATTTATGAATTGGTACAAGGTATTATACAGCAACATTATCAATACACTTTACAATTTCTCCACATACCACGATGGTATGTTTCTTCACATATCACAATATTGGCCCTTTGTGGATGAAACACATTTACTCTTATAATGAAACAGTGCTTGATAATAGGCACATCCATTTACCAAACAGTCCCAAAAGATTTGTACATTTTTAGAAGGTTCCGTCTGATCAACCCAGAATTTTCACTAGACAAATCATGCTGATTCTACCATAAACACTCACATTAATTCTTCAACACTAATAGACTTTTAAAACTTTTATACATCATTAAACTTGAAAAAGATTAGTTACGAATTTTAAGCAAAATTCATCAGATGCCTCTCATCTTCATAAGAGAATTGATTAACGAAAACAATTTAAACATTATCAGCTATGGTTTATGGTCTTGAGAAACTGCAAATATGTATATTTACTTTTATAGTTAACATATCTTTTTGGAGCCTTCTAAAAATTTGCTCTGGTTCTCAGTATTTTCATTTCATTCTATCAAGCCTTGCTAGCTGTGGGCAAATGAGTAAATAGTTTCACTCTAGGTGAGCATCACTAATAATTGTATTTTTGTGAGTTGGGCGAGTACCGTTTAAAGCATGCTCTTTTGGATTATGCTAGATAATAATTTGGAGAAGTATTAAATGTGTATCCTTGTAAACTGAAATAATTTAAACATATAAGTATATAATTAGTATGTTTAAATTCTGTTATTTGAACAATCATAATAATATTGATTTAAAGTGATATTTATTAATTGCTTGTTTTTAGATAAGATTTTGTTTACTCCTAAAGTCATACTGCCACTAAGTTGGACGGGTAGAACTTGAACCATAGTTCTAAATTCAACGACTCTGTGTTATTATAATCTTTGCTACCATTATTGAGAAAAAGTTATCTATACCCAGAACTTTAACATTTTATACAGTTAATTGGAAAAATAATTTCAGGCTCGGAGACTTTTATGACCTTTCTTGACTATACTATTGGTCATAGTATAATGAAGACATATGAAGGTTTTCTTTCTAAAAAATTCTATTCAAGCATGTAATCTCAGTAACAAACATGTTTTGGATTTGAAAAATAATTTAGGGACATATGAAACAGAATGTTTTTGTGTGTATACTTGCACATTTGTGAGGGTTTAATAAGTTCTTATGGAGAGGTAAATTTCTTTCTTTTTCAAGAGACAGGATTCTGCTCTGTCACCAAGGCTGCAGTGCAGTGTTGTGGTCATAGCTTACTGTGACCTTGAACTCCTGGGCTCAAGTATTCCTCCTCCTCAGCCACCCCAGTAGCTAGGATGACTACAGATTAACCATCATGCCTGTCTAATTTAATTTAATTTAATTTTTTTATAGAGATGGTGTCTAACTGTGTTGCTCAGGCTATTCTCAAACTCCTGGCCTCAAGCAATCCTCATGTCTCAACCTCCCAAGTTGCTGAGATGACAGGCATGAGCCACTATGACTGGCCTGGAGAGGTACATTCTAACCAAATAATTAGGTATGATCTTCCTAGTGAGTGCTGGAGGCTCACTGATTTCTCTTTAAAATATGGTTTCTTTATTCTGTGAGCTGCTTCATTTATTTATTCTTCATTAACTAATTCATTTGTTGTTATTTGATTTGAGGACTAAATAATGTATTGGGTATGATGGACCAAAACATGACAAAAGAGTGAGGTACCCAGAATCATTAGATGTGGGAAGACAGGATATGAGGCCAAGAGAGGTGGGAAAACAGAAAATGAAGCTGGTGAATTGAACAGAAACAGCACCTAGACCTTGTCATCCAGGATAAAGATTTTGGTCACTATGGTTAGAGCAATGAAAATCTACTAAAATGCTACATAAAATGGGTATTATAATCAGGATTTTAAAAGTCCTCTTCCAGTTGTTAAATACAAAAGTTAAACTAGCAATTTACCAAGACTACCATATAATAAATAATAACCATTTATAATCACATGCTACTTGATACCTTTGTTTGGGACAATTTAATACATTGTCAACATTTCATTTTCTGATTTTCAAATGGAGACAATACTAAAAATATTTGCAGTTCAGGGTTATGATAACTAAACAATGCTAAATTTGTAAAGAGCTTAACAAAGTGACTGATACATAGATAACACATAAAGATTTACTAAGTAAAACAAATATTTAATTTCTTCTCATTGCTGCACTTTGTATTTATTGCATTGATTTAAAAAGAACATTAACATTGTCAAAATTTCGCTCTTCATCTATGTATTGCAGTCTTATTTAGTTTCGGTAAAATCTCATTTGGTAATCATATACTAGAAATTTTGAGCTATTATTAGTACTCAGGAACTGAGTAAGTAAACTTGCAGTAACAGCATGAAATAATCTTCTCTTACAAAATGAGAGCAACAGAAATGAAATCATACACATTTCCAACCTTTTCCCTTAAATTATTCTGTGTATCATTCCCAAGATACAAACCTGAAAAAGGAATGCCACTTTATTTTCTATACTAAAAAAATCAATTTTAGTCTACTCTAGCTTAAAAAAAAAGAAAGCCAGTTGTTTCACAATTAACAGGAATAAAATATTTTTCAAATTATGTAAGGTTGAGTTTTACTTCCCATAAGACAATTAAAAATATGATAATTTTTCTTCATGACTTTAAAAACACAGTTAGTATAATTCACTTTTTAAGCAATGTCACTTTTCTTTTCAGAATTACAGAATTCTACTTCATTAGTCAGGGTTCCTGAAAGAAACAGAAAAGGTAAAAGACTGTCTCTCTACATGACAGTCTTTATAAATTTCTAAGGGGGAGAGATATATATATAATAAAAGAGACTGATTGAGTGATCATAAGGAATTGGGTCACATGACTATGGAGGCTGCAAAGTCCCAAAGTCTATAGTCAGCAAGCTAGAAACCCAGGAGAGGCATTGAGGCATTGGTGTAAGTTCTATTTAAGGACAGGAGAACACCAATGTTCAAGCTCAAGCAGAGGGGTCAAAATGTTACCTTTCATTCAGACTTTGTGTTCCTTTCAGGTTTTTAATGACTGCATGAGGCCTATCCGCACTACTCAGTCAATGGGATTCAAATATTAATCTCATTCAGAGGCACCCTAACAGACACAACAAAAATAATGCTCCACCAAATGTCTGGGTACTCCTTATCCCAGTCAAATTGACACATTGAATTAATCATCATGTCCAATAAGACCAAAAAATTTATTTTGAGCAATAGTACCAAAGACATAATTAATTTATAAATTAATACTGAAAATGCATCTGGTGTTTGTTATTCTTTTTTTGCAGCCCTTCATGCATTTGTAAAATTTTTTATATTGTAATTGGTGTTCGAGGAACAGGCAGTGTTTAGTTACATGAACTAGTTCTTTAGTGGTGATTTCTGAGATTTTGGTGCACCCATCACCCAAGTAGTGTAGACTTTAGCCAATGTGTGGTATTTTATTTCTCACCTGCCTCCCACCCTTTCCCCGAAGTCCCCAAAGTCCATTGTATCATTCTTAGGCCTTTGTATCTTCATAGCTTAGCTCCCACTTATGACTGAGAACAATGTTTTTTTCATTCCCAAGTTACTTCACTTAGAATAATGTCTCCAACTGTATCCAAGTTGCTGCAAATGCCATTATTTCATTATTTTTTACGGCTGACCAGTATTCCATGGTGTGTATATATACATGGTGTGTGTATGTATATATAAATATATATTACCATATTCTCTTTATCCACTTCTTGACTGATGGGCTTTTGTGCTTGTTCCATATTTTTGCAATTGCAAATTGTGCTGCTATAAACATGCGTGTACAAGTATCTTTTTTGTATAATGACTTCTTTTCCTCTAGGTAGATATCCAGTAGTGGGACTGCTGGATTAAATGGTAGATCTACTTTTAGTTCTTTAAGGAATCTTCACACTGTTTTCTGTAGTGATTGTACTAGTTTCCCTTCCCATCAACAGTGTAAAACTGTTCCCTTGTCACCGCATCCATGCCAACATGTATTATTTTTTTATTATGGCCATTCTTTCAATAGTAAGATTGTAATTCATTGTGATTTTGATTTGCATTTCCACAATCATTAGTGACATTGAGCATGTTTTAATATGTTTGTTGTCCATTTGTATATTTTCTTTGGAGAATTGTCTATTCATGTCCTTAACCCACTTTTTGGTGGAATGATTTGTTTTTACTTGTTGATTTGTTTGAGTTCATTGTAGATTCTGGATATTAGTCCTTTGTTGCATGTATAGTGCATGTATAGATTGCAAGTCCATCTATAGATTGCAAAGATTTTCTCCCACTCTATGAGTTGTCTGTTTACTGTGCTGATTATTTCTTTTGTTGTGTAGAAGCTTTTTAGTTTAATTAAGTCCCGTCTATTTATTTTTGTTTCTGTTGCATTTGCTTTTGGGTTCTTGTTCATGAAGACTTTGCCTAAACCAATGTGTAGAAGGGTTTTTCTAATGTTATCTTCTAGAATTTTTATGCTTTCAGGTCTTAGATTTAAGTCTTTGATCCATCTTGAATTGATTTTTGTGTAAAGTGAGAGATGAAGATCCAGTATTATTATTCTACCTGTGGCTTGCCAACTATCCCAGCACAATTTGTTGAATAGGGTGTCCTTTCCCCTACTTTATATTTTTGTTTGTTTTGTCAAGGATCAGTTGACCATGAGTATTTGGCATTATTTTTGGGCTCTCTATTCTGTTCCCTTAGTCGATATCCCTATTTTTATACCAGTATCATGCTGTTTTGGTGACTATGGCTGTATAGTAATGTTTGAAGTAAATTAATGTAATGCCTCCAGATTTCTTCTTTTTGCTTAGCCTTGCTTTGGCTATGTGAGCTCTTTTTTGTTCCATATGAATTTTAGGATTTTTTTTTCTAATTCTGTGAACAATGATGGTAGTATTTTGATGGGAATTGCATTGAGTTTGTAGATTGCTTTCAGCAGTATGGTCATTTTCATATTCTTGATTCTACCCATCCATGAGCATGGGATATGTTTCCATTTGTTTGTGTAGTCTATGATATCTTTCAGCAGTGTTTTGTAGTTTTCCTTGTAGAGATGTTTCACTTTCTTGGTTAAGTGTATTCCTAAGTATTTTATTTTATTTATTTTATTTATTTTGCAGCTATTGTGAAAGGGATTGAGTTCTTAATTAGATTCTCAGTTTGGTCACTGTTGGTATATAGCAGGGCTACTGATTTGTGTACATTAATTTTGCACATTAATTAATTTTGACACTTTGCTTAATTCATTTACCAGTTCTAGGAGCTTTCTGGAGGAGTCTTCAGGGTTTTCTGGTTATACAATCATGTCATCAGCAAATAGCGACAGTTGGATTTCCTCTTAGCTGATTTGGAGGCCTTTTATTTCCTTCTCTTGTCTGACTTCTCTGGCTAGGACTTCCAGTACTATGTTGAACAGAGATGGTGAAAGTGGGCATCCTTCTTTTTTCCAGTTCTCAGGGGGAATACTTTCAACTTTCCCCCATTCAGTATAATGTGAGCTGTGGTTTTGTCATAGATGGCATTTATTACCTTAAGGTATGTCCCTTCTGTGCCAATTTTGCTGAAGGTTTTAACCATAAACGGATGCTGGATTTTGAGAAATGCATTTTCAAATGAAATAATCATGTGAGGTATTTTTTTAAAATTCTCATTGAGTGGTGTTTCATAATTATTGACTTGCAGATGTCAAACTATCCCTGAATCAAGTAGGTTTGAAACCTAATTGATCATGGTGGATTATCTTTTTGATATGCTGTTAGATTTGGATAGCTAGCATTTTATTGAGGATTTTTGCATCCCTGTTCATCAGGAATATTGTTCTATACTTTTCTTTATTTGTGAAGTCCTTTCCTGGTTTTGGTGTTAAACTGGTACTGTCTTCATAGGATGATTTAGGGAGGATTCCTTCTTTCTATATCTTTTGGAATAGTGTCAATAGCATTGGCACCAAGTGTTTTTTGAATATCTGATAGAATTCAGCTGTGAATCATTCTGCTCCTGGGGTTTTGTTGTTGTTGTTGTTGTTGGTAACTTTAATTACAGTTTAAATCTCACTACTTGTTATTGGTCTGTTCAGAGTTTCTGTTTCTTCCTGATTCAATCTAGGAGTGTTGTATATTTCCAGGAATTTATCCATCTGCTCTAAGTTTTCTAGTTTATGCATGTTGGGGTGTTCATAGTAGCCATGAATGATCTTTTGTATTTCTGTGGTATAGGTTGTAATATCTCCCATTTTTTTTCTAATTGAGCTTATTTGGATCTTTTATCTTCTTTTCTGGGTTTATCTCACTAATGGTCTATCAATTTTATTTATCTTTTCAAATAACCAGTTTTTTGTTTCATTTATTTTTTGTATTTTTTCTTTGTTTCAATTTCCTTTAGTTCTGTTCTGATCGTTGTTATTTCTTTTCTTCTGCTGGGTTTGGGTTTGGTTTGTTCTTGTTTCTGTAGTTCCTTGAGGTGTGACCTTAGATTTTCTATTTGTGCTTTTTCAGACTATTTGATATAGGCATTTAAGGCTATGAACTTTCTTCTTAGCACCACCACTGGCGAATCCCAGAGGTTTTGATAGGTTGTGTCAATATCATCATTCAGTTCAATGAATTATTTAATTTCCATCTTGATTTCATTGTTGAGCCAATGATCATTCAGGAGCAGGATATTAATGGAAAAATCTCCAGTAGATAGCATAAATAAAAAACAAGCATAACTTCTGAAAATAAAGGACACAGAGAATTGCAAAATGCACTGGAAAGTCTCAGCAATAGAAGAGAACAAGTAGAAGAAAGAACTTCAAAGCTCAAAGACAAGGCTTTGGAATTAACCCAATCCAATGAAGACAAAGAAAAAAGAATTTTAAAAAATAGACAATGCCTCCAAGAAGTTTGGGATTATGTTAAACGACAAAACCTAAAAACAATTGGTGTTCCTGAGGAAAGAGAGAAATCCGAAAGTTCGGAAAGCATATTTGATGGTATGATTGAGGAAAATGTTCCTGGCCTGGCTAGAGACTTAAACATTCAAAACAAGAGGGTCAAAGAACATCTGGTAAATTCACCATAAAAAGATCATCACCTAGGCACATAATCGTCGGGTTATCCAAAGTCAAGCCGAAGAAAATAATCTTAAGAGCTTTGAGGCAAAAGCATCAGGTAACCTATAAAGGAAAACCTATCAGACTAACAGCAGAAGCCCTACAAGCTAGGAGGGATTGGGGCCCTAACTTTAGCCTCCTTAAACAAAATAATTATCAGCCAAGGATTTTGTATATAGCATGGTGACTCTGTGATTGGCATAATAGTCCACCTTCTGAATTCTTTTTCTGACAATTCAGAGATTTCATCTTGGTTTGGATCTATTGATGGTGAGCTAGTGGGATCTTTTAGGGGTGTTAAAGAACCTTGTTTTGTCAGATTGCCAGAATTGTTTTTCTGTTCCTTCTCATTTGGGTAGACTATGCCAGAAGGAAATTCTGGGACTCGAGAGCTGCTGTTCGATTATTTTGTCCCATGGGGTGCTCCCTTGATGTGGTGCTCTCCCATTTCCCCTATGGATGGGGCTTCCTGAGAGCCAGACTTCAGTGATCGTTATTTGTATTTTGGATCTAGCCATCCAGCAGGGGCTATCAGGCTCCAGGATGATACTGGAAAGTGTCTACAAACAGTCCTGTGATGTGATCCATCTTCAGGTCTTTCAGCCGTGGATACCAGCACCTGCTCTGGTGGAGGCAGCAGAGGAGTGAAGTGGACTCTGTGAGGGTTCTTGGTTGTATTTTTGTTGAGTGCGCTGGTTTTATGTTGGTTGGCCTCCAGCCAGGAGGTGGCGCTTTCAAGAGTGTATCAGCTGTACTTAAGTAGGGAGGGTACGAGCTTGTCCTAGGGTCACGTTTGGATAAGTATTCAGGTTTCTCATGAAGTGGGCAGGGCCATAGAGGGATTATGTCCCTTTTCTTCAGCTACCAGGGTGGGTAGAGAAAGACCATCAGGTGGGGGCAGGGTTAGGCATGTCTGAGCTCAGACTGCCCGTGGGTGGGGCTTGCTGTGGCTGCCTTGCGGGATGGGGGGTGTGGTTTTTCAGGCCAATGGAGTTATGTTCCCTGGGGGATTGCGACTGCCTCTGCTGCATCACCCGGGTTTCCAGGGAAGTGGGGGAACGCCAGCTGCCGCAGGCCTCACCAGCTCCTAAAAGAGCTTGCAGCCCAAAAGGCCAGCCTTACTCCCACACCATATCCCCCTAACAGCACCAAGTTTATTTCCAAGCAGCTGGTGAGCAGGGCTGAGAAATTGCCCCAGGCTTCAAGCCTCCCAGCTGAGAAAGCAAGCCGACTCACAGTTCCTCAGCTGTTCCATGGACCCTGCAGCGGTAATCCACCTCCTTCAAGGGTCTGTGCATTCTCTCGGCTTTCCTGGTATGTTCCTGCGGTAGTTCTTGGAGCAAAAGTTCATGAGGTGGGTCTCCACATGCTGCTCTGTCTTTCCATTTGTGAGCTGCAAGTTAGTTCTGCCTCCTCTCTGCCATTTTCCCCTCTCGTGTTTGTTATTCTATGTGGAATACGCTTTATACTTTTGTAACATCAAATCAATTACAGTTAACAACAAAATTAACACTTCGAAAAAAGGAAAACATTCTCACTAAAACAGATATTTAGTGGACAATAATTTCTGCTGCCCTTTTGCTTGGATGATGTAGGCTTTATAGGAAATCATAGGTTTGAGCTGCATAGAAGTAGCGGATTGTATGCTCCATAGATGACTACAAATAATATCTCCAACCCACATGCTATTCTTACAATGTAACTTTGAAGTTATTCTAACTAAAATATGAGTGTCTGCATTTCTTCATTTGGAGCTGGGTGGTAGACTTTTAATTTTGGCAGATATCACGTGATATGACATCTGAGGCTCGTTCATTTAAGGAAGAGTTGAGATCTTTGAAGCCATGAATATTAATGTAAGAAGTCCAAGGTTTCTATGCTCCGAGGAAGGACAGGGTATGTGAAGTACTGGTCTGGAGGACAAAGCCAATAGAAATCTTGCCTTCTGCCAGCATCTGCCAACAGATGTGTGAGTGAGCATGCCACCACTTGACACCACTTGATTCCTTTGCACAGAAATTGAAGCCTCTCCAGTGAAGCTTCTGCTCTCATGAGCAGATGAAAATTCTTTTTGCTTATCTTCTGAATTCCTGCCCCAGAGTACCTGTAAGCATAATAAAATGATTGTTTTAAACTGAACATTTGGAGTAGTTGAATATGCGTTTGTAAATAATTGGAGCTGATAATGGAACCGCTTGTAGGATCTGCCATAACCCAAACCTAAAATATACAACATTTCTTTGAGCCTTAAGGTTTCTGTTAATGACAGCCTAAAGGGAGCTAGGAATAGTCTTAATGAAGCCTGCAAGGCCTGGAGAAATCTGTCAGTGAAAGCTTAAAGGAGATTAAGGGAAATGACAGTGGGAACTAGAAGAGAGGTGACACATCATACAGTACCACTAAATTTGACAATACTCTCGCCTGAGTTAATTTGCAAAAAAGTAAACACCTCAGTGAACTCAATGATCTAGTGAAGGAAATCTCCAGGCAAAATTTTTGAAGATGCCACCTGGCCTTTTCTCTCTGCATTTAAATCAAATAAAAGAGAAGAGATAGGAGCTAAAGAATTGATGGTTAAATATTTAAGTAGTCAAGGATTGCAAAGTTTTAAATTAAAACTGCATCTTTTGCCAACCTCTCCAGATGGCAAACCATTCATTTAAGAAATAGCTTCCAGGAAAAGATTCAATCCAAGGTAGAACTGCAAGATCTTATGTCAAGACCTTAGAAAAGATCTAAGATGAGGTCTTATGTAACCTTTCAGACAGACAAAAATTCTTCCAGAGAGCATGAGGTTATTCCTCAAAGGTCTTCTCTATTAAACAAATGGTTTTCTAAGAATCTTAAGGACTGCCCTACAGCAGTACCATAGGGAGACCAAATAGATGTGAGATTATCTTGATGAGATTGTGGGTGTGACTCTTGTCTATGGAATAATTTATAAATTGACACATATTCCAAAGCTTTAAAAGTTTTGTTTAACGGAGTTCATAAACTTATACTTAAAAGGATAGTTAAAAAGAAAGATTTTTGTCCTTCAACCTTCTACAAGCAAAACAAAGAAGGCTAAAAATCTTCTCAGAGAAATATATATATACTACCCCCGATGAAAAGAAAAGGATGATTTAGATGGTGAAACAAGAAATCTAGTAGGCAGATTCAAAAGCCCCAGAGAATAACTGAGTCTTAATCTAATAAATAACCCGATGAATTTTCAAATAACTATTGACCAATGACTGTGGTGTGCCTCCTGATTTTCTCATTTTAAACTGGGAACGTCTATCGTGGTTACATAAGTCTATGCCGCCATAGTATGATGACTATGTAGTAGAGTAGAGAAATACATTTTCAGTTCACCTTTAAGCATATGTATTATTACTTCCCTGGTCCTATATATGTCTGCTTATCACTTGGGTTAATATAAGCATCCCAGTTTTTCACCTACTGCATGACAATATATTTGCAAAAAAAGACTGAAGTAATTTTTTTCAACATTCAAATCAAATGATGTCCCTCTTTGCCCAAAATTCTGCAATAGCTTCACATCTCACTCAAAAAAAAAATAGTCTTTACTCTGAACAGAAGACCAGCCACCTTCTGTACCAGGATACTGAATGGCTGATTCTAATATTTCTTTCTGTTTGGACAGTAAGCCCATACTCTTTGCAACATAGCTCTGTGTGCTCTGCCATTGTAGATTAAAAATACTTGTCTCCCATATTAATATTAGACTTGGCTACGTAATTTGCTTTGGCAATGAAATATGAGTCTTTTTGGCATAAATAGAGACACAAAATATGCTTTTTTTTGGTCTGGTTTTCCATCTACTATTATCCCTAAAAAGAACACACCTCAGCTGCAGATCTAAAGAGGGACAAATGGAGCAGCTCTTGACTCGTTTTATAGACAAATAACAAATGCATCTGGCCCTCATCCAGAAGTAGAAGAGCCCAGTCAAGTTCACACTAGATCAGCTGAACTCCAGGAGACCTGTAGACACTTGAGTGTGGAAAACACATTTTTTTTTTTCTGGTAAACCAGATATCTGTATGCCTGCTTCCTTGTTTTAATCAGAAATATTTTCACAAATGTTACCTCTACCCCTCCCACATTTTAACCATCTGGATTTTTCCTTTTAGTATTTGCACATCTCATAATTGCATATTTATTGTTAATGTCTTTTAATTGTCTGCTTCCCTCTCAAACCTACAAACGTTATGAGAAAGGGGACGTACGTTTTTGTTTTGGTTTTTGGTGTGTTCACAGCACCCCAACTATTGCATAGTTCATAATAGGACCTCAAAATGTGTTTAATAAACTAGGGAAATACGTACATACTTGACTGTGTTAATTCACTATGAGTTTTTATTCATGTTTCAGGATACATCTGAAAAAAAACTATGTAGGTTGACCTGTATTAGGTAAAAGACTATTAGAGGTGTAAATCATTTATGTTTTATTCTGATTTGATGTGATTTCTGTGTGTGGTGAAACCCACAGTATAATATAGAGAATATTTCTGCATAAGGCCAATTTATCCTGTGGTACCAGAGGGGATTTGCTACAGAAATCATCAAAGGACCTCATTAGAGTTTATCTTTACCTACATGGTGAGTTCATGCAATGAACATTAGAGACAGGATTTTAATGAGTACAGTTTACAAAATATTGCTTTCATTACATTCTATAGGAAATAATAACACTGAGTGAAAGTAATTTTAAATATTTTAAAGGATTATTGATTTAATCAAAACAGAAATACATATAATCTTCTAATGAAGATTTTACTTTATTGTCATTCTGTATAATACCATACACAGCAAAGATGTATTAGCTTCATTAAAGAAGTCTTGCATCTGAGATTCTTGTTTTTCTAACCAGCAAAATATTAAGAGGCAAAACTTTCCTTTTCGATATTTTTCTACCTTATAACATAACTTTCCAAGTATATCTCTTCTATATGATTATTGTAGGTTTGGTACCTATGAATATTGGAGGCATATAAGAAGTCAGTCCTCTAATAATGAGCATCACATGAGGTGTCTGTTGATTACCAATGAATGCAGAATACTTAAACCACTTGTTCACTTCTGGTTTAATATTAGACAATTTTATTGTTATTGTAATAATGCCTTTGTTGTAATAATGCTTTTTGATACTGTTATATAATAATGTTTTTTCATTTAAGAATTGTTTTTATAATATATCTCATTATCTTTTTATAAATAACATTCAAATTATTTTATAATGAGATGTTAATAAAATATTTTATTTTATTTTTTATTCTTAATTTTTGTGCATACATAGTAGGTGTATATAATTATGGAGTACATGAGATATTCTGATAACAGAACATGAAATAAGCACATAATGAAGAATGGGGTATCTATCCCTTTAAGCATTTATACTTTTAGTTATAAACAATCCAATTGCACTCTTTGTTATCTTAATATGTACAATTGTTATTATTGAATATAGTCACCCTGTTGTGCTATCAAATAGTAGGTCTTATTCATTCTCTCTAACTAATTTGTGTACTCATTAACCATCCCCACTGCCTCCCTGCCCCTCCTTCCATTTTGAGCCTCTGGTAATCATCTTTCTACTCTCTATGTCCATGAGTTCAATTGTTTGGATTTTTAGATCCCACAAATAAGTGATAACACATGATGTTTTTCTTTCTGTGCCTGGTTTATTTCACTTGACATGGTGATCTCCAGTTCTATTCATGTTGTTGCAAATGAATGGATCACATTCTTTTTTATGACTGAGTAGTACTCCATTGTGTATATGTACCACATTTTCCATATCCATGTATCTGTTGATAGACACTCTTTTCATGCTGCTGATAAAGACATACCAGAGACTGGGTAATTTATAAAGAAAAAGAGGTTTAGTGGACCCACAGTGCCATGTAGCTGGGGAGGCCTCACAATTATGGTGGAAGATGAAAGGCATGTCTTACATGGCAGCAGACATGAGAGAAATGAGAGCCAAGCAAAAGGAGAAACCTATTATAAAATCATCAGATCTCATGAGACTTATTCACTACCATAAGAACAGTATACGGGGGAAAGCGCCCCCATGATTCAATTATCTCCCACCAGGTCTCTCCCACAACAGGTGGGAATTATGAGAGTTACAGTTCAATATGAGATTCGGGAGGGGACACAGCCAAACCATATCAGACACATAGGTTGATTTAAAATCTTAGTTATTATTATAAATAGTGCTGCAACAAACATGGGAGTGCAGACATCTCTTTGATATACTGATTTCCTTTCTCTTGGGTATATACCCAGCAGTTTGGGGGTGCTAGATTATATGGTAGTTCTATTTTTAGTTTTTTGAAGAACCTCCAAACTGTTTTCCATAGTGGTCATACTAATTTATATTCCCATCAATAGTGTACAGGGGTTCCCTTCATATCCTCAGCAGGATGTGTTATTGACTGTCTTTTGGATATAATTCCTTTTAACTAGGGTGGGATAATATCTCATAGTAGTTTTGATGTGCATTTTTCTGATGATCAGTGATGTTGAGCACTTTTTCCTAAGCCCATTTGCCATTTCTATGTCTTCTTTTGAGAAATGTCTATTCAGACTGTTTCTCCATTTTTTATTGGATTATTTGATGTTTTCTATAGCCTTGTTTGAGATCCTGAAGTATTCTGGTTATTAATCCTTTGTCAGATGGGTAGTTTGCAAATATTTTCTTCCATTCTGGGAGTTGTCTCCTCACTGTCTTGGTTGTATCCTTTGCTATGCAGAAGCTTTTTAACTTATGTGATCCCTTTGTCAAATTTTTCTTTGGTTGCCTGTGCTTGTGGGGTATTGCTCAAAACATTTTTGTCCAGACCAATATCCTGGAGATAATCCCTAATATTTTCCTGTAGTAGCTTCATAGGTTTAGGTCAGAGATTTAGGTCTTCATCCATCTTGATTTGATTTTTGTATATGGTGAGAGATAGGGGTTTAGTTTCCTTCTTCTGCATATGGATGTCCAGTTTTCCCAGCACCATCTATTGATCTTTTCCCCAGTGTATGTTCTTGGCAGCTTTGTCAAAAATGAGTTAACTGTAGGTGTGTAGGTTTCTTTCTGGGTTATCTATTCTGTTTCCTTTATGTGTCCGTTTTTATGCCAATACATGCTCTTTTAATTACTATAGTTCCATAGTATAATTTGAAGTTAGGTAATGTGATTCCTCCAGTTTTGTTCTTTTTGCTTCGGAAAGCTTTGGCTATTCTGGATCTTTTGTGGTTCCATATGCACTTTAGGATTCTTATTTTATTTTTGAAGAATGTCATTGGAATTTTGATAGGAACTGCATTGAATCTAGATTACTTTATTTAATATAAATATTTTAACAGTATTATTAATAATTCTTCCAATCAATGAACATGGAATCTTTTTCCTTTTTTTGGGGGGGGTGGGTGTCTTCTATTTCTTTCATCACGGTTTTATAGTTTTCATCATAGAGATCTTTCACTTCTTTGGTTAAGTTCATTCCCAACTATTTATCTTTATATGTGGCTATTGTAAATAGGATTATTTTTACTTCCTTTTCACATTGTTCATTGTTAGTATATAGAAATACTACTGAATTTTGTATGCTGAGTTTTTATCCTGCAACTTCATTGAATTTGTTTATATGCACCTACAGTTTTCTTGTGGAAAACTAATAAAAACTCTGTGCTTAACTTCATCTGCCTGCTTTTTAGCTTTTCATTTTTTCTTTATATCTTTTTGTACTATAGTCAGTACAAAAAGACATAAAGACATAGTCAGTCTTGAAAAGTTGTAGTTGTTAATTATTTTTGTTTAGTTCATTTTGTAGTCTTTTTACTTAGGATAAAAGTAGTTTACACACCATAGTTACGGTGTTATATTATTCTGTGCGTTTCTCTGTACTGACCATTACCAGTGAGTTTTATACCTTCTGGTGATTATATATTGCTCACTAATGTCATTTTCTTTCTGTTTCAATTACTCTCTTTAGCATTTTTTTTGTAGGAAAGGCCTGGTATTGATGAAATCCTTCAGCTTTTATTTGTCCGAGGAAGTCTTTTTTTTAATTGTTATGTTTTATTTTAATATTAAAATGTTTCTCCATTTTCTAAATGACATTTGTAGGCAATGTGATAAATCTGAATTTTTTTTATATTTTGATAGGCTATTAAGATACAGGTGGTGTTTGGTTACATGAGTAAGTTCTTTAGTGGTGATTTGTGAGGTTTTGGTGCACCCATCACCTGAGCAGTATACACTGCACCCTATTTGTAGTCTTTTATCCTTTACTCCTCTCCCACTCTTCCCTCAAAGTCACCAAAGCCCATTATATCATTCTTATGCCTTTGCATCCTCATAGCTTAGCTCCTACATATCAGTAAGAACATACGATGTTTGGTTTTCCACTCCTGAGTTACTTTACTTGGAATAATAGTCTCCAATCTTATCCAGGTTGCTGCAGATGCCATTAATTCATTCATTTTTATGGCAGAGTAGTATTCTGTCATATATATATCACAGTTTCTTTATTCACTGATTGATTGATGGACATTTGGGTTGGCTCCACAATTTTTAAATTGTGAATTGTGCTGCTATAAACATGCGTGTGAAAGCATCTTTTTCGTATAATGACTTCCTTCCCTCTGGGTACATACCCGGTGGTGGGATTGCTGTATCAAATGGTAATTTTACTTTTAGCTCTTTAAGGAGTCTTCACGCTGTTTTCCATAGTGGCTGTACTAGTTTACATTTCCACCAGCAGTGTTCCCTGATCACTGCATTCACGCCAACATCTACTGTTTGTTGATTTTTCGATTATGGCCATTCTTGCAGGTGTAAGGTAGTATCGCATTGTGGTTTTGATTTGCATTTCCCTGATCATTGGTGATGTTGAGCATTTCTTCATATGTTTGTTGGCTATTTGTATATCTTCTTTTGAGAATCGTCTATTCATGTCCTTAGCCCACTTTTTGATGGACTATTTTGTTTTTTTTCTTGCTGATTTATTTGAGTTCATTGTAGATTCTGGGTATTAGTCTTTTGTCAGATGTATAGATTGTGAAGTTTTCTCCCACTCTGCGGGTTGCCTGTTTACTCTGCTGACTGTTCCTTTTGCTGTGCAAAAGCTCATTAGTTTATTTAAATACCAGCTATTTATCTTTGTTTTTATTGCATTTGCCTTTGGGTTTTTGGTCATGAAATCCTTGCCTAAGACAATACCTAGAAGAGTCTTTCAATGTTGTCTTCTATAATTTTTATGGTTTCAGGTCTTAGATTTAAGTCCTTAATCAATCTTGAGTTGATTGTTGTATAAGGTGAGAGATGAGGATCCAGTTTCATTCAACTACATGTGGCTAGCCAATTATTCCAGCATCATTTGTTGTAAAGGGTATCCTTTTCCCATTTTATATTTTTGTTTGGTCTGCCAAAGATCAGTTGGCTGTTAAGTATTTGGGTTTATTTCTGGGTTCTCTATTTTGTTCCATTGTTCTATGTGCCTATTTTTATACCAGTGCCATGCTGTTTTGGTGGCTATCGTCTTATAGTCTGGTTTGAAATTAGGTAATGTGATGCCTCCAGATTTATTCTTTTTGCTCAGTCTTGCTTTGGCTATGTGGGCTCTTTTTTTGTTCTATATGAATTTTAGGATTGTTTTTCCTAGTTCTGTGAAGGATGTTGGTGGTATTTTGATGGGAATTGCATTGAATTTATAGATTTATTTTGACAGTATGGTCATTTTCACACTCTTAATTCTACCCATCCATGAGCATGAGATGTGTTTCATTGGTTTGTGTCATCTATGATTTCTGTGTATTTACTATTACCAGTGAGTTTTGTACCTTCTGGTGACTATACATTGCTCATTAATATCCTCTTCTTTCTGATTGAATCACTCCCTTTAGCATTTCCTGTAGAAAAAGGTCTGATATTGATGAAATCCTTCAGCTTTTATTTGTCCCAGAAAGTCTTTTTTAAATGTTTATTATGTTTTATTTCAATATTAAAATGATTCTTCATTCTCTAAGTGACATTTGTAGGCAATATGATAAACCTTCATGTTGAAGGATATTTTCAACATATAATATTATTCTAATACGACTACAGGGTAAAGGTTTTTTTTGTTTGTTTGTTTATGTGTTTGTGTTTTCCCCTCGGCACTTCCAATATATCATGCCAGTCTCTTCTGGACTGTAAGGTTTCCACTAAAAAGTTGGCTTCGGGATGTATTGAAGCTCTATTGTATCTTATTTGTTTCTTTTCTCTTGCTGCTTTTAGAATTCTTTCTTTATCTTTGACCTCTTGTATTCTGATTATTAAATGCCTTCAGGGAATCCTCTTTGGATTAAGTCTGCTTGGTGTTCTATAATCATCCTGTACTTTGATATTGATATCTTTCTCTACGTTTGGCAAGTTCTCCATTTTTATTCCTTTGAATACACTTTCTATTCCTATTATCTTTGTCTGCCTCCTCCTTTAATGCCAACAACTCTTAGATTTGCCTCTTTGTTGCTATTTTCTAGATCCTGTAGGCATGCTTTATGTTTTGTATTCTTTTTTCTTTTGTCCCCTGATATAGTTAGGCTTTGTGTTCCCACCAGATCTCATCTTGAATTGTAATCCCCATAATCCTCACGTGTCTAGGGAGAAACTGGATGGGAAGTGAGTAGATCATGGTGAGTGGGTTCTCATGAGATCTGATGGTTTTATAAGGGGGATTTCCCCCTTTCCTACTCACTCTTCCCTCTCCTGCTGCCTTGTGAAGAAAAATGTGTTTACTTCCCCTTCTGACATGATTGCAAGTTTCCTGAGGCCTCCCCAGCCATGTGGAACTGTGAGTCAATTAAACTTCTTTTTTTAATAAATTACTTAGTCTCAGATATTTCTTTGTAGCAGTGTAAAAATGGACTAACACATCTCCTCTAACTGTGTTTTCAAATAGTCTGTCTTCCAGTTCACTCATTCTTTCTTCTGTTTGATCAATACTTTTGTTAAAGGACTCTGATGTCATTCTTTAGTGTGCTAATTGCATTCTTCAGCTCCAGAGTTTTTGCTTTTTAAAAAATTATTTCAATCTTTTTGTTAAATTTATCTGATAGAATTCTGAATTCCTTTTCTGTGATATCTTGAATTTTTTTGAGTTTCTTCAGCACAACTATTTTGAATTATGTGTCTGAAAAGCCACATATTTCTGTTTCTCCAGAATTGATTCCCTGTGGTTTATTTAGTTCCTTTTGTGAGGTCATGTTTTCTTGGATGTTTTTGATGCCACTAGATGTTCTTTGGTGTGTGAGCATGGAAGAGTTGGGTATTTATTGTAGTCTTCACTGTCTGGGGTTATTTGTAGCCATCTGTCTCAGGAAGGCCTTCCAAATATTTGAAAGTACCTGGGTGCTGTGATCTAAGCTGTATCTGATTTAGGCAGTACCCCAAGCCCAGTAATGCTGTGGTTCTTGCAGACTCATAGACTTGAAAGTCTTAGACAAGATTTGAGATAATTTTCTGTATTACCAGGCAGAGGCTTTGTTCTCTTCCCTTACTTTCTCCAAACTTAGAGTTTCTGTCTCTGTTCTGAGTCACCTAAAGCTGAGGATAGAGTGACATACGCACCTCTGTGGCCACCACCACTATGACTGTGTTCAGTGAGACCTGAAGCCCTCAAAGTTCTAGGTCTCACCCAAGGCCTGCTCTGACCACTCCCCGGCTACCAACTATGTTCACTCAAGGCCCTGGGTCTCCACATTCTGCAGGTGGTAATGCCAGCCAGAATTCTGTCCTACTCTTCTGAGCAACAAGGTCCCCCAGGCCCTGGGCGGGTCCAGAAGTGCTGTCCAGGAGTCAGAGATTTGACTCAAAAACCATAGAAGTCTACCTGGTGTTGTATTGTATTGTGGCTGAGCTGGACTCAAACAACAAGATGCAGCTCTTTCCATTCTTCCTTCTCCTTCCCAAAGGCAGAGAAGCCTCACCTCATAGCCACTACCACCTGAGGCCACAAGAAGTACTGCCAGACTACCCTTGATGTTCCCTTAAGATCCAAGATGTCTTAAGTCAGCTTGTGGTGAATGCCACCTGGCCTGGGACTCACCCTTCAGGGCAGTGGGTGCCCTTCTGGGGCTCAGAGCATATGTAGAAATGCCATCTAAGAGTCAAGTCCTGAAATCAGGGACCCCAAGAGCCTGCTTGGTAGCTCTACCCCACTGTGGCCATGCTGGGACCTAAGGTAAAAGAAAAAGTCCCCTTCACTCTTCCCTCTGCTTTTTTCAAGCAGAAGTAGTTTTGCCCCAGAGCCACCACAGCTGGTGACATACTGTGGTGGTTCTGGGGACTTCATCTGAAGTTCACAAGTCTCAGAGGCTTTCCCAGGGCCCTCAAGGTAGTACCTGGGTATCACTGCTGGTTATTCAGGGCCCAGGGGCTCTTCAGTTAGCAGGTGATAAATGCTACCAGGACTGGGTCCTCTCCACCGATGCAGCAGGTTCTCTTCTGGCCAAGAATGTGTCTAGAAATGTTGTCTGGGAGCTAGGGCCTAGAATGGGGGCCTCACAACGGACTGATGCCCTATCCTGCTGTGGCTGAAATGGTATCCTGGATGCAAGACAAAGTCCTTCCCACTCTTTTCTCTCCTCTTCTCAAGAGGAAGACAGGGGTCTCGTTTGGAGCTACAAACTGCACAGCCTGGGGTCAGAAAAGAGGATGCCAGCACTCCCTTGGCTGCCCTAGCTGGTGTCTCAGCATGTCACATGCCCCCTAACACACTGTTTCTGGCCCTAGTTCAGCATTAAGAATTGCAGTCCTATGGCCTAGACTGCCTTTCAAGTTTACTTGGAGACACAAAGTGTTGTACCCTTCGGTGGTGAGGTTTGCAGGCACTAAAGTTCAGACATTTAAAAATATTGTAAATTAATTGCCAACATTTCACAATTAAGATAATTCACATAAAGTTGGGATTTCACTGGTTCCTCTCGAACCCATCTAGTTCAGGGTAGCCTATTTCTAAAATATTTACTTGACTCTTGTTGACATTTCAGTTTGAGACTCCTGTGTTACTTGAGACCCCTGAATTGCTATGGTAATTCAGTTGTTGTGGCATTGTTAGGGATTGAAGATTCCCCTCTGGTTAGGGCTGGTTTAAATGCTTCCTCTGTGGGCAGTTGTCAGCTAAGTTTGTTCTGATTTTCCTTTCTGCTCTTACAGAAGAGCACAGGGTTTAATGTTGCAAGATTGCTGTGTTTCCCCTCTCCCAGCACCAAGAGATGCTCTCAGCACCATGCCACCACTGCCGGGGCGTGGGGACAGGGTGGCGTTGGCAATTCTGGACTGTCTTTTCTGTCTCTTCAGTGTCTTTTTTAGTGATATGAAGTTAAAACTAGGTACTATGAGTGCTCACGTGGTTTTTGGTTCTCATGAGAGTGTATTTTCTGTGTAGATAGTTGTTAGCTTGGTGTCCTTGCTGGGGGAATGATCAGTGAAACTCTTTATTCTGCCATCTTGCTCCACCCCCGGGAATATAATTTTATACCATGAAGGAATTATTCTGGACATTGTAACTCAAAACTTTCATAGAATTAATATATACTTTTTCAAGAGAAAAGTATCTCAGAGTTTTGACATAGAGTGTAACTAAATCTGTATAGTGAGACAGCAGATTCCTTACTTATGAAATTTCATGTCTCTCTCAACTCCTGGAATTAATTATTCTATTGAGCTTTAATTTACATAAAGTAAAATAAGTGGATTTAAAGTGTCAAGTGTAATGGATTGTAAGGGATGTCTAAAACAATGTAATCTGCTCGCATTTATTAAGATATATCCCAAAATTCTATTTAGCCTTTCCCGGACAAGGAAAAGCTATCTTAATATGGCAATATCATTGATATGTAACAATTTAGAGCTCAGCATAGTATTAAAATGTCATCCTTATTGTATGACGAAGAAGGTAAAGAATCAGACTGTGCATGTGCTCATGTTTCTTATACTTCTTCAAAAGTGATGAAAATTATAACTATTTTACAGCTGATTAAAAATAAATGAATTAAAAATGTTACTTTAGGTTTCACTTTGATAATTTTATAAATATTTAAAAACACATAATTTTACATTTTGAAATGTTTGATATGGTAAAGAATGATGGCACTAACCTAATAACAAAGAAATTTAGGATTACTTTGCATATTTGAAACACCGTTATCAATTCTTTGGCTGTTTATTAATTGAAAGAAAAATATGTTTAATAATTTGCCTAAATAGGAAGTCACTACAAATTACTGCACTAATCTTGCTAAAATTTAATATGAATTATTAGTAATTTATTTCAATATTTTCTCTCCTAATTTGATGATTGTCCTCTAGATTGCTATTAATAGTTTTCCCTCAGTATCAGTTTCCCCTGTTTTTCTTCTTTATAGTAAAAGACCTGTATTTTATTTGTTTCCTTATTTTGTTTGGTTTTGGGCTGGATGTATGATTCTGTAGAAAACTAAAATCCTACTCCACATCATCTCTTGTATTAGATGGTAAATGTGATAAAGTGACTGTGACCTGACCAGTGGTACACACGGGGAAGAACTGTGCTTTACTTGCAGGTATTTTCCTAACAAGGCATGGTGCCCCCTTCCCTGTCCTCCACCTTATTCCACTAGACATGGAAATGAGATACATTTGATCAGGTAGATCAGAGAAACATGCCAGAGATGACAGATCTAAAGTGTAGTGGGAGTGTGGGGCCCCAGATAACTTGTGAAGGTAACCTTTATAAAAGCTTTAGCCATTCTCTTTCTAGATGGTTATGTGAGAACAAACTAAAGTATAGTTTAATTTTTGGATAACTTGTGAAGGTAACCTTTATAAAAGCTTTAGCCTTTTTCTTTCTAGATGGTTATATGAGAAAATCTAAAGTGTCTTGCTTAAGCCACTGTATTGTGAAGTTTCTGTTTGGATTAGCTAAAACCAAGTCAGAATTCATACTGTGATTTTATCAATCCAAAATTTTCTCAATAAGTAATTTGTTCCTGAAATGAAATACGTATAGTCAGAATATTTTCTACTTTTATTATATTTATTATTTACAGCCCTCTTGGTAAATTTAACAAATCAAATCATTAATATTTATTAGGTTTATCATCTATTTTTAGTTTTATCAGAACTAATTTCTTGAAAGGTTATTTTATTTTCCACATTTTAACAGTTCACAGACTCAAATGTAAAAACGCATTCTTAATATGTTTAGTGTCTTCTAATAACAATAAACATTGGGTCTAATTGTTATCATTAATGACTTTGAAAATACAGACATCAGTAGTATATATGTCTTCAGTGATCAGTATATTTAGTGAGTAAATATTTTTGAAAACATTATTTTATACAGCTACAGTTAACTATCTCAACAACATACAAAACAATTTTAAAATACCCATTTTAAATTTTGTGAGAAATATCCACTTAAATGAGAGAAATACCCACTTAAAATTCTCTCCTTGTATCTAATAACTTCCTTGTTTAACTTGTTTAAAAATGAAACAAATGATCTGGTGGGAAGGAACTGAGATTGAACATATCTTTTCTACAATAACCAGTTGTGTGTTATAGAGTAAAGAGTGGAATTAATTCTGGTAGTTTAGCAATCTGACTATTAATAAAATAAAAATGTGATTCTCATATGTATATTTCACTCATACATGAGAAGTGGTGTTGGTCATTTGAATATATTTTATAAACTGCTATGAGTGGAGAAACAGAGCATGAATTGTGTAGTTGAAGGATTTGTCTTATCAATTTAGTACTAATTATACAATTGTCAAGTTCTTAAATATGTAATCACAACAAAATTTTTTCAGCCTTCACATTTAATTAATATCCAGAGTTCTGAGGTTTCAATCTTTTTTATGGGTTAAAGAACTCTATTTGTTATAGCTATGGTGGTTTCTAGTGATATATTATTTTTTCCTACTGGCATAATATTTGTCTATGAATATTAATTTTTCACATTTAATACTATTATCTCAAACACAATGAAAAAATGAAAAGTAATGACTATGGAAATTCAGGTGTCAATTGATTTTACTTTGTTTCTAGGCATGTATCACATCTGCTGCTTTAGTTAACTGAACACACTGATTACTACAATGGTATAGAAAATAAAAGTAAGTCAAGAAGTTTTAGAATTAACCACTATTGTCAACAGACAAAATGTCAATATATTTAGTTTTTTTTTTTAATTGGCTTTTCCCAGTGATTTTGAAATCAAGCAGCATCTCACAAAATAGAATGAGTGCTCTGATGAGCTGAGCAAAAGGGGTTGGTTTTAGGGCAGAAAAGGGCTGAAGAAAGCATAAATGAGAAAAAAAGAAGCTGACTAGTCTTTTGAAAGTTACTTTTCTATAGTGTTAAAGCAGATGGGACTTCCTTATCATGACAGCTCAAGTAAGTTGGGCTTCTTCTGATGGGTTGCTGTGAATCTTCTGTTCTTCACAAAATTAGTCCAGTTTGATTACATGGCATTGAGCTCAAGGGACTCCATTCTGGTTTAGTCTGCTCTGTTGGGGCCTAATACAGGAGCTCAGTCTAAAACAATGACCTCCGATAAATTTTTATTTAATATTATTATTTCTATTAAAAATAAAAGAAATATATTTAATTTAATAGAAGAATTATATTTTGTTCCTGTGAATTATTGTATTTTTACTATTAATAATTTTATTTTTCTTCCAGGATATTATCTTCTGTTTCCATTAGCCAATGAAATAATAATAATAAAAAAGAAAGAGTGAAAACATCCTTATTTAGAAGATGAATATTCAAATTTTGATAGATCAAGGTTTGCAACTCATATTTTAGAAATATTTGAAACTTTAAAGGTTAGAATAAGAGCCAATTCGGGAAAGTTAAAAAAAAAACCTCACCATTATTAATTTCGTAATTCCAATAGTTTAATCAGCAGTTGGAAGTGTTGGGGAAATATAATTAAAAATAAAATCTCCTTCCAAACCAGAAAGCCTGTCCACAAAAGTAGAAGGGCAGTAAAGAAGTTTTATTATTCGGTAAGCAATAAACAAGAGTATTAGGGGATCACAGGCAATCCGCTAAGAGATCATAGAGTTAGGAAGAAATCTCACCCTTTGCAGAGCCAAGCAGATATAACCTTTTGCATACATGCTCTCAAGATAAACAACTAGTTCTCAAGTAGAGGACTTGAAAGTGCCATTTTTCATACATAATTCATCATAAACTCACTTGCTATTTGGGATGACTATCTGAGTTAGCCATTTGGTTTTCTTTAAAGAAGAAAACTCATATTTTTATGTTTTATAAAATAAGCTTTTCATGTTTTTATACCTCGTGTGTGTGTGTGTGTGTGTGTGTGTGTGTGTGTGTGTTTTGAGATGGAGTCTTGCTCTGTCGCCCAGGCTGGAGTGCAGTGGTGCAATCTTGGCTCACTGCAAGTTCCGCCTCCCGAGTTCAAGCGATTCTCCTGCCTAAGCCACCCCCAAGTATCTGGGAGTACAGGTATGAGCCACCACACCCGGCTAATTTTTGTATTTTTAGTAGAGACAAGGTTTCACCGTGTTGGCCAGGAAGGTCTAGAACTCCTGACCTCAAGTGATCCGCTGGCCTCAGCCTCCCAAAGTACTGGTGTTATAGGAGTAAGCCACCACTCCCAGCCCATTTTATATCATTTTTATGAGTTGATTTTGCAAGTTGGAGCAAGCCACTTCTACAGAAATTAGATTCCTACCATCCCATAGAAACCGGAAAATAGATGAGCTGGTCTTCCTTGATGAATACATCAATGAAATTGTCCCATGTAATTAAGAAAACATGTCTGGGTCATAAAGCTAGCAAGGTTATTTAACTCTGTTTCCTGAATGTACATACATTTCCAGGAAACAGAGACAGAAACTAAATGTTTTGTAAAGTTAATACTCTAAGAAAAGGGAATGGGACAAGTCTCTTCCTTTATTTTCAATAAGGAGAAGTTGTTTATTTGTTTGACATTTCCCTTTTTTTCTTAAACTTTATATATTTGTAAGGTTTCTCTTTTTAACTTTCATTTTAAGTTCAGGGGTACATGTGCAGGTTTGTTACACAGGTAAACTTGTGTCATAGCGGTTTGTTGCACAGATTATTTCATCACTCAGGCATTAAACCTAGTACCCATTAGTTATTTTTCCTGATCCAGTCCCTCCTCCCACCCTCCACCTTCGGATAGGCCTCAGTGTTTGTTGTTCCCCTTTATGCAGCCATGAGTTCTCAACATTTAGCTCCCACTTATAAGAGAGAACATGTGGTATTTAGTTTCTGTTCTTGTGTTAGTTTGCTAAGGTTATATTTTCTCCTATAGGAGAAGGGTAAGGGATTCCCCATAAGTCAGTGGACTTAATGAAAGCTTAAAATTCAATTAATCATTGTAGTTTTAATAGTATTATAATGTTAGGATTAGACATGTAAAATAAGGTACAATGAGTATCTCCCAATGTTGAGATTCATGAATTATGTTTTGTTTCTGAGATTCTATCTCTTAGTCTTCATATGCGTGTATTTTTGCCTCTGAATATCCCTATCTTTCTGTCTCTTTGTCTCTTGGAACATACGCTCTCTCCCTTATTCTCTTTCTCCCTTTCTAAAATGTAACACTAATACCTGGTGAATGATTCTTAATAAATCAGACCTATCTATCTATCTATCTATCTATCTACCTACCTACACAAATGTATTCCCCTCCAACATCAACTGATCCAAATCCTTCGCTTGTATAGACCTTTGAAAATAGTGCTTAGCAAAGTTTCAATGGACATTTTGAATAATTAAAATTCTGGTGCATTCTTAGAAAATTCAGAAAACTCAAGAGGTTTAATGAAACCCTAAATTTCAAAGGATGTGTGGAGGGACCTGTATGTCCAGGCAGAGGTGTGTTCCAGGGGTGGACCCCTCATGAAGAACTTCTGCTAGGGCAATGTGGAAGGGAAGTGTGGGGTTGGAACCCCCACACAGGGTCCCCACTGGGGCACTGCCTAGTGGAACTGTGAGAAGAGGGCCATTGTCCTCCAGACTGCAGAATTGTAGATCCACTGACAGCTTGCACTGTGCTCTTGGAAAAGCTGCACACTCAGTACCAGCCTGTGAAAGCAGCCAGGAGGGGAGCTATACCTTCAAAGCCATAGCAGTGGAGCTGCAGAAGGCCATGGGAGTCAACTTCTTGCATCAGCATGCCCTGGATGTGAGACATCGATTAAAGAGATAATTTCAGAACTGGCCTATTCAATTTCAGACTTGCATGAGGCCTGTAGCTCCTTTGTTTTGGCCAATTTCTCCCATTTGAAACAGGTATATTTTCCCCATGCCTATACTCCTATTGCATCTAGGAAGTAACTAAGTTGCTTTTCATTTTATAGACTTATAGGCAGAAGGAAATTGCCTTGTCTCAGATGAGATTTTGGACTTGGACATTTTATGTTGGAATGAGTTCAGACTTTGGAGGATTGTTGGGAAGACATGATTGTGTTTTGAAATGTGATTTGGACATGAGATTTGGAAGGACATGAGATTTGGAAAGGAGCCAGGGGCAGAATGATGTGGTTTGGCTGTGTTCTCACCCAAATCTCATTTGAATTGTAATCCCCATGTGTCACAGGAGGGACCTGGTGGGTGGTAATTGAATCATGGGAGTAGTTACCCCCATGCTGCTGTTCTTACTTGAAATCCTGTTATGCAAAGATAAACACATTAAAATATCGGTGAATTTGTTTAAGACATAAAAATATAAATCATGCTGCTATAAAGACACATGCACACGTACGTTTATAGTGGCACTATTCACAATAGCAAAGACTTGGAACCAACCTAAATGTCCAACAACAATAGACTAGATTACGAAAATGTGGCACACATACACCATGGAATACTATGCAGCCATAAAAAATGAGGAGTTCACGTCCTTTGTAGGGACATGGATGAAACTGGAAACCATTATTCTCAGCAAACTATCTCAAGGACAAAAAACCAAACACCGCATGTTCTCACTCATAGGTGGGAATTGAACAATGAGAACACATGGACACAGGAAGGGGAACATCACACACCGGGGCCTGTTGTGGGGTGGGGGGAGCGGGGAGGGATAGCATTAGGAGATATACCTAATGCTAAATGACTAGTTAATGGGTGCAGCACACCAACATGGCACATGTATACATATGTAACAAACCTGCACGTTGTGCACATGTACCCTAAAACTTAAAGTATAATAATAATAAAATTTTAAAAAGATATAAAAATATCTGTAGCTATAAAATGACATGGATATATAATTTTATACATTTAGTAAATATTAGTATATGTATTCTAAACATTAGTTATGAGTTTTTGCATATAATAATGAATATATAACTTCATATAGTTACTAATATGTAGTTATAGGTGTTGATAATTATTTTAGATTTTAATATACTTGTATTTATAAATGGAGTTATATAAAAACATACGTTCCCGTAAACACACAGGTATATGGCTATAGAATGTGAAAAGATATATAAATGTATACATTTCTAACAAAATTTGAACATTTTGCATACAGCTTTAATACTGTTCAATATTGTACTTTTTAATTTGACTATTAATGGTTTTGCATCAAAAATGATTCCTCTCCTCTTTGAAAAAAATTATTGTTAATAAATATTGATTAGCTACTATATATAGATTTACTCGTGCATAAATAAAATTTATTTTGGCTTTTGTTTTTTATGCAAGATTATAGTGATGGGTTTTTATTTATTTGTGACAACACAAACTATTTTAGTATCAAGAAACTCTGAATTATTAGAAAATACAATAATTAGGTTATAGTAAAGATGTTTTATTAGTTTATTTCCTTAAATTTCCACATCTTACCCTATAGGCATGGATTCCTAAAAATGCTGTATAATTCAATTTTGAAACATAAATTATAATTCACATTTATAACTATATATATATACATATATATTTGTTTACCCTCAGATTATCCTATTTTTAGAAAGACAAAAGTACTCCAAAAATCTCAATGGCATTTCATATAGTCTCAATCAACCTAGTTTTAAAATATCATAATTTCTAATATGTCATTAAAACATATTGGTAATGCTCTCAAAAGTAGAGGAAAAGTGTGACTCATAATCATCAGTTTATTGCTAAATTTTACAGTGTTTGGAATCTTCAAGGATACTTCACATTTTAAAAAATTATACTGATTCTTATTATTTCTGTTATATTTTTACACTGGGTACATGTGAAGTTTTATTTGCAGGCTCAAAGATATAGATTGAAGAGTTTTCTAATTCTTCAAGGCATTTAAAGTAGAGTATGTTGGTTAATCATAGGGACTCTGACAGCACATTACCTGGGTTCATCCCAACACTTCTGATGACAAGTGTGATCTTTAGTAAGTCACTGTCTTCTTCTGAATTGCTGATGATTAATTATTTATAGGGTTGTTGTGAAGATTAAAGAAGATAACCTATGTGAAGTGTTAGCACAATGATCCTTAGCGATAGTAACAGAAGAAGAATGAGGAGAAGGAGGAAATGAAGAAAAAAATACCAAGCTTTCAGTTCATCTGTATAATGAACTTTCACTGAAGTGTCTCAGATTATTTGGAAAATTTACATAGTCTCACCTATGTTCCATAGTCAGAAAAACTGTATGCAAATTATCCATTAAAATGGTCTCACCTTTGCACTGCTAGAACTGCCAAGTGCTACCAAGAACTGCCAGCACTATGTTGAATAGAATTTACAAGAGTGGGGATCTTTGTTTTCTTTCCGATGTTAGAGGAAAAGCCATTAGTTTTTCACTGTTAAATAGGATATTAAATGTGGGCTCGTTTAGGCAAGAAAAAAGAAATAAAAGACATCCAAAATCTGAAAGAAAGAAAAAAAACTTAAAACTAATAAATATACTTAATAAAGTTACAGGAAACAGAATCCACATACAACATTTAAAAAGTTGCATTTGTATTTCTACATACTAACAACATGCAATCTGAAAAGGAAATTAAAAGTCTCATTTATAATAGAATTAATCCCATTAAAAAATAGAAATAAACTTACCCAGGGAGGTAAAAGACATTTTCCTTGCATTGAAAGCTACAATACATTAAGGAAATAAATTAGAAAAAAAAATGGAAATAAATCTTATGTTTATGTATTGGAGTCTTAATAGTGTTAAAACGTTCATATTACGTGATAAATTGGAATTCTATTCCCATCAAAATCCCAATGGGATTTAAATCAGAAATAGAAAAATAGTGCTAAAATTTATATGGAACAACAAAAGACCCAGGATATACAAAGTCATCTTGAGAAGAAAGAACAAAACTGGAGGCATCACACTGCCTCATTTCAAAACATATTACAAAGCTATAGTAATCAAAACAGGATGGTGCTGGGATAAAAACAGACATATAGACCAATGAAACAAAATTGAGGGCTCAGCTGGGCATGCGTAGCTCATGCCTGTAATCCCAGCACTGTAATTTCTGTAAGCTGGCAAAGGCTGGCAGATAACCTGAGACCAGGGGTTCCAGATGGGCCTGGGCAACATGATAAAACCCCATCTCTACTAAAAATGCAAAAATTAGCCCAGTGAGGTGGCGCATGCCTGAAGTCACAGCTACTCAAGAAGTTGAGGCATCGGAATCACTTGAATCCAGGAGGCAGAGGTTGCAGTGAACCATGACTGTGCCACTGCACACCAGCCTGGGTGACAGAGCAGTATTCTGTCTCAAAAAAAAAAAAAAAATATATATATGTATATATGTGTTTTTAAAAAATTAAAAAACTTGAGAACTCAGAAATAAATGTAGGTGTATATGGTCAACTGATCTACAAGGCCATCATGCATATACAATAGGGAGAGGATAGACTTTTCAAGAAATTATGCTGGGAAATCCAGAAATCCACTTGCAAAAGTATGAAGTTGGAACCCTACATCTTACACTACACACAAAAATCAACTCAAAATGGATTAAAGACTTGAACGTAAGACCTGGAATTGTAAGGCTCTTAGAAGAAAACAGGAGAAAACTCCTTTCCATTGCCTTTGGCCATGAGTTATTGAATATGTCACCAAAACTACAGGCAAATAAAATAAAAACTGGCAAGTGGGAACTGCACCAAGGTAAAAGACCTCTGCACAACAAAGGAAATAGTTAATAAGATAATAAGGCAATTTATGGAATGGGAGAAATTACTTGCAAAGCATATATCTGACAAGGGGTTAATATCCAAAATACGCAGGGAACTTACCCAACTAAATAAAAAATAAAGTGAAAATGGACCAAGAACTTAGACACTTCTCCAGGGAAGACATACAAATGACTATCAGATATAAAATAAGGTGCTCAACACACTAATCACAAGGGAACTAAAAATCAAAACCACAGTGAGTTATCAGCTCACACCTGCTAATATGGTTGCTATATATAAAAAATATAAATATTGGTGACAGTATGGAAAATTGTCACCTTTGAACACGGTTGATGGGAATGTACAATGATGCAATCACTATGAAAAACAGTATGCAGGCCGGGCGTGGTGGCTCACGCCTGTAATCCCAGCACTTTGGGAGGCTGAGGCAGGCGGATGACTAGGTCAGAAGATCGAGACCATCCTGGACAATATGGTGAAATGCCATCTCTACTACAAATACAAAAATTACCTGGGCGTGGTGGCGCGCACCTGTAGTCCGGCTACTCAGGAGGCTGAGGCAGGAGAATCGCTTGAACCCTGGAGGCAGAGGCTGGAGTGAGCTGAGATTGCACCACTGCACTCCAGCCTAGGCAACAGAGCGAGATAATTTTGTTTTATAAAAAAGTTTAAAAATCATTTCATAATGATCGAAAGAATTGAAATGTGTTTAACTTACCTAGCATAAACTAAAATAAATACATGGTAACTTGAAAATAAACTAAATATAAACTTTATGTTCATCGTTATAGAAGTTACAGTCAAAATATAACAGGCAACATCAAAATATCTCATGTTCTCCATAAGTATATATACCTACTTGGTGCCCACGAAAAATTAAAAATTAAAAAATAAAACTTAAAAAATATATATATGAGTTGTTTATGTATATATGTATGTGTATATACACATATATATATATGTAAGTGTGTGTATATATATATTAGGCAATGTTTCTTAGAGACC
This sequence comes from Homo sapiens, assembly GCF_000001405.40. Lineage (NCBI taxonomy): Eukaryota > Metazoa > Chordata > Mammalia > Primates > Hominidae > Homo > Homo sapiens. Next base: position 22,970,944 of record NC_000021.9, on the reverse strand, counting down.
ATCTTAGATTCCAATGAGAGAATGGCATTGCATTTTTTATTGCTTTTTAAAAAAATTATAAATTTATCTTTTAAATTTAAAAATATAAATGGAATGTATTTATGATATGTGATGTGATATTTTGATACATATTGTAAAATCATAAATAAAGCTAATTAACATCCATTAATGAACACAATATAAAATAACCATGAATATCATGAATATAATGTCTCGGTGCTCCCACCTACCTACTGGATTGAGCCTACTCTAAACTTTACTACTTATTTATCTCTGAACTCCTTTCTGCCTTCTCAGCATCCTCCTGTCCTCTAAACATTGGAGTGCCTGAAAATAATTCTTGATCTTCCTAACTGGCATTATATAGTTTCCTGTGAGCCCTCAGGCTTCTTTCATGGCTTTAAATATTCTCTAGAGGTTGATGATTTCAGACTGAGTTTAACAATATTACTCTGACTGTATTCACTAGCAATAGCAAGCACAGGATGCATCCAAGTGATCAGTTATCGGCAACTGTAATAATACAGGTGAGATTAGATGATTGCTTGGAGCAGGGTGATAATGCAAGTAAGAAATTGTGGTAAGATTCTTGAAATGTTTTGGTGGTAGTGACCACAACAAGTTTCACCGATGTATTAGATCTTGGTTTTAAAGGAAAGCAAGAAATTAAGAATGACAATTGGGATGTTACCTGATCAACTGAATAATGAGTGGCACCAATTACTAAGAGGGGAAAAATTAGGGAATGACATGTGGGGTGGAATAATTGGATATATCACAAACTCTGTATTGAATTGCTTTGTAAAAGTGTGAGAGAGCTTAGCAGAGGCCTGAAGAGATGAGTCTGATTCTGGTTAAATTATAGAATGTAAGGGAAGAGAATTGTGAGCTGATTTGGATTACATTTTTTAGTAGTTCCATTGTGAATGGAATAAAAATAGGATAATAGTTACAGGGTAATGTAGGCTCAAAGAGTGCTTTGCTATATATTTGTGTTTGTTTAAGCCTGTCCATCAGGTTTCTTATTTGCAAACGCTGGAAATCACCCTAGACAACTTAAGCATTTTAGTGTATAAATAAGAAATACATATGAAAAATGCGTACATATTATGACAAGGATTTTCGTCATAGATATGCCACTAAGTACTTATAAAAAAACTTTCTTAGCTTTATTTTTTCATCTCTAAAAGAGTTTTTACTAAAGGCCTAGTCTTTCCACTGTAAAATTTTACAATTCTAAGAGCATATGAGGCCAAATTTGAGTGCAATTTATTATGAATGAATATATATGACAATTCTGTTTTTTCATTAGAGGTTAAATCAGAGGCTATACAAGAGGTTATACTATTTTATACTACACTTTATTATTTCTTTGGGAAATCAAGGTTTTAAAAACACATTTACTTAACACTGAGAATGCATTTAATATGAGAGGAAGAACAAGTCACTTAATATTTTGTGCCTAAAGTTTCTAATATTAAAAATGGACATAATTTTCATGTAGACAAAATGCTTATAATCATAAGCACTCCATGAATTTACCTGTTTGTGATATTATTTCAAATATTAATATTATTTGAAGTTCAGCTCTGTTATTCATACATGCTGATCATATTAGCATTTAAATAATTTGAGACAGTATTATTTCTTCGTACCACGTGGACTTGGTAGTCTACTACAAAGACAAATTTCTACCATCTAATCCAGGTAAATGACTATTTTGTTTACTATTATAAAGGTTACTGGGTTGCTTACCTTTACATTGTCATACTGTATTCTGTTCTGCTGAAGTGGGACGGCTAATCCCACAAAATATTAAAGATGGACAAAGATATATTCTAAAAAATTAGAAATAGAGATATTTGTGAAAGATAAATGTTCTCATCATCATGGAATGTTTATGAAGTAAATAATAATAAAGAGAAAGAAAAGGTCAAGATAAACAAAAATGCAGGCAGTTTTACAATGGACATAAAGCTATTTAGCAAATACTAAATGCTTTCTCTCACTTGAGGAAAGCAATACCAGCATGAAACTCTCAGTTGAACCAGGCTGAGCACAAACTTGTACAAGCACACATCATGAGTTAAATATTAACATTAAATTCTTGAAGTCTCAAGACTTCTTTAAAAGATTACAACTGAAAATGAGAAGCAAAGTAAGTAGGTCTAGATTTGGCAAAAGTCATTTAATGTTTAAAACGAATTAGGCAAATAGTTATTCTGCATTTCTTCAAACTTTGCGTATGTAATAGTGTTAAGCAAATGTTTTGATAATACTGGTACTCAATGATTATTCGCCTTCTATAGTTAAATTTCCTTCTACAAAAACAGTATTATTGACTGAATGGTACACCATGCTTCTGTTCTCTCTGAATTATTGTACTATTTGAGAGGTTAAGCTTATAAACCCATACAAATATTACCCATTTACCTAGTAAATATTGCTCAGGTTGCTTACCCGGTATTTCTTAAGTAATAAACAGCTCCAAGAGTAGTAGTTATGAAAATCCAGTCTCTGTTAAGCATGAGCAGAAATCCCACATAAACCAGCAAAAGCTTCCTGTGTGCATGGGAAAACTCAAGTCCAAATGGAAAGGAGCCATGTGTAAGGATGTGTGAGCATTCAAAAAGAGCTAAGCCACCACAGATATATCCATTTCTTTGTCCAAGGAAATTTTTTTTTTCCAAAATGAAGAATATTGATATGTATAGTTATGTATATGAAAGATACCTTAGGGTATTTCAAATTTAATCGAAGTGTTTCAAATTCAGTTAAACAGCGGCTTAAAGCTTATCTCTTGTAGACACACTTAAATGCATGCAATGAATGTCATTACAAATAAGAGTAAAGGTGTTAAATAGTACACATAGGTTAGATTTTAGGATTATATTCTGGCATTACATTACATAGTTGTCCTAAACCAAAATTTCTGATACCACTAGGATACAAATGTCTGTTCCATGTTTCTTTGATATCTCAGTCTTACTCATTGTTTTCTCTAAGTCAGTTCCATCACACTTGTTCAGGGCATCTCATCTCAGTGTGAAATATCTATAGTAATCTTAGAGCCTGTCTCTTTGATCAGAATGTCTGTCCTCCAAATCATATAAAATCCTGCCTCCTTAAAAATTTGACTAATTGTTTACTAGTAATACAAAATAATATAGTTTAAACTCTTATACATCTTTTTGAATTGTAATACTTATTTTAGAGTAATTCTATTTCTGCAAAGACCGAATTCAGATGCTCTACTATTAAAATTAAAACAACTGATAGTTATCTGTATTCCAAATACATGGTGTTATTTCCCACACTATGACAAAGTGGCATAACAGGCCATTGTTCTTGTACTCTAATTATTGTCTATACGAGCAGTAACACTGATTATTCTAAAAACAAAACCACCCTCTTTGTAAATTGTTTTTCAGCATTTCATGGCATATGTTCAGAAATCCAATGTAATAGTTATGTGAGAGTTAAATTTACAACCCTCATTTTGAAGATTTCAGCATAACCACATTGCTTAAATGAAATGCCTGTGAGGATTTAATTTATTTTTTTTTAAACAAAAACCACACTAGGACATTGTTTTGAATATTTTCCAAACTAAAAATCATTACATCTAATCTCCATGACATAGAACTTTGGGGCCATGACCGTCTATAAGTATTATTGGAACAGATGGACTTAGAGCGTTTTTCTGAGGAAGGCAAGACCAAATTTTAAATTTTTCTGAGAGGACTTAACCCTTCCCTCTGCCTCACTGAATATTAAAGCATGCATGCCTGCCATTAACAAGCACTATGAAATATTTGCACTCCAATTTCTTGCAGAGTAGAAATTTTGTTGGTCACCTATGGAACCTTATTTTGTCTTGTAAAACAACCAAACACTTCTTAATATTCCAAATATTAGTTTATCAAATTCCTGATATAATAATAGAACATTTATGAAGGATTTATCAAAGAACATATGACCCATTCATTTATCTGAATATTCAAAATTTTATTTTGGATTAAATACGAGAAGCGTAAAAGTAGGCATATCAATTACATCAAGAGCTTGACTTACTTTATCGATAGTGTTTTAATATTTTGACAACTATCAGCATAAAGCATATGCATGGATTGAATGTTTGTGGTCACCCAAACTTCATATGCTGAAATCTTATTCCCCAATGTGATAGTATGAAGAGATGGACCTGTGAGAGGTAATTATGTTATGACAATGGAGCCCTCATGAATGGGATTATTTCCCCTATGAAAGGTACTATCTGCACTCTGACTTTTTTTCCTTCTATCCTCTTTTAGAAAACATTCACTGGCATTTTTTTTGTTTTGTTTTGAGATGGGGTCTCACTCTGTCGCCAGGCTGGAGTGCAGTGGTTCGACCTTGGCTCACTAAAACCTCCACCTCCTGGGTTGAAGCAGTTCTCCTGCCTCAGCCTCCCAAGTAGCTGGGACTACAGGCGCACCTATGCCTAGCTAATTTTTTTCTGCTTTACGAGAACATAAAATATTTTTCCTATCACATTCAAAACAGATTATTAAAAAACATTCCTAACTTTCAGGTAACTATCTTGCTCTCTTTCAGTCACGTGAGAATAAAAGAAAAAGTTGGCAGTGTGCAACCAGAAGAGGGCCCTCACCAGAACCCAACCATGCTGGGTCCCTGATCTCAGACTTCCAGCCTCCAGAACGGTGAGAAATAATTTTCTGTTGTTTATAAGCCACCCATCTATAGTGCTTTCTTGTAGCAGCCAAAATGACTGAGATAGCATACTATGTTTTTTTTTTAAACTTTGAAACATTTTTTCTGGCCACTTATAAAGACAACTTAAAGGATACTTTTTTAGTATTTCCATAAGCTTCTTTCAAAGAAAGCATGTGGAAGAAAATTTTTTTTCCCAGTTCTCAATATCAGGAAATAATGCTTTTCTTAAAAATGTAGTTTTGTTTCTTTGTGCTTTCTGTCTTCCTTCTGCATGCCATGAATAGTTAACTGATGATGTATACATTTTTGGTTTAGCTGCTAAATCTCTACATCTCTAGCAGTAGAGGCATATGGTATACAAATCTTCCCTTGGCAATATAATTTTTGTGTCATTCCTTGTAATAATCCTTGACTCTCTGG